>NW_011332701.1:1764110-2448509 GCF_000001405.40 Homo sapiens | reverse complement strand
CTTCCCCCCGAAAAAACACAGTAAAACCCTGTCTCTACCAAAAAGGAAAAAAATTATTATTTTTTTTTTGTAAAGACAGGGTTCTGCTGTGTTGCCCACGCTGGTCCCAAATTCGTGGCCTCAAGTGATCCCCTGCCTTGGCCTCCCCAAGTGCTTGGATTACAGGTATGAGCCGCTGCACTTGGACTTCTTATTCTTATCTTCGTTTCTCTGTATGTATTGAGTTTCAGTATGTGTTAATACATTACTGTATTTAAAAAAATTTTTTAGTTTTGTTTTAGGACGCAGATAAGTTATTTAGAAACAAATCTGATCTTTTCTAGCTTTGCTTTTAATCTTTCTTACGTGGGATAGATCAAACCTTTAATCAAGGGCTATTTTTTTTTTCTGTTACTGAGCCAATATATTTCCGATTACTGTACCCAATGTGTCATGCATTTTAACAGTTTGCCTTTCTGGCTGATAGAAACAAAATATCCCTAGTTCCATGTGATCCCTGGAAATTATTATGCCTACTTCATTAGACTGTACTTTGGTCTTGGATATTTTCATACACATGCACTTATCAATACTAACCTGGAGACTCAAGTGACATCTTTGCAGATATCTGGAGTTCAATGTCTCTCTCTTCTTTCCTCTCTTCCTCTCTTCTCTTCCTCTTCCTTTTGCTCTGCCTCTTCTTCTTCCTCTCTCTCTCTCGTTGTCTCTTCCCTCGTACTCTGTCCCATGAACTCTAGCTACGTTGGTTCCCCTGAGCCAATTCTGTCCCAATTCTGTCTCCTCAACTCAAATGCTGGCTTAAGTTATCCCTCCCTGGGCTCTTTCCTTAAGCAAGTTTCCTTTAATAGCATTTTATCCACTGTAGAACTTCAATCAGAATTGAAGTCAATCCTCTCAAACCCTGCCACTTCTTTACTAACTAAATTTATGTAATATTTTAAATCCTTTGTAGTCATTTCAATGGTGTTCATGGTATCTTCACCATGAGTAGATTCCATCTTAACTAATCACTTTCTTTGGTAACTCATAAGAAGAAACTCCTCATCCATTCAAGTTTATCAAGAGATGCAGCAATTCTCCACTTCTAATTCTAGTTTTCTTGCTATTTTCACCACAACTGCAGTTACTTCTCCCACTGAAGCCTTGAACCCCTCAAAATCATCCTTAGGGTTGGAATACACTTCTTCCAATCTCCTGTTAATGTTGATATTTTGACCTCCTCCCATGAATTACACATGTTCTTTGTGGCGTCTAGAATGGTGAGTCCTTTCCAAAAGGCTTTTTATTTACTTTGCCTGGATACATCAAAGCGATCACTATCTATGGCAGCTGTAGCCTTAGAAAATGTTATCTATGTAATGTATCCATGTTCAATTCAATTAAACTCAATTAGATTTTATTTGCTAAAAAGAGTTCAAGGCACAGACACAATAATAAACCACATAAATTCTTCAGGTTCCCTATCAGTTCCAGACATCAGTTTTTCTTCCCAAAAGCGTTGTTCTGGATTGCAGGCCTAGGTCAGGTGAGAGGGTACCAGCAGAGGGATGCCTGCATGCCTGCTCCAAACCGGTGCCTCCCCAGCAGTCCTGAGTTGCATGCACTAGAGCATTTCACAGTCGCCACCTCCTTTGCCATAGCAAAACTTGGTTTTGTTTGTGCCTCAGTAGAGGCTGAGGGCCATCACTGAAGAAAATCCACAATAACAAGCAGACAGGAAACCAATATATGAAGCAAAATAATTCTTTATTTTATAATAAAATTATCTACCACAAAACTGAAAGTTTATTCTGACTTAAGGGAAGTCAAATGAGAATCCGAAAGTTTTGTGGTGCATATAGATTCACAGCAATGGGAATTAGTTAGAGGTCTTATATGTAAGTTCACTCAGTGAATGTGTATGGCCCCCAAGCACAGGCCTGGAAGGAACTTCACTGACATGTTTTCTTAAATGACCTTCAACTTGCATCTCTGATTATGTCTTCTTGTAATCCACGCTGGACTCTTTTCTTCTAAGTGACACATTACTTCTTCAGGTAGATCAATATCATCAATTAAAATGCAATTTTGTCTTGTTTTTGCACGGTCTGTTTTTTTAAGTCTAACTTTGCATACTTACCCACTTACCTACACTTTAACTAAAGTGTGTTTATTAAACTTTCCAAACTCTGGGATGCCTTGCTTTCATGCCTACTTATAATTACTTTATGTGTGCTAAAAAGTCACAAATAGCACTTTTTGCCCTATGTTCTTTTCTTCTTTGTACTCTGGAAGAAGAACCAATGACGACAATGAAAAGCAGGCAGTAGCAGAGTTGAAGAAGAGCATAGGACTTGGCAGTGCACAGCATGAATCCTCAGTCCTTGGCCAACAAACGTCATCATTTCAACAGACCAAATCTATTGTCAAGATGTGTTTTCTGTTAAGTCTCCATTGGCCCAATGAGAAACACTTAAATTGAGCTTCCCTAGACAACATTTTGCAAAGGGACTGTGATGCTAACTCTCCCTTGAAAACATTACAATTTATATATTAATAAAATCTTCTTATTTTCATGTTTTAAAACTTCAGCTTGAATTTGAGCCCATTAAGTACAACTGGCAGTAATTTCTTCGCCATGGTCATGTCCAAATGTTGTGATGAACACAGAGATAAGGCTAATTGTCATAGATTTAAATAATCTAAAACAATTGGGATTGCTTCATGTCACCGGTACTCTCTGCTCCAGGCTCAGACATGATAACTTTATGATCAGCATCTTAAATATCTCACATCTCTCAACTCAATTCATATCTTGAGATTGGTTCCAGCTCCAGCATGAATTTTGAAGAGCTCCCTGTGGCTACAAGTCTCTGATTCTTCCCTGTTTGATAGGGGAGCTGGGTCCTGCCCACTGCTTTGTCCTGTGTTCCAGTCCTCCTGGAAAGTCCAGTCCCCCAGTCCCTTGTCATGATGGTCTGTGTCTCTTGGCCAGCTAGGGTTAGGCTCAGAGTTAAGCTAACTGTTGTAGACTCTAACCGTGGCTTGCTTATTTGCACCTGTCTTCTTTGGCTACTAAATAGTTTTTTTTTCTTTTGACCGATTGCATCTGGCTTCCCCACCTGCTCTGTGCCCCTAGTGTATTAGTTTATTAGGGCTGCCATAACAAAATACCACAGACAGAGTGGTTTAAGTGACAGAAGTTTATTTTCTCGCAATTCTAGAAGCTAGAAGTCTAAGATCGAGGTGTCAGCAGAGTTGCTTTCTCCTGAGGCCTGTCTCTTTGATGTGTAGATGGCTGCTATCTTCCTTTGTCTCTGCCTGTTCTTCCCTTTGTGCAGGACTGCATCCTAATCTCCTCTTAAGGACGGAAGTCATATTGAATTAGGACCCAGGCATATGACCTCGTTTAACCTTAATTGCCTTTTTAAACACTCTAGCTCCAAATCCAGTCACGTTCTGAATTTTGAGGCACCAAAGGGGTGGTTAGAACTTCAACATCTGAATTTGGGGGGGGATGCAATTCATCTCACAACACCCAAGATGGTTCTTACATCCGTTCTCAGCCTCAGATGTCCTCAGTCCTGGTGCTGCCTATGTGGCGTGCCTGAGGGCAGAGCTCACTGCCAGCCTGGTGCTCCACAGCTGAATTTCTGACTGTCCAGCAAAGTATCCTTTGTCCAATTTGTACCCACAGGTAGGCTTTAGCTTTCAGGCCAATGTTAGATTCTTCTCCTGGCTTTAGAACAACTTGGTGGTCTCCTCCAGTTTCTAGGGACATCTCTATGCCTTTCAACTCCTGATTCCATTTGGACCCATCTCTGTATGACCTCTCACAATGCGAGCTTGGGTATCTTTCCCTTCTTATTGTGACTCACCACTAATAGCAGTACAAAATCCTGTTTCATAAAGTGGGTTCCTCAGAACATTAGTTATGTTGGATATAAATAGATTTCGTGTAGGATACCAAGAATGTTTGAGAAATGTTGCATGACAGAAAACAAAGTTTCTTTCATGCAAAACTTCCTATATGTCCACAGGTGGGAAAGTGGGAAGATAGACCTTGCGTGATTTCCAAATGTTTTTGTTTCCAAATGTTTTATTTGGGTTGGGGTGTGAACTGTGAACTTCCCAATGACCCAAAGGACTTGCCCACATGCAGTGCTGAGATCCTTGGCCACACTTCAGCCTGGCTTCTACCTGCACTAGTCATGTGCCTAAAAGTGACACAGCTCTTGTGTGAGTCTCTGCTCAAGAAAATGCAATGCTCCTGAACTGCCAGATGTAAATTGTCCCAACCCACAAGGCCAAACCATTTTCAGTAATCCTCTGCAACTCCACTCTGTAGCTTCCTACTTATAGCCCCCAGTCTCTTTTCTGGTCCCCCTTTTTTTACTTCCCATAATCTCGTTGTGTGCCCTATCAGATCTCCCTTTGAAAACCCCAGTCACCTTTGTCTTATTTGGAATTAAACTGATTCATACTGGAGCCTCTCTGCCCTACTGCAGTAGTCTGAGTGAAATCTGTCTTGCTGCCTCTAACAGTGTCCAGTGCTCTTTCTCTGACAAGGGGAGGTGCCTCACCAACCCTGAGATATCTGTTAGGAAAATGCTGCTCTGGCATTATGCTCCAAGTGAACCAATTCCAAGATATTCTGCAGAAACTATGGCCCAAAGACACTGAGAACACACAGAAATATGCTTGTGCTTTCTATAAGTTTTCCACTTTGTATTAAGTGAAAAAAATTCTATAATAAAACAAACAGTGAATTTGTGTCACATGTCAGGTATATATGAGTGAGGGCCACATGGCCTCACAGTACATTACACGAATGATGACGCCATGATAACCTGAATGATGAAAGGACTGAGCCTTCCAGGGAACATTCCCATGCTGAGGCCAGGGTCCCCCCTCTGCCACACTGGCAGGATGTGCTGCCACATCCACATTGCAGGCAAATGTCAGCTGGCTGCCCCTTGAACACACACTGACTTGGACATTCACTGACAGTCAACATAATTGTCACTGGACTGCAGAGGGAGTGTTAGGGCTCCCTATGTGGATGTCAGCTCTTACAAATAAAGCTACCCTCATGTTTGTATGGGGGCAGCAGTCTGCAGTCTGTCATCCAGGGGTAGGGGAATAAACCTGAGGATCAACAAAGTCCATTCAATATTAAATAAACCTAATTACATACAAAAGAGGGGTCATGTCTTAGTCTGCTCAGGTTGACATCACAAAATGTCATAGATTGAGTGCTTCAAACAACAGAAATTTTTTCTCACAGTGATGGAGGATGCAAGTTCAAGATTAAGTTTCTGGAGGCTGGAAGTCCAAGTCAAGCAAGTGACACCTGTGACCACCTCCAGCAGCAGAGTCCCACTAAACAGTGGAGAACAGAAAGCATAACAATGCCTGCCTCCAGGAGCAGTAATCCCAAGACGTCAACCCACCACATGATTTTCAGGCACGACTCATGCAGGCACTGGATGGAACAACGCTTTATGCACATAGAGAAGACACAGAGCAAGAGCAGCTTCAGTTTCGACTGTTGATCCCTCATGGCCAGTGGGTCTCACCCCACAGCCAGCACAGGGAGATGTTCCACACACTCATGCTATAGACAAAGGCCCCTGTTCCCAGCAGTGGGGTCGTTCAGGTGCCATATGATGCACATGCTTTAGTAGAACGAAGAAGTACGCCTCCAGTCCAGAACAGAGAAAGAGGTTCCCCATAAAGGGTAATGGACAGCGCAGGCTGTGAAAGCTCTTTATCTCTTTGTAAGAAAATGTTCCTAACCCAAGGCACACTCCTATGCAACTGTACAGAGGTCAAAAGACTACGTTTGTGTGACTGCTTCTCTCAACATGTTCCTGGTGAGGGCTCTTTTCCTGGCTTGCAGACAGCCACCTTCTCCATGTGTCTTCACATGGTCTTTCCTTGGGGCTTGCATGAAAAGAGACAGAGAGATGCTGTGAGAGAGCACTGGGGTGTATCTTCTTATAAGAACACAAATCCCTTCGGATCAAAGCCCCACCCTTAAGATCTTATTAACTTTAGTTCTTTATAGACCCCCCTCCCCCACCTCCAAATATAGCCACACCGGGCATTATGGCTTAAACCTGTGGATCTGGGGGAGACACAAACATTCTATTCATAATAGGCCAAGATGCATAAACAGAATAATTGACTCAGGAGAAAGATGGCAAAAATTCAAAAATTCATCAAATGTAGTACACTTTTAAAATATTCTAACTTGTATCTTAAAGAGAAGCTGGACAATATTGCACCCATTAAACAAGGGCATATGTCAATGAAAAAGAGGAAATCAGAAAATAAAATATTCTTAAATATTAGAAATATAATCATTACAATAAAGATACGATGTCTGAAAGAAAACTTGAAGGACAACTGTCAGCATGTACATAAAAAGAGAAAACATGAAGAGAGATATGAGAAAAAAAGTTTAATAAGAGCATTTAAATCCAGGAAGTCCAAAGAGTTACATAAAGAGAAAATACAGAAACTGATAAAAATGAAATGATCAAAGAATAGCCTATTAGGAGAACATTTTCCAGAGCTATGAGGAGGTGCTGCGTGCATCTCGACTTAAAAAGTCACCGACGGTTGATCAGGAGATATAAAAAAATCACCCACCCCTAAATGCATCATTGTGATGTTTCAGAAGAGAAGGAACAAAACAGGGCATCTGTAAAGAAATCACAGTCAAACTCGCATCAGATTTCTCATTAGTAACACTGGAATACAATGAGGCAGTAACTTCAAAGTCCACAGAGGAAATTATTTTCAACTTAGAATTCTACACCTGGTAAAAAAAAATTATACTGAGTGTCGATGCCAAATAAACACATTTTCAGTCATCCTAGGCCTCAGAATGTTTACCCTTTATGCATCTTCAGTGAAAAAGATAAATCCTTGATGATATTCTGCAGTAAAACCAATAAAAATCCTAGACAAAAGGAGACATAGCCCCATCCTCAAGACAATAAAGGACTATCTCAGATGACAACTGAGCAGCAGACTTAGAGAGCAACTGGTCTACCACAGTGCAAGGTCAGGGGAGTGCAGGTGCAAATGTTGCTAGGGAGAAACGTTTAAGAAGAAAGCAGACTTGTGAAAGCAAAAGCATCACGATGGTGGAAAATCTTGGTGATAAGTCAGAGGACAAGTTTAAAACAAAGGGAAAATGTTGGGAATTCTAGGAAACTCACAAATATGTAGAAGAGAGTCATGCTTTAGTGCCAAGCAACAAGCACATGCCATGGGCTAGCAGCATGGACACCTCCTGGAAACTTGTTAGAAATACACATCCTTAGGCCACCCCAGACCTGCTGAATCAGGAACTGTGGATGGCACCCAGCAATCTGCCTTCAGCAAGCCCTCCAGGGGTTTTTGATCCTCTGCATTGGACCAGGGTTTGGCAGTGGCCTCTTTTTGTAAATCAGTTTTGTTGGAACTCATGACACTTATTTTATCCTGCAGTTTCTATGGCTGCTTCCACTCTGCAACAGCAGAGGGTAGTGGCTGTGACAGACACCCTATGGCCCCAAAGCCTAAATATCTGCTATTTGATTCTGTACAGAAAATATTTGCGAATCCCTGCTTTATACCTTTAGATAGGCTACAAAAGTGTTTGAGACTTCATTTGACTTGACTTTGAATTTTAGTATGTGCTTCTTAGATGTATCAGTCTGGGAATCCCAGGTCCTTCTATCTGCAGCCAAGTGCACTACACTCCTGTTTGCAGTGACAATCCTCCTAATATTGTGAAGGCTGCTTCTTAGTTTTCAGTCAACATCTAGAGCAAGCCCAGGAGACTTGGGATTAAGGAATAGGAGTGTAAGAGTTAAAACGTCATAAATGTGAAAGTCAGGTACAGCTCCGGAAACTAGCAGAAGGGAAGCACAGGGAAAAATATTTCCTCATCTCAGATAAAAGGGAGACAAGAGAGACTGTCAAATTGGTGCAACCAGAAAAATATGCTCACACAACTCATAAAAAGTTTTAAAGGCAAAAGAAGTAAAAATCAGACCATAACTAAGAAAAATTGAGAGGGAGTGGAAAGAGAGAAGAGGCAAGGAATAATAGAAAGTATCTAAATCAAGAAATGAGGGATAGAAGATCCTCCAGAGGAACAGAAGAAGAAACAGAAACAAGAGCTGGCTTTGAGCAGGCATCCCAGATGTTGGTTTGACATGGGGCAGACTTTTGTTTTCATTTCTTTGTTTAGTTTTTGTGTGCAAATGTACATTTGACTCCAATGATAGTACAGATTTTGAAAGGTAGAGATAAACACTGGCAGGACCCTGGCCCATGGAATTAGGAAACTTCCAAGCCTCACTCTCCAGCCCTCCTGCCCCCACCAGGTCTGCCCAGTGCTATGTGCTCCCTAAGCCCCCTCTTCCCCACAAACTGCCTTCTGTCTTTTTTAACTGCTGTTGCTTTAATGTTTGTTTTGTCTGATATAAAAATAGTTACTCCTACTCACTTTTGGTCTCTATTTGCACGGAATATCTTTTTCCACCCCTTTACCTTAAGTTTATGTGAGTGCTTATGTGTTAGCTGAGTCTCCTGAAGACAGCAGAAACTTGGTTGGTAAATTTGTATCCATTCTGCCATTCCTTTTTGTTTGTTTGTTTGTTTTGAGATGGTGTCTCACTCTGTCACCCAGGCTGGGGTGCAGTGGCATGATCTCAGCTCACTGTAATCTCCATCCTGGGTTCCAGTAATTCTCCCACCTCAGTCTCCTGAGTAGCTGAGATTACAGGCATGCACCCACATGACCAGCTAATTTTTTTGTATTTGGGTTTTCACCATGTTGGCCAGGCTGTTCTCGAACTCCTGACCTCAGGTGATACACCTGTCTTGGCCTCCCAAAGTGCTGGGATTACAGGCATGAGCCACTGCACTGGGCCCATTCTGTATCTTTTTTTTTTTTTTTTTGAGACAGAGTCTCGCTCTGTCGCCCAAGCTGGAGTGCAGTGGCATGATCTCGGCTCAGTGCAACCTCCGCCTCCTGGGTTCACACCGTTCTCCTGCCTCAGCCTCTCACAGGCTGAGGGCGCCCAACAACACGCCCGGCTAATTTTTTTCTATTTTTTTGTATTTTTAGTAGAGATGGGGTTTCACCGTGTTAGCCAGGATGGTCTCGATCTCCTGACCTCATGATCCGCCCGCCTCGGCCTCCTAAAGTGCTGGGATTACAGGCATGAGCCACCGCACCCGGCCCCATTCTGTATCTTTTAAGTGGAGCATTTAGGCCATTTACATTCAACGTTAGTATTGAGAAGTAAGGTAGTATTCTATTCATCACGCTATTTGTTACTTGAATACTTTGTTGTTTTTTTCATTGTGCTATTGATATACAGGTCCTGTGAAATTTATGCTTTAAGGGGGTTCTATTTTGGTGTATTTTGAGGATGTGTTTCAAGATTTAGAGCTCCTTTTAGCAGTTCTTGTAGTGCCAGCTTGGTAGTGGTAGATTCTCTCAGCATTTGTTCGTCTGAAAAAGACTTTATCTTTTCTTCATTTCTGAAGCTTAGTTTCGCCGGATACAAAATTCTTGGCTGATAATTGTTTTGTTCAAGGAGGCTAAAAATAGGACTCCTATCCCTTCTAGCTTGCAGGGTTTTTGCTGAGAAATCTGCTGTTAATCTGATAGGTTTTCCTTTATAGGTTACCTAATGCTTTTGCCTCACAGCTCTTGAGATTCTTTCCTTTATCTTGACTTTTGATAACCTGATGACTATGCGTCTAGGTGATGATATTTTTGTGATGAATTGCCCAGGAGTTCTTTGAGCTTCTTGTATTTGGATGTCTAGATCTCTAGCAAGGCCATGAAAGTTTTTCTCAATTATTCCCTCAAATATATTTTACAGACTTTTAGATTTCTCTTCTTCCTCAGGTACACCAATTATTCTTAGGTTTGGACACTTAACATAGTCCCAAACTTCCTGGCAGCTTTGTTCATTTTTTAAAATTCTTTATTCTTTGTCTTTGGTGGATGGGGTTAATTCGAAAACCTCGTCTTCGAGCTCTGAAGTTCTTTCTTCTGCTTGTTCAGTTCTATTGCTGAGACTTTCCAGTGGATTTTGCATTTCTATAAGTGTGTCCTTGATTTCCAGAAGTTGTGATTGTTTTTTATTTATGCTATCTATTTCACTGAAGATTTTTCCCTTTATGTCCTATATCATGTTTTTGATTTCTTTAAGTTGGACTTCACCTTTCTCTGGTGTCTCCTTGATAGTTTAATAATCAACTTTCTGATTCTTTGTCTGCCAATTCAGTGATTTCATCTTGGTTTATATCCATTGCTGTTAAACTGGTGTGATTTTTTGGGGGTGTTAGAGAAGCCTGTTTTGTCATATTACCCGAATTGTTTTCCTGGTTCCTTCTCATTTGGGTAGACTATGTCAGAGGGAAGATCTGGGACTCAAGGGCTGCTGTTCAGATTCTTTTTTCCCACAGGGTGCTCCCTTTATGTGGTTTTCTCCTCCTTCCCATAGGGATGGGACTTCCTGAGAGCCAAACCGCTGTGATTATTTTTTGCCACTCAGCAGAGCTACCAGGCTCAGGCTGGTACTGGAGAGTGTCTGCAAAGAGTCCTATGATGTGATCTGTCTTCAGGTCTTCAGCTGTGGATACCAACACCTGCTCTGGTGGAGGCAACAGGGGAGTGACGTGGACTCTGTGAGGGTCCTTAGTTGTATTTTTGTTTAGTGTGCTGGCTTTGTGCTGATTTTGTGTTGGTTGGCCTCCAGCCAGGAGGTGGTGCTTTCAAGAGTGCATGAGGTGCATGAGGTGCATGAGGGAGGATGCAAACTTGGCCTAGGGTCACCTGGTTAAGCATTCAGGTTTCTCAGGTGTTGGGCAGGGCCACAGAGCTCCCAAGAGACTATGGCCTTTTTCTTCAGCTACCAGGGAGGGTAGAGAAAGACTACCAGGTGGGGACAGGGATAGGCATGTCTGAGCTCAGACTTTCCTGGGGCAGGGCTTGCTGTGGCTGCTGTGGGGGTGTGGCCCCCAGGCCAATGGAGTTATATTTCCAGGGAGATTATGGCTGTCTCTGCTGCATTACACAGGTTGCCAGGGAAGTGGGGGAAAACCGGCAATCATAGGCCTCACCCCACTCCCATGCAGCCGGTAGTCCTAGAGGCCAGTATTACTTCCACTGTGCCCCGGCAACAGCACTGAGTCTACTTCCAGGCAGCTGGTGACCAGGGCTGAGAACTTGCCCCAGACCACCAGCCTCCCCACTGAGAAAATAAGCAGACTCATAGTTTTTTGGCATCTCAGGGAGCCTGTAGCAGGGATCCAGTTCCTTCAAAGGGTCTGTGGATTCTCTTGACTTTCTTGGTAGATTCCTGTGGTACTTCTTGGAGCAGAAGTTCACAATGTGAGTCTCCACACACTGCTCTGTCCGTCCAAGTGGGAGCATTAAGCTAGTCCTCCTCTCCACCATCTTAATCTCCTTGCTGTCTTGTGAAAAACCATCTCCACGGCTGCCTCCTGCCTCCTCTGCAGGATGTGAAATGGTAGCTGGCAAGGTGAACACGAGCACCGCAGCTCCAGCCAATCCTGCGTTGCCACCAAATGACCCTGAACACTGGTGTCCCTCTTCTGCAAGCCCCTCTGAGCCCATCCATCAAGATACACTTCTTGATTCTCCACCCCCATCCAGTCCCAGAGACCATCTTGTTGCATATTCTATGACAACACATCCTTCTCCTTGCTGGTATTTATCACAAATGTAATTATTAACTACATGTGCAATTATTTGTTGAATGTTCTCCATATCCAGCTGGGCTGAAGACAGAGAGACGGTGTCTGGCTCATAGACAGCTGGACCTGCCACTCCTCCCCGATGCCTGTGATACAGGGAGGACTCAATCAGTGCCTGTTACTGGAAGGAGCGAATCCTGCTGGCAGGCAGGCCTCAGCACAGGGCCTGGCACTGCTCTGCTGCAAGACTCAGTACCTGCATCAAGGCACACAGGGAGAGAGGTCGTCAGAGTGTTTGGGGGTAAGATGATCTTTGAGCCTCAAGGTGACAGTCTGTCTGGATTGCTAACAACTTTGGCAGTGGAAAGGGGATGTTGCAGGCTGAGTCTGTCCATCTTCCTAGTGATGTCCTGTCACATCCTCCATATGGGCAACAAAAACTGTTTTCAGGGACATATCAGAGGAGCTGTTTCCAATTTTGTGAAAATTACCTTTGAGATTCCAATCTGAGCTGGGAAATCATTTGACAAACATCAGTGGGGATGGATGTGCCAGCACTTCAATGACAAAATCAGATGGATCCCTGGGGCCAAAATATAAGCAGCAGCCAGGACTGGCCCTGGGCCCCCTGTTGTCCTGTGTGGATGCTGGGTTGCCATAATCAACAACATAGTGGCCACACTTTAGAAAACTACTGGAATGAAATGATGAAGGGAATGAATGGGCTGGGAGGCAGTGTAGACCTTCACTATGGAAATTCAGGCAGATCTTCCAATTATAGGCAGGCTTGGTGCCTGTTCTCATGCAGAGCACGCTGCAAGCAGAGACTCCGAATACAGTCATTGAAACAGCTCTGGAGACACAAGCATAAAGCAGAAAAAAACTGATTTGAGTGTCATGTGCAGACAGAGGTGAGGTTTAGGCCACAAGAGAGAATAAGCTCTCCGAGAGAAAGAGAGGCAGAACCTTGCAAAGTATACCTGTGACCTTGTAGAATAGTACTAGGGCAAACCTCCCAGGTTGCTGAACACTGAACCGTTAGTGAGGAAATAAATGTTTTTCAAGAATCACAGTGGAAGTGAGGCTGAAGGCCCACATTTCATTAGACAGAAGAGCACACTCCTCCCGTGCCCCTATGAAATGTAATGTCTGATGAAGCCCAGCAAGAATTTTACTGACCCTTTGGGGCTTTGCAATTTGGCTGAAACAGGTTGTGAAGTCAGCAGCCATTTTCTTCAGCCTTCACAACCTGAAAATCTTTCACTCAATCCAGAAAGGATAGGAATGAGAGGGTGAGGATTTGTGAGCGAGCTTCTCAATCATAGCAAGTTAACCAGATTCGAAATGGAGGAACGTGAGTCTCTCACGCACCAGTCTTAGGTACAGATTTTGCATCTGGCTTTTCAACAACTGTGCAGAACTTCAGAGGTCCCTTCTCTCTTCTGTAAGCCACGGGTCTTCCAGCACCAGCTGACCAAGAGCCACTGAATTTTTATATTTCTGATATCTCATTTTTGATAAATTTTTTGCCTTTGGAGGGTTATTTATGTGTTTATTATTTCTATGGTGACAAAAGTGATGAAGGATCTTATGGGATTTTAAAAGAATGCCCTTTGGAGGCTATTCTGATTACCAAAAAGATTGAACAGGAGAATGGGCTGTTTAAGAAAAGCCCAAAAGTTCTCATGGTAACTAGAGCTGTTATTGACAGAAGGGGATTGGAGATGGAGGTATCTCTGCCCAAATTAACCCATTAACATATCAAATCCTTTAAAAGAAAAAAAAAAGTCCTACATGATTCAATATTTGAGAATATTTTCTCATACAGATGGTATAGGAGGGTTCGGGTAAAATAAACAGAACAACAGCGAAGCCCCAGGAACCCGGACCTCATGGCGAAATTCACACCCTTTTTGAGTTTTTGTCCATTCTGCAGCTCTGAGGGCCCCCCCACCTCCACGCGCCTCTGTCAGGTTAGAAAGCAGAAGGGTCTTCCAAGGCCAGGGCTTGGCTGGACTTCAGCTGTGCGGGGATGCGGAGCTGCAGGAGAGGGGCGCCCTCTGGTGGCCGCTACGGGCTGTGCTGAGGCCGAGTGGATGGGAAATGGGCAAAGGGGCCTAGAAAACCCTTCCTGCAGACTCGCGGAAGGAGGAAAGTAGGGAGGCATGATGAGAGCGCTCATGAGAGATGAGTGGTAACCACAGCTGTGGCCAAGCCGCTTTTTTACAAGACTGAGATTCCCCCAGGGCCTCGGGTCACCCTGGCTTTCCTCAAGACACCCCCGACCCAGCCCTACTCCCTGAGGTCCTGAAGGGACCTCTGGGGTCCTGGTTGGTACGGATTCTGCTTGATTCGTGTCGGGGTTGATGCTTGTCCCATGTGGTGGTTAAGGATTTGGGACGTGAATCCCTGGGGAAGCTGGTGTTTGGGACAGATTGGAAGAGGTGAAGAAGGAAGGAGAGGAACTGTTACACTCAGAAAGGGAGGCAGACAGAGCAGTAAAAAGAACCGGGCGCTCCCAGGCTGAGCTGAGACCTGGCCTCTGTGTGTGGCGCTGGCTATGCTCCCAGCGAGGATGGAGAGCCTGCCCTTGGCACTCTCTGGACACTTCCAAGGGGGGACGCGTCCATCCATCCCGCGTGTCTGTGTTACGGTCCACATGGTGGGGCATACCTGGACACCTCTACACGATCTGGCACATATGTCATCAAACTCCTTAGGATGGATTCTGAGCCTCCTCCAGGTAGCTCCTGGGGAGACGGGAGTCCCTGCCTCAGCAGCGCCAGGCGGCACAGGTGCGGGAAGATCTGGACACACTGGGCTGCAGCAAAGGCGCTCTTCGCTGGACCTGTCAATGTCTGTGTCTAAGGCAAGGAGCAAGCTGGTAGGAGGGGGAGGGCGACGGAAAAGAAGAGCCAGGAGAAAGGGCAGTGCAGGAAAGGGAAACAGATCCTAGGCACAGGGACCCAGGACATGCCCTCCTGGAAGAAAGATGAGGACCAAGAGAACAAGTGCTAAAGAGGGGACGGAGGGAAACAGGGCGAGGCTGGAACGACAGGCGGCCAGCCGGGGGCAGAGCAGGATGGGCTCGGGGAAGCCATGAAGCTAGAATGGTGCTATTTACCCCACACTAAACTGTCTACTGGGCAGGCAGCCTTAAATTCGTCCCCGTACCTGGGAGGCTGAAAATACAGTGGTGTTTTGGCAGAAAAAAATAAGTGAAGCGGCTGAATCCAGTACTGAAGGAAAGCATTAGGTGTGGAGCCTCATTTTTATCTCTGCCAAGTTCTAAATGCAAGAGTGCTGCCTGGCTCGTGTCACATGGCTGTGGGCAGGTTCACACAAGAGAATGCAGGGCAAGGTTCTTCAAATCAGAGTGCTATATTGTATAAAGCTGTATTATTTCCAGCATAGACATTTTTGCACATGTAAGTCATTTTCTCAAATATGAAGAAACTGGATTCCTAGAACATCATTGCTATGATTCCATCACCTTTCCCCAAAGGTAGATCTTTCATCCTTGTTGGGTTGAGATGAGAATGTGTCAGCTGCTAAGGGAACCCATATAGCTCAGGCTGTCACCTCCATCTCCCAGTGTACCAGGAGGAGTGGCTCCCCTGGTCCTCTGCCCACAGCTGCCCCGCAGCACCAGCCACTTCCAGCACACTGCCAGCAGACCCTGGGAGAACTGGCATACGAAAGAAGTGCTAACTCCAGAGGTAGCACTAGGACCCACAGGTGCAAATTGCAAAAGAAAAAGTTCAGTTGCACTCTGACCCTTGGAATTTTCCAAACCCGGACAAGGAGGTCTCTGCAGCTGATAAGCCCCATCTCAGGAGTGGGCATTGCTTAGAGCCCGCACAGCTCTATGGCCTGAGCCTAGTGTTCATGGCATTATCAACAACCAAGGCTGGCGGCAGGCATGAATGTGGAGGTGGTGACTATACAAGGCTTAAGAAAGAGAAACGTTCTGTATTTTCACCAGTACTGTAAATGGTATCCTTGTTTCCCACAGAGCCTTTGAATCTGGGCAATAGGATCTCTTGTTAAGAATGGGGCTGGGCTGGGTGTGGCCCAGCACTTTGTGAGGCCAAGGAGGACAGATCATGAGGTCAGGAGTTTGAGACCAGCCTGCCCAACATGGTGAAACCCTCTCTCTACTAAAAATACAAAAATTAGCCAGGCATGGTGGACATGCCTGTAATCCCAGCTACTCAGGAGGCTGAGACAGGAGAATTTTTCGAACCCGGGAGATGGAGGTTGCAGTGAGCCAAGATTGCACCACTGTACTCCAGCCTGGGTGACAGAGCAAGACTCTGTCTCAAAAAAAAAAAAGAATGGGGCTGAGACAGTACAAGCAGCTTGGAGCTCTGGACTTGGAGCAAACAGCTATGTTTAACTCCTTATCATTCACCATCTGTGGGCATTTAGCAAGGCATTTTGCAACACTTTTGCTTTCTTGTAAAATAAAGTTCAAATAGCTTAATTTACAATGTTATTGTACAATTCAGCTAAGCTTATCCTTGTAAAAGTCTCGAGTAAAAAGTATAAAAACTGTGTGTCATTTATCAATCGGCATTATTGGGATGTGAATAGCACACTGCATGTGGGCTCAGAGAATATGGGCTAGCTATGGGCCTTTCCAAGAGAAGTGGGAATCACTCACGACCTTTCCCTCCTTCTGCAAAGGCAAATTTACAAGTCTTCTTTTAAGCATGTCATATTGATATATGCATAAAATTTTGGTTTTTTAATTGAACTTATTATTGAGATAACTGTTGATTTATATGCAGTTGCAAACAATAATACAGGGAAATCCTAGGTACATTTAACTCACCTTCCCCCAGCAATAACCATTTTAGTATATCACACCAGAATATTGACATGGATACAATTCACTGATTTTGTTCAGATTTCTCCAGTGTTACTTATACTTATCTGTGTGTCTGTGTATGTATTTAGGCGCGTTTAGTTCTAGATAAATTTACCACCCATGTTAAGTTCATGTATGCACCACCAAAGTTAAGATTCTTAAGAGTACTGATCAATAAATACCTACATTAAAAGAGAAGATGGCCCCAAATAAATAGCCTAACATTACACCTCAAGGAGCTAAAAAATGAACAAAGCAAGCCCAAAGTTACAAGAAGGAAGGGAATAACAAATATCAGAACAGAAATAAATCAAAATAGAATAAAAAACCATAGAAGAAATCAATAAAACTAAGAGTTAGTTTAAAAACAAACAAACAAACAAAATCGACAGACCCTGAGGTAAACTTAAAAAAAAAAAAAGAGAAAAGCCTCAAATAAATAAAACCAGAAATAAAAGGAAGGACATTACAACAGATGCCTCAGAAATAAAAAGGATCATAAAGGACTATTGTGAACAATATTATGCCAACAAATTGGATACCCTAAGGGAAACAGACAAACTCCAAGAAAAATTTAACCTACCAAAATTGAATCAGGAAGAAATAAAAAGCCTACACAGACCAATAACAAATAAAAAGATCAGAGTAGTAATTAAAAATTTCATAACAAGTACGACAACAACAAAAAGCCCAGAATCAAATGGTTTTGCAACTAAATTCCTTCAAACATTCAATGACAAATTAATACCAACATTTCCTAAATTCTTCCAAAAAATAGACCTAGAGGGAATACTTCCTAACACATTCTATGAGTGCAGGATCACCCTGATACCTAAGCCAGACAGATACTGTAAGAAAAGAAAACTACAGGCCAATATCGCTGAAAATATTGATGAAAAAAACACAATAAAATATTAGCAAACCAAATTCAACAACACATCACAATATTATACATCATGATCAAGTGAAATTTATCACTGACATGGACCCTCATTTAACATATACTAATTAATCAATGTGATACATTAACAGACTGAAAGATAAAAATCACATGATCATCTCAATTGATGCAGAAAAAGCATTCAACGAAGTTCAACATTGTTTCTTGATTTAAACTCTCAACAGTTTAGGTATAAATGGAAAGTTTGTCATCATAAAAAAGGCTATGAAAAAGCCACAGTTAACATCATAGTCAATGGGAAAAAAATTAAAGCTTTTCCGCTAAGATCTGGTACAAGGTGAGGATGCCCACTCTTGCTGCTTCTATTCAGCGTGGTACTGGAAATACTAGCAAGAGCAATTAGACAAGAAAAAGAAATAAAAGGCATTTAAATCAGAAAGAAAAAACTCAGATTATCTCTATGGATGGCATGATCCCATATTTAGTAAACCCCAAAGACTCCACCAAAAAAAAAAAAATGTTAGAACTAAAAAACAAACTTGGTAAAGTTAAAGGATACAAAATCAGTTGCATTTATGTGCACAAATAACAACCTACGTGAAAAAGAAATCAAGGAAACGATTGTATTTATGAAAGCATCAAAAATACAGTTAGGAATAAGTTTAACCATGGAAGTAAAAGACATGTACACTGAAAATTATAAACCATTGATAAAATTAATAGAAGACACAAATACGTGGAAAGATAACCCATATTCATGGATCTGAAAACTTGATGTTGTTAAAATGTCCATATTACCCAAAGGAATATGCAGATTCAATGGCATCCTTATCAAAATCCCGATGGCATTCTTCACAGAAATTTAAAAAATCCTGAAATTTGTATGGAACCATAAAAAAACTAAATAATAAAAGTAATTTTGAGAAGAGAAAATGACATTGGAGTTATCACACTTCCTGAGTTAAATTAGATTGCAAAGCTATAACAATCAAAACACTATGATACTGGCATAAAATCAGACCACAGACCAGTGGAACAAAAGAGAGAGCCCCAAAATAAATCTATATATATATATATACAGTAAACTAATTTTTGACAAAGGCACCAAGAAGACAAAATGGGAAAAGGATAATCTCTTCAATAAATGATGCTGGGGAAACTGGATTTGCATGCCCAAAAGAATAAAACTGGGCCCTTGTACCATACACAAAAATCAACTCAAAATGGATACAAGACCTAAATGTAAAATCTGAAACCATAAAACTCCAAGGAGAAAACATAGGAGAACAGGTCCTTGACATTGCCCTTGGCAATAATTTTTGAATATCACACCAAAAGGCTACAAAAGCAAAAATAAATAAATGGGAATATGTCAAACTGAAAAGCTTCTGCACAGCAAAGAAAACAATCAACAAAATGAAAAAGTAACCTATAGATTGGAAAAATAATTGCAAGACATATATTTGATAAGGTTTAATATCCAAAATTTATAAAATGTTCACACAGCTCAATAGCAAAAAACATATAACCCAATTAAAAAATGGGCAAATTATCTGAATAGTTATTTATCCAAAGAAGACATCAAAATGACCCACAGGTTAATGAAAAGATGCTCAATGTCACTAATCCTCAGGGAAATGCAAATCAAAACCATTATGCGTTATCACCTGACACCAGCAAGTGGAGCTTCCTAAAGAAATTAAAGTTAGAAGTACCATAAGATGTAGCAATTCCTCCTCTGGGTATGCATCCAAAGGAAAGGAAATCAGCACTCAGGGAGATATCTTCACTGTCATGTCCATTCCAGCATTATTCTCAATATCTAAGATAAGAAACAACCTAAATGTTCATTGGCAGGCAAATGGGTAAAGAAACTGTGATATATATGTACAAAGGAATATCCTTCAGCCTCAAAAAAGGAGATCCTGCCATTTGCCACAACATGGATGGAATTGCAAGACATTATGCTAAGTAAATATGTCAGATGCAGAAGGAAAAATATTGCATAATCTCACTCATATGTAAAATCTTTTAAACAAATTCAAATATACAGAAATAGAGAATTACACCGTGGTTACCAGGGGCAGTGTGGCAGGAAGGAATTGCAGAGAAGTAGGTCAAGGGTTACAAAGTCGCAGATAAGGAGGGTGGACAAGTCTAGAGATCTAATGTAAAACATGAGGACCGCCAATACTAACAGTGTCTTGTATTCAGGATTTTTGCTAAATGAGTTGATTGTAGATACTTCAGCCCCACACACAAAACATGGGTACATTAATTTGCTTCACTATATTAACCAATTTACT
Organism: Homo sapiens; assembly: GCF_000001405.40. Taxonomy (NCBI): domain Eukaryota; kingdom Metazoa; phylum Chordata; class Mammalia; order Primates; family Hominidae; genus Homo; species Homo sapiens. Next base: position 2,428,708 of record NW_011332701.1, on the reverse strand, counting down.
ATATATATATATATATATATATATATATATACACACACACACATATATATATATATAAACATCATGATGCTTACCTTAAACATACACAATTAAATGTATTTAAAAAATCCATCATGATGTACAACTTATATACATAAAATAACTAAAATAAAATTTAAAAAATAAGATTCTCCCCCTCCCACAACAAGAAAGGCTTTGGAAGGACTTGAATATAAGATGGCAGAATAATTTGGTAATAAATGCCAACGACTGAGATCTGGGACATCTGTTGACTGAGATGCCAGGTGCCATGTTGCATGGCATGGCATGAGGCCAGAGCCATGGGGCAGGCATTGTAGGATATGTACCAATGTCCAGTCTCCTCCACGGTGACTCTCTATGTGCTCAGACCATCAGGAATTATTTTCTTTTGCTCTTTTGGTGTCTCTGTAAATCCCATCTTATCTCCCAAAAATTTCCTCCTCTCCTCTGCTTTAAATGCAATGTCCTTTGAGGCCCAGCTCACAGGCCACATCAGCTACGCAGCGACGCAGCCCTGGAGGAACGAGCCCAGAGCCTGGGCTGTATCTCATGTTGCAGATTTCTGGCATCTTGAATCTTCTTATCCTGACCTCTCCAATCGCTGCCACCCTTCATCTTTGATCCCATTGGTGGGCTTGTGCAAGTGTGCAGGATGGAACCTGAGTTCCAGCCCCTTACGCTGACAATTACAGTAGTTGCTTACCAGCATCCTATGTCTGGGCCCTCTTCCCCTCAGAGGCAGGTTGCCTGGAAAGAACAGAAAGAACAAAGGGATCCATTTCTGTCTTTCTCCGAGGGACTGTCTGGAGCATCTCCAAAGATGGGGACTACAAAATGCGATTTGCATCACAGCCCACAGCAAACACAAAACTGCACACATCTGTGTCCAGTGGTGTATTAGCCATGTGGCTCCACCTCCAGAGGAGGATATCTGATCAGCCTCCAGGGCTTCATCCCCTAAGTCCCTGGCAGGTGTTGCAGCTGTTCCTTTCCTCAGGCTGCAGGTGAACAAGTGGGTGGCCACGCTTTGTTAAGTGGCATGGCCATCGAGAGTCATCCGGCTCTGTTGAGGCATCATTGTCCTTTCTGCTGGAAAAGTTGAGTCTTCCTGAACCTTGAAGACAAACCACAAGCTCATCGGTTGTTGTTTGTATGCATGTGTGACAGAAGAAAAAAAATTTCTCTTGAGAGAGGTGTTCAGTGCTCCCCTCATCCTCTTGCCCAGAAGGTGCCCCTGTTAGCACAGAACGCCCAGTATCTGTGAGTGGAGCAGGGGCAGGTGCTATGCGCCTGGGGACAGGCCACTTCATCTTTATGTGCCTCGATCTCCCCACCCACAATGAGATCTGGATCACACTTCTGAGTGACTGCTACCAGGTAGCCACTGGCCCATGTTTCAGTGGAAAGGAGAACAGGAGCCCAAAGATGACAAAAGACACAGCCCCACTGTCCAGAAGCTCACAGCTAGGAAATGAGATGCCCTTTCCTTAGTTCCTAATCAAAATTCCCATTTCAGGCCAATAACCATGAGCTGCTCTGTTGGGGTGATGCTGCAGTTAGCAAGACGTGCATCCCACCCTCTGGAAATTCATGGCACCAAAAGTTGTCACAGAGTGAGTTGGGGGCAAAATGACACTAAATGGTGCATCTTTAACCTTATGTCACAGATGTTAGCAAACTCAGTCCAAGAAAAAAAAGGCAATTAGTGCTCGCTTCGGCAGCACATATACTAAAATTGGAACGATACAGAGAAGATTAGCATGGCCCCTGAGCAAGGATGACACGCAAATTCGTGAAGCGTTCCATATTTTTTATTCACAATAGCAAAGACTTGGAACCAACCCAAATGTCCAACAATGATAGACTGGATTAAGAAAATGTGGCACATATACACCATGGAATACTATGCAGCCATAAAAAATGATAAGTTCTTGTCCTTTGTAGGGACATGGATGAAATTGGAAATCATCATTCTCAGTAAACTATCGCAAGGACAAAAAAACAAACACCACATGTTCTCACTCATAGATGGGAATTGAACAATGAGAACACATGGACACAGGAAGGGGAACATCACACTCTGGGGACTGTTGTGGGGTCGGGGGAGGGGGGAGGGATAGCATTAGGAGATATACCTAATGCTAAATGACGAGTTAATGGGTGCAGCACACCAGCATGGCACATGTATACATATGTAACTAACCTGCACATTGTGCACATGTACCCTAAAACTTAAAGTATAATAATAATTTTTTAAAAAGGCAATTAATACTGTTTTTACACATTATTTTGAAAGGCATTTTGATGATGCAAATAACCCACGTTACATACAGAATAATTATGAAATATAGGTAAAAGGAAAATGAAAATTACAAAATTACGGATACCTGGAAATATGTGCTTCTGACTGTGGGTCTGTCTCTCCATCTTCACTTGCTCAAAAGTAAAAAAAATGACATCTTTGCTGCTCTGCAACCTGCTTAGTACTTAAATGAATTTTCCATATTTATATAAATGATGAAATCCCAGCACTGCTGTTTTAATGAATGCAGGATGATTCAGTTCAGATGTACCATGATTTGATTATCCTAAAGAAATTACAATAACCATCTTTACATCTATATATCTGTACACATCCTTATTTATTTAGAAGGAATTCTTAGAAACTGAATTGCTGAATAAAGGCACGTTTTATACGTACTGCAAAATGGCTAAGTTTTTTGGGTAATCTACTTCATGGATAATAAACTGCAATATGGTATACTAAACCTGACTTCTTCCCAGCATGTCACAGATCCGCCTCCACAAGTTACCATTCTGACTTCAAATGACTTGCTTGAACAAACTCACGTGCCTGATGTTGACTCACCTATGTTATTGCACCATGAAAGATGTGGAGCGCATCATGTTTTCACACGAATTAGCATGGAAAGGTGGTAACTTTATAGTTTTACCACCTCAAGCTTTTAATACCTTTCTTGCTGCAATGTATTGCCAACCAATGTGAACCATAATAGCACCAAGAGAAAACAGGATGCAGGAGGGAAGGAAGAAAAGTAATATTCCTTAAAATGTGCAGCACCATGTTCTCTAAATTTTGAAATACTGAACAAAAAGCATTAACAGGTTTGTAAACCTTTAACACAAATTGAGTTCTATTTCCTCTGCTGGCCCCTGGGAAGGGTATGTGGCCCAGTGGTGGGGACCTGAGACTTGGCTGGAAAGTCAGGGCTCTGGGTCTTTTTCCATACTTTAAAGCTCAGTGAGCAAATTTGAGATCAATTAAGTTCCCCATCTGGAACCGGATGAAAAAGCTTGCCAGATCCACCTCACGTGATACCACAATTTCCTATGAAGATTACTATTAAATTAAGGAACTATGATGAAGACCAACTGGCGTAACTGCTTGGGTTTAGTTATCTTCCAGAAATGATTCATGCTATACGTATTTAATTAGTTTTTTTCAGTTATTTGAAAGGCTCCTTTCAGGAGGATGTTGGAACACAATTACATGTGACATTTGGCTGAGAGCAGTGACTCCTAGGTCGTGACCTGTCCACCTGCGTGTGCCCGTAGCAGCATTGAGCAGGTCTTCCCAGAAAAGCCAAGACAGTGGGAAAATGATCACCTGGTATAGCTAAGTGTGAGTACAGGCTACAACATTGTTGAGCTACACATAGCCACAGACACCAAATGCATTAGGTCGTTCTAAAACCATAAAGGATTCCAATGTTTCATAGCTACATTTGTGGACTAGAAATGATGGAGCTACCTAAATTCCACAGATATTCTGATTAGAGTCTCCTACTAGATGTAATTTTTTCCTCAAGCTATCAATAGCAAAATTAACAAGTGAGCAAGCTCCTCTCCATCTCCCTGTGGAACAGCCAACAATTAGGAGAAAGAAAAGTCTTATAGCTGGTGAGAGACTAGGATGTGAAGGCTGGAGGAGCTGGGATTGGTGCTGCAAAGGAGATAGCACGGACAGGAGTGGCTAGTGCTGACCTTGTCCCAGGCACTGCAGCCAAAAGAAGTTTGCTTGTGACCAAACTTCTCAGTCATTAGGATTCATCTCCATTGTACAGATAATGAAATAAAGACTCAGAGATGAATCACTTTCAGATGCATCCACAGTCAGTCAATAGATGTTTGAAGTAGTTTTCTGTGTTTCTCTTGTGCCAAATACTAAACTGTTTCTTCTAGAGAAGAGAGATCTTAAAATCATGAAGTCCAACAATGGCCAAGGTGTAGCTAGGCAGAGCTGGGGCTGTTCAAATATGAACATCATTAGGAATGATGACAGGAATAATCATTATTATTATAACAATAATAAACATTTGCTGAGTACCAACTATGGGCCAGACACGAGTTTGGGCACTTTAGATTCTGTTTTCCTTAAGATGGGGGAGGCTGGCCGGGCGTGCTGGCTCACTTCTGTAATCCCAGCACTTTGGGAGGCCGAGGCAGGTGGATTGCCTGAGGTCAGGAGTTCGAGACCAGTCTGGCCAACATGGTGAAACCCCATCTCTAATAAAAACACTAAAAAATTAGCCAGGTGTGGCAGTGTGCTCCTGTAATCCCAGCTACTCTGGAGTCTAAAGCGGGAGAATCACTTGAACCCGGGAGGCGGAGCTTGCAGTGAGCCAAGATCACGCCACTGCACTCTAGCCTGGGTGACAGAGTGAGACTCTGTCACAAAAAAAAAAAGATGGGGGAGGCCATATTGCAATAATAAAATATCATCAATATTTTCTGGGACCTAAACCGACAAAGTCCCAGAAGATTTTATGGTACTATGTGTCAGTTTTGGACTGGCCAGGCTGTGCTGTATGTCATTTTGCACTACCTGGCAGATAAAGAGAAATATCAAATCACACGCTGTCTCCTGAAGCTCCAGCCAGAAGTGAACAAACAGATACCACAAGCCAAAGCACAATCCCAAGGCCAGGCCTGATTTGAAGGGGAGCAGGCTGTGCCTAAGGATCAGAAATATTAGGTGCCAGCAGCAACGACCCCCATACATGTGTTCTGTCATTTACCTCCCCAAAAGACTTTTACAGAAGAGAAAATGCGGCATGGAGAGCTTCAGGGACCTGTGTAAATGCCACACAGCTAAGTAGAGACAAGCTTGGCCTTGACTCCAGGCAGCTGGACTCCACAGTCTGTGCTCTGTTTGTAAATTTTTACTTATTTATTTATTTATTGAGAAGGAGTCTCGCTCTGTCGCCCAGGCTGGAGTGCAATAGTGCGATCTCGGCTCACCCCACCTCCGCCTCCCAGGTTCAAGTGATTCTCCTGCCTCAGCCTCCCAAGTAGCTGGGATTATAGTTGTGCACCACCACGCCCGGCTAATTTTGTATTTTTAGTAGAGACGGGGTTTCTCCATGTTGGTCAGGCTGGTCTCAAACTCGCAACCTCAGGTGATTCGCCCATCTCGGCCTCCTGAAGTGCTGGGATTACAGGCGTGAGCCACTGCACCCAGCCATAATTTTTTTTTTTAATTGACGGACACGAACTGTATATATTTATGGTATATGACATAATGTTTTTTCTTTTTTTGTCCTCATCGCCTGTCCTAAGAAGAACATAGTGTTTTGATATACAGTATGCGTACACTATGGAATGGCTAAACTGAACTAAGTAACATATGCATTGCCTCACCTACTTGCCAGTTATTTGTGGTAAGAACACTTAAAACTACTCTCTTAGAAGTGCTCAAGAATACAAGACACTGTGTTTAGCTGTGGTCACCATGCTGTGCAACAGATTTCTTGAAGTTTCTCCTCCTAACTGAAATTGTGTATCCCTGGCCAACCTCTTCTCAGTCCTTCCCCTGCCCCAGCCTCTGGTAAGCACCATCCCACTCTCTGCCTCTGTGAGTTTGACATTTTTAGCCTCTGTATATAAGTGAGATCATAAAGTAGCTGTCTTTTGGCACCCAGCTTATTTTGCTTAGCATAATGTCCTCCAGGTTCATCTATGGTGTTGCAAATGACAGGATTTCCTTGTTTCTTAAGGCTGAATAGTACTCAACCGTGTATTTATAACACATTTTCTTCACCTGTCGATGGACACGGAGGTTGATTCCATATTCTGGCTGTTGTGGATAGTGCTATGATGAACATGGGTACAGGTAGAGTAGCCTGCACTCTTTACCATCATTCATTTCTCTCTCTCTAGCTACTGTCGACAGCACCAACTACGTACCAGGCATGGAATGCAATATTATTTATATCCTTTACTCCTCCCAGTCCTGCAGATTTTATTCATCACATTTTACCCGTGAGGACCATGAATCTTTCCATGAGGACAATGAAGATGTAGAACTTATTCTAGTATCCTAAGCAGTAGTCAAAGTTTGAACCTTAGCTTGCCTGACCCCAAAGCCCATGCTCTTCAGCATTACATTATGAAATTCTTGGGAGACCTAGCACAACTCTGAATTCGAGAAATATTAACTCAGCACCTACTCTGCACAAGATACATGAAACTCAACCCTCTCTCTTGTTGGCTTGTAGTCAGTCATTAGTGATATTTGAGAGCAGTAGGTCATCTGGAGAGACTGGATGCAAAGCAATCACAGTCCATGAGCTGTCTCCATGAAGATTAGAAAAGAGGCACTTCTTTCTCAAGACATGTTACTTCTATCTCTTGGGATGCTGTCATATTACACTGTTTTGTTAGAATAAGATCTCCTACTACCATCTTCTAGAGAACTGTTGTAAAGCACATGTGAGTCTGTGGAAGTTGTGATGTGCATGGGGCCTGCAAGGATGTGCACCAACACAACCTAAATGGGTGGCCTGGCTATGCTCACCAAAGGGCTTCTTGCTCTCCTTCCACATTTTTACCAGGCTGGATTCCATTTGCATTTTGTATTCTAGGACACACAGAAGCAGCTTTGTTGTCATGATGCAATGGCAGTGATCAGAAATGATCACCCCTTCCATGAGAAAAATCATGAGAATCTAAAAATATGCAGACTTCCTACCTTACTCTAATGCTGAAAGAGAGTGATTTGAAGTCACCACTTTTTTTTTAAATAGGTTTTCACTTTGCCTCCCAGGCTGGAGTGCAGTGGTGCGATCTCAGCTCACTTCATCCTCGACCTCCCGGGCTCAAGCGATCCTACCACCTCTGCCTCCCAAGTAGCTGGGACTATAGTTAAGACTATTTTTTCCAGCCAGGTGCAGTGGCTCACTCCTGTAATCCCAGCACTTTGGGAGGCCAAGGCAGGCGGATGACCTGAGGTCAGGAGTTCAAGACCAGCCTGAACAACATGGTGAAACCCCGTCTCTATCAAAAAAAAAAAATTAACCTGGTGTGCTGGTGGGTGCCTGTAATCTCAGCTACTCGAAAGGCTGAGGCAGGAGAATTCCTTGAACCCGGGAGGCAAAAGTTTCAGTGAGCCAAGATCGTGCCGTTGCACTCCAGCCTGGGCGACAGAGCAAAACTCCATCTCAGGAAAAAAAAAAAAAAAAAAAAAAAAAGCTATTTTTTCCCCTCTTTTTAGAGGTGGGATTTCACTCTGTCACCCAGGCTGGAGTGCAGTGCCATGATCATAGCTCAGTTCAGCCTCAAACTTCTGGGCTCAAGCAATCCTCCAGCCTGAGCTTCCTCAGTGGCTAGGACTATAGGCACACAGCACAATGCCTGGTGAATTTTCTATTATATTTTTTGTAGAGACAGGTCTTGCTATGTTTCCCAGGCCAGTCTCAAACTCCTGGCCACAAGAGATCCTCCTGCTTTGGCCTCCCAAAGCACTGGGATAATAGACATGAGCCACCATGCCTGGCCCTGCAAATGACTTATAGTCTGCAGATCTGAGTGTTCATTTCAGCTTTGCCACGTTCTTCCCAGTGACCCTTCACAAGTCACTCTACTTCTGAGCATTCAGTTGCTTCTCTTTGAAAAGGAATTGTGTCCCCAGCCTGTGTGCCTCACATCGGGGCCACGGTTCTGCTTTGTAAGGGCTTTGAAGCACTAGGGGAATTGGGATGCACCACATGCCTGCTAGTTCTGCATCACCAGGCTCTCTTCGGAGTGCTCCTTACCTTCATCACACACATGTGAGTTCCCGTTACCAAGCCAGGGTCTGTGTCAGATGTTGAGATACAAGAATGAAGAAAACTTTACCTGCATAGTTAACTAGTGTCTATTCACCAGAATGAGTCGTTTGAGAGTAGAGAGTCTACATTAAGCTTTTCTCTGCCACCCCACCCTTGTACCTAGGACAGCTCCAAGGTCTCCAGATGTGCCTAATGAGCTGTTTTTCAGTTAGGAAATATTAAGAATAAATCTCTGCATATGACCCAGTGTCTCTGTGGTGTTAGATTTTTCTGTGGTACCAGATGACCAAACTGAAGTTAACCTTAACTAGTTTCCTCGTTTCAGAAAATAAGGACTTATTATCTTAACCCAACCCCTTATCTAGTTTTTAAACAATGAATTTGGGAGCATTTAGAGGATAGTGTATTGATTAATACAAACTGATAACAATAATACTAATGCGTACACTTTGTTGAATGATTCCTACGTATCAGCTTTACAGCTCCAGGTTTACCAGGAGTAAGTCCGTTCTAATGGGGAAAAAAAACTGTTATTGCCCTTTAGAACAGAGTGTGGTATGTATCTCTACTTCAGCCGAGTACTTGACACTGTGTCTGTATCTTGATAGATTAGTGAATTTCCTGGGTAAAGAGAATTTGCCTGGGTTTAGAGATCAACCCAAGTGATTTCCTGGGTTTAGAGATCCTAAACTAGATCTCTAAAGAGTATTACTACCAGGTCTGTGTCAAATTGAAAGGTGATTCTGAATGTTGGGTCATCAGCATATATTGTTTAGTATGTTTATCAGAAGCTCAAGTGGAAACAGATTTGCAGCTCTGCTGTAGAAGACAGCTTCAAGACTTGTAAAATGACATTGACAGATAAGAATGAGGAGCTACAGAAAAATGAAATAAAATTTATTAGGAAAAAGTGTGATAGCCTGTATTCCAGAAAGTCGCTTGCAAGGTACAAAAGATTCCTGGCTTGGTGATGACTCATGTGAGGAAGGAATGAGATTTAGGCAAATAAAACCTCACATAAGGAATCCTGTGACAAGGCTGCCAAAACAGTGAGAACAATTGAAATCTACCACCCAATTAAAAGGTGGCAATAGTTCTACTTTCTCTGTGAATACTACTATAAGTAGAATTATTATTCCATTCTGAATTCATTTTTACATTCTAAATACATTTATATCTATTGAAAATTTTCCCATCAGATAATGATATATTATCAATGGATTTGAAAAATTAGAAATATCTTAATATTTCAAAATAAATATTTAACTCCAGAGAATAGGATAGCTTTTCTCATGTTCATCATTGTTGAAAATGCTTGTAGCAGTTACTTATATACATACTTTTAAAATAATTTTTATTAGTTCTGTTAATTGACAATTTATAATCTGGGAAAGATTATAAATTCCTTTTATAAAGAGAAAAATGAAATTGAGATGTGACCCTGTCATAGTAATGCATTCAGGAATCTCATATAAGCATTGCTAGATGAGTCATTTTGCTGGGAGCAGGGCAGCTCATTTTAAGGATGATATTGACAAAGAGGGTATAATACAGATGGCAGAAAACATGAAAATCATCTTGTGTGTAGAAACCTGGAATATTTATCCCAGGAGTCATAAATAATAAAGGTTTTCCACTATGTGATATCACAGCCTGTGAATAAGTAATCCCTGTGTTCTTAATATCACCAAATGTCAGAGCTACGAGTCCCAAACAGGATGATTAAAACAAGTTATAAGAAATAAAGATAGAGAGAGGAGCCAAGATGGCCGAATAGGAACAGCTCCGGTCTACAGCTCCCAGCGTGAGCAACGCAGAAGACAGGTGATTTCTGCATTTCCATCTGAGGTACCGGGTTCATCTCACTAGGGAGTGCCAGACAGTGGGCGCAGGTCAGTGGGTGCGCGCACCGTGCGCCAGCCGAAGCAGGGCGAGGCACTGCCTCACTCGGGAAGCGCAAGGGGTCAGGGAGTTCCCTTTCCTAGTCAAAGAAAGGGGTGACGGACAGCACCTGGAAAATCAGGCCACTCCCACCCGAATACTGCGCTTTTCCTACGGGCTTAAAAAACGGCGCACCACGAGATTATATCCCGCACCTGGCTCGGAGGGTCCTACGACCACGGAGTCTCGCTGATTGCTAGCACAGCAGTCTGAGATCAAACTGCAAGGCGGCAGCGAGGCTGGGGGAGGGGCGCCCGCCATTGCCCAGGCTTGATTAGGTAAACAAAGCAGCTGGGAAGCTCGAACTGGGTGGAGCCCACCACAGCTCAAGGAGGCCTGCCTGCCTGCCTCTGTAGGCTACACCTCTGGGGGCAGGGCACAGACAAACAAAAAGACAGCAGTAACCTCTGCAGACTTAAATATCCCTGTCTGACAGCTTTGAAGAGAGCAGTCGTTCTCCCAGCACGCAGCTGGAGATCTAAGAACGGGCAGACTGCCTCCTCAAGTGCGTCCCTGACCCCTGACCCCCGAGCAGCCTAACTGGGAGGCACCCCCCAGCAGGGGCACACTGACACCTCACACTGCAGGGTACTCCAACAGACCTGCAGCTGAGGGTCCTGTTTGTTAGAAGGAAAACTAACAAACAGAAAGGACATCCACACCAAAAACCCATCTGTACATCGCCATTGTCAAAGACCAAAAGTAGATAAAACCACAAAGATGGGGAAAAAACAGAACAGAAAAACTGGAAACTCTAAAAAGCAGAGCGCCTCTCCTCCTCCAAAGGAACGCAGTTCCTCACCAGCAATGGAACAAAGCTGGACGGAGAATGACTTTGACGAGCTGAGAGAAGAAGGCTTCAGACGATCAAATTACTCTGAGCTACAGGAGGACATTCAAACCAAAGGCAAAGAAGTTGAAAACTTTGAAAAAAATTTAGAAGAATGTATAACTAGAATAACCAATACAGAGAAGTGCTTAAAGGAGCTGATGGAGCTGAAAACCAAGGCTCGAGAACTACGTGAAGAATGCAGAAGCCTCAGGAGCCGACGCGATCAACTGGAAGAAAGGGTATCAGCAATGGAAGATGAAATGAATGAAATGAAGTGAGAAGGGAAGTTTAGAGAAAAAAGAATAAAAAGAAATGAGCAAAGCCTCCAAGAAATATGGGACTATGTGAAAAGACCAAATCTACGTCTGATTGGTGTACCTGAAAGTGATGGGGAGAATGGAACCAAGTTGGAAAACACTCTGCAGGATATTATCCAGGAGAACTTCCCCAATCTAGCAAGGCAGGCCAACGTTCAGATTCAGGAAATACAGAGAACGCCACAAAGATATTCCTCGAGAAGAGCAACTCCAAGACACATAATTCTCAGATTCACCAAAGTTGAAATGAAGGAAAAAATGTTAAGGGCAGCCAGAGAGAAAGGTCGGGTTACCCTCAAAGGGAAGCCCATCAGACTAACAGCGGATCTCTCGGCAGAAACCCTACAAGCCAGAAGAGAGTGGGGGCCAATATTCAACATTCTTAAAGAAAAGAATTTTCAACCCAGAATTTCATATCCAGCCAAACTAAGCTTCATAAGTGAAGGAGAAATAAAATACTTTACAGACAAGCAAATGCTGAGAGATTTTGTCACCACCAGGCCTGCCCTAAAAGAGCTCCTGAAGGAAGCGCTAAATATGGAAAGGAACAACCGGTACCAGCCGCTGCAAAATCATGCCAAAATGTAAAGACCATCGAGACTAGGAAGAAACTGCATCAACTAACGAGCAAAATAACCAGCTAACATCATAATGACAGGATCAAATTCACACATAACAATATTAACTTTAAATGTAAATGGACTAAATGCTCCAATTAAAAGATGCAGACTGGCAAATTGGATAAAGAGTCAAGATCCATCAGTGTGCTGTATTCAGCAAACCCATCTCACGTGCAGAGACACACATAGGCTCAAAATAAAAGGATGGAGGAAAATCTACCAAGCAAATGGAAAACAAAAAAAGGCAGGGGTTGCAATCCTAGTCTCTGATAAAACAGACTTTAAACCAACAAAGATCAAAAGAGACAAAGAAGGCCATTACATAATGGTAAAGGGATCAATTCAACAAGAAGAGCTAACTATCCTAAATATATATGCACCCAACACAGGAGCACCCAGATTCATAAAGCAAGTCCTGAGTGACGTACAAAGAGACTTAGACTCCCACACATTAATAATGGGAGACTTTAACACCCCACTGTCAACATTAGACAGATCAACGAGACAGAAAGTCAACAAGGATACCCAGGAATTCAACTCAGCTCTGCACCAAGCAGACCTAATAGACATCTACAGAACTCTCCACCCCAAATCAACAGAATATACATTTTTTTCAGCACCACACCACACCTATTCCAAAATTGACCACATACTTGGAAGTAAAGCTCTCCTCAGCAAATGTAAAAGAACAGAAATTATAACAAACTGTCTCTCAGACCACAGTGCAATCAAACTAGAACTCAGGATTAAGAATCTCACTCAAAACCGCTCAACTACATGGAAACTGAACAACCTGCTCCTGAATGACTACTGGGTACATAACGAAATGAAGGCAGAAATAAAGATGTTCTTTGAAACCAACGAGAACAAAGACACAACATACCAGAATCTCTGCGACGCATTCAAAGCAGTGTGTACAGGGAAATTTATAGCACTAAATGCCCACAAGAGAAAGCAGGAAAGATCCAAAATTGGCACCCTAACATCGCAATTAAAAGAACTAGAAAAGCAAGAGCAAACACATTCAAAAGCTAGCAGAAGGCAAGAAATAACTAAAATCAGAGCAGAACTGAAGGAAATAGAGACACAAAAAACCCTTCAAAGAATTAATGAATCCAGGAGCTGGTTTTTTGAAAAGATCAACAAAATTGATAGACCGCTAGCAAGACTAATAAAGAAAAAAAGAGAGAAGAATCAAATAGACGCAATAAAAAATGATAAAGGGGATCTCACCACCGATCCCACAGAAATACAAACTACCATCAGAGAATACTACAAACACCTCTACGCAAATAAACTAGAAAATCTAGAAGAAATGGATACATTCCTCGACACATACACTCTCCCAAGACTAAATCAGGAAGAAGTTGAATCTCTGAATAGACAATAACAGGAGCTGAAATTGTGGCAATAATCAATAGCTTACCAACCAAAAAGAGTCCAGGACCAGACGGATTCACAGGCGAATTCTACCAGAGGTACAAGGAGGAACTGGTACCATTCCTTCTGAAACTATTCCAATCAATAGAAAAAGAGGGAATCCTCCCTAACTCATTTTATGAGGCCAGCATCATTCTGATACCAAAGCCAGGCAGAGACACAACCAAAAAAGAGAATTTTAGACCAATATCCTTGATGAACATTGATGCAAAAATCCTCAATAAAATACTGGCAGACCGAATCCAGCAGCACATCAAAAAGCTTATCCACCATGATCAAGTGGGCTTCATCCCTGGGATGCAAGGCTGGTTCAATATACGCAAATCAATAAATGTAATCCAGCATATAAACAGAGCCAAAGACAAAAACCACATGATTATCTCAATAGATGCAGAAAAGGCCTTTGACAAAATTCAACAACCCTTCATGCTAAAAACTCTCAATAAATTAGGTATTGATGGGACGTATATTTCAAAATAATAAGAGCTATCTGTGACAAACCCACAGCCAATATCATACTGAATGGGCAAAAACTGGAAGCATTCCCTTTGAAAACTGGCACAAGACAGGGATGCCCTCTCTCACCACTCCTATTCAACATAGTGTTGGAAGTTCTGGCCAGGGCAATTAGGCAGGAGAAAGAAAGAAAGGGTATTCAATTAGGAAAAGAGGAAGTCAAATTGTCCCTGTTTGCAGATGACATGATTGTATATCTAGAAAACCCCACTGTCTCAGCCCAAAATCTCCTTAAGCTGATAAGCAACTTCAGCAAAGTCTCAGGATACAAAATCAATGTACAAAAATCACAAGCATTCTTATACAGCAACAACAGACAAACAGAGAGCCAAATCATGAGTGAACTCCCATTCACAATTGCTTCAAAGAGAATAAAATACCTAGGAATCCACCTTACAAGGGATGTGAAGGACCTCTTCAAGGAGAACTACAAACCACTGCTCAAGGAAATAAAAGAGGATACAAACAAATGGAAGAACATTCCATGCTTATGGGTAGGAAGAATCAATATCGTGAAAATGGCCATACTACCCAAGGTAATTTACAGATTCAATGCCATCCCCATCAGGCTATCAATGACTTTCTTCACAGAATTGGAAAAAACTACTTTAAAGTTCATATGGAACCAAAAAAGAGCCTGCATCGCCAAGTCAATCCTAAGCCAAAAGAACAAAGCTGGAGGCGTCACGCTACCTGACTTCAAACTATACTACAAGGCTACAGTAACCAAAACAGCATGGTACTGGTACCAAAACAGAGATATAGATCAATGGAACAGAACAGAGCCCTCAGAAATAACGCCGCATACCTAAAACTATCTGATCTTTGACAAACCTGAGAAAAACAAGCAATGGGGAAAGGATTCCCTATTTAATGAATGGTGCTGGGAAAATTGGCTAGCCATATGTAGAAAGCTGAAACTGGATCCCTTCCTTACACCTTATACAAAAATCAATTCAAGATGGATTAAAGACTTAAACGTTAGACCTAAAACCATAAAAGCCCTAGAAGAAAACCTAGGCATTACCATTCAGGACATAGGCATGGGCAAGGACTTCATGTCTAAAACACCAAAAGCAATGGCAACAAAAGCCAAAATTGACAAATGGGATCTAATTAAACTAAAGAGCTTCTGCACAGCGAAACAAACTACCATTAGAGTGAACAGGCAACCTACAAAATGAGAGAAAATTTTCGCAAGCTACTCATCTGACAAAGGGCTAATATCCAGAATCTACAATGAACTCAAACAAATTTACAAGAAAAAAACAAACAACCCCATCAAAAAGTGGGCAAAGGACATGAACAGACAGTTCTCAAAAGAAGACATTTATGCAGCCAAAAAACACATGAAAAAATGCTCATCATCACTGGCCATCAGAGAAATGCAAATCAAAACCACAATGAGATACCGTCTCACACCAGTTAAAATGGCAATCATTAAAAAGTCAGGAAACAACAGGTGCTGGAGAGGATGTGGAGAAATAGGAACACTTTTACACTGTTGGTGGGACTGTAAACCAGTTCAACCATTGTGGAAGTCAGTGTGGCGATTCCTCAGGGATCTAGAACTAGAAATACCATTTGACCCAGCTATCCCATTACTGGGTATATACCCAAAGGACTATAAATCATGCTGCTATAAAGACACATGCACACGTATGTTTATTGCGGCATTATTCACAATAGCAAAGACTTGGAACCAAGCCAAATGTCCAACAATGATAGACTGGATTAAGAAAATGTGGCACATATACACCATGGAATACTATGCAGCCATAAAAAATGATGAGTTCATGTCCTTTGCAGGGACATGGATGAAACTGGAAATCATCATTCTCAGTAAACTATCGCAAGAACAAAAAACCAAACACCGCATATTCTCACTTACAGGTGGGAATTGAACAATGAGATCACATGGACACAGGAAGGGGAACATCACACTCTGGGGACTGTTGTGGGGTGGGAGGAGGGGGGAGGGATAGCATTGGGAGATATACCTAATGCTAGATGACAAGTTAGTGGGTGCAGCGCACCAGCATGGCACATGTATACATATGTAAATAACCTGCACAATGTGCACATGTACCCTAAAACTTAAAGTATAATAATAAAAGAAAAAAAAAAAGAAATAAAGATAAACAGGCCAGGCGCAGTGGCTGATGCCTGTAATCCCGGCACTTTGGGAGGCCAAGGCAGGAGGATCACAAGGTCAGGAGATCAAGACCATCCTGGCTAACACGGTGAAACCCCGTCTCTGCTAAAACTACAAAAAATTAACCAGTCGTGGTGGCGGGCGCCTGTAGTCCCAGCTACTCGGGATGCTGAGGCAGGAGAATGGCGTGAACCCAGGAGGCAGAGCTTGCAGTGAGCCGAGATTGCGCCACTGCACTCCAGCCTGGGGGACAGAGCTAGACTCCATCTCAAAAAAAAAAAAAAAAAAAAAAGAAAAGAAAGAAAGAAACAACAAAGATGTTTTCAGAATGAGATAAGCTGCCTCTTAGAATAGTCTTCTTTACTAGGTTCATTCTGGAGAAAATCTTTAAATTTTAGGGTAATCTATGGGGTGATTCATGAGGTCCTTTCTGACTACAGGGTTGTGTGCCCCGTGGTGATGATTTCTGGAGCCAAATTATCGTCTGAATACTAATCCACATGTCTGAGCTCACCTCTGCCATGACAGCCACTCCCTTTGCCACAATTCCAAAATGTTTTTGTTTGCAAACTCAATCTGGTGAAGTATTGAAATGTTTGAACAAATTCTGTGTTTCTCGATATGAGGCAACTTGTGGAATGTGTAAGTGACTTGAGGTTTCCAGAAATATTTAGGTTCCATTTCTCTCTATGTGTACAGATGCTTCCCTATTCTGGTAACAGTGGATTAACTTTGTGGGAAATAGCTAGGTTGTGGCTGAACAAAAAGCAAAGTGTTTCTAATCATCAGTGTGTTTTTTTCTTCCCATGAGAAAATATACTTACTATAAACTTAGGAGGAAGTCAAGCCACCTCACTTCCTTTCTGTTTTTTTTTTTTTTCAGGTTTAAAATACTCCATTTTTGCTATTCACTTTTACTTGAGCAAAAATAGTTAAAGAAAGACCCTGGAGATACCTAAAAAAGGTACACTATTTAGGTTCAGTTCCATGAAAGCAAGGCCTAGAAAGCAATAGTGTCTTTGTGATCACACAGAATTTGGGAACAAGGCTGAGAGAATTTTCCTTTAAGTGATATTTCATAGGACTTATAAAACATAAATAAATAGTTATAGAATAATAACTACAGAAAACACTCTATGATACCAGCTGACAAGCTGCATGAGAAACCTTATCTATCTCCTGCATAAATCCCTATTACAAACAGACCCATGGCCAGGAGGAAATCAATATAATTAAACCTCACAGTGGGGAGAACTTCCTCTGCCAAACTTCAAGATCAAAGAAGGCTTTGCGGAAGAGATGGCATTGGATCTGGTTCTGAAAGATAGGAAGAATTTGAAGTATAAAGTGGACTATTATTCAGCCATAAAAAGAAAATCCTGCCATTTGCAACAACACAGATGAACCTGGAGGACATGTTACATAAAATAAGCATAGAAAGACACAGACAGACAAATACTGCATGATCTCACTTATGTGTGGAATCTAAAAGTGTCAAACTGGGCAGGGCATGGTGGCTCACACCTGTAATCCCAGCACTTTGGGAGGCCGAGGCAGGTGGATCACCTGAGGTCAGGAGTTCAAGAGGAGCCTGACCAACATGGTGAAACCCCATCCCTACTAAAATTACAAAATTAGCTGGGTGTGGTGGCACATGCCATGCCTGTAATCCCAGCTACTCGGGAGGTTGAGGCAGGAGAATCACTTGAACCCGGGAGGCAGAGGTTACAGTGAGCTCAGACTGTGCCATTGCACTCTAGCCTGGGCGACAAGAGCAAAAATCTGTCTCAAAAATAAATAAATAAATAAAAGTGTCAAACTCATAGAAGCAGAGAGTTAAATGGTGATGCCAGGGGTGGGGGAGAGGGGAAACTGGGTGAGAGGCTGGACAAAGAATACAAGCTTTCAGTTACAAGACGAATCAGTTCTGGGGTTCTCATATACAGCATGGGTGGTGATGGATGTGTTAATTAATTTGATTTTGGTAATCACTACACAATGCATACATATGTCAAATCATCATGTTGCACACCAAAAATATTCAATCTTTGTTAATTAAATATTTTAAAATTTAAAAAATACATTTTTAAAATAAAATATAATAATGAACTGTCATCATGGTTAAGTAACCTACCCAGATTCAAACGAGACATAAAACTAGATATTCTCAAGTATGCAGAAAGAGCCACTAACACTATGCAAGTCAATAAATGCAATACACCACATAAACAGGATTAAAAACAAAAATTACATGATTATCTCGATAGACGCAGAAAAAGCATTTGACATTAAGCATCCCTTAATGATTAAAGCCCTCAGCAAAATCAGCATAGAAGGGACACAAGGTAACAAAAGCCATCTTCAACAAACCCACAGCCAACATAATACTGAAGGGGGATGAGCTGAAAGCATTCCTCCTGAGAACTGGAACAAGACAAGGATGCCCACTTTCACCACTTCTATTCACCACAGTACTGAAAGTCCTAGCCAAAGTAATCAGACAAGAGAAGGAAATAAAGGGCATCCAAATGGCTAAAGAGGAAGTCAAACTGTTGTTGTTTGCTGATGATATGATTATATACCTAGAAAACCCCAAAGACTTCTCCAAAAAGCTCCTAGAACTGATAAGTGAATTGAGCAAAGTTTTAGGATACAAATTTATTGTACACAAATCGGTAGCTCTACTATACACCAACAGCAACCAACCTGAGAATCAAATCAAGAACTCATCCCCTTTTACAATAGCTGAAAACAAAACAAAAAAAAAAAACTTAGGAATATACCTAACCAAGGAGGTAAAAGACCTCTACAAGAAAAGCTACAAAACACTGCTGAAAGAAATCACAGATGACACAAACAAATGAAAACACATCCCACGCTCGTGGATGGGTAGAATCAATGTTGTGAAAATGACCGTATTGCCAAAAGCAATCTACAAATTCAATGCAATTCCCATCAAAACATACCATCGTTCTTCACAGAACTAGAAAAAACAATCCTAAAATTCATATGGAACCAAAAAAGAGCCCACGTAGCCAAAGAAAGACTAAGCAAAAAGAACAAATCTGGAGGTATCAACTGATATACCCTAAGGCCATAGTCACCAAAACAGCATGGTACTGGTATAAAAGCAGGCATATAGACCAATGGAACAGAATAGAGAACCCAGAAATAAAGCCAAATACTTACAGCCAACTGATCTTCAACAAAGCAAACAAAAACATAAAGTGGGGAAAGGACACCCTATTCAACAAATGGGGCTGGGATAATTGGCAAGCCACCTTAGGAAAATATTACCAATATAAAAATCCACGGCAATATACTAAATTGTATTTTATAACTGATTAAAACAGGAATTGGGTAGTAAGAATTGGCAGTATTTATTAGTACTCTCCAGTTGAGAGACATGTTGGGGATAGAGAGTAGTCTGGCCTTGTCCTATATACCTATATGGATCTGGGGTAGTCTTCCAGATTCATATGACTTGTGTGAAATATCCCTTAAGAGTATCCAATTCCTCCTGGGCCAGGCCGTGTTGCATCCAGGTCACTTGTACCTCCCCTCTTTCTCTCCGAGGCTGCTTGTCCTCTCCCTGCATGCTCCAGGCCTCCTCGGACTTTCAGGGAAGCTCTAGTTGGGAAAGAGAGCTATTAATTAACCACCCACTTGCTCAGCAATTCAGTGTTATGCTAGTTTGCTTTCCTGTGGGGAAAACCTCAAAATCTCGGGGGCTTATACCAACAGCTATATTCCACTTGGGTTAGATGAGGGCTGCATGTTGTCTATTGGTCTGATCCATGGGTTGCTTTTGCTCCAAGGTCCAGGCTAAAGGAGATGCCCTCTCTTGGGGAATGTCATGCCCCTGCTAGAGGTAGTCTCTGCTTGGACTGGGCACACTGCTACTTCGCTGCTCATTTCATCAACCCCAGCCAGCCACTGTGGGGCAAGCCAGTGTTCCTTGCTTGTCAGAGATGCTGTACTTTGCATACAATGGTGAAGAGAGTGAACAGCAGGGTGTAATTAAACAGTCAACCACAACCTGAAGCCACTTTCCCTGCTAAGTGGACCTCAACTCAATGGTCTCATTCTGAAAGATGTGGCCTAAATTCTTGCTTGGAATGGTAATTCCTCTCTAATAGACTCTGCTGTTCTCTTGCCAGTCAAGAGGACTGAAGGGGATTGAAGCTCTGAACCTAGGCTCAGTGGCTACTGCCCCTCCTCCACAGCCGCTGGCTTCCAGCAGACATTCCTGATGCTGATGTGCTCCTTGGAGTGCTGAGCTTTGGGGGAAATCCTGTTGCATGGTGCCAGACCCTCCTTCCCCATCTCATAACTCCATCACAGAGTTGGTCTACCATGGATGAACTTATCCTAGGTTCAAGATATTCTGCCCAGGTGACTAGGCTTCTCCAGTGACAGATGGACCACTGCTCTTACCCCCTCATACCTGCTCCATCTGAGCTACTGGCCAGCTGGCCTCACCTGCCAAAGGCAACTGGGCCATGACGGCTGAGTAATAAAAAGCAATGCTGTGCTTTGCTTCCAGACTCACCAAGAACCCTCTGGCTACTAATTTTGTGTAGCAGATTTGCATTTTGATCCACATCCTTAGGTGCTTATGAAATAAAACTTGGATGCCTTTTGATAATCATGTTCTGGGTGTGTACCCAAAAGTGGAGTTGCTAACTCATAGGGTATGATTTTGTTCAAAACTGACATACTGTCAATAGTTTTCCAAATTAATGGTAATAATTTATACCTACACCAGTAATATAATGTGTTTCTGTCAATCCTTAAATTTTAGCCATCATGAAGTTAAGTAATGTGATGCCTCTGGTTTTATTTTTCTTAGAATGACTTTGGCTCTTTTTGGGTTCCATATGAATATTAGAACAGTTTTTCTAATTCTGTGAAAAATTGCATTGGTAATTTGATAGAAATAATGCTGAATCTATAGTATGGACATTTTAACAATATTGATTCTTTCAACACACCAGCATGGAATGTTTTTCCATTGGTCTGTGTCATCTATGATTTCTTTGAGTAGTGTTTTGTAGTTCTCCTTGTAGAGATTTTTCACCTCCTTGGTTAGATGTATTCCTAAGTATTTTAATTTGTTGGGGGGTGGTGCTATTTTGAATGGGATTTCACTCTTGATTTGGCTCTCAGCTTAAAAACTATTGGTATATAGAAATGCTACTGATTTGTGTATGCTGATTTTGTATCCTGAAGCTTTGCTGAAGTCATTTACCAGGTCTAGGAGTTTTTTGGTAAAGTCTTTAAACTATTCCACAAGGCTACAGTAACCAAAACAGCATGGTACTGGTACAAAAAGAGACACATAGACCAATGAGACAGTATAGAGAACCCAGAAATAAGGTCACACGCTTACAACCAACTGATCTTTGACAAAGTCAACAGAAACAAGTAATGGGGAAAAGACTCCATATTCAACAAATGGTGCAGGGAAAACTGCCTAATAATATGCAGAAGAATGAAACTGGACACTTAGCCCATATACAAAAATTAACTCAGGGGGATTAAAGACTTAATTGTAAGACCTGAAACTGTAAAAATGCTAGAATAAAACATAGAAAATACCTTTCTTTAGCATGGCCTTGGCAAAGAATTTTTGGCCAAGTCCCCAAAAGCAACTGTTACAGAAACAAAAATTGGTGAGTAGGATTTAATTAAACTAAAGAGATTTTGCACAACAACAAAAAAACATCAACACAGTAAACAGACAACCTACAGAATGAGAGAAAATATTTGCAAACTGTACATCCAACAAAGCAGCATCTATAAGCAACTTAAACAAATCAACAAGCAAAAAACAAATAACCCCATTAAAAAGTGGGCAAAGGACGTGAACAGATACTTCTCAAAAGAAGACATATAAGTGGCCAGCAAACAGATGAAAAAAAAAGTTCAACATCATTAATCACTAGAGAAATGCAAATCAAAACCACAATGAGATATCATCTCACATCAGTCAGAATGGCCAATATTAAAAGTCAAAAAATAACAGATGTTGGTGAGGTTGTAAAGAAAGGGGAAATTTTATACATTGTTGGTGGGAATGTAAATTACTCCAGCTACTATGGAGAGCAGTTTGGAGATTTCTCAAAGAACTAAGATTTGAGGTACCATTTGATCCAGCAATTTTATTACTGGGTGTATGCCCAAAGGAAAATAAGCCATTTTACTGAAAAGACACATGAGCTTATATGTTCATTGCAGTGCTATTCATAATAGCAACGACATGGAATCCAGGTGCCCGTCAACTCTGGATCAGATAAAGAAAATGTGGTACCTATACACCACGGAATACTATGCAGCCATAGAAAAGAATAAAATAATATCCCTTGCAGCAACATGGATGCAGTCGGAGGCCACCATCCTAAGTGAATTAATGCATCAACAGAAAACCAAAAGTCACGTGTTCTCTTATAAGTGGGAGCTATATTGTGGGTATATGTGAGCATAAAGATGGGAACAATAGACACTGGGGACTCCAAAAGAGGAAAAAGAGGGGAGAAGGGCTAAAAACTTCCTATCGTGCAGTATGTTCACTACATGGATGACGGGATCAATAGAAGCCCAAACCTCAGCATCATGCAATATACCCCTGTAACAAACCTGTATATGTACCCCCTGAATCTAAAGTAAAAATGTAAGCAAATAAAATAAAAAATGTAGGCCTCTTGATGAGTATACAGTGTTATCTCTTGGTTGGTTTACTTTGCAGTTTCCTGATGATTAACGATGTTGAACCACTTTTAATGTGAGCATTGATCATTTGAATACTCTTTTATTATGAAGTGCCTATCCAAACGTTTTCCCAATGTTTTAATTGAGTCTTTTTCTTACTGGCTTTTAGAAGCACTTTATATCATCTAGGCATAGGACCTTCGCTGCCATACTTAAAATATTCTCTCCTACTCTGTGATTTATGTTTTCATTATTTAAACATTGTATTTCATTGAAGATATATTCAATATTTTAGTGTAGTCTAACTTATCAATCTTTTTTATGTTTAAAGTTTCCTATATAGTGTTTTAAAAAATCTGTTCCTACACCAAGATCATTAATATAATCTGTTAGAATATATTCTAAAATTTTTATTGCTCACTTATTGCATTTAGATTTAAACTCCACAAGGAAGTTATAGTGTGTGTCTATGAGATGTGAAATAAGGCTCAAATTTCTTTTTTGAACATGAATACTCAATTAAGCCAACACTGTCATTAAAATGACTGTTCTTCCTTCACCATTCTGCAGTGTTACCTTTGTCTCCATGGAGTATGCATGCGGCTGGTTTTGTTCTTTTGTCATGTTCTGTTGGTATGTGTGTTTATATTTATGTCCCTACCATACTGTCTTGCTAATATATCTTTATAATAACTTTTAATATTTAATATTGACTTCTTTACGAAATAAGCTAAGCACAGAAAGACAAATAATGAACCAGGTGCAGTGGCTCACACCTGCAATCCAACATTTTGGGAGGCCAAGGAGGAAGGATCATTTGAGCCCAGTAGTTTGAGACCAGCTTGGGCAACATAGGGAGACCCTGTCTCTACAAAAAAAAAAAAAGAATTTAAAAAATTAGTCAGGCATGGTGATATAGCCTGTGGTCCCAGCTACTTGGAGGGTGCTGAGGCAGAAAGATCGCTTGAACCCAGGAGTTCAAGGCTGCAGTGAGCTATGATCACGCTACTGCACTCCAGCCTGAATGACAGAGTGAGACCTTGTCTGAAAGAAGGAAGGAAGGAAGGAAGGAGGAAGACAGAAAGAAAGAAAGAAAGAAAGAAAGAAAGAAAGAAAGAAAGAAAGAAAGAAAGAAAGAAAAAGAAAGAAAGAAAGGAAAGAAAGAGGGAGAAAGGAAGGAAGAAAGGAAGGAAGGAGAGATGAAAGAGAAAGGAAGGAAGGAAGAAAGGAAGGAAAGAGAGATGAAAGAAAGAGAAAGAAAGAAAGAAAAGAAAAGAGAGAAAGAGAGGAAGGAAGGAAGAAGGGAGGGAGGAAGGAAGATATCACGTGATCTCACATACATATGAAATCTAAAAACCTTCTAAGAGTAGAGCTCAGAATGGTGGTTCCACGGGCTAGGGAGAAGAGGAAATGGGGAGATAATGGTCAGAGGACACAAATTTTCAGCCAGACAGGAGGAATGACTGAAAGAGCTCTATTGTACAACATGGTGACTGTACTTAACAACAATGTATTGTATACTTAAAAATCACTAAGGGAGTAAATATTAAAAGTTCTCATCACAAGACAATAATAAGTATGTGAGGTGGCGCATATATTAATTAGCTCCATTTAAACATTCTACATTGTACACATATATCAAAACATCATTTTGTATACCTTTAACATACAATTTTTTTGTCAATTAAAATTAAATATAGGCCAGGCATGGTAGCTCACGCCTGTAATCCCAGC
Organism: Homo sapiens; assembly: GCF_000001405.40. NCBI lineage: Eukaryota > Metazoa > Chordata > Mammalia > Primates > Hominidae > Homo > Homo sapiens. The sequence goes on along the minus strand of NW_011332701.1, from coordinate 2,404,352 downwards.
ACTTTGGGAGGCCAAGGCAGGTGGATCACCTGAGGCTGGGAGTTCAAGACCAGCCTGACCAATATGGAGAAACCTCGTCTCTACTAAAAATTAGCCAGGCGTGGTGGCACATACCTGTAATCCCAGCTACTCGGGAGGCTGAAGGAGGAGAATCACTTGAAGCAGGAGGCAGAGGTTGTGGTGAGCTAAGATTGCACCATTGCCCAGCCTGGGCAACAAGAGTGAAACTCCGTCTCAAAAAAAAAAAAAAAAAAAAAAAAGTAAATATAGTTCATGTCCTTTGCAGGGACATGGATGAAGCTAGAAGCCATCATTCTCAGCAAACTAACACAGGAACAGAAAACCAAACACTGCATGTTCTCACTCATAAGTGGGAGTTAAACAATGAGAACACATGGACACAGGGAGGGGAACATCACACACTGGGGCCTGTAGGGAAGTGGGGGGCAAGGGGAGGGAGAGCATTAGGACAAATACCTAATGTATGCAGCGCTTAAAACCTAGATGACAGGTTGATAGGCACAGCAAACCACCATGACACTTCTATACCTATGTAACAAACCTGCACATTCTGCACGTGTATCCCAGAACTTGAAGTAAAATTTAAAAATATATATGTATAAATTAACCAATTTTAAAAATAAATACATACATACATAGAAAAAATATGACTTGTTTAATCATGGCCACTTAATTTGCCATGTAAGTCTTAAAATAAGAGTTTTGTGACTTCTTTCTTTTATGTAATAAACTTTTTACTTTTGGAATAATTTTAGATCTACAGAAAAGCTGCAAAAAAAGTAAAGAGAGTTATCTTATCCAGCTTTCCTTAAAGTTAACATGTTACACAACCATGCTACGTTTGCCAAAACTAAGAAACCAATATTAAATTCTGAATTTTCATTAACAGTAATGTATTTGCATTCCACTAAGTTTTTACACCAACGTTCTTTTTCTGTTCCCAGTATCCAGTTCAGGATACTATCTGGCACTTAATCATTACGTTTCCTTGGGTTCCTCTGGCCTGTGGCCAACTCTTAGCCTCTCCTTGTTACTGTGTATCGACAGTTTGAAGATTACTGGTCAGGTCCTTAGAATGCTCTTTAATTTGTGTTTGTCTGATTATTTTTTTCCTGATTAGGCTGGAATTATGAGCTTTTGGAAAAAATTCTGCAGAGGTTAAGCTTCCTTCTCATCACTTCATATCAAGGGGATGTGATATCAACATGCCTCATTACTGGTGATGTTCACCTTGATCATGTGGTCAAGGAGGCGTTTGCTAGGTTTCTCTACCACACAGATACTCTTTCCCGGCTTTCAATACTCTAGTCTTGCATGTGAATCACTAAGTCCAGGCCAGGCACAAGGTGGCCTGGGAGGTAGACACTAAGGTCCAATTCCTGGAAGAGACAGTATCTATTCATATTATCTGGAATTCTTCTACAAAGAGTTGTCCTTCTTCTTTCTTTTGTATTTACTTGTTCATTTAATCATTTATTTATATCAGTGTAACCTCATGTATATTGATTTTATACTTTGGGTTGTAAGCCAATACCATGTTATTTATTTTATATCAGGGTCACTTCTATATCTCTCTGATATGCCCCATCCTTTTTGCTTTTTTGAGCATTTTCATTATTCTGGCACTTGAAAATGATACACGCTTTTCTGGCTATCTCTTGCCTCAGTGCACAGACTAGCACCTCCAGTATCATGTTGAATAACAATGGTAAGAGCAGACATCCTGTTGTTTTAATTTCTAATCTCTGAGAATGCTCTTACAACATTTTTTCATTCAATATAAAAACACCTTTCTCACATTTAGAAAGTGTATTCCTATTTCTAATATAGTGATAGTTTCTTTTTTAACAATCATAACTAGACAGTTCAATTTTTTAAAATGTTTTTTTCATGGAGAATTATGTTGATTGATTTTCATATGTTAAACTAATCTTGTATCCCTGGCCCCCAACATGACCATGATGTATTTTCCTTTATGTATATGTCACTAGACTCAGTTTGCTAATGTTTTTATTTGGATTTATTTTGTAGTTTTATGTTTTGAGACACAGTCTCACTTTGTTGCCAAGGCTGGAGTGCAGTGGTGCAATCTTGGCTCACTGCAACCTCTGCCTCCCAGGTTGAAGGGGTCCTCCTGCCTCACCCTCCCAAGTAGCTGGGATTACAGGCACCCGCCACCACGCCTGGCTAATTTTTTTGTATTTTTAGTAGACATGGGGTTTCACCATGTTGGCCAGGCTGGTCTCGAACTCCTGGACTCAAGTGATCCGCCTGCCTTGGCCTCCCAAAGTGCTGGGATTACCGGCATGAGCCACTGCGCCTGGCTTGGATTTATTTTTAAGTCATATTCAAGAGAGAAATTGTCTTTCAAGAGTTTAGAGTAACTTATTAAGAATTCAAGAGCAATTTTATTTTTTCCGATACTCTTATTTTGGTTTTGGTTGTGACCAAGATTATCTTTCCCTCATTGGAAAGTATTTTCTCTTCTTCTATTCTCTAGAATGATTTGTGTAATATGACTTCTTATTTCTTCCTCAAATGTTTGGTGGTAAAAATCATCAGTAAATCCTTTGGGACTTGGCATTTCTTGATGACAAATTGTTTAATTACAGATTCAATTTTATAATTATAGGGTTGTGAAGACTTTATATTTTTGAATGCACTTTAATAAATCATATGCTTGGAGGAAGTTGTCTGTTTTTCAGCAATTTTTGTATAAAGATTTTCATAGTATAAAGATAATTTTGTATAAAGATTTTCATAGATTTACTAGTTATTTTTTAATACCTGTATGATCTGTGGCCATATCTCTGTTTCAGTCCTAAAATTTGTTATTTGTGTCTTAATTACCTTAGAATTCATTATAAATTATTTTCATATAATTTATATTTATAATAATTATTTTTATACTTATATTTATGTTAAATATATAAATTATGTAAACTATAAGTAACTGTATAAATCATCATGTATGATTTCGTGTGTGTGTGTGTGTAATGAGTGAGACAGAGAGTGAGAATAATATAATCAACCACCATTAACCTATCACCCAGCTTCAAAAATTATCAACTCAGGGCCAAGTGTTTTATTAAAAACCCCATAAATTCTCTAATATGAACAGAGATGTAAAATTATGTTAAATACATTACAGAGATCTTTTCAAATGTTTATTGGGCATTCAGTTCATTCAATCAAGAATTGTCTTTTTCTTTTTTTTTTTTTTTAATTTTGAGACAGTCTTGCTTTGTCGCCCAGGCTGGAGCGTAGTGGCAAGATCACAGTTTACTGCAACCTCCGCCTCCCAGGTTCAAGCGATTCTTGTGCATTAGCCTCCCAAGTAGCAGGGACTATAGGTGTGTGCCACCACACCTGGCTAAATTTTGTATTTTTACTAGAGGCGGGGTTTCACCATGTTGGCCAGGCTGATCTCGAACTCCTGACCTCAACTGATCCACCTGTCTCAGCCTCCCAAAGTGCTGGGATTACAGGTGTGAGCCACCGCGCCCGGCTGAAAATTGTCTTTTTCTATTGGGTCATTTTTCTATTCTATACTGATTTTTACATAACCCATTGGGTTCAAAATTATTCTTTTTATGAACAGCCAATCTAAAATAGCATCTCCCATCTCTCACGAAGCTCTATTCTCCCACCTGCTTTAGTTCTCTCCTTGGTACTTTCTGAAATCTGAGGTTTATCAACATATGTAATGACGTATTTATTAGTGTCTGCCTCTCCTATGAGGGGAGGATATTAGTTTTGTTTTCTACAGTTACCCTGGTGACTAGAACAGGGCCTGGCACATAGACATTCAATAAGGATTTGTTTGAATGGATTAATTAACTTGATTGATGTATAATCTGAATATACTAAGCCCCTGTCAGCTATATCACATGGTTAGAGATACATGATACCTAATCCTTGCTGGCTTATGGTGTCTTTTTGCATACAGGTATGTTTAACTTTAATGTTGTCAAATTATTATAATACCTATTTTCTTATGATTGTCTACATTAGTAAATCTGTCCCCATCCTGAGAACAAGAACATGATCCTCATTCTTCCAAAGACATGCTTAATTTCGCTGCTCACTATTAGGTTTTAATCTATCTGAAACATTTTTATAAACGGTGTCTGATAAAAATCTACATTTTTCCTGAATAAACAGTGTTTGGATCACTTTATCCCATAATTTACCTCTTACTTGCTGATCTGCAATGCATTTCTTTGCACTTAAGGTTTGATTCTCTTTTGCCTATTGGCTATGTCTATGTACTGCCACGTTCTTTAATTTTCACAGATTCCTAGTAGGTTTGATAGTTTTAGTTGGTGAGTGCCCACCCACTTTGGTTCCAGTGCACGATTTGCTAGAAAGACTCACAGGACACAGACAGCTGTTAGACTCACAGCTATTGTTAATTACAGTGAAAGGATATAGATTAGAAGCAGCAAGGAAAAAGGTGCACACAGCAGAGTCCAGCACTAAGGAGGAGGCATGGGCTTCCAGTTGTGCTCCACATGACTGACCTCAACCACTCAGTCTCCAGTCAGCTGTCTGCCACCCCCAGAGGTCAAAGTGACACAATGTGACCCAAGGCCCAGGCATACATAAACAGGTGTTCACTATAAAGCATGTTGATAGCATGTGGTGTGACCCAAAGCTTCAGGTTTACAAAGTCACTCAAATCACACAGAATATTACAAAGGCTCAGAGGTTATCTCCAGGAGCCTGTCAGGGACTGTCCTGAAGCCCTTCGGAATATGCAGGGTTTGGGCAGCCCAGGCCTGCTGAGTTAACACTTTACTGCACAGTTCTTCTTTTCCAAAATTTTTTTTTTCTTGGCCCTATACACTTTCATATAAATTTTATATTTAACTTTTTTCAATGAAATACCCTGCTGGTATTTATATTTGAATTGCATTTAATTATTAAATATCTTCATAATATTTAGGCCTCTGATACAAAAACTTTGCCTATCTACTCATTCATTTTTAGTTTATTTTCTGTGTTGAAAGACAATGCTACATTTACTTCTGCATAAATGTTTTGCATATCTATGTTAGATTTAATTTTAGGTATATTGCTTTCTGTGAGTAAAGTATATACTTTATTTTTTTAAATTCAGGATATTTGCATCTCTCTCCATAAACGAGCTTGGACTATAATGCTTTATTCTCACATATTTTTATATATTTATTTCTGTTTCTTTTTCTATTCTCTAGTACAGATGATATAAGACTAGAAGTATCTGTACCTTGAATAGAATTTATTAGCAACACATCTTTGGTACTTTGTCAAAGTTAATTTTCAAGAGTTGATGTAATTCATTTAATTCATGTAGGACCATTAAAGTTTTCTATCTCCTGTAATTACTTCAGCTGGTATAAATTTTTCTAGGAAACAGGCAACTGTAATTTGCCATACTGTAGGTTGTCTAGTGGACCTGTAACTTCTGCCTGGCTCTCCCTGGCTCTTACATCTCTTCATTTCTGGAAGAAGTCAGCCACCACCCTGAGAGGACACTCAAGCAGCCCTGGGGCAGGAGGTTGTGTGGGAAGGAATGGACTTCTCAGAACCTACTTCCCAGAAATGTGAGTTAGCTGCCTTGGAAGTAGGTTCTCCAGTTCAAGTCTTTTTTTTTTTTTTTTTTTTTGCCGATGCTGTCGTTCATTGCGCGGAATGGGGGTGTGGGGGTTAATTGGGCGTAGGGGCCACGGTGGGGGCACTGCTGCCTCAGCTGGTCAGTACATTCATCACGGTGGCGGGACCCCAGCCTCGCCCCCGCGCCCGGAGCAACCAGGCCCGCCCCTCGGTGCCAGTGCTGGAGGGAGCTGGGGTGCTGCTCCCCAAGGTCACCGCGGGACGCGCGTGGACCGGGGCCGGGTCGGTTATTGCATGAGCGCGATGGGGGCAGCGGGAAGCCGGTGGGCCAAGTATTGCACTTAAAAAACGATCCTCATCGGACGGCGGGCCACCTAGAGGGCGGGGGGCGGGCGGGGCTCCACAGCCGGCTCCTCTCAGCCACTGGGCCGCCCCGTCCCTGTTTTACAGCTAGGGGAACTGAGGCACTGAGGTGAAGGGAGCCCCCTCGCACGCGAGGCCGCCGCCGGGGGCAGGGGCGATGGGAGTGGGCGCAGGGCGATAAGGGGGGACGGCCGGGGACGCGGAGGGGGCTGCCCCGCCGGCCCTGCCCGTCAGTCCAACTACGGCTACCTATGTCTTGTCTGTGGTTTCTGGGCGGGCTGGCGGCCGGGGCAGCGCAATGGCATGGCTTTGGTCTGGATGACGGCCCCGCCTCCGGCCCTCCTGGGCCCGCAGGGCGGTTGGCGAGGGTCACAAGTTGGACGAGAGGCGCGAGCGCGCGGAGTCCTGGGGGTCCAGGCCGCTGGCGGCGCCGGGTGAGGCGGAGTCCCTGCGATCCGGGCTGGGCGCGGCGGCCCGGGCAGCGGGCGTGGGTCCCAGAAGCGGTGTGGAGCTGCTGGCCGGGCGTGTGGAGGCCGCTGGGACGGGCGTTCCGTGGGGCAGCGAGGGCTGCGAGGCGGACAGTGGGCGCAACGCGCGGCTCAGGCGGCGCGAGGGCAGGGCGGTCCCAGCAAGGGGGGCGGCGGGCAAGCTGCCGTAGGGCGAGGTCCGCGGTGCCCGGGGGCTGGCGGGCGCGCCCAGGGGGCTGGCGGGGGGCGGGGGCCCGGGTGAGGCGGCGGCAGGTGCGGGCCCCGGGGGCGGGCGGCGCACGAGGCGCGGCGAGCCGAGCGCCAGCGGCCCCACGAGCGGCCGCGCCACCTGCGGGCAGAAGCTCATGACCACGGCCTGCTGCAGCGTGGCGATGGCCGAGGTGACCTGCGGCGGCGGCGGCGGCGGGAAGAGGCCCAGGCGCTGACCCAGCTCGGCCTGCTGCACCATCTCGCCGTCGTACTTGACGATCTCCTGGATGATGGCGTTCTACTGGTTGTTGAATACGCCCGAGTTAAGGTCATGCTGCACCTTGTGCAGGAGGATGGAATTCTTCTTGCCGATGCGGTCCAGGCGGTCGATGGCCACCGTCTCGAAGGCGCGCCGCATCATGGGGTACTCCTCCAGCACCTCGTTGAAGTTGTCCACGCTCAGCGAAAGGAGGCGGCAATAGGTGTTGGCCCGCACGCTCGCCATGCGGTGGCCCCGGGTGAGCAGGCAGATCTCTCCGAAGTAGGAGCCATCGAACAGCTTCATCTCCTTGTTGCCCTTAGCGAGCACGCTGACCACGCCGTGCTGGATGAAGTACATCTTCCCGATGGTGCCTTCGCGGATGAGGTAGTCACCCGGCTGGAAGACCTCGAACTTGAGCTTGGTCAGCATGGCCGTGACGAAGTTGGGGTCAGCATTGGCGAACAGCGGCATGGAGGTCACCAGCTTCCGGCAGTTGAAGTTGACAATCTCCTCCCGCAGGGGCCCGTTGAGCTCGCCCAGGATGCTGTCCTCGTCGAACATCTTGCCCTGGTAACGGTGCTCGTAGTAGTCGTGGATCTTCTGGCGGAAGTCGGCCGGCAGCTTGTGGAAGGACATGTACTGCTCCACCTGCTTGTACTTCTGGTATTGGCGCCGCGAGGAGTCCAGCGACTGGATGAGGGCAGTGGCGTGGCCGATGAACATGGCGTAGCAGGTGTCACTCACAATCATGCTGAGCATGGTCAGCCAGATGTCCGTCATGCTCTCGGGCGCCTGCCGGCCATACCCAATGCACAGCATGTGGCTCATGGCCTTGAAGAGTGCGAAGGAATACAGTTCGCTCCACCAGTGGTTCACCATGCCATTGATGGACACCCAGCAGTTGCACGGGAAGTCCTGCAGCATGGCCACCAGGAACTGCAGGCAGCCATCCCAGTGGCAGAGCAGCAGCATCATACTGATGAGGTTGCAGAACCGCATCACCGCGCTGGCCAGGTCATAGGTCATGTGGAAGATCTCCTCCCACTGGTGGATGTAGCGGATCAGGCGCGAGAGGCGCAGCAGCCGCAGGAGGCTGAGGATCTTGGTGAAGCGCACGATCCGCAGGGCGCACGCCGTCTTGTAGACCTCGGAGTCGATGCCCTTCTCCACGATGAGGAAGATGTAGTCCACGGGGATGGAGGACACGAAGTCCACCATGAACCACGTGCGCACGTACTTCTTGATCTTCTCTTGGTCCAGGATGATCTCCGTGTTGTCCTCGATCACAATGCCGGTGCGGAAGTTCAACACCAGGTCCATGAGGCAGAAGGTGTCCGAGACCACGTTGAACACGATCCACAGGGCAGTGGTCTCGTCCTTGAAGAAGGTGATGCCCACTGGGATGATGATGAGGTTTCCCACCATGAACAGCAGCATGGTGAAGTCCCAGTAGAACCTGAAGTCGCTGTACGGGTGGATGATCCAGGACCCCGCTGACTGGACGCGCTCCTGCTCGCGCTCCACGGCCTTCTGGCTGCCGAACATCCGCAGCGAGAACTTGTTGACGCCCAGCTGCAGGAGCGCGCCGAAGTGGCGCTGCATGAAGCTGGCCCGGCTGCGGCGCGGCTCCGCCGCCGGGCCGCCACCTCGCTGCCGGCCTCCTCCGCCGGCCCCGGCCCCGGCCCCGGCGCGGGCCCCGAGGCCGCCCCGGGGCACAAGAACTACACCTTGGGCCCCCGCGCCGGGCCCTCGGGCCCCGCGGGGCTGCACTGCGGCTAGCCGCGCCCGCACTCGGCCGTTCCGGCTGCCCTTGGCCGTGCTCGCCGTGCCCGGGATGCCGGGGCTGCCGCACTAGCTGTCGCGGCTGCGGCGCTGGCCCCGCGGGCCGCCCTCCTCCGCCGCCTCCGGGGGCAACGCCTCGGCCCGGGGCGGCTGCTGTTGGGGGGGCGCGGCGGCGGCGGGGCTCTCCCCGGGCCGCCCGCCGCCCCCGCGCGCGTCCATGGCGAGGCGGCGCCCGGCAGTGCGGAGCGGAGCCGCCGACCAGTTCAAGTCTTTACATGGCCGTTACCCCAGACATCTGCCTGAAGCCTCCTGAGAGCTCCCAAACCAGAAATATATATTTGAGCTGCTCCTAAGTACATGACCCACCCACAAATGAGAGATCATCAAAGATTATTGTTTTTGAAATCACTAAGTAGGGGGGCGACCTGTTATGCAACAATATATTACTAATACAAATGTTTTCTTATGATTACAAATAAAAATTGTTATTTGACTGACTTATGAGGATTTTAAAATATTAACATACAATCTTTTTTGTTATTTTTTATTTTGATTTCTAATTGCATTGCCTTACGACTGAAGAACAATTGGATAACGTCTGCATATCTTTATTGAAAATTTTCTTGTATTTATGGCACATAGCCCATTTTTATAAATGTTCCATGAGTGAATGAGAATATGTACTTTCTAATTATTTGTTGCAGTTAAATATTGACACACTTGACAAATATGTGATCACTTTACTTACCAATTTCTTCATGAAGTTCTGACTGTGCATAGTTGATATTATGTTCTTAGGTTTAGACAAAAACTGTTGTCTATTTCTGAGGAGTTGAATACTTGACCCTCATGTACTGAATGTATTTATTCCTAATGATACATTTTACTGTATGGTTTATTTTTCTGGATGGTAATAATACCATGGTGGCTTTCTTCTGATTAGAAAATGTCTGCTATATATTTTCCTTCCTTTTATATTAATATGTCTATTTCCCTATACTATACACATGTTTACTCTCAACATTTTTCTGTTATAAAATATTTCAATACGAATATCTATGTCTTTTTATTGGCATGTATTCATCTCGTCTCCATCCCATTTGTGGAGGAGAGATTCCCACACTGGGGTTATGGAAATGACTGGACACATGACACCCAACACTAGACAGTTGAGTTCACACCAGCTTATTAGTCACAGGCACACACAGCCCAGGGGAGGATGGAACCACATGATGTGGGGCCACATGAGGGCTGCGCTTGGAAACAGAGTGAACAAGCAGGAGCTGAGGGAGTCAGGCTTTGTAGTAACAAGAGGGTGGAGTGACACTTGCTTCCGGGCTCTGCCACCCATGATAAGGAAGGTTGTCTAGTGGACCTGCCACTGGAGCAGGGTGGGTAGGGGTATTATAGTTAGGCTATTCAAGGTCCTCCAGATTCTACGTATAAAGTGGCAGATAATGTTAATTTTGTGCCTTAGAAGAAACATCTTTTGATCGTTTATATTTATTATTTTACCAATACATTTAGATGTATTCCATTCTTTTTATTATATGCTATGTATTATGTTCATTTTTCTGTTTTTGCTTTTTAGTATCTTGCTGGAGAGCTATACATTTTATTTCCCTATTTTTGAAGATTCCCTTTCATATTTTAATACATATAGTTAACTATACAGTTTTAATTCCACCAGTTAACCAGGATAATTCAAAGACCTTAGGATTCATGAATTCTAATCAGCTCCCTTTCAAGTTCCATTATTTAAAATCTGGTATTTTAGCTTCACCTGGTTTTTTAAATCTGAAATTAATTATGCTGTAGTTACGAGAACTGCCATCATTTTCTATCTTTATCCTGCTAGATGGGTCAACTGGAATCCTAGGTGGAGGGCCTGCCCTTCACAGCTGCCTTGTGTTTGCTTCTGCTAGAACCCTGTGGTGACACAGTGATGGCCACCCTGATATCCCTTCAGGAGTAAAGGGCTTATTGCCCCGAGACTGACAGTGCTGCCAGCAGAAGCCCTGGACAGACAGTCCTTTCAGGAGTAAGGACTTACTGCCTGCCCCATCTGACAGTGCAGTCAGGTGCCAGCCCTTCCGACATGGCCCCACCACCCAAGGTCATGGCCCCCTCCCAGAGCATCCCGAGACTGATTCACTTGGAGCACTAAGGGCCTCGCCTCTCGCCCTACTCCAGATAATTCTTAAGAGCCACGTAATCTTTAGAACTCCCTGCAAGGCTGGCTGAGTCTTGCCCTCTTCCTCGGCCCAGTCCCAGTCCTGCTTTCTACTCCTCACTTCCAGGTGGAGATTCCAAGAGCATTCCCTCATCCCTCTCCTGCATGTCAGTCTCTGTCTCAGAGCTTGCTTCCCACAACAATGTCACAGTGGTATTACCATCCAGGAAACAATTCCTATCAGTGTCTTACTTTGTCCACTCCCAAGCCACAAGGAGAGCATGAATTCACACGTGAATACACTGGAGGCATCAGCCTTTGCCTATAAATTCTTAGGGGAGACTTTACCACCTAGAACCTGCGATCAGTCAAACAGGCTCTCTGTTGTTTCTCTGAACCCACAGGAGGTTGAATGTTTTTCTAGTCTCTGGCTTACTGGGAGGGAGGGGCAGTGTCAGCATATAGGACAGGCTTACTGTGGATCTAGGTCTAATTTCTACCTGATGCAGCCCAGAGCACCACCTCCTACTATAAAACAAAGATGTCAGTGAGGTCCACTCATGTGCTTTACAGTTCTGGTTTGCAGATTCGTCTTAAAATGTGGTCTTGGGACTTTGTTGGAATTTCAGCTCTCCATTTGAAACTGTTTGCTACAGTATCCAGTACTTCTGAATGTTCTGCACTAGGGAGATACTCAATTATCTGCTCTGCCCTATTGCTGGGAATGAACATCTTCTCATTATAAATGATGTAAGCATTGTTTATGCATTTTTTATGAGCTTGATTTGTGAGATTCGTCCTTTCAGAGACCTATTCTTGTAGGAACTGGTATAATGAGGTTTCTAAATCTAAAATGCATAGAATCTCAGGCTCTGCTGCTGTGGAAACTCCTCCAGGTACAGACACAATTGTACAGACAGTGCAGCGCAGCTAATATCCTCATCTCAAAGAGATCCGTTTAGTTGAACGCATTATCTACCAAAGAAATCAGGCCCTTGCGTTCATTTGATAAAGGAAGTCCCACTGGATTGCATATTTCCATCTTTTTCTTCTAAACTCTATGACTCCAGAACCGGGCTCAGGGCCTGGAAATCATAAGGGCTTAACATAGTTATTTTGATGAATTTTTTAAGAAGTGATTTTCCTCATTCTGTACTTTCTTCCAAAGAGTGAAAAAGAAATCGATTTTGCTGAGTTTTTGGAATAAATCAAATATGTTAGATATGGTTTTTCTACCTTATAGAGGAGTAACAGTACCATGGTTTCTGAAAACTTGAAACAGCACAGAAGTGGCTGCTCTCAGCCTAGACAGGAGTTCTCCTGAATATTATCTGTGAGTAATGACCTTCAAGTTCATATGAATAGCACTTTTCAAATGGGCCCTAAAACATTCTTCTTTAACTTTAAAAAGACTTGGAAGTAATATTTCTCTGAATTACTGCACTGCACAATGAATGTCTTTCTTTGCCAGTGAAGGGTGTCTCTGGACTAAATAATTTTGTTTTGCACCAAAAATAAATGTATTCTACTAAGGAATTATATTGGAGTACATGTAAATGCCTAGCTTAAAAAGAAATGGCTCACATTAAGGTAAAAGCTCATAGTTTAAAAATTAGACTTCCACCTTCTTGTAAGGAGTAATGCCGCATCCTTTCCAACTGTCCTTTGATGAAGAAGATTAGCAGATGAATGGATACAACTCTTCCAGCTGAAAGAATCCTTAGAGGTCATTAAAGGGAACTCCCTACCTAATATGAGTATTGACATTACAATAGATAACAAAGAATGGGCTTGGGAGGAATCAGACATGGATTGTTTGAAACCAGAGCCATCCCTTCTTGCCTTTCTCTGTGCTCGGCTCAAGATTACCATCAGTAATTTCCTCTTTCCTTTCTTCCATCAAGACAAACCTGATCTGTCCTGTGCTACACTTTCTCAGTTCTTATCAGGTGACAGAGTGCTTCATGCTAAGTTGCTAATAGTTTTTCGGTTTTTTTTTTTTTTTTAGATGGAGTTTCACTCATCTCCCAGGCTGGAGTGCAACAGCACAACCTTGATTCACCGCAACCTCCACCTCCTGGGTTCAAATGATTATCCTGCCTCAGCCTCCCGAGTAGCTGGGATTACAGGTGCACACTACCATGACCAGCTAATTTTTATATTTTTTAGTACAGCCAGGGTTTCGCCATGTTGGCCAGGCTGGTTTTGAACTCCTGACCTCAGGTGATTCACCTGCTTCAGCCTCCCAGAGTGCTGGGATTACAGGCGTGAGCCACTGTGCCCAGCCAGTTGTTAATAGTTAATAATACCTTGATCTCATACCACTTTCCTGCAGAATGTTCAAGTGAAACATTAACTTTATTTCTAATTTAAAATAGAGATCTTTGGGGCTTATGTAGGCTATTATATAGGGCTGAATCAGATAATTTGGTTTGATGCTCTTTTTAATGCTCCCAAAGTCAGAATGCCTGTACTCTACCTGTGAGGCTAGTCCTGACGTGGCCTCCAGATGGACTACTCCAGAAAGGTTTTCCTTCATATCATTTGCCAGTTATCTGAATCCCTCTGTCTTGGGATGAAGATTGAGCACACACTCAATGCATTAAACACAAATGACCTAAGTGAGCATTTAAAAGCTGATCTTGGCAACTTTGGTAATGCTGGGAGTAATGTCAATTATTTTTAAATTATAAAATTATAAAATTACTCTGAATGTACCACACTGACTTGCTTTTCACTACAACATTCTAGAAAGCAGCGTGGATCAAGGCTTTTTCTTTTGCAGAATCTATCAAATTTCAGGAGGGAGAGACATGAAGGACCCGAGCACAGACTGGGGTAGACGGTGTCTCTGATGGGTCCTGGTGATTCCTGCCTCCTGGTAGGCAAGCCCTCCCCTGAGTTTCAGCTGGACTTAGTGACTCACTTCTAACATACAGAACACAGCAGATGTCACTTCTGAGATTAAGTTACAAAAAGGCAGTGTCTTTTGCCTTGAGCACTCTCTCTTGCTCTCTGCTCAGTCTGAGGGAAACCAGCTGCTATGCTGTGAGCTTCCTAATGGAGAGACCCACAGAGTCAAGAACTGAGGTGGCCTCAGCTAATAACCAGCAAGGAGCTGAGCCCTCTGTCCAATAACCTGAAAGGGGCTGAATCCTGCCAACTCTACAAGAGTTAAGTTTGAGTGGCTCCTTGCTCAATTAAACCTTTAGACAAGATTACAGTCTGAGCTGACAGCTGGATGGTGACCTTGTGAGAGATTCAGAGCTGAAGATGCATCCAAGCCATATCCAGTTTCCTGGCACACAGAAACTGTGAACTAATGGTGGTTTTAAGCCTGTATGTTTGGGGATGATTTGTTGTGCAACAATTGATACCTAATACACAAGGTAAAACATATAGAACTATTCTGATTTAATCTTTTCTTCTGGAACTAACAGCAAGAGGAAACCAGTTCTGGTTAATAAAAAAGTTAAGAACTGATGTGGCCAGTTAGCAATTTTTTTGTATTTCTTTAAAATATTGCATGTCTTAAGTATTGTATGTGCTTATCTCAATATAAGGCAAAATACGTTTACAATTGTGTTTTAGAATTCAGGCTTCACAGCCAACACCCAGGCACCATGGTCAATGATTGCTTTGGACTCTAAATGAAAAACGATTGAATGTTAAGCTTGCAAATGCAGCATTATAAGATATCAATTGTGGCAGGCATCAGAATTCTCCTGTCTCTAACTTAAAATTGGGGGCTCAGCATAGCTCCTCCCCCATTTTTTATACTCTTAATCAGATACAGTCATCAATACTTTTCTAAACAATTATTTGAATTTGCTCTGCTTAGCAATACCTATTACTAGACCCTCATCACTTGAACTCAAGTAAAAAAAAAAAAAAGGGAGAGAAAGATATCTTATGAGCACCTGTCAAGTACGAGGTCCTACACCTGATATTTATAGAGGCAAAGATGGAGTGGTCTAGTGTCTATGCTCAGATAAGCGGCTGCAAATTAGGGATAAGTAAACACTACACAATGCATCTAATATGAGGCAGAAGATGTCCAATGCCACAGAGACATACCAAAAAAGTGACATGAGGTTTCAAACCAGAGAGACTTCAGAGCTAATCGAGAAGATCAGAGAGGATATGTGAAGGGTCTCATGCCCAGCAGCTTGGTGCCTTGTCAGCTCCACGCAGGGATGGATTACTCTGCAGTCACATGAGAAAGTGGCCCAGCTTCTCAGGGAGCATCTCTTCTGAGGCCATGTCTTCTTTTCTGTTGACACCCATCACAGTGAGTTGGTCTCAGGTCCATCTTTGACCTGCCTGCCCGAACTCCTCATTGGATATGAGGTTCTGTTTCCCCAGTACTCTGGGACCTGGTCCCATTTCATTCCCCACATACAGTGTTGTGCTTGGTCATGGAGGGAACAGGTAGGCCACACTTCCCAAGCCAGCCCCATCTGGTTTCCCAGTCCTGAGTTCTCTGCTTACTTTGGAAGGCAGCTCAGACAGAGTTGACATTTGTGATGAGGAATGGGGTAGATGGCAGTGTAGAGGGAGATGCTCAACCACCTTGGAGTGAAAAACACCAGGCACACAGCTTAAAGCTGGAGGTATGTAAATACTGTACCCTCTTCTTTGTGTTCAATCTAGGAAGCTTCCAGGATCAAATATCATGGTTTACAGAACTGTCCTTGCAATTGAAGGTTTTATGTAATGGATAGTGTTTGTTTCTAGGAGAAGGTCTAAAGGAATTTGCCTCTATGGCTGGTTTTATCCTCTGTAATTTAGGGGACACAAAAGGGGTACTTAAAAATGCATGCTTTCAGTAGATTTTATTTAAAATAATCTACATAACTTTGGTATGCTGGGAGGCAAACAGGGGGTCTAACTGCACTTTATAAAGTATGGGATGGCAAAAGATGAAAAAAATACCAGCAGTTTTCCTCTTGGACTCTAATTGAATTCACTCTTTTGCAATATAGGTCATTATAGTAACAGCAGGGGCTGTGGAATTATGAGAGTGGAGAAGATATTATAATTTTGAGATCCTTAAATTCATGGTGAATAGAGTTTTCTTTCAGTCATATTTGGTGAGGAATATATTTGACACCCAAGAGAAATTTGGAATATCATTAAGTCAATACATTCTGTGAAGACCAAAATTCTTTTCTCTATTATCATGGAGTCTTAGGACAAAAAAAAATTGTGAGAAGTCAGAGGATGGAATAGATTTTGGGAGCAGTGTGAATAACGGTGCTATATTGGGAAAGAGTAGATTAGGGTGAGGATTGGAATTTAAAGATCTATTGAAGGGAAAAAAAGACATCACAGGGTTATCAGTTTAATAGAACTGATCCAAATATCAGAAAAAAAAATGATCAGACATGGTGCCCAGTATAGAATGAGTGAAAAGAGGATGATGAAGATAAGTTATTAGGAGGCTACTGTAATAGCTCAGGCCAAAAGAATGAACATGTATTACTGTGCCTGCCTTAGTCCAAAGATGAGCAATGATCTCTAAGACCATTTAGTGTGCTAAATTGAGAAGCCAGTAGGAGACAATTTTGAACCATTACTAAGTTATTTGAGCTTTCGATGAGAAAAGCATGCAATTCCCTTACTCAGGTTATGTTGGGATTTGAAATGTAGACTGAAGTATTTCTAGCTTCCCCATAATCAATTTCAATTTTGCCAAGCTTTGAGGCGATGGGAATTCAATGAGGGTCATTAATCCTGCTGAGAATAAAGCAGACACAGTCCACAGAGTTTCAGGCTGCTTTTCTGATTGTGTGTAGACTCAGCCATTGTACATAGGCCATGGTCCAGCCAGCTGCACAGGAGCTCCGTGGAGGCCCAAAGGCAAAGTGAGAAAGTAGGTATCAAAAAAATTGGGATCATGTCTTTGTTCCAGCCACTGGGTCCTCAGCCCCGTGGGGCATGGTTGTCCTTCTCCTCTGACCAAAGCACATGTGCACTGCCAGCCTCTGGTTCAGGGACCTTCTGCCCTGGTGAGCTCTCACTCTCTGGGCTACTGAGAAGCTGTCTGCAACCATCATGTACCTGTTTTTAGTTGTGACTGCTTTGCTGGATGAAATGTTCGGGCATTGATATAACCTCAGCGAACAGTAAGGCATAATTTGTTCATACCATGTCCTCCTTATTAGAACCATCAGAGAACTGTGAGATCTCAGAGTTAGATATCTATGCTTCTTTGGGTCTTAAAAACCCTTTGAATTATATGAACAGTGATATTTCCTACTTACACTAACTGCTAGGAAGTTCTGGATCTGTGTGTTCTCAGTTCTAACAAAGTGTCCAGAACCTGAGTGGATACTTTATTTTTTTCTGTACTCATTTGCCTTTTTCTGGCTTTATTTTCCTGTCCTTTTTTTTTGCCCTTTTCCCATTTCTCTGCTTTAATTTTTTTTCTGAATTTCAAGTCCTCGTTGAAAATAAAACTGGTGATACAAAATTATGTTTACAGAAAAAAGCAGCCCTTCAGCTTATTATACTTTTATTTTGATGAGCACCAAAATATCTTTTTCTTCAAATCAATACATGAGGCTTTTTTACTTAACAAGTTATTTCCTAATTTGAGACATCCGTTCTCACATATGATCATCTTTTGCAAGTTAAGTCACCTACACTTATTTATCAGCTTTGAGAAATCTCCTCCAACCACAGTATTTCCACGATGAAATGCACATTTTCATGAAACACACATCTTTTATAAATGTGCTGTGATCTGCAGCCATAAAATGGCCATCCACAGTTATTGCTTTGCTACTGAGCCCGTCTGCACCAGCACCTCCCCTGACCATCTGTTGCCCAAACCCATGCATCCTGCGAAGGCATTTGTTCACATTGCTTCCTGTCAGCCTCCAGCCTTCTCTCCTTCTGTCTAGTCACAACCTTGTCATGAGTTCTAGTGCCAGGACAACTGTAGAACTATGATCTGATTCCAGGGCCCAAAACGTCATGGTAAGCTTGAGACCCCTGATTGCCACTCTTATGGAAGCCCCATTGGCCACGCTGGCATCTTGTATTTGTGGACCACAGGGTATAGAGATTAAACCATCTCATTAGCACCCTCTTGTGAATAGAAAAGAGAACCCCAGAGACTGGAGGGAGAATCCAGCCCAGACTGAGGGATGGGCAATCCTCAACCAGCCTCCCCGCAGCTGGGATTCGAAATGTAGACTGAAGTATTTCTAGCTTCCCCATCATCAATTTCAATTTTGCCAAGCTTCGAGGCAAAAATGGACACTTTTGTCTGTCCAGACACAGACACTTCTCCATAAGCATCTTTGGCAAAAGGAACTTCAGGATCAATTTTCTTCACATATGCATGGAATTGGTTTGAAAAGAGCCACACCTGTTTACCCGCAATGCAGCTAAAAAAGAGCCACATGCAAAGAAAGAGTGGGATATAGTGAAAATACCATGGGATCTGGTATCAGTGACCCTGGAGCCTACCACGGCAGAGTCTGAGCTGGGGGTGTTGGTTTCACCATTTGAAAATATGGCTAATAAGGTGTTCCTTATTTTTTAAAAATGCAAGGGATAATGTATATAAAAGAATGATGAAATGTTTGGTTTCATATTTTATGGTGCTTATTTACATACTTATTATTCCAAACAAGAGGTTATGCTTTAAAATCTGGAGAGGTATTTCCGACCTGGTTTCTCCAAACTTATTACTTTTATGGAGAGGAGAAAATAGGAACCTATCTTATCTATTAAGATTGTAAATTAAATCAGTACTTGATACCCTCAGTAGCAGATTTAATTGCCCATATAAAAAGAGAAGGTAAGTTTTGACAATAAATGTAAATGTAAACAAGGTCATCCTGAAACATCACAGCATTCTGGCACAGTTATTACCTATATTGATTATTTTGTTTCTGTGATAGTTAATTTTATGTGTCAGATTGGCTAGGCCAACCTACTCAGCTATTTGGTCAAATACCAGTCTCGAAATTGCTATGAAGGTATTTTTTTAGATGAGCTAAACCTCTAAGTCAGTAGACTTTCAGTAGGGCAGATTGCTTTCCATGTGTGTGGGGGCCTCATCTAGTCAGTAAAGGCCTTCAGAGAAAACAGACTGGAATTCCCTGGGAAAGAGGGAATTCTGCCTCCAGACCGTCTTCAGAGTCTAGATGCAACTCTTTCCGGGGTGCCCAGGCTTCTGGCCTGCCCTGCAGATTTTGGACTTGCCAGACTTTATGATTAAAGGAACAAATTATTATATAAATTATGAATATAATTCTTTATATGAATCTCTCTTTATCTCTGTCTCCTGCTCTTCTCTCTCTCTATAAATAATATATATATGCAGTTATCCATATACATATATATACACATATATACATTCTGTGAACATATATAAACACACACACACATGCACACATCTTATTGGGTCTGTTTCTCTGTAGAACCCTGACTAATACAGTTTCCCTCCTTTTCCCCAAGAACAGGAGAAACTGAACTGTGAGTGGAACAAGCCACAGGGAGACAAGAAATGCTGTCCCCTCACCTCTCTGCTCAGCGTCTTCCCAATGGTAGTAAAAATGTTTCCCTGCTCTGCAGATGAGCTGCTCAAGCTCCCTGGTGGGTGCAGGGGAGCTCCACTGCCTGTGTGTGACTGTCTCTCTCTCCTCTGTCTTTCTTTCCCTTCCCCACCCACTTCCTGAGTGGGAGGCTGGCTCATCTTGGGGCGGGTGGACCAGGGAGATGCCCTGTGGCAATGGCCTGTGAAAAGGCAGGGGTCACACGCACATGGTGCTCTGAGCTCTGGGAGGAAAAGCACTTCCAGCAGGGGAGAGCAAGTCCAGGCCCCACTCCAGAGCTGGCCATGTCCTCTGGCTATGTTTCATAGCCCTAAGTAGTGTTCAGATTTCATTTAGATGAAAACAAACTTTTGACCTAATTGATATTTATTTAGATATTCATTTCATTTATCCACTTGATCCTTTGGATTTGGAGCCTAGCAGAGTGTCCTTTCTCTCCAAATCACCATCATCACTAACTGAGGCAGAAGCAACATGCCAGCCAAGTTGGTGGCCTCCCCACAACAATGGCTTCCTGGTGCTGCAGGTGGAAGGGAGCTGGAAGTACCAGCATTCATTCCAAATTCACACACTATCGAAAGCCCACCGGAAAATGACTTGCTCATAAATTACCCTGAATTTGTGTTTTAGATAAGATGTGAGTAAATTATAGCTATTATCTATTTTCACTGTTTCTAGTGTAAGTGAATGATAAATCCTCCTCCTCCCTTTCCTCTTCCTTCTTCTTTTCTTCCCCCCCTTTCTTTTTTCTGTTTTTGGAGACAGAGTCTCACTCTGTTGCCCAGGCTGGAGTGCAGTGGCACCATCTCAGCTCACTGCAACCTCTGCCTCCTGGGTTCAAGTGATGCTGTGCCTCAGCCTCCAGAGTAGCTGGGATTACAGGCGTGTGCCACCACGTCCAGCTAATTTTTGCATTTTTAGTAGAGACAAGGTTTCACCATGTTGGCCAGGCTGGTCTCAAACTCCTGACCTCAAGAGATCCATCCACCTTGGCCTCCCAAAATGCTGAGATTACAGGCGTGAGCCACCATTCCCGGCCTCTTCCAATGTTATAAAACATGGTATCACTCATTTAAGCTTCTAGAGCTAGTTGTCTACACACCTTCATTCATTTACTCAGCAAATAATAATTGAGGGTCTGCCACTTTATCAGATACTATTAGACCCCATAGTTTTCATCACAGGCCAAAAAACCAAGTTTCCTTGGTTTCCAACATTCTAACTGATCATGGCAGTGGCGGATACAGAAGAACCAAAAACCCCAAAATGTACCACATGAGATCATAAGTACTCTAAAAAAAAGAGGAGAAGAGAGAACAGGTAAAATAAGGTCATGTGGGAGGTGGGTGTGAAATGGTGATGAGTGTGGGCCTCCCTGAGAAAGTGACATTTAAGTCAAGACTTGCAGGAGGTAAGGGCTGTGCCCTGAGGATCCCTGGTGAAGAGCAGTCAAGGAAGAAGGAGCAGCACTCACAAAGGTCCTGAGGCTGGAGAGGAGGTGCTATAATCCACACAACTGTAAGAAGCAGGTGTGGGCCTACGCAGAGGATGGAGGGAGCTAACAGAAAGTGAAGATGAGACTGTAGCTTCAGTCTGAGGGAACATAACGAGCCACTGCTTTGATCACTGGAAAGATCTTTGCCACGACTTCAATACTCTACTCTAGGAACCAAATTTTGAGCCTACTTTGGCATTTGTAGGAAGAATGTGTATCTTTTCCTTTATTGCAACTAAGGCAGAGAATTCTCTAACTCTAGGAGAAGAGCTCATGTCCCCTGGCATTTTCCTGACCCCAAGCTGAGATGCTTGGCATGAGTTAAGAATGGAAAGAGCTGTTTCACTAAATTTGTACCAAACATTGGGTGTTGTTTTGGATCCGTGGAACAGTGGGTGACACCAGCAGGAAAAGAAGAATGTTTTTCCCACTGGAGGTTGGGACCCCAGATGAAGCAGCAGCTTTAATCGGCTTTGAATCAGCTTTGAGTAACCAGTGAGCAAATCCATGTGTCTCTGACCAGGGAGCTGTTCATGCTGCCTGGACCTCCTATATGTCTGAGTGAAAGAAGACAAAACAAAAGAAAACAAAACAAAGAAACAGAGAGAGAAGAGGAAGATAAAGTGTGAGTTCTAATGAGCTTTATTTTTCTAGGAACATGTCTTTTTCATATACATTTTCAAATGCAAGATACAAAATTGTATATAACATCGTCTTACCATTATGTAATGTTTTAGAAGACTATACTGAATTCCATGTATTATTTCTGTCATTGGTTGTGTCCTTGCCCCTTTTTCCTCAGTCAAGCTCACTGGTATTTATCAATTTCATGAGTAATAAGATTGGTATTATTCTTTCTTATATATTTAGCAAAATTTACTGGTGAAGCCTCTAGGTCTGGAGATATTGCAGAAGTAATATTTTTAATTTAAAAATGTATTTTCTAGGCCTGGCATGGTGGCTCACACCTGTAATCCGAGCACTTTCGGAGGCCAAGGAGGGTGGATCACCTGAGGTCAGGGGTTCAAGACCAGCCTGGCCAACATGATGAAACCCCGTCTCTACTAAAAATACAAAAACAAATTTGTCAGGGATGGTGGTGCATGCCTGTAATCCTAGCTACTTGGGAGGCTGAGAGGGGAGGACTGGCTGAACCTGGAAGGTGGAGGTTGCAGTGAGCCGAGATCGCGCCACTGCACACTCCAGCCTGGGCCACAAAGCGAGACTCCATCTAAAAAAAAAAAATGTATTTTCTTATTAGCCATTGGATTATTAATGTCTAATATGTCTTAGGTCAGTGTTGGTATGTTACATTCAAATTTTGAAAGGAACCACTTTTGGCCTTATTGAACCTCTCTATTACATGTTGTTTATGTTAATTAATTAATTAATTAATTAATTAATTTTTGAGACACAGTCTCGCTCTGTTGCCAGGCTGGAGTGTGGTGGGCAATCTCAGCTCAATGCAACCTCTGCCTCCTGGGTTCAAGTGATTCTCCTGCCTCAGCCTCCTGAGTAGTTGGGACTACAAGCAGATGCCACCCTTTTTTTTTTTTTTTTTTTTCTGAGATGGAGTCTCACTCTGTCACCCAGGCTGGAGTGTAGTGGCGCCATCTCAGCTCACTGCAACCTCTGCCTCCCAGGTTCAAGCAATTCTCTGCCTCAGCCTCCTGAGTTGCTGGGATTACAGGTGCCTACCACCACACCCAGCTAATTTTTTGTATTTTTAGTAGAAATGGGGTTTCACCATCTTGGCCAGGCTGGTCTTGGAACTCCTGACCTCATGATCCACCCGCCTCGGCTTCCCAAAGTGCTGGGACTACAGGCGCGAGCCACCACATCCAGCCCAGTGCCCAGCTAATTTTTGTATTTTTAGTAGAGACAGGGTTTCACCATGTAGGCCAGGATGGTCTCAATCTCTTGACCTTGTGATCCGCCCGCCTTGGCCTCCCAAAGTGCTGGGATTACGGGCATTTATATTTTTCAGAGTACCTGTAGGAAATACATGGAACATGCAATTTAAATTATTTGAGAATAATAAAAGGACTTTTACGCAAGTATGGGCCAGGGTGGGAAAATCACAGGGATGGATAATACAGTATCCTGAGAGGTGACGCTGGGGTTATAATTACAACCTCTGGGTCCAAAAGGGCAAGGGAAGGAGCAACTGCAGAAAGCCAGCGCCAGAGGTCTGGCAGAGAGGGAGGCCTGAGAGGAGGCAGTTGGGCTGTCCACGTGGAGAGAGAGTGGGAGGAACCAATGTTACGGCCCCACACTCTTACCTTCTTCCAGGGCACCACAGAAAGCCCAAAGATGAAGTAGCCCACAGATATGGTCAGCCTCCCAAAGGGCAGATGTGAATTGAGAAAGGTCAACTGTAAGTCTGGAGGGGCAAACAGAAAGTGCTCAGCACAGGCTCCTCTTGCTCCTCTGTCTCCATACTTTTTCCAGGTAAAAACTCTGTGTCCTCAACACAGGAAAGGCAGCTTGACCATTTGAGGTAATGCTGATTCTGTCATATGCCCATGTAAAACATATACCCAGACCAGCATTCTCTAGCATACCCAGATGGATAACCTTAAAAAGTACTTCAGACACTAAAAACACTAGAACAAAGACTAAAGGATTAATGAAGATCAAAGCAGGAAGCCCAAAGTTTGACTAAAACGAGTTCCCAAAAGAGAGAACAAAGAAAATGGAGAGGTACAAATTGCCTAAAACAATGGATAAATGTATTTCAATGTTAAAGAAAGACAAGTGTCTTCAAGAAAAGGCCCACCAAGCTAAAAATATAAAAGAAGAAGATACAAATTGACCTTCATCTAAAGATAATATCATAACAAAAATATTCTAAAAATCTTTTGAAGAGAAAACAAGAAGGGAAGCTATAAGAAATTATACAAAGCTTGTCATTTGAGAGAAAAGCCACATTTTTAGTTGGAAAGTTTTAACTGTTAAAAGTCAGCTGTCTTGAAGTTAACCCAAAACTTTCATACAAGCACAATAAAATTGAAAGGTGATTTTAAAATTCATATGGAATTGAAAATATAAAAATATGCATGAAGCAATTTTGAAAGCAATCTTGCAAATCCAGGCCTTAAGAAATAAGGACTAATTAAGTCCTTATTTAAGAAAGAAGGACTTTTTCCTACCAGATAAAATAATAAAATGTCAAAACCTACTACTGAATTCATTAATTTTCCATAAATAAGTTTATGTAAAAACCACATATTACATAAAGTGTATTACTTTGAAAATACATTCTTTCAGTCTCCCATTTCATAAAATATATGTAGGATGGCAGGTATTCAAGGGTATTGTAGAAAAGATAAGAGACACTAAATATCATTACTGCTGTATCTTGATGAAGTAGGGGGTATCATGGCTAATGCATATGGCTGTGCCGGTCACACACTGCACAGCTCTAGAAGAGGTCTATGTGATTAACACTTCCTAATGTTTTTAGTAGACAGTTTGGCCTGTAAGCTGTGATGGCCCTGAATGAGGTCATCAGCTAAAAGACGGAGAGTATATCTCAGAATCTTCAACAATAGATTTTAGGTCCTATCATTAGTGGTTTAGGAGCATCCTTACATAAAATAAGACTGATGCCTCTGGCATCTTCAATTCCTTCACAAGCTCCAAGGAGGAAAATGAGGCTAATGTGCAGAATAAGGCAGAATTAAGAGAGAAAGCAGAGTGATGTTCACGCGGTGGTGGAATAAGAGCGTTCTACCATTATCGCCTAGCAGAAGCATCAAACTTGACAATTATCTATAAGAGCACTTTTGTGGGGTCCAAGAATCCAGCAGATAAAGTTTTAGCACGCCATCAGAACAAAAATCTGAGAATAGATGCACTGAAAAAGATAAGAAAAACAGTTTCACTTTACCTGCATTACCTTTCCTCCAAGGCATCATAGCTCAATGCCAAGAGAGATCATTGCAGTCCATGATTTCTCCTGGTGGGTGGGGAGAGTGCAAGCATGGTTCATGAGTGCCCAGCTCCCCCAGCTTTGTAGGATACTGAACAAGACACCCACTTTCTCATCTTATCCAAACTACAATGGTGATTGGTATGGTTTAGTGGTTGGAAGAGAACAGTGACAGGGAAGAGAGGTGGGGATCTAATTTACTGCTCTGTGATTCCATCAGGAAGTGCATCTATAAGGCACTTGGAACACATTGTGTTTGGACCCCCTGAACTGGTGCATGGGCACTCAAAATGTTTGGCACAACTCGCTCCCAAGATTGGTTCCCTAAATGCACCTGCGTGAACAGCAAATGCAAGCACTTCATGCAGGTATCTGTATCAACTATGCAGGGTTGGAGGAAGACACACAAACTTGAGCATTTCAGTGCACCACTCTAGAAAATCAAAACAGGAAGCTCTCAGCCCTGGCCTAGCTTTGCAAGATTGAAAGAAAGTGTATAATCTTAAGCATTTCCCTCCCCCAAAATGGATAAGAAGTGTGGAGTGGGTGAATCCACAGAAAAAGTCTGAGAGAGCCTCATAATCACTAACCAATCTGGTTGGTGAAGGTATTTATAGTAAGTAAAAACTGAAGGAAGTTACTCCTTCTTCAAATGGAAAGACAGCAGCAGAAGACTTCAAGAAACATGAAAAATCAAGAAAACTTGATTTTTCCCAAAGAAATTGAGATCTACAAATTGCCTGACAAAGAATTCAAAATAACTATTTTAATGAAGCTCAGTGAGCTACAAGAAAACATAGGTAGACAACTAAATAAAACAGAAAATAGGAATCAACAAAAGAATTCCAATGAATAGATAGAAATCATGAAAAGGAAACTGAACAGAAATCCTAGAGCTGAAGAACACAGTGAATGGAATTCAAAAAATGCAATAAAAACACCAACAGACTTGATCAAGCAGAAAAAAGAATCTGTGAACTTGAAGAAAAGTCATTTGAAAATATCCAGTTAGAAAAGGAAAATTTTTTTTAAAAAGAATGAAAAGGAATGAAGAAAACCGATGAGATTAGTGGAACACCATCAAGACAGCTAACATTTGCATTATGGATGTTCTAGAAGAAGAACAAAGACAGAAAGCGGAGAAAGCTTATTTAAAAAAATTATGGCTGAAAACTTCCAAAGTCTGGGGAGAAACCTGGACATTCAGGTATACAAAGCTTGCAATCTGTAATAAGGTTCAATCCAAAGAAGGCCTCACAAGTCACATTACAGGTTGAGCATCGCTAATCTAAAAACCTGAAATCTGAAATGCTTCAAAATCTGAAACTTTTTGAGAACTAAAATGACGCTTAAAGGAAATGCTCATTGGAACATTTCAGATTTCAGATTTTCAAATTAGGGATGCTCAACTGGTAAGTATAATGCAAATATTTCAAAATCTAAAACAATCTGAAATCTGAAACACTTCGATTCTATGCACTACAGATAAGGGATCCTTCACCTGCATAACGAATTGTCAAAAATTGAAGACACAGAAATTTGAAAGCAACAAGAAAAGAGGCTTGGCACATACAAGCAAACTCTGATAAGACTATTAGCAGATTTCTCAGCAGAAGCCTTACAGCCAGAAGATAGTAGAATTATATAGATATATTCAAACTGGTAAAAGAAAGAAAGATACTGCTAACCAAGAATATTTTACCTAAAAAAGTTGTTCTTCAAAAATGGAGATCTAAAGCCTTCTAAACAAACAAAAGCTGAGGAGTTCACCACTTTAGACCTGCTTTATAAGAAATGCTAGAGAGTTCTTCAAGATAAAATGAAACAAGGCTAATTAATGACATGAAAACATATGAAAGTATAAAACTGACAAATGGAAGTTTATCAGAATACTCTAATAATATTCTAATACTCTAATAAATTCAGAATATTCTAATACTGTAATGGTGTGTAAATCACTTAAAGTTTAAAAACAAAAGTATTAACAAAACTGTAAATACAATAGTCTGTGGATACATAATATTAAAAAGATATAAATTTTGACATCATAAACAAAAAATAAGGGGTGTAAAAGTATAGAGATTTTGTATGTGATCAAAGAAAATTTGTTATAAGCTTAAAATAGACTTTTATAACTAAAAGGTATTTCCTGTAAGCCTCACGGTAACCATAAACCAAAAACCTCTAGTTGATATATAGAAGAAAAAGAGAAAGGAATCAAAGCATACCACTCATTACAAAAAAATCATCAGTTCACAAAGGAAGATAGCAAGAGAGGATGAAACAAACAAAGAATCTACAAGGCAACTAGAAACCAATTAACAAAATGGCAATAGTAATTGCTTACCTATCAATAATTACTTTAAATATAAATTGCTTAAATACTCTAAAGATAGACTGCTCAATGGATTGAACACACACACACACACACACACACACACACAATATGGTACCTACAACGGATTCACTTAAGCTTTAAGAACACACTTAGAGTCAATGTAAATAAGGAAGGTTATATTCTATGCAAATGGAAACCAAAAGAGAGTAGGAATAGCTAAATTTATACAAAATAAACTTTAAGTCAAAAACTCTCGTAAGATACAAAGAAGATCATCATATAATGATAAACAGGTCAATTCATCAGGGGATATAACAATTTCAAATATATATGCACCTAACATTACAGCACTTAAATTATATAAAGCAAATATTAATAAATCTGAAGGAAGAGACAGACTGGATACAATAATAGTAGAAAACTTTAATACCTCACTTTCAACAATGGACAAATTGTTCAGATAGAAAGTCAATGAGAAAATATTGTAATTGAACTGCATTTTAGACAAAAAGAGGGCCTAACAGACATATACAATGCATTCTGTCAAAAGGCAACAGAAGACTTTTTTTCTTGTACATATAAAATTATTTCCAAATTACTTTAAGTATTAGGCCACAAAACACGTTTTAACAAATTTAAGACGATTGAAACTGCATGAAGAATATCTTCTGATTACAATGGTATGAAACTAGAAATCAATAAAAAGAAAAACTGGAAAACTCACAAATATATGCAAATTAAACAACATTCTTCTGAGCAACCAAAGGGTAAGTGGTAAATTTTCCAAGAGGGAAATTTAAAAAGATCTTGATACAAATCAAAATGGAAACACAGCATACAAAAACTTATGGGCTAGGCCGGGTGTAGTGACTCATGCCTTTAATCCCAGTACTGTGGGAGGCCAAGGTGGGCAAATCACCTGAGGTCAAGAGTTCGAGACCAGCCTGGCCAACATGGTGAAATCTTGTCTCTACTAAAAATACAAAAATTAGCTGGGCATGGTGGCATGTGCCTGTAATCCCATTTACTTGGGAGGCTGAGACAGGAGAATCACTTGAACCCAGGAGGCGAAGGTTGCAGTGAGCAGAGATCATGCCACTGCACTCCAGCCTGAGCAACAGAGTGAGACACCATCCCAAAAATAAATAAATAAATAAATAAATAAATAATAAATTATGGGCTACAGCAAAAGCAATTCTAAGAGAGAAACTTTTAGTGATAAAATCTTACGTGAAGAAAAAAGAAAGATATTAAATAAGTAAGATAACCTTATACCTCAAACACTAGAAAAAGAAGAACAAACTCCAATGTTAGAAAGAAGAAGGAAATCTTAAAGATCAGAGCTGAAAAACATGAAGTAGGGACTAGAAAAACAACAGAAAAGTAAACTGAGTTGTTTCTTAAAAGACATACAAAATTCACCTTTTGCTGGACTAAGATAAAATGTGACAGGACTCAAATAAACAAAATCATAAATCAAAGTGGAGACTTGAAAACTAATACCACAGAAATAAGAAGGACCATAAGGGTCTATGATGAACAATTATATGCCATAAAAAAGATAACCTAAAAAAGTAGGTAAATTCCTAGAAACCATATCTTACCAAGTCCAAAGCATGAAGAAATGGAGAAACTAAACATACCAGTAATGATTAAGGATATCAATTTGGTTGTTTAAAATCTCCATCAAAAAGAAGTCTATGGGCCAGGAACAGTGGTTCATGCCTGTAATCCCAGCACTTTGGGAGGCCGAAGAGAGTGGATCACTTGAGGTCAGGAGTTCAAGACCAGCCTGGCCAACATGGTGAAACCCCGACTCTACTAAAAATACAAAAATTAGCCAGGTGCGGTGGTGCACACCTGTAATCCCAGCTACTCAGGAGGCTGAGGCACAAGAATCATATGGCTTCACTACTGAATTCTATCAAGCATTTAAAGAAGAATTAATGTCAGTATATCCCAATTGCTTCAAAAAAACTGAAGATGATGGACCACTTCCAAACTCATTTTACTATGCCAGCATTACCCTGATATCAAAGCCAAACCAGAACACTACAAAAAAGAGAAAATCACAGACCAGTAACCCTGATGAAAACAGATCCAAATATCTTCCATAAAAGACTAGAAAACCAAATTCAATACCGCATTAAAATGGCCACAGTTCTACAGGCTGTACAAGAAGCATGATGCCAGCATCTGCTTCTCCTGAGGGCTTTTGTGCTGTGTCAAAACATGGTGAAGAAGGTAAAAGGTGAGGCGGGCATATGTGAAATGAGAACAAACCCAAGGGGTATCCTGGATTTGTAACAACCTACTCCAAGGGGAACTAATTTATTACCCCAAAAACCAATCCAGTCTTGCAAGATGAGAACTCACTATTGCAAGATGGCACCAAGCCATTCATGAGACCCCAAACACCTGCCATGAGGCCCTACTTCCCAATACTACCAAATTGGGAATCAAATTTCAACATAAAATTTAGTGGGGCCAAATAAACCAAATCCATATCATACCACCATGATTAAGGAGATTTATCCCTGGGATGCAAGAATGATTCAACATACAAAAATCAGTAATTGTGATATGTCACATTAACAGCATAAAAGATAAACAACATATCATCATCTCAATAAATGCACAAAAAGCATTTGACAAAATTTGACATCCTTTCCATGATGAAAAAACGCTCAGAAAGGCTCACGCCTGTAATCCCAGCACTTTGAGAGGCTGAAGCAGGAAGATCGCTTGAGCCCAGGAGTTCAAGACCAGCCTGGGCAACATAGTGAAACCCTATCTCTAGTTAAAATAAACAAACAAATAAGAACATATTTCAACTTAACAATGGCCATTTATGACAACCCGACACCAACATATTTAATGGTAAAAAGCTTTCCCCCTCATATGAAGAACAAGGCAAGGATGCTCATACTCGTCCCTTTTTTCCCACATAGTACTAGAAGTCCTAGCCAAAGTGATTAAGCAACAAGGATCAATAAAAGGCATACACATTGGAAAGGAAGGCATACAACTGTTTGTTCACCGACATCATAATCTTTCATACGGGCATACTGCATTTTATTCTGCTTCACTTTATTGTACTCTGTAGATATTGCAGTTTTCCTTTTTTTTATTATTGTTTTTTGTTTTTTTTGTTTTGTTTTTTGTTTTACAACTGAAGGTTTTTGGCACCTCTGCATTAAGCAAGTAGATCAGCACCATTTTTTTCCAACAGCATGTGCTCACTTCATGTTTCTGTGTCACATTTCGGTAATTCTCACAATATTTTGAACACTTTCCATGACTTCAACACATCAACCTTCCGTCTCAAAAGAAAAGCATCCCATGCACAAACACACCATGTCCAAGGTTGTTCTGGGCTTGTTCCCACGTTATTTTAGGAGCCTAGAATATCTGCTTTTCACCAGTCCTAATCTGACATCTCCAAAGTCCAGTCTCCTACCTTTCTAGATTTCCCTCAAAGTTGCAGTCCCTTGTTTATTATTTTGTGAGGGGAAGATGAAAGGGTTCATGATCTTTACTACAATGGCTTCCTGACCCACAGAAAAGGTTCAATGTTTTCTTGCACTTTATTCTACCTGAGCTAAACTGCATAAAAACATTAAACTCTCATTCTTTTTTTTTTTTTTTTTTTTTTTTTTTTGAGACAGAGTCTTGCTCTGTCATCCAGGCTGTAGTGCAGTGGCGTGATCTCAGCTCACTGCAAGCTCTGCCTCCTGGGTTCAGGCCATTCTCCTGCCTCAGCCTCCCAAGTAGCTGGGACTACAGGCGCCCACCACCACACCTGACTAATTTTTTGTATTTTCAGTAGAGACAGGGTTTCACCTTGTTAGCCAGGATGGTCTCGATCTCCTGACCTCATGATCCACCTGCCTCGGCCTCCCAAAGTGCTGGGATTACAGGCATGAGCCACCATGCCCAGCCTAAACTCTCATTCTAATTGGACAATTTTAAGAAGTATTTTACTCCCAGACTTATAAAACAAGCCTACAGCCAGGCACAGTGGTGCACGCATGTAATCCCAGCACTTTGGGAGGCCGAGGTGGTGGATCACTTGAGGCCAGGAGTTCAAGACCAGCCTGGGCAACAGAGCGAGACTCAAACTCTACAGAAAATTTAAAAAATTAGCTGGACGTGGGGCACCCGCCTGTAGTTCCAGCTACTCAGGAGGATTGCTTGAACCTGGGAGTTCAAGGTTGCAGTGAGCCGTGACCATGCTACTCCACTCCAGCCTGGGTGACAGGAGACCCTATCTTAAAAAAAACAAACAAAAACAAGCCCACAACACTACTTCTTTAGTTCTGAAGCACTGTAAAGTATATTTTAGATTAATAATTTCCAAACCAAGAAAATGAAAGCCTATATTAATTATAAGACCCCAAACAGAAAAAATCTTGTAAAACGATCAAGACCATAAAATTCACATACCTTCTATTTGGTCAATGCAGAGACACAGATCTTTGTTCCGGAGTTTGAATTTAAATGCAAAGCTTCAGAGCCTGAAAATGTCTAAAATTAGACCCATGACTGACAACTGGCCTAGGCTCAATGTCTTTGGAATGTGCTCTACTAAATTTGCTACCATTTGAATGTGTTCCCTCCAAAATTCAGGTGTTGCCAATGTGATGATATTAAGAGGTAGGACCTTTAGGAGGTGATTAGGCCAAGAGGGCTCCTTCCTCCTTAATGGGATTAAGGCCCTGATGAATGAGGCTTCACACATTGGACTAGCTTGCTCTCCTGCCCTTCTGCCTTCTGCCTTCTACCATGTGAGGTGGCAACAAGAAGGCCCTCAGACACCAAATGTTGGTATTTTCATCTTGGACTTCCCAGTCTCCAGAACTGTCAGAAAATAAATGTCTGTTCTTTATAAATTACCCAGTCTCTGGTATTCTGTTATAGCAGCATAAAACAGACTAAGAGAAAATTCCTTGATGATTTTTCAACAAGAGACAGTGTCACTACTTCTGGTGAGTAGTCCCTAACATGTTCTCAAATTCTCCTTTTATGCAAACATAACATTTTTTAAACTTAGTAGTTCCTTTTCCTAAAAATAACCAAATACAGGTTAAGGACTGATTAGTATTAAATATAAGTACAACTTTGGTGCTAAAAGTTAAGAGCTTTTGTTTTCCAGAAAATCAAATCCAAAGAATTCAGATAAAGCAATTTTCTCAAAGATGTATCATCAGTTAGAGGTAAAGCCAGAGGTGAGAAATTATATTCCATTCCAAATACAATGTGCTTTCAATTATTCCACATTAATAGTAGTTTACAAAGGAGATTTAGAGAATTCCTCAAATCAAAAATGACGACATTTATGAAATGTCATTCTTATATAAAATACCTACTTCAGCCATCTCCTCTTCTTCCTCTTCCTCTGAAGTCACTTCTTCTGTTGTCCCATTCTGAAACAGAGAAAGAATCTGCCAGGGCTACACAGGCTGAATACAGGGTGAGTCAATTAGAAGACCGGTGCCATAGCTTTAGGGACAAACTCTCAACCATCTGTCACTGCAGTGCCACTAGCAGAGAGCTTATTAAAATTAAATGTTTATTTTTAAATCCAACTTTGATTTGACAAACAACAGTTATCAGCTTTTAAAAACGGAACAAAGAATAAAAGAATTAGGAATAAAGAAAAGCAATCAGTCAAATACAAAGCAAAACCGAAAAAAATGTTAAAATGTAATCTAATTTAAAATAAGAAAACATTTTACTTACATGGCTATGTGTATAAGATCAATGGCTTATTTTGTTTAAAATAAATATCACAAACTATCCATTCCTTAAAATAACTACCTTTTTAACTTTGAAAAGCCTGAATCATTACATAAATTCAATTGCCTTACATTTTAAAAGATCAGATGTGTTATTTATAGACACTTGACAAAACTAAGAATTATGAAATGATTACCACCTTACTAAAAGGCAAATTTTAGTTTTAAAAACATGTTATTTACTACAAAATACCTCCCTACAAGACAGAATTTACCAACTGACACAATTTACAATGATCAAGTTTAGAAATGAATTTAATGGGGTTTTAAGAAGGGCCTTCATACACAGTTTGGGCAAAGTTCAAAAGATAAGCTTCCTGGCCTGGGCACAGTATATAAATGCTTCTTTAACCATGAAGGCCAGTACAGGTTAAAACCCAGAATATGTAGAAGATCAAAAAACTAGGATTCAGAGATCAAGTAAGACCAACAAAGGTCTCAGCAGTATCTAAGCATCTGTTCTTAGATACTCTGATGGAGTAATTCTTAAGAAAAACAAACCCATGATCACAGAGGGTATTAGAACTCTTCTGGATCAGTCAGCTGGAGAAAGCCATGTAGATAAACATACCCATGAAGAATTAACTTATATTTGCTTTAAATCTGTATCTCTTTAGACATTCTTTGTCTTCTAAAAACTAAATGGAAAAAGGAAGCAAGCAGCAGCTTCCAAAATGTAATTCAACCCTTCTTCATTTCCCTAAATTGTTATACTCCACATTAAACTATTCTGGGTATCTAAAGAATATATTCTTAGCCTAAAAGTCCCAAAGACTTTGGTTGCATCAGTGATTGAAAGAGCATTTTTGAAATGCTCATTTCAAAGCATACCCAGAGAATCTGTTTTTGGTTTTGTTTTTTTTTGAGACGGAGTCTTGCTCTGTTGCCAGGCTGGAGTGCAGTGGCACCATCTCGGCTCACTGCCACCTCCGCCTCCTGGGTGCAAGCGATTCTCCTGCCTCAGCCTCCCAAGTAGCTGGGACTACAGGCGCGTGCCACGATGCCCAGCTAATTTTTGTAGTTTTAGTAGAGACGGGGTTTCACCATGTTGACCAGGATGGTCTCGATCTCTTGACCTCATGATCCGCCCACCTCGGCCTCCCAAAGTGCTGGGGAGAATGTGTTTTTAAAAAGCTCTCTGAGGTGATTCTGACACGCATCCACATCTGTAACCATCAGCCCAGTTACTATCCTTCATTTTGCAAATGATAAAGCTGAGCCCCCACCCCTCAAAAAGGGTAATTTAATCAAAACAAAAAGTGAGTTAGGGTTGTAAAATCCTAAGATGAATTTCAAGATGTGGCCTGGTCCTCTTTCCAAAATCCCACCAAAATGACAGTATTTTACTAAACAGAATAAGTCTGACACAGCAGCAGAAAAATAACAGATACAAGGAGAATACCCTTAGTGAACCAAAACTACAGGGACATGCCGGAAGACACAAAGCAGATGGAATTAGACTGCTGGGCTTGAGAAGGCCACAAACCCAATCCAAATAATGGAGGGACCACTTTTTTCCAGAAGAATCTAACATTCTTTACCGTTCTTGTCCCAACTACAGTTGGTAAGAATCACCCTCCCATATAAGAAGCCTATCTTGATGGCCTCTTACTATGAGTGTGAAAACCAGAGGGAAAAGACAAAATGTTTTTTAATATAACTCAACACAGCAGCAAAATCTTAAAACAGACTCCATCTCTGCCTTTTAACTCAGGAGCTAGAAAGCTCTCCTGCCAGCACCTCCCCATCCTAGTGTCACAGGCGGAGCATGGGTCTGCAAACCAGGAGAGGGAGGCCACAGCAGAAAAGAATGACAATTCTGAAGACACTTGTGATGGTTAATACTCAGAGTCAACTTGATTGGATTGAAGGAATCCCAGCACTTCGGGAGGCAGAGGTGGGTCATTTGAGGTCAGGAGTTTGAGACCAGCCTGGCCAACATGGTGAAACCCCGTCTTTACTAAAGACACAGAAGTTAGCCAGGCGTGGTGGCGGGCGCCTGTAATCCCAGCTACTCCGGAGGCTGAGGCAGGAGAATAGCTTTAATCCGTGGACTGTCAAGAGACGTAGGCTGCAGTGAGCCGAGATTGCGCCACTGCATTCCAGCCTGGGCGACAGAGTGAGGCTTTGTCTAAAAAAAAAAAAAAAAAAAGTTGTTTTTTTTTGTTTTGTTTTGTTTTTGTTTTTTGAGAGAAGTCTCGCTCTTATCCCCCAGGTTTGAGTGCAATGGCTCGATCTCGGCTCACTGCAACCTCCGCCTCCCGGGTTCTAACGATTCTCCTGCCTCTGCCTCCCAAGTAGCTGGGATTAAGTAGCCTGCCACCACGCCGGGCTAATTTTTGTATTTTTTAGTAGAGATAGGGTTTCACCATGTTAGCCAGGCTGGTTTCGAACACCGAAAATCTTAAAGGCCTTTGCCTTTCCCCGCCTGGGCTCAAAAGCCGCCATTCCCCGCCCTGTCGCGGTCCCCGGAGCAGGCCGGCTGACTGAGGGCGACCATGGGTCCCGAGAGGGCTCCCGCCACCGCGGGCTCCCACCTCGGGGGGCGGCGACGGGGGCTGAGAGGGGCCAGTGGCCCCCAAGACAGCCCCATGCGAGGAGCCGGAGAGACAGACGCGCCCGCCGCCTCCTCCCACCCAAGCCTCGCGCAGTCCCGGGGCGGGCCGGGCCAGTTGCGGGAGAAAGGGGCGGGGAGCCTCGCCGGGGCAGGTTCCCCTTTGTCCCGGGACTCCGGGCACCCCCTCTCCGCCCTCTTCCTGCCCCGCGAGGCCGCCGCCGGGCGCCTCACCTCATGTTGCAGTGGAGCGTGAGCCGCAGCTGAGCCTCCTGGTTCTCGTGGAAGATAGACGCCAGCAACTTCAGTTTGGCCTTGAATCTTGACACAGACATCTTCCCCTCATCTCCGGCGGGAAGGGCGTGGAAGGGGAGCCGTCTGGAGCCGCTGTCATGGCCACGACCACCCCGCGGGGCCGCCTGGCCGAGCTCTTGTGAGCCTAAAGACCCGCCTCTTCCTGCAGCCTCCACTCTCCTGGGAGCGCGGCTGGAAAATGGCAAGGGGCACCAGGTCTTGGCGGGAGCTGTGTGGCGGCCTGGGGGGCTGCTCCCTTTGTAGCCGACTCCACCGACAGGAGGCGCGGCCCCTGTCAAGCCGCAGCTTAAAAGGGCAACAGGACAACAGAACCACCGCCCCCGCTACCGCCTGGGAAAAGGCTGCCCCTACCCCGCCCCCGTCCCCGTCGCCCCTACCCCCTCGGCGCACCCTTTTCCGCGGGTGCACAAGTCCAGAGCGTGCGCGCGCTCCCGACTGCCCCCTCCTCCCTTGACCCAGCACCTTTCTGCCGGGCACAGGATCCCGGGGCTAGACTGCCTGGGCTCAAGTTCCAACTTAGCCACTTGCTGGCTGTGAAATACTTGCTTTAAGCAAGTATTTAAGCCTCAGTTTCTTTCTTTCTTTCTTTTTTTAACTTAATCCCAAATGTGATAGTCTCAGTTTGTTGATCTGAAAAACAGAAATTATTTAGTGAGAGTCTATGTGAAAACTTTAAAGTTTTTAAAGCCACTGCCTGGCTCAGGAAAGTCCTCAGCTTTAGCTGTTAAAGTTTTAAAAGCCACTTTAAAGGTTTTAAAGCCACTGCCTGGCTCAGGAAAGTCCTCAGCTTTAGCCTTTATCAGCTATGATTATTATTGTGTTGGCTACACGTGCATTGAGGCAGGAAAATGCTCAGGGATAACAACCAAGTATGCAAATTATCTCATCAGACCCAGCGACAGGCATATGTGTGCATGCTCATGTTTCAGCTCAGAGCCCTTTGTCTAGAAGGCTCTTGAACTCAAGAGGCCCAGGCACTATCAACTTGAATTTGCAGTGGAGCCATCACTTTTGTTGATCAATGAAATTGACATAACGCTCTTTTTTTTTTTTTTTTTTTTTTTTTTTTTTTTTAACACCAACCGTGTGCCTCGAGCTAACTGTGTCAAGAAAAGCATGCTTCAGTTGGCTGGAGTGAGCAATTTAACTTGTGGAGGAATGAGAAACGTTAGTGTTGAGAATAGAAACATAAAACCCCAGGGTAAGGTAGGAACCTACCTGAGAACCTTGGGTGAGTCATCCACCCTTTGGGGGCTCCCTGTGCCTCAGTGGAGTGAAGAATTATCCCTTCCTCGCCTTGCTGCCTCCTGGGAAAGTTGATAAGAATCAAGTGAAATTAAGACTGTCAGGCTGTCATTGTCATCCCTATCAGGGGAAGGGTCCTCTGGGGCCTGAAGGGGCTTTGGGTAAAGCACAGCTGTGTTTTCTCCAGGGACCCACCGTGTTCCCATCCTCCCCCATTGTGGCCCAGCCACTGCCTGTGCAAGTGTCACCCAATCCTTCCACAGGCCATCAGAATTCCACTTCCACCCAAGAGGGGAAAGGACACATTGGAGGCAGCACAGACATTAAACACGGTATTTTCAGAAGGAGCAGACATAACCTTACAGAAGTGCTTTATTTTCTGTAACTAGATTTTGTTTTACTGGAGGCAGCTTTGTATAAGGTTCAGGCGTCTCTTGGTCCATTTTATCAGAAGGAACCATGGGGGTCATTTCATCCATCCCTTTTCATCTAAGCAGCACTACATTCCAATCGTGAAGGCATAAGCTTTCCCTGTCAAGCAGGATGCTGCCCCAGACCCTTAGCATCAGGAAACCCCAAAGTCAAACCTGAATCCAGCCTGCTGAATGAAATTTCAGTCCCATCCTCCCTCCTTCTAGCAAAAGAAGGTTTGGGGGAGATTTCAAAACAGAAGCACTTCTCTCCCCAGGGAGAAACCGAAGAGGAGCAGCAGGTACTGCTCTTCAGCCCACACACCCATCTCAGGTGACAGGTCCCCTCCTCAGTGTGGGGCGACGTGGTGGGGGTAGGTTACCGGAGTGTAGCAGAGTGGGGGGAAACCCCTGGTGCCCTCCTGCTGAGCATCTGACCTTGAGCCCTTTACCCCAGCTCCCCCTTTCCATCTGAAGAACAGTGAGGGATCAGCAGACCTGACTAGAGGGTCTCAGGCATGGGTCCTCTCCCCCAGCCCACACATGAACACACGCACACACCCTTCCCAACACCCAGGTATGCAGATGCACACTCCCCCACAGGAGGAGCCGCCCGGAAATCCCTGAATCAGCTTTTCTGCCGTCCAGGGTCTGTGACAAGCGAGCTGCTGCCCTTCTGAAGAGAGGCTCCATGCCGGCCAGGAGCCGCGGCTGCTGCAGCACTGCAGTCCCCGGCTTCTGGAGTAAGGTCTCTGTCTTGGGGCGGGGGATGCCTGGAGGAGGGGAGGAAGGGGGATTCACTGCGGGTATTGGGAATTTCCCAGTTCCCCAGACTCTGTGGGGATGAGAAGCCCTGGAAAGCCCTGAATGACTGCCCCTCCCCCCCAACACACATGCACACAGGATTTTTGTGTGTGTGGGTTGGTGGGTGAGGAATGTCACTTCCTGGGTCAAACACCAAACTCGAGTCCTGGTCCTGAGTGTGCAGAGCAGAAGGCAAACAGAAAGCAGCTGCATGGAGGGTGAAGGAGAGGCTGAGGGGAGAGGGCGAGGGTGAGGTGGAGCTGGGAAGGTCAGGGGCAGTTAATGGCCAGACAGCAGCAGAAATTCCACCTGGCGAGCTGGGGCCCCGAGGTCTTATCGGGTGAGGTTGGGGGTTGAGGGTGAGGCCCAAGGATGAGACTGAGGCACAGGAGTGCTGCCCAGGCTCTCGGTTCTTCCTGCCCCTCCTGGTGCTCACAGTGGGTGTCAGCCTCGCTTTTCCCAAGTGGGAGAAAGCAGATCTGCGGAGGTGGGAGGTGTTGGGTCCATGGCAGAGCCCTTCTGCTGGGTTCCTATCTGAGAGCAGGCAGAGGGTCCTGTGCCAGCAGACGCTCTTCCTCCTCTGCCCCAACCCCGTACCCCTGCATCCCTCTTTCTCCCCTCTCCAGGTGGCCGGTGAAGAGCCCTGGCACCAGCCTTGACCTCACCCTCTGGGACAGACTGAGGCAGGGGACCGCGGGCTGCCGGAGCCCTCGGGGCGAGCTCCCCAGCTCCCCTTCCCCTCCAGCATCTGCCTTTTGTTCCACCTCTCTTCTCCCTCCCTTGACTCAGGAAAACCTTCATCCCTATCTCCTGAAGCAAATCGTTTCCCTCCCACCCCCGCCCGCACGCCGTTCCCTACAGCCAGGGGGTCCCCTCCCCCCCGTCCCCTCCCCCAGCCAATCCCCGGACCCGAGAGGCTGTAAACTCGGAGCTGGCGGGTGGGGTGGGGAGTGTTGCAGGAGTGCACGGAGCTGGCGGGGACTCCTCAGTAGAATCGGGGGAGTCCCGTAGGGCTCCGGGGGCTCGGAGCCGGCCCCGCCCTCCTCAAACTTCTGTAGGACCGCGCCAGTTTAAACCCCTCTGCCCCAGCCTAGTCCGTCCCGCACACACCTCCCCTTCCCCTGTCGCCCATTTCCCCCTCGGCCGGCAGTACGGACTGCAGAAGGGGGGCGTGGGCGCCAGGAGGCGGCCTCTCCCGCAGCGGGGATTGCCTGGGGCGGAGGACCTGCGTCGCGGTTTGCGGGGATCGCCTTCGGAGGGGCCGCACGCGCTGTGTGCAGGCGGATGTGAGGAGCATCTCAAGAGGCGGGTGGGGGAAGCGGGATCAGGTTGTTACTACTGCAGAGAGAGAGAGAGGAAGAGAAGAGAGAGAGGGAGAGACTCGAGAGCGAGCGAGCGCGGGAGCGAGGGCCGCAGCGGCAGGGCCGGCGGGGAAGTGGGAAGAGGGACCTGGACTTCGGGACCCCAGCCGCCCCCGCCCCCGCCCTCTCCACCAGCTCAGGCTGAACGCGCCTGGAACGTCCCAGGGTAAGAGGGAACCCCAGGCGGGGCACCCCACGAGGGCAGCCAGTAGTCCCGAGCGAAGCCGTGCCTGGACCGACAGTGGCCACCTCCAGGGCCTGAGGCGCGGGCGGACGCGGGGTCACCAAACGGTGACACTCCGACTTTTGGGGCTTGGCGCTCACCGCGGGATAAACTAAGAGTAGGACTGAGCCCGCGGTGGGAACTGTAATCCGGAAATCCATGGGCGTCGGAATTACCTGGCTAGACCCCGGGGAGGTGTCCTGAATTATCTCGGGAACCCCTCGCCCCCAACCTATTTCTCCCCGCGGAGAGCCCGGGTTCAACGCGGAGAGAAGGCGAGAGAAGCCGCGGTGCCTTAGCGCTGGGACCGGGGACCTGCGGGGAAGCAAAGGCGACTCGCCGCAGAGAAGCCGTGGGAAGGGCGCGGGGAGGTGCATGAAGTGGGCGTGCGGAGAGAAGTGGGTGCTGGGCGCGTGGGACCCCGCCGCGCCTGCTTCGCTGAGGAGGAGCTGGAAGAACATGCTCGCGCGACCCTGGGGAGCCCCTGGCGCAGAGTGGGGTGTGCCGGAGGCACCGGCGGTGCGCAGGACTGGCTGCCTTTCTGAGCGCCCCTGCCTTGCCGCAGCCGTCCAAGGTTGAGATGAGCGGCTGTATTTTCTACCCCTTCCCTCTCCCAGGAACTTTCCCACACTTTGACACGCGCCACGGCTCTGTGCATTGGAGGAAGCAGGCTCCCGGGGATCCTGGCAAGCTTGCAGAGGCCCGGGTGGGCAATGGGAGGGGGCAGCTGGGCAGTGGAAACGAGGGCCCTACTCAGTGTGCTGTGTGACCTTCGACAAGCCGCTGCACCTCTCTGAATCTCAGGATGATGGAGGCACATGGTAACCAAGACAGGAATGGGGACGAGGTGGGGGAGGGTGCGCGGGGGAACAAGCTCATGGGCACGTCTGCCCCAGCCTCTGCACCTGGGAATCGCTGCCTTTGGTCACTGGCCTCTCTTAAGTGACTTCAGTGCTCACTTCCGGGGCAGGGGGTGGCAAGGTGGAGCTGTGAACCCAGCGCCCCGGGGAGAGTCGGAAAGCTTCCATTCTGACCTGTCCTATGACCTTGGGCAACTCACTGACCCACTCTGGGCCTCAGTATCTTCATCTGGAAAATGGGGTTTGGAATTTAAGGTATCTGAGGTTTCTCCCAGTCCCAACACCCTGCAGGTGTCGCCCACTGAAAGGTTGGGGATGGGGTGCAGCTGGGTAGAATGACCTGGCCTCTGGGAAGACTGTAGCTCCCCTACTGCACCCCCCATCCCAAAGTAGCAGGGCTGTGACACCCTCAGCCTGTTCATTGGTCATCTCTCCCAACTCTCAGAATCCAGCTGATGGGGAGAAAGGCGGGCTTTCCAGCATTACACATCCTCTTTGCAGAGGGCAGATTCTTTCCTAGGGAAAGGTTCGCTGTGACAGACAGATGACCATAGGTTAAAGGGTGATGTCAAGGACCTCACAAGGTCATGCTGTCTGCTCTCTACCTCCAGACAGGGCTGCATTCATCTCAGATAAGGAAGATCTGAAGGAATTGTCTCGTTTTAGAAAGATCTCCACTACAATAGCCTAGAGCACCCCACTGTGCAATGTGACAGTCCTTGCCATAGGAAAGTCTAATCTAACTCCTTTTTGGGATGAACTCTGGTTCTGTCTTCAGTTGAGATGAGACAATAACTTCATACTGGGCATTAGGGTGTTGCGGACGAGTCCGAGTTTGAGACAAGAGAGCTGAGTTTAATTTACAGGCTCTGCCTCCAATTTTGTGACCTTGTGTGACCTTGGGCAAGGCCCTTTCTTGCTTTCCTCCCCTGTACATTGAGAAGGTAGAACTAGTTAACTTCTCAGGCCCTTGCAACCCCACAATTCTGTGGCTGCAGTTCTGGGCTGGTGTCTGAGTAGCAGGAAGTGGGCTTGGCTGGGTGATGGGAGCAGGTGGTCTCCAGGAATTCCCAATGCATTGCCCTCCCACTTCTGTCACCAGAGTCAAGACAACTTGAGACAAATACAGTATATGAATTTCAAAGCCCGGCACACCCCTGGAGGGAGTCCCCAGGAGACCTTGGCTCTACTGGTTATTAGCTGTGTGACCTTGAGCAAATTACTTTATATCTTAGAGCTTCAGTTACTAAGTAGTCAAAACAAAATGAGAATAGTGGTGGTATTTTAGGGTTTTTATGAGGATTAAACAAGAAGCATATGTAAATACTTGGTCCAGTACTGAGCTAAGTCCTTAGTGAGTGGTAGCTATTGTTAATAATAATACAAGCTGTGTAGCAAGCAGGTGGCAGGGCAGCTGTGAGCAGTGGCCATGGGGAGCAGGGAAAGATTGTAGATTTGCAGTGTGATCTTCCCCTACCATCTTCAAAGCTTCCCTACAAAATGGGAACATCAGCACTATCTCTCTGTCTCTCTCTCTCTCTCTCTCTGATCATTAGGACCATTCTGCATTAGAAACTTCATGGGAAACAGAGAGACTGCTTGACTTTCCAATAATCTCACACCTGTTTTCCTTTGGTTCTCCCTTCCCCACTCTCTGCCACACCTCTGGTTATGATAAAATGGGCCTTTTACTCCATTCCCCGAACCTTCTAGGAAGGGACCAACTGAGAAGCAGAGAGGGGTAAGGCCAGATGTCCCTGGAGTGAGTGGCTGAAGGCATGTCTACACCCAGGTGGAAGGAGTGGCAAAGGGACTGGCTCAACCTGGAGGGGGACTCCCAGGACCCCATGGCCGGGACCGAGGTTTACCCTAGACTTGCTGTGTGACCTTAGGCAAGTCGCACGCCACTGTGGACCTCAGTTTTCTTGTATGTGAAGTGAAAGCTTGGTTTAGATGACCCAAAGTCCTTCTGGCTTTGTTGATCCACGACCCTGCTGGCTCTGCTTTTGCCGAGGCTGGGTGGGGGTGGAGGGGGTGGGAGGTTTGTTGGAGTCATTCAGGCTTTGGGTGTTCACTGCCCTGTGATTCCAGTCCTGTAAGTCAGCTTGGGGAGAGGCGATGACCTCCCCTTCTCAGTAAGAGCGCTGATGGTTAAGAGCAAAGTCTTTGCAGATAGATACATCTAGGTTCCCATCTTGGCTCGCTCCTTAATATCTGTGTGAATTCAGGCAAATTACCAACCTCTCTGAGCCTCAATTGTCTCATCTGTGAAAAGGGAATATTGCCAACCTGGAATAGGAAGTCCATAGTGTGATACTGACTAATGCACAAGGAATGGGTTTTTGAGGTTCTGTGTTATCACAGAGAGGGCTCAAGTTAGAGGAAGAGCAGGGATACAGTTCACAGTCCTGCAGTTGTCACCATGCACACAATCCCCCAAAATGCCCCAATGTCCTGTGTCGTCCTCCTGCTGTGCACTGGCCGCAGGCTCCAGGAGTTTGCATGCTCTGGTCTTCATCATGGGACCTGGAGAAAGGAAGAGCTCAGCCACAAAGGCCAAAGGCCAAGCAAGCATGAGTCTGAGAGGAGTGTGGCTGACAAAAGGCTCCTGATGATGAAGGAACACGAGCCAGCGGCATGGCATCCCTCCATTCAAGGTTAGTCATGAGGAAAGGCTGTGAGATGCTGCCTTGGAGAAAAGCTGAAGGAGCGGGGGACATCGCCTTCCGCAGGGATGTGTTAGATGAGTGCCACGGCAGGACGAGGCACTGAAAGGGGCTGTGGGATCATCTCATCCAGCCCTCTGTTTTGATTATGGGGAAACTGAGG
Source organism: Homo sapiens (assembly GCF_000001405.40). Classification (NCBI taxonomy): domain Eukaryota; kingdom Metazoa; phylum Chordata; class Mammalia; order Primates; family Hominidae; genus Homo; species Homo sapiens. Next base: position 2,360,737 of record NW_011332701.1, on the reverse strand, counting down.
CTTAGAGAGGGGGAGCTCCTTGCCCAGGATCACACAGCATGTTAGTACCAGCGATGGAGCTTGCCAGCCCTTGTAGAACCTCAATGCAACGCTCTTTCCTTCCTCCCTGTTAAGCACCAAGCAGTTATTTTCCATTTTTTCTGAAATCAGAGCACAAGGTAAAATGCCTTGACTGCAGCAGAAAGGACATGGGTCCTGATAGGAAGGAACTTCCTGATCTAGATACTGAGATCATGGGGTCCAACCTTCCCATTTTGCAGACTAGAACATGGAAGCCCAAGAAAATTAAAGAACTAGCATAAGGTGACCCAGTATCAGACACTTGAATTCCCAGGCCTGAGCTCTCTCAGTTATGCCAGCTATGCCACGCTGCTGCTCTTGAGCCAGACAGGGCAGCAGGATAGCCAAATGTGAAAAAAATAAACCCAGATGGGCTTGGGGAAGGGAGGGAGGACAGAAAGACAAAAGACCAAAAGACAGAAATATTACTTCCAAGACCACACTTTTCTTTCTCAGCTTGTCTCAGTTGGCCCCTGCTCCCGCTGTTGAGGCTGACAGCTTGCTTTGCCCTCTGACAGGAGAGAGGAGGGAGACAATAGCCAGCCCCATTGGTCTCACTTCCATTGACAAGGCTGAGTGAAAGAAAGTCAATATTTGCCCAGTAGCAAAGGACAGGGAATAAGTGTGACTTGGGATGGGGCGGGGTAGGGGCAAACAGGGTAGGGTGATGGGGCTTTTGTGATTGCCGTGTTGCTCATGGAATCACAACTTAGCAATTTAACAAAGGGTGCATTTGGAAGCAGAAGGGTTTCTAGTAGATGGTAATGTGGCTATACTGCAGCAGGAAGGGCTCATGTGAGGTGCAAGGAAGGACTTCCTACCAGGGAATTGCCCGCTGTTGGCAGTCCTGAGCTGACTCGTGTGCCCCTAGTCCATGGTTTTTGGTTTTGGTTTTCAGGTTTTTTGAGTGAAAAGGAAGGCTGCAGTGTGTAGGGCCTCGGGTGTGAGCACTTGACTTCTAAAGGAGCTTTTGGATTTTCCGCATTAAATAACCCTTTGTACCTCAGAGTGCATCCAGCCCCATTAGCAGGCACCATCCTCCTGGAAACCCTGATCCCTAATAAACTTCCCTTATTGTTTGGAGCTGACACCTCCCCAGCTTCCAGCTCCCTGGAGAAATGGAACTCTTAAAGCTTTTGCAGAAAGGCCTCCGAGCAGATGGCCCATTGAGCGGATCTCTCAGGCAGAGGCTGCAGAAGCTGCAAGAAAGGCTGTGTATATACCCAAAGGATTATAAATCATGCTGCTATAAAGACACATGCACACGTATGTTTATAGCGGCAATATTCACAATAGCAAAGACTTGGAACCAACCCAAATGTCCAACAACGATAGACTGGATGAAGAAAATGTGGCACATATACACCATGGAATACTATGCAGCCATAAAAAGTGATTAGTTCATGTCCTTTGTAGGGACATGGATGAAATTGGAAACCATCATTCTCAGCAAACTATCTCAAGGACAAAAAAACAAACACTGCATGTTCTCACTCATAGGTGGGAATTGAACAATGAGAACACATGGACACAGGAAGGGGAACATCACACACCGGGGACTGTTGTGGGGTGGGGGGAGGGGGAGGGATAGCATTAGGAGATATACCTAATGCTAAATGATGAGTTAATGGGTGCAGCACACCAACATGGCACATGTATACATATGTAACAAACCTGCACATTGTGCACATGTACCCTAAAACTTAAAGTATAATAATAAAATTAAAAAAAAAAAAAAGAAAGTCTCAGTTCCTTATCTGGGCCCCCAAGCCTAGGGAAAGATGTGGAAGAAGTCCTTGGCAGGTCAAGGGAGGCTGTGAATTTTTTTTCTGCCTTTGCTTTGTTACCTTTCCATTTTTCTTCTCCGCATGTTGCTCCTCTTTTCTCTGTGTCCTGAGATTGGGGAGGGGCTGGGGGGGAAGGAGGGGCAAAGCCCACAGCCTTTCCCCAGCTGGAATGGAATGCTTGAACCCTGTAGCAGCTGCCGTCTGCTTCAATGGCTTTTGTGATTGCTGTGTTGCTCATGGAATCACATCTTAGCAATTTAACAAAGGGTGCATTTGGAAGCAGAAGGGTTTCTAGTAGAAGGTAATGTGGCTATACTGCAGCAGGAAGGGCTCATGTGAGGTACAAGGAAGGACTTCCTACCTGGGAATTGCCCGCTGTTGGCAAATATGCTAGGTGGAAAACCGTGGGAGTTGATCCACCGGACTCACTTACTCTCTTGGGAATGAGCCAGGTTTGTTACCTGCCCCTGAAGGGGCCACAGTGACATTCCTGGAGGTCAGTGCTGCCACCCAAGACTAAACCTAGTCCCACAGCCACCAAATTAATCATCAGGGCCGGCAGTCCTTGGAGACCAGAAAGCCAGAGTAGCTTCCTAAGCCCTTCGTTTGGCCCCGGGCACTGAGGGAGGGGCAGAGGGTGAAAGGGGGAAGGAAGGCCCTTGGCCTGGCCTCAGCCCAGCCAGCCCTGCAGCCAGGAGAGATACTGCAGCACCTACCAGCAGCCGGCAGGAGAGTGTCTCAAAGCTGCTGCTCACAGTGGGGCAGACGGAGCCTGCCAGCTCCAAGCCTGCCTTCAACCTGCTCCCCACTGCTCGGCTGGGCTGGGACTTGAGGGCAGCTGGCTGCTCAGAGACAAATTGCAGCCTGTCCCCCATCCCCGCCCCCAGCACATGGCACCTGGGTGAGAGCACAGCCCAGCTTCTGGACTTATGTGGACTTCCTGCACACACACTTCGTCCTGAGCCTAGTCGTGTGCCCCTAGTCCATGGTTTTGGTTTTGGTTTTCAGGTTTTTTAAGACAGGGTCTCACTCTGTCACCCAGGCTGAAGTGCAGTGGTGTGATCACGGCTCACTGCAGCCTCAACCTCCCGAGGCTCAGGTGATCCTCCCACCTCAGCATCCCACATAGCGGGGACTACAGGTATGCACCACCGTGCCTGGATAATTTTTGTTTTGCAAGGTTTTTCTTTGTTTTTGTTTTTGTTTTGTTGTTGTTGTTGTTTTGGTAGAGACAGGGTTTCACCATGTTGCCCAGGCTGGGCTCGAACTCCTGGGCTCAAGCAATCCTCCTACCTCAGCCTTCAAAAAGTGCTGGGATTACAGGCGTGAACCACCATGCCCAGCCCCTAGTCCATGTTTTAGTGAGACTTGGAATATGCGAAGCCTTGTACTTGTATGTGCTTGGCACTGTGGTGCAGTGGTTAAACCTCAGATGCTAGGGCTAGGTTGCCTGTATTCAAATGCCAGCTCCTCCAGTTTTTTATCTGTGGGACTTTGGCTAAGTTACTTAAACACTTGTTACCTCAGTTTCCTCATCTGTAAAATGGAAATGAAATAGCTTGCCATCAGGTTGGCATGAGGATTTGATGTATGACTATTTACATATAGCTCTAAGAATAGGCAGTGCCTGACACACGGTGCTATAAAGATTTTGCCATAAAGTGCTATAAAGAGTGTTATTATGGTGTTTCTGAAAACTGACTGATGTTTTGTAGGTAAAGAAACATAGCAGCAGAGCTGGGAGTGGGGCGAGGCAGGGGTATGATTGGCTTTGATGAGAAGAATCTAGAATCCAGTGAACCCACTATTAAGTTACTGCACATGGCCCCAGGCAAGCGGTTTTTCCCTATCTCTTGGACCTCAGTGGTCCCCATTAAAAAATGTGGAGAGGGATGCCTGCCTTCCTCACTTCTCCCAAGATGTCCTGGGATCGAATGAGGCAGATGATGGTCTGAAATAGCCAGTGAGCCTAGCGGATGCACAGGTTGGCCTCTCCCTGTCCCTGCTCTGGAGCACATGCTGGCTTGCTGGCTGAGGTCCTGGCATGTTGGGCTTTCTACCAAGGGCACCAAACCCAGTGTACTGCTCTCCCAGTGAGGCCACTTGGACTCTGGGTGGCTCTGGGCTGAATCTGGCCCTCCTCATTTTCTGTTCTTCCTTATTTCACCTGGAAAAAGGATGGTGGTTTTGTATCTCCTAATGCTCCTTAGCAAGGGAGAAGGAGTGTTTCTGAATGCAGTGTATAGTTGTACAAGCAGAGAAGGGGGCAGGAGAACCTCTCCTTCAAGCTGGGACACCCTGGCCATGAGCTCCAGACAAACTGAGGTGATGCCTTTCCTGGGTTGTCAAAAGTGGGAGCTCCTTCCCCCTACCACTTGCAGCCAGACTATCCACTGTGCAGGGAGGCAGGCAGGGGGCTGATCAGAAGCAGCACATTGAGTCAATATCACATTCAGCATCTTTCCTGCCAGGTAAGACAAGGACCCTGGTTGTTAGTGCCCTTGTCGCTTCCTTCTCTTTCCTCCTTCCTGGCTGGGAGGGAGAGCCAACCTGACCTGCTCACAGTATTGGAGTGATGGTTAGGTTAGGGCCTCTTGGTTTGGCCCCAATATCTTCTGCCAAGAACCATGGGGGTGACCAGGTTGTATATACCCAAGCAAGCAACCAAGTGATGCCCACTGCCCTACAGACTTCCCACCTGATCATCTGGGGTGAGTTGTGTGTAAGGAGAGGGAAGGCCACTTTATAAATAGCCTTAGAAATGTCTGCTTCTGGAGCTGTCCTCAGAGCTTCTTCCTGAATATCATTTTACCAAGAGCCCCAGAGATGAGGTTTCTTGGCCAAGGTCACCCCCAAAATCAACCGTGAGCTCATGTCTTGAAGTCCACTATACTTCATCTGCCCCATTCCCCAGGCTTCCCTAAAGAAGATATCCAGCATTGCCTAGAAATGTAGCTTTCCCTTCTGGTGCCTGTCTCCTGTGACCCTGCTCCTGACCTCAAATCCCCCTGAATATCATCCCTTGTAAGTTGTATGGGTTTGGATTAGAGAGCGGGGAGAACTTCCTGAGTGGCCTCATTGGGACAGGGAATGGAGGCTTTCCCCAAGATACATAAGGGCAGGCCTGCTCTCCATGAGTCTGAACTGGATCAGGTCTTAGGAGCTTCAGGAGTTCGACAACACAAAGTCCAAAATCAGGTCCTGCGGCCTCCTAGGCATGGGACTTTGGGCAAGTTGCTGACTGGCTCTGAGCCTTATCATTAAACTGGAATGGATATGATTTACTAACTTATAGAAGTTTATAAATATATATTTACTTTTTGAAAACAGCTTTATTGAGCTATAATTCACATACTATACAATTCACCCATTTAAGGGCACGATTCAATAGCTTTTAATATATTCACAGAATTGCACAACCATCACCACGATCTAATTTCAGAACATTTTTTCACCCCTAAAAAGGAACTCCATACATATTAACAGTCACCCTCGATTCTTCCATTCCTCCCAGCCTTAGCCAACTAATCATCTACTTTCTGTCTCTATGAAATTGCACCTTCTGGATATTTTATTTAGATGGAATTATATAACACATGGTCTTTGGTGCCTGGCTTCCTTCACTCACATAATGCTTTCAAGGTTTAGCCACATTGAAGCATGTATCGGTACTTTATTTCTTTTTATTGCCAAATAACATTCCATTGTGTGGATATACTGCGTTTTATTTCTCCATTCATCAGTTGATGGACATTTCGTTGATTCCACTTTTCAGCTACTCTGAATAATGCCGCTATCAACATTTGTGGAAGGGTTTTCGTAAGGATACGTGTTTTCATTTCTCTTGGGTATATGCCTAGGATTGTCAAATGGTATACTTTTTTTTTTTTTTTTTTTGAGATGGAGTTTCACTCTTGTTGCCCAGGCTGGAGTGCAATGGCACAATCTCGGCTCACTGCAACCTCCGCCTCCTGGGTTCAAGTGATTCTCCTGCCTCAGCCTCCCAAGTAGCTGGGGTTACAGGCATGCACCACCACACCCAGCTAATTTTGTATTTTTAGTAGAGACGGGGTTTCTCCGTGTTGGTCAGTCTGGTCTCGAACTCCTGACATCAGGTGATCCATCCGCCTGGGCCTCCCAAAGTGCTGGAATTACAGGTGTGACCCACCACACTCAGCCAGTATACTTATTTTTAAATGGTATATTTATATTACTAGGCTCTGTTCTAAGTATTTCATATGGATAGTCTCCTTTAATTATCATAATACTCTACAAGGTAGGTACTATTATGAATCCACTTCTTATAAAGTGAAGAAATGGAGGCATCATTTGAGGGACATCAAGGGATTTGTCCAAGGAGACTCAGCTAAGAGAGCCAGGATTTGGACCCTGGCCTCTGGGCCTTCGCTCTTCCACCAACTTGCTCCCACATGTGAGATTTAAGTGAGAGAACGTCTGAAAGTGCTCCCAGCCTGACTGTAGTAGGTGCCCAAGAAACGTTCGTTGGATGCTGGGAAAGGACCAGACACCTTGCATTTCGCTGTCTGACTCACCATGTGGCTTTAGGGAATTTGTGTCCGTTTGAGCCTCAGTTAAATTTCCCCAATACATAAAGCTTCAATATGGCATTTCATAAAGACAGGACTGAGATGGGAGGTGCAATATCATGGAAAGAGCCCTGGATTCTAGATCTGGCTCTCTCACTGGCTTGGAAGGGGTAGTAATTTCCTTTCTCTGTCTCTGGGTTTCCCCACCATTCAATTAGAGGCTGGAACAATTGATCCTAAGTTTCCTTCCAGCTCCCCCATCCTATATAAGTTCTATATTCTTCCTCAGCAACTGGAGTCCCCTGTGGAGCTAAACTGGGATGGGTGCCCAGGGCCTCAGGTCACTGCTGTGCTCAGCAACACTTCTCCCACCCAGTGTGTTAAAGGCCAGGTAGGGGCTGAGTGGGATGAAGATGGGGAGGGGGAGGACCCACCCTAGGCCTCCCTTCCATTATGGAGCCCTTGGTGTGGGCTGGGGACCTTCTCTTCTCTCAGCCAGAAAAGAGCCACCTCACCTACACATCCCCTCAGTCTTCCCTGGCTCCCCTTCTCTTGAGTCCTGCTCCTCTGGAGTCCTGCTCCCTCTGGAGTCACTGCAGCCCTCATTCCAATGAACTACCCAGCCACTTTTGGAGGCTTGGACTAGCTCCTGGTTTGGGATCACTTATGGGAAAGCGCTGGGCACCCACTGGGTGCCCAGCATATTTTGGTGACTTAAATAGGGATCAGTATTTGAGCTAGTGGCTTCCCCTAGGTCATGATTCCCCAGTTCACTTATCCCCATCCTTTGTCAGCAAGAGCATTCACTGCATTCTGCAAACCTAACCTGGCAGCACCAAGCGAGGCGCTTCTGCATCTTCCAACTGCACAGCCACAGCCTGTAAACTTTTCCTTGGCCCTCCCTTTAGTCCATATTCCTTACTTCCTGGATGCCACCGGTCAGAGTGCCTCCTGCATCCCAGGTCCTGTGCCAAACACATAACGTACAGGATGCTGCATTTACCCCTCTGTGGTGGGAATTTGTAGTGTCTCTAGTTTATAGAAGAGGAAGCACATCCAGAACAGGGAAATAACTTCTCCAAGGCCACCAAGCTGGTAGATAACTGTGGAAGGATTTGAGCAAAGGCTGTCTGGTCCCAAATCCTGCATCACTCGACTGAAAGGAAAGATGGCATAAAGGGCTTTTAAGGGGGTGCCCAGAGCCAGGGAAATCAGGTGGAGCCTCTCTGGGCAGGTGGGCTCTGGATTCCTCCGGGGCAGGTCTGTGTCTCTGTGTCTTCTCTCTTCCCCTGCATGGAGAACAGTCGAGCCTGTTGGGTAATGCCTGGGAACACCCTCCTCTGGGCTTAGTCTTCTCATTGACAGAACAGGGTCTGACATTTCCAGCAGCCCTGTGCGCCAAGCTTACCCAGAGATCCGGTGATGGCTACACAGCCTTTCTTCCACTGGTTATAGAGTCACTTTCTCCCAGGTTTGCTGTTCTTCCCTGCAGTGTGATGAGCCGGCGTCTCATCCCCAGCTCCCCATCCCCCAATATCTGTGTGTCTCACTATTTTTAAGCTCCGTGGGCTTAATGAGCTGCCTGCCATGACACGTCTTCGACATTTACCTTTTTCTCTAATGAGCCTCAGAGAGCTAGCCTGGGCTTATTTTTCCCTTGACAGTCCCCCACCCCAGTCAGGAGGCCAGAACTGGGCTATTTCCCTTCGGGGCCCAGACTTGGCTTCCTGAGACCCCCACAGCAGTGTGCCCCACAAATTACCTAGTGGTGGCAACACTGCAGATTCCAGGCCCTGGGGAGCTGACTCCTTCTCTGGTACCACCTTCTGTCTTGTTTCTCCTCTCTTACCCCACCTCAGCCCCTTCCTGCAGAGTGGTGATGTCATAAAGGAAACTCTTGTGGTCCCCACATAATTGGCAGCTACTTCTCTCTGAGGACAAACTGCCTGGCAAACCAGCAGGGCCAGGCAAATGAGGCCAATTGGCAGCAAGGGCTGGGATGGAGATGTCAGAGATTTAGAGGCTCTCAGGGTTGGAAGGGGGACCTCAAATTTCATCTAGGTCAATGCTGTGTCCCCTTACCTGAGTCCTGTCTATAATATCCCTCCCAATAGTGGGCTAACCTCAGCTTGAATGCTCCCGATGATGGAGCACTCATTACCTCCTGGGACCACGAACTCATCAATGGGTGGTGCTGACTGTGCAAAAACCCTCCTTCATTTTGAGCCTAAATCTGTTTTCCAACATGAAGAGAGAAGACCCCCGCAGTGGGTTCATCCTTCTTCTGGCTCCAGCCCTCAGTGCTGCGAGGGAGCCGCAAGTCACTCTTCATGAGGAAACATGCCCGGTGTCTTGGGTGGGGGCAGAGGCACCACTGATCCACAAAGATGTGGTGTGATTTTTTCCTCTCAGGGGACTTTGCTTGGGGGAGGGGCCACTGGGAAGAGCCAAGAAGCTGCTAGAAAAAAACTGAAGTCGTTCCTCCTTCTCAAGTGCGAAGTGAACCTGCAGCAGAACATTAGAAACCCTGATGCAGGCTAGCTCCGTCTGTGGGGACCGTTACATGCTGGTTCTCTGTTGCCAGCTCCAGGGAGTCAGGGTCTAATAAGGAGCCACCCCAGGTATTCCACTTATAGTTATAGCTCCAAGCAGGGGTCATCAGCAGGGTGACTGGAACTCCCTGCGGTTCCAGAGAGCCACAGATGCTCACCCATGCTGGCTTTGGTAGGCAGGGAGCTCAGTAAGCCTCTCGGAGGCTCAGGATTTTGCCAGTTTGGAAGAGCACTGGATGATTTGGAAGAGCACTGGATTCCAAGCTTGGAAGAGCACTTGGAAGAGCACTGGATTCCAAGCCAGCTTGGAAGAGCACAGTAAGGCAGGCTTCTTACTCTGTCACTTCGGACAAGTCCCTTCCTCTCTCTGGCTGTCAGTTTCCTCAGCTGTGATATGTGCTATGTGTGGACCTTCAGAAATGGTGCAGGGCTGGGCCCTGCAGCTGCCGAATGCCATGTGTGTGGGTGGAGGTGCTTCATCCTGGGCCGTGCTCTGCAGGACACAGTGTTTGTCACCAGTGGTCATATGAAGGGACAGTCCTCTGCCCACTTCCATTTCCCCTCTCCTCTGGCCCAGAGCAGGGAGGCCAGAGCCCTGTGTACTGCTAGGCAGGGCAACGGCCCATTCTCAAATGTTTGCTGGGGCCGGGGGTGTGGAAAGAGGCTCCTGTGAGGGAAAACCTTGAGGCCTCTGGTGTCCTGGACCAGGGAGGCTCTCCTGCCCTAAGTCAGGCTCTGTGGAGAGGGTCCCAGATGATGGCGTCTCTGGAGCCGGGGTGTGTTCTGCCGTGTCATCACCTTCCCAAGTCAGCTGTCATCGCTGCGCTTTCCAGGGTGGTGGCTGTGAGGGGTCCCATCATGGTCTGTGGTTGCCAGACACCCACCCAGGTGGACGTCTCTTGCCTGGAAACTGGCCAGCCTCTTCCAAGCCCACCCCATCTCCTCCTAAACCTTGGCTCCCTGCTGCTTTTCCAGGAAGCCTTTCCTCAGTGGCTCCCTGGTTCTAGGTGCCTTTGCCCTGTGGTTCTCAGCAGAAGCGCCTGTGCATCATGGGAAAGCCGGTTGGCGATGGGATGCACGGCGCTCTATTAGGGTCTATGCTCTCTCTACCCATGGTGTCCTCCAGCACCTGGTCAAGCCAGAGTGTGTGGGAGCCAGGGGTCCACCCCTAGCTCTTTCTGCTCTGCACATTCGTTTTTCTTTTTGATGAAGTTATAACTTAGATTCAGCAAAGTGCACAACTTATGGATATATGCACCAGTATAATCACCAAAGAAATTCCCCAGAAGGATCCCTGTCCCCTCCCAGCCCCTGCCTGCCCCTCCGGTGTAACCGCTCTATTGCCATGGAGTCATTTTCTGTTCTTCAGAGCTTTCCTCCGATTCCTGGTCATTCCTCAATCTCCCTGGCTTTCCTCTTTCTCTACAAATCCTCCAAATGCTGATATTTCTAGAAGCCCATCTCTGGATTTCTTCTTATGCCCACACTCTCCCCAGCGGATTATTCTTTTGTGCTAGTGACTTCCAGAGTCACTTCTGAGCAACACACCTGCCCCTCCCCTCCAAGCTGCCTGCTGGGTATGGCCGCTTGGCTGGTCTGCTGGCATGGCTAGGTCTCACCTAATGTCAAACTCCTGGGCTCCAGTGATTCTCCCACCTTAGCCTCCTGAGTAGCTGGGACGACAGGCATGCACTACCATGCCTGGCTAATTTTAAAATTTTTTGTAGAGATGGGGTTTCACTGTGCTGTCCAGGCTGGCCTCAACCTCCCAAAGTGCTGGGATTACAGGCATGAGCCACCACACTAGGGATAGGTTTTGCCTGGGACATCCTTGGGGAGTCTGGGCAACCTCACCTCTTCACATCCCAGTGTTGTCATCTATAGGATGGGAGTGGCAGCTAGAGGAAGAACAGCTAGACTCTGCTGACTTCTGAGAGGAGGATGTGGTCAGATACCCACAAATGAGAACTTGAAAATTAGAGCAACCAAAATAGAGACTCAGCAGCCACGGTTGGAGAAGCCATGGCTGCTGAGAGGCCTGAGTATTGGGGAAGGTGGGCTGGAGGACGGGGAAAGGCTTGGCAGGATCTGGACACAGGGGCAGGAAAGAAGCCAGGGATAGTGCAGTGGCTCAGAAGAGAGGACTTGGCCCAGAGGTGGGCATCAAGAAGGCCGTCTGGGCTGGAGCTAAAGGCATGGGTAGAAGGAGGACCATTGATTAAGAGAGGCCTGAATTATCCCAGGAAATTTTAAAAAGGGGTGGCTTAATCTGGCCCTTAATAGGGGGTTAGCAGAGAGGCTGCCCCACCTCTCCACTGGAGCCATCCCCGTGTGCTTCTGACAGGCCTGTGCCCAGCCTGGCTCAGGAACCAGCCATGGACATAATGCCATGCTTTACATACAGTGCTCCTAAGCCTCGCAGCACTGCGCAGCAGCTTCCATTATCATTCCCATTATGCAGATGGAGTGCTGAGGCCAAGAGAGGTTAAGCAACCTGCTCAAGTTCCCATGGCTAAAAGTGACAGAGCTGAGACTCCAGTCCAGGTCAGTCTGTCCAGAGCCCAGGTGCTAATTCACCCCACTTGGCTGCACCTGGTGTTTCACTTGGCTCCTCTTCCTCAGCAGAGCTGTCTTCTAGGTTTGGATCCACATAGAATTCCAAGTTGAGGCTTTCCAATTTGGAATTCTCCCCCTCATTGCTCCACTCCTCCAGCCCATGGGTGTTTTGAGGCCATGGTTCATCCCTCCTGGCCCCTACCTCCCATGTCTGTCCCGGCTCCCGGTCAGGCAGGAGAGAGCTGGCTTCTTTGGAGCACCTAATTGTGCCCCCGGGACTTGCATGCTCCACTTTAGTTTCTGGAGACCACGAGCTGTCATAGGTGTTGGTGATAATGGGCATCTCTGTCTGAAGAGTGATGGGTACATCTCTGTCCCTGGCGCCTGGCCAGCATCTGGAAGGACGGAGGCGCTCTTGGAAACGGGAGGACCAGACTGCACCTTCCTTGGCTGGCTCCCAGCTCCCACTGAGAGCAGGCTGGGCTCTCCAGACGTCTCATGACCTCTCCCAGGTCCCGGTGTGGCCCAAAGCGAGCTACTCTGCTGCCTGGGAGTACAGCTGTTTCCGTCCTCTGGGAAAGGGTGCTGTGAGCGAGCGACCTGTTTCGCTCCGCCTGAGGCCCAGTTTCCTCAATTACAAAATGGGAATCACAGTCCCCACCTCACAGGGCCCGGATGAAATGAAATACACCGCTGGAACGGAGTGGGCACAGTGGAGGTCTCCCTCCCTGCCCCCGGCACCCACCTCTGAGCCCGGTGCCTTTGTGGTCTTCCCGTTAGACCCACCTTCCCAGTGTGCTTCAGGAGCTCCCTGGGGCTGTTTGTTGGGAAGGAAAGAGCCCTGGGCTGAGTGCTAGGAAGTCAGGGTTCAAGTGCACCGGGAGGCCTTGGGCAAGCTGATCTCTGAGCCTTAGCTGTCTCCTCTGTCAAGGGGCAGAACCACATCTGCTGCACCTCCCAAAGGCCTGAGCTCTGTTGTCTCCCCGTGAGCTGCTTCAGGATGGGGTTGGGTTTTATTCTTCTTGTATTCCCAGCACTTAGCACGGAGCCTGACATAGGATTTGGAGAAAACGAAAGTGAAGATCAGAGGAAAGAGTGGATTTTTAAGCAATTAAACATGCTAGGGGTTATTTTCAAGGTTGGGTAAGGCAGACAACTCCTGGCCAAACCCTCATTAACTGGGGAAGTGGTCTTCATGCCCTTCCTTCGCGCATGACTCTCCAGAGAACCTGAGCTGCACTGGACCTTCTTTCCCCATGGGGAGCCACGGGCCTGCCTACCTATAGTGGAGCACCGCAAGGCAGTGCGCCTGCCCATCCACACCCCACCCATGACCACTCAGGCCCTGGGTGTCAGGGTCTGAACTAGACAGGGTGCCTCTTTCGGCTTTGGGGTTTCTCTTCTCTCCTTTAGCAGGGAGCTTGATGGGACAGAGGTTGCCAGAGTTGGGGGGGCAGTGCCTGCTGAGATCCCCCACCTCCTCCATTGCCTGCTACCAGGCTCAGCAATCAGGCTGCTCCTCTGGGAGCTGGCAGGAAATGCAGTCGTGAACAAGACACGTTCCCACCTCACAGCCTTAGTGATCCTCCAGGAGCTGAGCTGCTTATACAAGTACCTTTGACACCAGGAAGAAGTGACGCAGTCTCTGCAAGAGGAACACACAGAGCCAGGGAAGAGAATTCTGGGCCTCAGGCTCCCCAGCCGCACAACCTCTGCAGCAACCCTTGCCCTCCTGGACAGAGCCTGGGCTGGCTCAGAGTCCCTGACTTGGCGAGCACTGCACCCCTCGTTGTGGGTAACACAAGGTCCGTCCTTGAGTCCATGGTCAGCATGGACTCGGCCTAGCCCCGCTGAGAGGAGAACTGAGGAAAGGAAATGAGTATTTATTTAGGGACCACTTTGTGCCAGCACATGTGGCCTCTTCAATCCTCATAACATCCCTGTGAGACAGGCACCTGATCCTCGGTTTGTAGCTAAGAAATGATCCCAGGGAAATGAACTCATCTCCCAGGGCTGCAGAGCTGCTAAGTGTCAGGTTGGAAAGCAGCCCTGGCTGTTCTAAAGCCCAAGTTCTCTCATGACCCCACTACTCTTTGTGCCCGCTCGCCTTCAGAGGTAGAACTCTCCAAGCATCTCGGAAGGCTCGGTTCTAAAAGCTGAGAGGCTATCTAGGCCGCATGCGGTGGCTCAGGCCTGTAATCTCAGCCCTTTGGGAGGCTGAGGCAGGTGAATTGCTTGAGCCCAGGAGTTTGAGACCATCCTGGGCAACATAGCGAGACACCTTCTCTACAAAAAAGAGCGGGCATGGTGGTGCGCCTGTAGTCCCAGCTACTCGTGGGGGTCGAGGCTGCAGTGAGCTGTGATTGCGCCACTGCTCTCCAGCCTGGGTGACAGAGTGAGACCCTGTCTCAAAAAAAAAAAAAAAAAATGAAAGCTGAGAGGCTATCTTGGGAGATGCAAAGCCACTTTCCAAAGGATGGAAAGAAGTGGAGAGAAACCAGGTCTCCTGATGCCTCTTTCAGGTCCCAGACCTCTTGCCACCTTTGGAGACAGAGGGTCTGGCAAGAGTTGCCGCTGCAGAGGGAGGGTGGGGGCTGGTGACCCTGTGGTCTCTTCCAACCCCGAGGCTGTAAGGTGACCTGCACCGTAGTCCACCCCCTCCCATTACCCAAGTACAGGGCCTGTAGCTATCACCCCAGCTTCCGGGACAAGTCCTGTGGCCCCAGACCCCCAGCCCTCCCTTCCCTGGGGCTTCTCACATTTCTACATGTGGCAGTGTAATGCACCTGCACGCAATGTTTGTATGCATGTTCACAGTGCCGGTTCATGCATGTTTATACATTCATACATGGTGTTCATACACATGGCGCTCACGTGCACCCACATACACATACACAGCCTTTCTGGCATTCTCTGCCACGTCCCTGCACTGGCTGCTGTCACCCATTTCAGCTGGGCCTGAGAGATGGAGACAGGACCCCCACCCCGGTGCTGCCGGCTAGCAGATGCCACAGTGCTGATGTTCTGCTCCATTACTGGGTTGATGGAGCCTCCTTCTGCCTCCGGCCTCCCACCGGTTGCCCACCTCCTCCTTTCCAGGGTGTGAGCGTTGACTGGGGGCCTGGGAGGCAGTGAGCCTGGCGGGGGTGCAGCTGTGTGCGGAGGGCATGGGCCTGGCTTGGGTGGAGATGGGGCTGGAGGCAGGCGGCAGGCTCCTGGACGGACAGCAGGGGGCACCACTAGGTCTCCTCGCCGGGCCACAGGAAGGGAGGAGCCGGGCCTCCAGGCTGGGGAGGAGGCTGCGGTCTCTCCAGCTACTCTCCCGCAGCTTGAGCGGGGGCACCTGCCACCCAGCCCGGGCTCCTGCCCCTGCTCCCTTCCCCCTCCCCGCACACTGGCAACACCCCCTCCCCTTACACCCCCAGTCCACGCCACACACACACCCTACTACACACCACACACACCACACAGACACACACCACACACATACCACACACCACAAACATCACACACCCTACTACATGCCACACACACCACACAGACACACACCACACACACACCCTACTACATGCCACACACACACCACACACATCACACACACACCCTACTACACGCCACACACACCACACACACCACACACACACCCTACTACACGCCACACACACACCACACACATCACACACACACTGACACACACATCCCACACAAACTCACTATACCCCCATACCACACATATGTACACACCACACATATGCCACTACCCACCACTACCCACATACCCCCTGACACCCCACTAGAGCCTCCACCCCTAACCCACACCACCCCCTACATCACACACACACACCATATACACACACCCCACTGTCCCCCACACCCTAGAGCCCACATTACACACTACACATACAGCACACACATCCTACACACACACACCACCACGTATACCCCTACCCACCACACACGTACACACACCACATATGCACACTCACATCACACACACACCACCACACTCACGCACTCCTATTAAAAGGCTTTTGCTTTCGTGCCAAACCTCTAAACCCATCCCTTAGAGGGGCGGTGATCGGCAGAGATAGTATGTTCAAACCTTGTAACATTTAGTCAGAAAGAAAATGCATCAATTTGTAATGGTTTGTAGCTGAAATTGAAGATGTGCATCTGGCATGAAAGATATCGGGACTGTGCTGGAAGGTGCTGTGTGCCTCACATGAGGCAGAGCTGCTCACACTGTGGCTGGAGGATCCATTGATTGTGTGGGTTAATCACTGCTAAGCCACAGAGAGCTCCCCTTTCCCCTGGTGAGCGCTTCCCCAGCTGACAGTTGCCCACGCGCTCTGCAGAAAGCAGTGCCTCTCTTGGGAGCACGACCAGGGCAGACCCCCACGGTCCTACCCGTCCTCCCTCACACTCAGAGCATGCGCACAACAGACCTCCTGGGGCCCACGGGTGCACCCCCCCCCACACACACTTTCCGTATCCTACACCAGGCAGCCCAGGGCCCACTGGTCCCCAAGCCTCCATCTGTCCCCACTCAATCACTCATTCGGGGTCCCCCACCCTTCCTGGCGTGCTCCCAAGCATCTTGACACTCAACCAATGGAAGACCCTCTCCTCCGCCCCAGGACAGCTGCCTGTGGGTTTGGGAGATGTTGTGGGGTGCTGGGGAGTGGGGAACCCTGGAGGCCCAAGATGCTGAGTCTCTGGAGAAGGAGGTGGGAAGGCAGCCTGTCTGGGGGCCAGAGGCAGCCCCCTGGGCTGAGAGCAGCTGGGGGCCCCAGCAGGCAGCTCAGGGCTGGCCAGGCAGCTGGACTGTGACTCAGCAGCTTCTCCGCCTTGGCTAGAGTGCGCCGTGCTGCAGTATTAACTCCCTCTCCAGGGAGCCTGGACTCCAGCTTCTCTCCCACGGGGATGGCGGGCTCCTCTGTGCTGTTTCAAGTTGATCCTGGCTGGGGTGGCAGAGCGGAGGGTGTGCTGAGGGGCCTGCCTGGCCAGGGCATCCCTCTGCCCCCTCACCACCGCTACCCCTACACCCTACAAGCGTTAGCCAAGGATCAAATGGAGCCAGGGCTTGGTGGGGTGGCCTGAGGAGCTACAAAGGCCTGGAATCCAGGAATTGACAACTCAGGCAGTTCTGCCACCATTTAGTGGTGTTGTTTGTGTGATGGAGGTAAGCCACCTCCCTTTGGGGCCTCGATTTCTTTGTTTTCGAAAAGAGGCTGTGGACTGCATTGTCTGTAAGAGTCCTTCAGCCCTCACAGGCTGGGTTTTATTAATATTTGTCTGTGATTTAAGGGTATCCATGCCTGGGGTCTAGGTTCAGAGAGAAATAATCCGAGGCAGGCGTGAGGTGCTGCAGATTTGCAGAGCCTTACTCAGGAAACTTCACCTTTGATCATGGAAGCAGTCCTTAAGGCAGGGAGGGCAGGGATGCTTAACCCTCACACACAGCTGCACAAGCGCAGGGAGGCTAACAGGCCAGCCCAAGATTGATGCAGGAAGGGCTCAATCCTCAGCCATTGGATTCTGAGGTGCCCCTCAGGTGGCCTGGGATTGCTGATCTCAGCATAGATGCAAGAGAAGGAAAATGAGTGTTGCCGCAGCAGGAGAGATTGAAGTTAGACACTAGAAGGACGTTCCAACTCTCAGGAACCTGGGAGTTGTTAGCTTCCCCAGGGCCAGTCAAGAACAGACTCTGCTTCTATGTGTGCAGAATGACAACCTTGCTCCAAAGTGGAGGTGTGCGTGGACTGACCAAGAAGGCTCATCAGACCTCGGTACACAAGGAACTCAAAGAAATGGGTAATTTATTTTCAGAATGAGCTAGAAAATTAATTCATTAACACTTTATCCTCAGCCTCCCAGGACCAAATGTTGGACTGAAGCACTGGTGCAAAACATAAAGACAAACATTTCTCCTTAAGTATTGATCTTTTTAGCCTACGAGCTTCGGCGACAGGTGTCTTGCTGGTTAACCTATTTCCATCTCATTACTTTGGCTTCTGCAAATACAATGCCGGGAAAGATTAAATACTGTAAGCTGTATCCAGTCAGCTCTCCATTATCTGCATTAATCGAGGCCAGTACTGAGTGGGATAATCCACAGAAGTGCCTAGTCCCCAGATCATATTTAATTGATTTGGGGTGGCAGTTGATGGTGAGTGTGTGTACATGTGCGCACACACACACACACATATGCTTTTGGTGAGGGTGAGGATCGAACTTACTCATCTTTGATGTGGCATCAGGATCCCATTTTGGAGGCAGTCTCATTTGGGGGCACACCAAGGGAATCCCAGAAGCCTGCTAGAGGAGACAACAGGGCTTCTAGTCTCCCGACTTTTTGTAGGGAAGAAGAGGCAAAGTGAGAGTCCAGGTGTCCTCTGAGGGTGAGGGGGGCAGGTCCTGGTGGCATTCTCCCTGCAGCATGCCTCCCACCTGGAGCAGGTCAGGCGATTTCCGGGTGAGCTACACAAACCCACTCATTTGTTCTCTCTTTTGGCTGGGCGCAGTGGCTCATGCCTATAATCCCAGCACTTTGGGAGGTCAAGGCGGCAAGATCGCATGAGGCCAGGAGTTCAAGACCAGCCTGAGCAACATAGTGGTACCCTGTCTCTACAAAAAATTTTAAAACTAGCCAGGCATGGTGATGCATGTGTGTGGTCCTAGCTCCTTGGGAGGCTGAGGTGGGAGGATTGCTTGGGCCCAGGAGTTTGAAGGCTGCAGTGAGCTATGATCACGCCTCTGTATTCCAGCCTGAGCAAGGGAGTGAGACGCTGTCTGTAAAAAATAAAATAAAATTAAATAAATTTAAAAACACACAAACCCCCCTCGTTTGTTTTCTCCTTCTCAAGGCTGAGGATCCAGCTCCAGGGTTCTGAAGTACCAGAGGGTGGAAGAGACAGGCAGATTTTCATGGGCTTCAAAATTTTAAAGATACAGAAAGATACCCAGTGAAATATTTTCCAGCTCCTGCTTTCCCAACTCTGCTCCCCAGAAGCAACTACAGCTAATGTCATCGATTCCTTATGCACTTTTCCAGAGCCGTGCTGTGAATATAGAAGCATACAAGCATACATATGCTTCTCCCCCACCCTTTTACACAGGTATCATGCTCACTCCCCTGCACACTGATTCTTCCACTATCTCCCTTGGAGATCATTCCCTGTTCACCCACACAGAGCAAAGCTCCAGGGCATCTGGGTCTTCTGTGATTCTCCCATGTGGGCTGACCATGGGCAGAGTAAAGACCCTCAAAGCAGAACATCCCAGAACTACTGAGAGTGTGAGGGTGAGTGTGTGAGGTCGTCTCACCCCACCTTCCTCCTCCAGCCTAGCTCCCCTTCCCTCCTACTCAACTTGATTGTCAATCAAGTCTCTCTTTAGTTTAGGTACAAGAACTGTGGCTGAGCTCTGAGCACATCTGGGCATTTGGAGTTAAGGAAAGAGAGAGCCTCTAGACATGCTGTTTCTGCTTGTTATAAGAGGGCTCATAATAGGGGGAGAGATGGTGGCCCCTTCCCCCTGCACTCCCCATCCTGGTGTATCCCTAGGCTCTCTGTTGAGAGCATTCTTTTTGATACTCACCTGAAGTCCTGCTTTCTGCCCTGACAGCTCTCTACATGATAGAAAGAAAAGGATAAGATAAAGGATAAGCCAACCAGGTTGTCACCTGCTCCCCAACTCCTCACCCAACCCAGGCCAAATGTGGCTGTTCTCCCCAGCAAAGGGGGCCAGAGGCAGTTAACTAGCACTCCGAGACCCAGGCATGTTCTAGGGTCTGTGCTGGGATATGCATGCCAAGCATGGTTCCTCCTGGACCCATTGCTCCCAGCCTTGGGGCCACTTGCAGAGGCCTGAGTGCTTGGGACTGACACTGTCACAGGGGCCAAGTGGCCATCCTGGGCAGACAGAAGGACAGTGGCCAGTGGACCAGGGAGAGAAGGGAATTCCTGCGTGGATTCTGTTTAGTGACCTTGCTTCTGGTCCACCCCTGCTTCTCCAGCATCATTTCTCACTATTGGAGACTCCCCCTTCCTGAGCTTTCCCTGAGGACTGGGCCCCCTACCTTGCTCCTGAGCAGGAGACCTGGCCTCAGTCAAATTTAGACCCGGTTCTTTATTCTGATCAACTGTGTGACCTTGGGCAGGTCACTTACGACCTGTCTGAGCAGAATTTGCCTTGTCTTTGAAATGATGCTGGTAATTGTGCCCTCCTCCCAGGTGGGTTAGATGAGAACATCTGTGTGCTCACCAAACAGAGTTATGGTGATTGAACCTGTTGTTGCCACCAATGTCCTCCTGCCTGCCCTGCCTTGATGCCCTCCAGGTCCGCAGTGCCTCTGAGGCTTATTTTACTTCCAGCAACTGGGCTTGGACTTTGACCTCTCTGGCAAGAATTTCTGAATTACTTAGAACCTCATTTTTTCAAAGTGTGGTGCCCAGATCACCTGCATGAGAGGAAATGGGGGTGCTTGTTACCATGCAGATCCCTGGGCACATTCCAGTCCACTGAGTTTTCTGAGTTAGGCTCTGGGAGACAGGTGCGATGGCAGAGGGTCTACATTTTAACAAACTCCCCAGGGGGGCTTGATGCAGGCCAAGCCTGAGAGACCCTTCCTCAGTCCCTTCCCTTGTGTGTCTTCTCCCTTGTTGGGGCCTCCCAGGCCCCTTCCTCTTCAGACCTTGACCTGTGGCCCAGCAGGCTGGGAGCAGGCATCTCTCCACACCCCCAGCCTCCCTCCCCGGACAGCTGCAGCCTTCACCTAATGGTGCCATTTCATGCTTTCCTGCTCGGGTGATTCTGACCAGACAGAGGAGTTCACTCTGTCCTGGGAGCCCTGGCACCCAGATCCATTTATCGTCCTTGAGTCTTCCAGCTGGCTGCTCTCCCAGGGACTGCAGCTCCCAGCCATGCGGGAGGCGAGGCAGCTGTGAGTTCCCGATAATTTGGCTCTCCCTCACACCGTTCTCACCGCCATTCCTCCACAGCCATGGGAGCCCTGCCTCCTAGAGTGGGGGAAATAGTCCTGGAGGCGGAGGAGGCTGCTGGGCTGTGGAAGGAAGCACTGGACTGGGGGTCCAGGGATTTAGATTCTTCCTCCACCAAATGCCTGTGCGACCCTGGACAACTGGCTTCACTTCTCCGGGCCTCCAGGAGTCTTGGGGGTGGCATGTGGGGTATGAAAGGGCTCCTGCTGTTTTCCTTCTTTCTACATTTTTTTTTCTCTGACTCTAGAAGGGACAGCAGAGCCAGGTGATAGGGGGTCACATCAGAAGGAGAGACAGCCGAGGGAATCTTGGTCTCTCAGCTACTGGCATGTCTCCCAGGGAAAATGGAAATGCAACCCAAGGGCAGCCTGGGAAAAATAAGCAGTGGTTCTCTACATGCTGGGTAGACGTGGGCTGTGGGAAGGACATGTGGTCTCCACCCATGCAACGTCTCATTTAATCCCAGCCTCAACTCGAGGGTTTAGGAATAAAAGCTGCATTCCAATAGTTTAGAAGTCTGACACTCAGAGAGGTGAAAGAAACCACATGAGGTGAAATGGTTCATAAGGGGGTATGTCTGACTCTCTATAGTCCTAGGCCTGCTGCAAGAGGAGAGGAAGGGTGGGCAGTTCCCAAAGCTGTGCGCAATGCCCCTACCTCCCATGCCAGCTTTGGGGTCTCACTGTACACACACACACACACACACACACACACACACACACACACTCTCACACCAGACCTTGGTTCCTTCCCAATCTATGCTTGAGTGGGTGCCCCTGGATACAGCCTGATGACGACTGAGTCTTAACATGGTTTGTGGAAAGAGCCCCGGGCCCAGAGCCAGCCTGTACTGCACGGGGGAACCCTAGGAAGGCCACTTCCCCACAGAATTCAGTGTCTTCTGTGAAATGACATAATGTGACCCAATCTCAAGTCTTTCCTGCTTGATCATTTACAGACCCACATATTTATTGAATGTGGGCAGATTACCTGAGGTCAGGAGTTCGAGACCAGCCTGGCCAACATGGTGAAACCCCTTCTGTACAAAACTACAGCAAATTAGCTGGGCGTGGTGGTGGGCAACTGTAATCCCAGCTACTTGGGAGACCGAGGCAGGAGAATCGCTTGAACCCGGGAGACAGAGGTTGCAGTGAGCCAAGATCATGCCACTGTACTCCAGCCTGGCAGACAGCGAGACTCCGTCTCAACAACAACAACAACAAATGTGTAAACAAGTGAGCGTCCCAACAAAATTTTACTTACAAAAATTAGGTGGGGGACTGGATTTAGCCCCTGGACTGCTGTTGGCCAACACCTGCACTAGAGCAGCAGCAGTGAGCAAGACAAATGAGGTGGCTGCTTATACAGTCACAAGCTGCATGAGTACCATGGGGATGAGAATGGAGAGCCGGGAAAGTAGGTGGTTGGGGCCTTGATGCGGGGTAGGGGAGGAGGGAGCCATGGGTGTGTGGAGGAAGGCGCACTTGGAAGTGCTGTTTGAGCTGAGAAAGATGTGTAGACTGTATTAGTCTGATCTTGCACTGCTATAAAGAAACACCTAAGACTGGGTAATTTATGAAGAAAGGAGGTTTGGTTGGTTCGAAGTTCCACAGGCTGTACAGGAAGCATGATGCTGGCATCTGCTCGGCTTCTGGAGAGGCCTCAGGAAACTTACAATCATGGCGGAAGGTGAAGAGGGAGCCAGCACTTCACATGGCCAGAGCAGGAGGAAGAGGCAGGGGAGTGGGGGTTGGAGGGTGCTACACACTTTTAAATGACCAGTCTCATGAGAACTCACTATCACTAGATCTGACCCTGTGATCCAATCACCTCCCACGAGGCCTCACCTCCAACATCAGGGATTACCATTTGACACGAGATTTGGGCAGGGACACAGATCCAAACTGTATCATAGGCTTTAGCTCCATGAAGGGGGCACAGCATGTGCAAAGGCCCCGAGGAGGGTAATACAGTGTATTAGGGGAAACAAAAGAAGGAGTATGGGCTGGTGTTAGCAACCCAGGGAGGGAAAGCCGAGGTGCTGCTGGATGGAGAGCATGAGGGGCTGTAGGCGACGCTAGGGCTTTTGGCCTGTCTCCCTGGGATGGCTTTTCATTACGGCGACATGACCGGCTTTGCATTTTATGAAGATTGCCTTGGTGGCAAATACGGAACTGACTGGAGGTGAGCAAGAGGAGACCCAGATCAGGCGGCTATGTCAGGGGCCAGTTGACCTGTGGGCCTGGAGCTCAGAAGTGGCTTGAATCTGACCGAAGAGGATGGCACTGATGCCAGGGTGTGGAAGGAACCACTCAGGGAGACACCATGGCTGAGAAGGGAAGGACCCCAAGGGCAAGCCTGAGGCAACCGAAGGAGGAGTAGTCACAGTTATGATGAAAGCAGGCAGCGGCCAGCTGGTGACCACAGCTCAGGGGTCCAGCTCAAGGAAAATGAAAATGTGGCCTGGGTTTAGTGACCTTGTGTTCATCATCCATGACTTTACAAAGAACTACTTCAGCAGAGGGATGGGGCAGAAGCCACAACGGAGGGGCTGATGAGTGAGGCGGACGTGATGAAATGGGGACCATGTGTTGCGTGTATGTGTGTGTGTGTGCACGTGTGTGTATGTGTGTGCATGTGTGTATGTGTGTGCGCAAGTGTGTGTGTGTGGTCACAAAGGGAAAGGGAGAACAAGGCAGCAGGTGGAGCTCATTTTTGGTGGGTGATGTGATAAACTGGACTGGTCCAGCCTCAGCCGAGGGAAGGGGGAAATGTTAGGCACAAGAAAGGGCAGGGATGGCAAAGACTTCCTGAGAAGTCAGGAGGGATCCTGTGCAGGAGCGGGAACTGGCTTAACCAGAGGAAAAGCCCTCAACTGAGAAGGGGTCAGGAGGAAAGGTCTGTGGTTTGACCCGAGGCTGGGACATTTTGAGAGATTTCTCACTTTTATTTTTCTTTAAAACAACAGGAAAGAGACAGGAGGGGTGTGAGGGAGCCACAGGCCTGCGGAGACTGGAGGAGGAGGCAAAGCTGGTGGGGAGGCGTTTCCTGCAGTTTCTGTGCAGTGCAGAGGGCCTGGATGATCCTGGGGACTGATGGGGCACGGGCTGCCCTCGTACTGTGGGGAGACTCTCACCAGGGGGCTCAGCAGTCAGGGGTAGCCATGGAGAAGGAGAAAGCTGTCAGTGGGATTTCTCCAGGGCTGGCGCTTTGCCAGGTGAATACCACAAAAATGCCAAGGGAGTGCAGGGAATTGTGAACAAGTTGTAGGCACCACAGACCATGGTGGGAAAAGAAGACTAGAGGGGCTGATGGTGGCCCGGGAAGGTCAGGGAGATTTCTCCAGGAACAGCATTCTAGGCTGAGGGAGAGTAAGTGCCGAGGCTGTGGGCTGGGGGTCTGTTTGGTGGGTTTGTGGCTGGTAGCAAGAGGCCAGCATGGCAGGAACTGAGTGACTGAGAGCAGGGACAGGAGATGCCTGTGGGAGCCAGCCAGGGGCCAGGCCAGGCAGGGATCTTATTCTAAATGTGACAAGATGCCACAGGAGGGTTTTAAATAGATCAGTCTGGCTGCAGTGTGGAGATCAGGCTGAGTGGAGGGGAGTGGAAGCTTCCAGATTGGAGGCTACTGTGGTACTCCAGGTGGAGGGTGGAAAGCGGCCAGATTTGGAAGGCACTGTGGGTTGTTGATGAGTTTGCAGACACCTGGGATGTGGGGGGTGACCCCACATGGATGGGAAGGATGACCCCAAGGCTTCTGGTCTCAGCACCTGGTGCCATGTACTGGGTGCATAACTGAGAGGTGGGCCCTGAATCCACCCCATCCACTCTCTGGGCCCACTGCCCATGCCTGCCTTTGACCGAGAGCCTCCTTCTCAGGCATCTTTTATTCCCTTGCTGTCTGGGCAGCTATAGCCTCCTGGTTTTTTTGGAGTCTGGAAAAGCCTCGAATCTGCTGCTGCTGCTTCATGGACTCCCCACATTCCCTCTCTGCAGCTCTAAGTCATCTTCCTCTGGCAGGTTCCCCGGGAACACTGTCTGTCTTTCATAAGAGCTCGGGGATGACATTTGTTATTGGCTGTTTTCAACTCTTTCCCCCCTTTCCTCTGGAGTTATGCTCCATCCTAGTCTTTTTACTTATGACAGCCAAAGTGAAACTTTCAAAATATGCATTTGTACATGTTACCCCTGCCCCCACCCTAAAAGGCCTCCCACAGCTTCTCATTCCTCTTTGCGAAGGACAAAACTCCTTGACGCAGCCTATGGTGCCCCTGATTCTGCCCTGCCCGGCCTGCCAGCCTCACCCTGAACCATGCTCCATCCACTCCAGCTGCCCTGGCCTTCCCTCAGGCTTTGGACTCACCACACTGCATCCCACCTCTGGGCCTTTGCATAGGCTGTGCTCTCTGCCTAGGCTGCCCTTTCATCTCCTCTTTACCTGGATAAATACCCACCCTTCGGGTCTCAGTTCAATCATCAATTTTTCAAGAAAGCACTTTTGCTTTCCCAGATTAGTTCAGGTATGCCCCTTTATAAATGCTCACCACCACCAGATGGCTCTCCTTTCTTGCACTTCTCATAATTACAATTTCATATGCACTTATGTGAAGTGCATGGTAAATTCCATGAGGGAAGCAGGATATGAGCTCAGTAAATACTTGAGTGAGTGAATGAATGAATGAATGAATGAATGAATGTGTCTCTCACATCTGTTCTCTCTACTCCATTCCTTACCTTCCCATCCTAGTGCAGGTCTTTACCATTTCTGGTCTGTGGAACCAGCCTCCCTGCTCCACTCCCCATGGAGCTAACTTCACAAACCCCACTTATAACTGCTC
Source organism: Homo sapiens (assembly GCF_000001405.40). Classification (NCBI taxonomy): domain Eukaryota; kingdom Metazoa; phylum Chordata; class Mammalia; order Primates; family Hominidae; genus Homo; species Homo sapiens. The sequence goes on along the minus strand of NW_011332701.1, from coordinate 2,335,396 downwards.
AGCACCCTTCAGTGGTTCCTGCTGGGTATAGAGGGAAGTCTAATCTCCTTTTCTTGGACTCCAACACTCCTGAAATGCAGTTCTCCCCCTTCATTCCTGGCCTGCAGGTTCCCTGAACCTCTGGAGCATTAAACATCTTCATTCCTGGCTGGTTCATTTCACTCCAAGCAGCTTTACTTTGCTACAGGACCATTTCTGGATGGTCAGTCTTGGAGAGAAAGCCCGCATCCACCATGAACCTTGGGTCCCTCTACAGTGCCAGGGCCACTTCCAGGTGCCTCAGATAAGGTTCAATGAACACTTCTCAGATTCACATCCAACCCACATTTATTGAATGCCCTCTATGTGCCAGACACAACCAAATTTATTTTTAAATTTTTCACAGCAGTTCTGAAAATTAGGTATTATTTTCCACAATTGTATATTGAAGAAATCAAGTTTCACAAAGGGATTTGTTTGGAGTCAAATGACAAGTGGTTGGCATTCTTGGGACTACATTCAGCCTCTTCCCGCAGCCCGTGCTGCCTCCTGCCCACCCTGCAGTGGAGAGTGAGAGGGTGGGGTGCTGTAGGGACCGTGGACCGGCTGTGGGCAGCTGTCTGCAGAAAGGGGAGGAGGACTGCCAATCCAGGGGCAAGGGTAGAATGGAGGAGCTAGGCTCAACCTGATAAATGGCATCTACAAAAAGCCCACAGCTAACAGCTAACATTATGTTAAGTGAAGAAAGATTGAAAGATTTTCCCCCAAAGATCAGGAAAAAGACAAGAATTCCCAATGTCACCACTTCTGTTCAACAGTGGACTGGAAGTTCTAGTCACGGCAATTAGGGAAGAAAAAGAAAATGGAAAACTGTCTTCATTTGCATGATTCTATATCTAGAAAATCCTAAGGAATCCACCAACACACACACACGCACACACACACAAATTATTAGAACAAATGATTTCAGGCTGAACGCAGTGGCTCATACCTATAATCCCAGCACTTCGGGAGGTGGAGGCAGGCGGATCACCTGAGGTCAGGAGTTCAAGACCAGCCTGGCCAATATGGTGGAACCCCATCTCTACTAAAAATACAAAAATTAGCCCTGCATGGTGGCACATGCCTATAATCCCAGCTACTAGAGAGGCTGAGGCATGAGAATTGCTAGAGCCCAGGAGGCAGAGGTTGCAGTGAGCTGAGATTGCACCACTGTTCTCCAGCCTGGGCGATAGAGTGAGACTCTGTCTGAAAAAAAAAAAAAAAAAAAAAAAAAAAGAACCAATGAGTTCAGCAATATGGCAGGGTACAAGACTGAGATACAAAAATCTATTATATTTCTATACACTAGCAATGAACAATCTGAAAGTGAAATTAAGAAAACAGTTCCACTTATAATGACATCAAAAAGAGTAAGATACCTAGGAACAAAAGAAGTGCAAGATTTGTAGTTGAAAACTACAAAACAATCTTGAAGGAAATTAAAGGTCTAAATAAGTGGGAAAATAGTGGAAAACTCAACATTGTTGATATGATCCCTGAGCTGATCTACAGATTCAACACAATGCCTATCAAAATTCCAGCTATTTTGTAGAAATTAACAAGCTGGTCCTAAAATTCATATGGAAATGCAAGGAACCCAGAATAGCCAAAACATCCTGATTAAAGAAGAAAAGGCCTGGTGCAGTGGTTCATGCCTGTAGTACCAGCATTTTGGGAGGCCAAGGCAGGTGGATTGCATGAGCCCAGGAGTTCAAGACCAGCCTGGGCAGCATGGTGAAACCCCTTCTCTACAAAAATACAAAAATTAGCCAGTTGTGGTGGCATGGGGCTGTAGTCCTAGCTACTCAGAAGGCTGAGGTTGGAGGATCAATTGAGCCCGGGAGGTCAAGGCTGCAGTGAGCCATGTTCACGCCATGTACTCCAGCCTGGGTGACAGAGTGAGACCTTGGCTCAAAAACAGACAAACAAAAAACAAAGTTGGAAGACCCATTCTGCCTGATTTCAAAACTTACTACAAAGCTACAGTAATCAAGACAGTATGGTCAATAGTAGGCAGGTGCTATTAAAAAAATAATAAAAAATAAAACCAGTGTGGTATTGCCATGAGGTTAGACATACAGATAGAATTGAGAGTCCAGAAATAAACCCTCATATTTGTGGTCAGTTGCTATTTTACAAGGGAATAAGACAATTGGATGGAGGACAGAATAGTCTTTTCAACAAATGTTATACACCAAATGGATATCCACATACAAACGAATGAATGTGAACACCTTCCTTATGCCATACTCAAAGTGGATTGTAGAAACATAGTGAAACCTAATTTCTAGAAGAAAATTAAAAATTAGCCAGGTGTAATGGCACATAGCTGTAGTCTAGCTACTCGGGAGGCTGAGGCTGGAGGATCACTTGAGCTCAGGAGGCCATGGCTGCAGTGAGCCATGATTGTGCCACCGCACTTCAGCCTGGGTGACAGAGTGAGACCGTGTCTTAAAAAATAAGTGGATTGTAGACTTGAATGTGAGACTGAAAACTATACAACTCCCATAAGAAAACAAAGGAGTAAATCTTAGTGCCCTTAGGTTTAGTGATGGTTTCTTGGATATAGCACCAAAAATATGGCAACAAAAGAAATAGCTAAATTGGACATCATCAAAATTGAAAACTTTTTTGCTTCAAAGGACACCATTAAAAGCTGAAAATATGACCGGGCACAGTGGCTCATGCCTGTAATCCCAGCACTCTGGGAGGCCAAGGAGGCCAGATCAACTGAGGTCAGGAGTTTGGGACCAGGCTGGCCAACATGGTGAAACCCCGTCTCTACTAAAAATACAAAAATTAGCCAGGCATGTTGGTGAGCGCCTATAATAATCCCAGCTACTTGGGAGGCTGAGGCAGGAGAATCACTTGAACCTGGGAAGCAGAGGTTGCAGTGAACTGAGATTGTGCCATTGCACTCCAGCCTGGGCAACAAGAGTGAAACTCCATCTCAAAAACAAATAACAAAAAAACACCACACACACAAAATGAAAATATAACCCTAGAATGGGAGAAAATATTTGCAAATTATATGTTCAACAAGGAACTGGTATGCAGAATATATACAAATTCTTACAACTCAATAATAAAAAGACAAAATATTTTAAGATGACCAAAGGATTTGAATAGGTATTTCTCTATGGAAGACACACAAATGGCCCTTAAGCACATGAAAAGATATGCAACATCATTAGACATCAGGGAAATGCAAATCAAAACTACAATGAAATGCCACTTCACCTCCACCAGGATCACGGTAAACAAAAAGACATAATAGCAAATGTCCTTTTGGCTTAGGATTGACTTGGCAATGTGGGCTCTTTTTTGGTTCCATATGAACTTTAAAGTAGTTTTTTCCAATTCTGTGAAGAAAGTCATTGGTAGCTTGATGGGGATGGCATTGAATCTATAAATTACCTTGGGCAGTGTGGCCATTTTCATGATATTGATTTTTCCTACCCGTGAGCGTGGAATGTTCTTCCATTTGTTTGTATCCTCTTTTATTTCATTGAGCAGTGGTTTGCAGTTCTCCTTGAAGAGGTCCTTCATGTCCCATGTAAGTTGGATTCCTAGGTATTTTATTCTCTTTGAAGCAATTGTGAATGGGAGTTCACTCATGATTTGGTTCTCTGTCTGTCTGTTATTAGCGTATAAGAATGCTTGTGATTTTTGCACATTGATTTTGTATACTGAGACTTTGCTGAAGTTGCCTATCAGCTTAAGGAGATTTTGGGCTAAGACAATGGGGTTTTCTGGATATACAATCATGTCATCTGCAAACAGGGACAATTTGACTTCCTCTTTTCTGAATTGAATACCCTTTATTTCCTTCTCCTGCCTGATTGCCCTGGCCAGAACTTCCAACCCTATGTTGAATAGGAGTGGTGAGAGAGGGCATCCCTGTCTTGTGCCAGTTTTCAAAGGGAATGCTTCCAGTTTTTGCCCATTCAGTATGATATTGGCTGTGGGTTTGTCATAGATAGCAAAGCTGGAGGCATCATGCTACCTGACTTCAAACAATACTACAAGGCTACAGTAACCAAAACAGCATGGTACTGGTACCAAAACAGACATATAGACCACTGGAACAGAACAGAGCCCTCAGAAATAATGCCACATGTCTACAACCATCTGATCTTTGACAAACCTGACAAAAACAAGAAATGGGGAAACGATTCCCTATTTAATAAATGGTGCTGGGAAAACTGGCTAGCCATATGTAGAAAGCTGAAACTGGATCCCTTCCTTACACCTTATACAAAAATTAATTCAAGATGGATTAAAGACTTAAATGTTAGACCTAAAACCATAAAAACCCTAGAAGAAAGCCTAGGCAATACCATTCGGGACATAGGCATGGACAAGGGCTTCATATCTAAAACACCAAAAGCAATGGCAACAAAAGCCAAAATTGACAAATGGGATCTAATTAAACTAAAGAGCTTCTGCACAGCAAAACAAACTACAGGATGGGAGAAAATTTTTGCAACCTACTCATCTGACAAAGGGCTCATATACAGAATCTACAATGAACTCAAACAAATTTACAAGAGAAAAACAAACAACCCCATCAAAAAGTGGGCAAAGGATATGAACAGACACTTCTCAAAAGAAAACATTTATGCAGCCAAAAGACACATGAAAAAATGCCATCATCACTGGCCATCAGAGAAATGCAAATCAAAACCACAATGAGATACCATCTCACACCAGTTAGAATGGCAATCATTAAAAAGTCAGGAAACAACAGGTGCTGGAGAGGATGTGGAGAAATAGGAACACTTTTGTACTGTTGATGGGACTGTAAACTAGTTCAACCATTGTGGAAGTCAGTGTGGCGATTCCTCAGGGATCTAGAACTAGAAATACCATTTGACCCAGCCATCCCATTACTGGGTATATACCCAAAGGATTATAAGTCATGCTGCTATAAAGACACATGCACACGTATATTTATTGCAGCACTATTCACAATAGCAAAGACTTGGAACCAAGCCAAATGTCCAGCAATGATAAGACTGGATTAAGAAAATGTGGCACATATACACCATGGAATACTATGCAGCCATAAAAAATGATGAGTTCATATTCTTTGTAGGGACATGGATGAAGCTGGAAACCATCATTCTCAGCAAACTATTGCAAGGACAAAAAACCAAGCACCACATGTTCTCACTCATAGGTGGGAATTGAACAATGAGAACACATGGACACAGGAAGGGGAACATCACACACTGGGGCCTGTTGTGGGGTGGGGGGAGGGGGGAAGGATAGCATTAGGAGATATACTTACTGTTAAATGATGAGTTAATGGGTGCAGCACACCAACATGGCACATGTATACATATGTAACTAACCTGCACGTTGTGCACATGTACCCTAAAACTTAAAGTATAATTAAAAAAAAAAAGAAGTGTTGTCTGGGATGTGGAAAACTTGGAACCCTCATACATGGCTGGTGGGAACATAAATTGGTGCTGGCACCTTAAAATGTCAAACATAGTTATGACCCAGCAATTCCATACCTACGTATATACCCAAGAGAAATGAAAACGTATGTCCATGCAAAAACATACATGGATGTTCACAGCAGCATTATTCATAATACCCCACAAGTGGGATATTATTAGCCATATTTAGTTATAAAATAGCCCAAAGTGGAAATAACCCAAATGTTTATAAATTGATGAACGGATAAATATAAAATGTGTTCTAGGCAAGGTGCGGTGGCTCATGCCTGTAATGCCAAAATTTCGGAGGCTGAAGTGGGAGGATTGCTTGAGGCCAGGAGCTTGAGACCAGCCTGGGCAATATAGGGAGACCCCATATCTACAAAAAATTAAAAAATTAGCCTGGTGTGATGGCATGCACCTGTAGTCCCAGCTACTCAGGAAGCTGCGGTGGGATGATCACTTGAGCCCTGGAGGTGGAGGCTGTAGTAAGCCATGGTTGCACCACTGCACTCCAGCTGTGCGACAGAGTGAGACCCTGTCTCAAAAAAAAAAAAAAGTGTTCTACCTACACCATGGAATATTATGTGGCAATAAAAAGGGAATGAGATACTGATACATGCTACAACATGGATGAACCTTGAAAACATCATACTAAATGAAAGAAGCCAGTCACAAAGACCACATATTTTATAATTCCATTGATAGGAAATGTTTAGGATAGACAAATCTATAGAGTCAGAAAGTAGATTAGTGGTTGCTGGAGCTGGGAAGAGGATGGGAACGAAAAGTGACTGCTAATGGGACTGGGTTTCTTTTTGAGGTGGCAAAAATGTTCTACTTAGGTTATGCAAATTGTTCCACAATTCTGTGAATACAATAAAATGCACTGAACTGTATACTTTAATGGGTGACTTATATATGAATTACATCTCAATAAAGCTGTTTTTTGAAAAAAAGGTCACAGAGCCCTTAACAGTTTTGTAGAAGTGAGGGGAGATGGACATGGCGGAAGGCCCTGGACACATATTTATCCCCTTGTGTGGCTACTTGCAGTTCCCGCCAAACTGCACCCATCTCTTTGTCCCCAGAGGTGAAGTCCAGTGGACCTTGGTTTTTCACTTCAAGACCAGTTTTGGGGTCAAGGCTATTTCAACATGGCAGGTAGTAAGAGTTTAATAAATGCTTGGTGAATGAACCTACATTGCATCAATGTGCAGGTCACCAAAAGTACTTAAGGCTGGAGCAGTCTCCAGGGCTGGGGAGGGGATCTCAGCAGGTTTTGAAAGGAAGGGACAGAACCTAAGAGCTTCTAAAATGTTCCTTCAGAAGAACCCTGAGTCCAGAGGAGAGTTAACACATCCCTAACATGCAGTAAGAAAAGTCTCACATTTTTTCTTTAAATTCTTGTGCTGTATGCATCCTACTCTATATTTCCAGCTTGTTTTAATTTAAAAATACTGTAAATTGCCATTCAGTAAAACGGATGCTTCAGGGAGTTGTGCTGTTTATTCCTGCATCCTGGAATACCTGTGGGTGTATGCTGCTATGTTGCCTCAGAGGACCTCAATCAACAAATACCCTGAGTGCCCACTGTGTGCTTGGCAGGAGGGGTGCTGTTGCCAACACAGGATCTTCCCTCATAGGACTTTCAGTTGAGAAATGAGTGCATAGCCCCGAGGAGCAAAAAGAGCTCGGTGGAGAGGACAGAATTATGGGGGGGCAGAGTTTGGAAGCTCGTAAGAACATTGCCTTAAATGAAGACCAACATATATGCTCAGTGTTTTACTAGCAAAAAGTTGAAAACTGCCTAAATGTCTAATAGTGGAATGGCTAAACAAATTATGGTGTTACCATGTAGTACGATATTCTGTAGCTATTTAATAATACAAAACAATAAAGGAAAAGGCTTATGATGAAATTTTATGTAAAAAATCTTCAAAAAAACTATGCATAGCATGGCCTCAACATGTAAAACATACTCAGAAAAAATACCAGCATAGAATGCCCCAAATGCTAGTTGACTTTGGAGGGTAGAATTATGGGGGGATTTCTCTCTCTCCCCAAATTTTCTACAGTAAGTCTGGGTTATGTTATTAATAAACATCACATCTTTGATGCAGGAAGGCTAATGTGCAGCTGCATGTGGGGGCAGGGCTAGAGATGAACTTGGAGTAGGGGCTACAGAGTGGACCCGGGAGGAAGGGCTAGAGATGGAGATGTGGGTGCCGTCTTCCTACAGGAGAGGTCAAAACAAACCCTGAGTGGGCACTGAGGGAGCCCATGAAGAAACTACAGAGGGCTGAGGAGTCTTGGAGGGCAGGAGGAGGAATTGGAGTCAGGGATGTGGAGAGTTCAAGTGTCATGGAGCTGGGCAGAGATTCTAGGCAGAGTAATATCTAGAAATCCTTGGAAGTCAAGGAGAGAGGTTGAAAGAGGAGCCCTCAGTGTAAAACCTTGTCTCCTTCCTAGAGTGGTGAGGTTAGATTTAAATGAGATATAGGAGAGTGATTAGCTATACAAGCTCTGGAGTTGGGTAGACCAGTTCAAACCTCAGTTTCAGAACTTACAGCTAAGTGACCTTGGAAAAACTTTCTAACCTCTCTGAACCTGTTTCCCCATCTGTTAAATGGAAACAATAAAAACCATTAGGTTATTTTTTGGATTAGATGAATAATGCATGGAAAGTGCTTTGCATAGTGCTTGGCACATATATGTACTACTATTTTTTTTAAGAGATAGAACCTTACTTAGTCACCCATAGTTCATGTAACCTCAAACTCCTGGACTCAAGTGATCCTCTGTCACTTCAGCCTCCACCATGCCTAATTAAAAAAAAAAAAAATTTCTAAAGATAGGGTCTTGCTATGCTACCCAGGCTGACTGTGTACTAATTGGATGATGTCTATTATTATTGGTTTACTACAGTTGTTAATATTATGCAAAATATCTTTGATCGATAAAGAGCTTCTCCTGGTCCTTTGGGCATGGCTTTCTGAGGGGAAGACAACCTCTGGGATGCTCACCCTGCCCTCTTCCCCTCTCATCCCCATCTGTCCCCTCTGCCACCATGAGGAACATTTTCAAGAGGAACCAAGAGCCTATTGTGGCTCCTGCCACCACCACCGTCACGATGCCCATTGGACCCGTGGACAACTCCACCGAGAGTGGGAGTGCTGGGGAGAGCCAGGAGGACATGTTTGCCAAACTGAAGGAGAAGTTCTTCAATGAGATTAACAAGATTCCCTGTGAGTGTCCCTGGTGGCTGAGAGGGTGGGGCAAGGCTACAGTCTGGGATAGGTGAAGAAGGGTGGGGATACCACTGGGATGCGATTGGCTGGGCTCTTTCCTAACGCTTAGATTTTTGGAGATCCCCTGCAGGAATCGGGGAGGGGAAAGTAAGGTCTGCCATTAATGTGGCAAACAAGGGGATTTATGTGCATCAACTTCTAAGGGAAAGAAAAATTCTCATAACTTAAAAAACTTTCTAAAGATGAAACCAAAAGGCGATGAAAAATTATGAAACAGAAGTCACTATTCAAGTTTGCCAATAATACTTTGAAATTTATTTTGGAAGATAGAAAATAAAAGCCCTCTCTGCTTTTGAATTTCTGGCAGAGGCTGTATAGGAGACACCAGAGATGCAGATTAAGGGGAACCAGCCACACTGGTGGGAGATGGTGCTTCAGAACCACAGAGAGCAGCCCAGGACCCAACTCCAGTTGGGTTTTGCAAAGCCCGGCAGCAGTCTAGGTCTAGACTCAATCTTAAGTCCACTCCATGGACCCACAGCTGAAGCGGCAAATGGAAACCACCCAGAACCTTGTGGACTCCTACAAGGCCATTGTCAACAAGACTGTGTGGGACCTCATAGTTGGTTTCATGCCCAAGACCGTCATGCACGTCATGATCAACAACGTGCATGCACCACCTCATAGGGGCAGGGGGCTCCTGTGGCACTGGGGATGCAGGTGGCCATGTTGGCCTGGGGGAGATGCCGACCAGCCCTATGGGACCAGGTTCAGGGAGGGAGGCACAGTCCAGACCAGAGCTGTCTCATAGAACTATAATGTGGGACTAGGGACAGTGGTCCATGCCTGTAATCCCAGCACTTTGGGAGGCCAAGGTAGGAGGATAGCTTGAGCCCAGGAGTTCGAGACCAGCTTGGGCAACATAGTGAGACCTGGTCTCTACACAAAAATTTTAAAAATAGCTAGGCTTAGTGATGGCACATGCCTATAGTCTTAGCTATTCGACAGGCTGACATTGGAGGATCACTTTGAGCCCAAGAGGTTCAGGCTACAGTGAGTGGTGATCTTGCTCACTGTACTCCAGCCCAGCAACAGAGCGAGATCCTATCTCCAAAAAACATTTTTAAGAAACTGAGTAGACAGGTGTCCTGGTGGCATGATAGGTCCTGGGTCCCCTCCCAGATGTGTGACCTTGGACAGGTGACTTTTCCTCTGGACCTCAGTGTCCCTATCTGAGTGAGAAAAGGGCGGTGGGGTGGCAGATCTTTGAGTCTAAGCGGTGTAGAAGCCGCGTGTGCAAAGCCATACTCAGGGCTCCAAGTCCAGCACACTGTCCCAGCACAGGCATCAGGCCAGCACATGCATCAGGTCCCAACCTCCTTCCCTCTTTGCCCCCTCTCAGACCAAGGAGCTCATATTATCAGAGTTGCTGTCCAACCTGTACTTGCATGGGAACCAGAACACGCTGATGGAGGAGTTGGCAGAGCAGGCACAGTGGCGAGATGAGATGCTGCGCATGTACCACGTGCTGAAGGAGGTGCTCAGCATCATCGGTGACATCAACACAACCACCATCAGCACGCACATGGGGGCCCGTGGACAGCTCCTGGCTGCAGGTGCAGAGCGTCCTTGCCAGACGCAGGTACCAGGGCTGGCCCCTATGGCCCCAAGTCTCCCCAGCCCCCATGGCTGAGCCTGGGGGCTCTTGGAACAGGCTCCGTGCCCAAGCTGGCAGATGTGGGTGGTCTCTGGAGCCATCAGGGAGCTCGTGGTTTATGGTGTAAGGGCTGAGAGCTTGGAGGGGGTTGTGTGTGGGGCTGTACTCTGAGGTGGCCAGAGGCCCAGGAATGTCATCCTGGGCACACCATGCCTTTTGTGCTGTCTGAGCCATGCTGCCAGGGTGGGGCATCCAGCTCCCAGCCTGGATGCCTTGGAGTGCTGAGGGCCAAATCCACTGCAGAGCAGGGGTGATAGGGTCCCACCTCCTCTATCTGTTGGCAAAACAGTGGTGATCTAGGATAAAACCTCGAGAGTCCCATACACATGGTCAACCCAAAACACACCTCACAGGTCAGGTAGGGGCACACAGCCCCCTTCCCTCCCTCCCAGGTACCATCACAGCTGCTAGCATGTGACTGAAGGCAGGGTCCCTGGGCCCCGCTGAAGCACTACCACCAGCCAGCGGGCTCACGCACCTTGGCTTGTTGCTCCTAGAGATTGGCCCTCCTATTCAGCCGAGGGGAGCCCAGTGCCTGCTGGCCCAGCTGAGCTCTGCCCAGCAAGCCCACCCACCTCCCTTGCCATGGTCTCCGTCTCCTTTCCCTGGGAGGAAGGACCCAGCCTCACCTATGGGACCTGCAATCTCCAACAAGGTGAGGCTCCCCTCTTAGACTTATAAGTTTATAGCCAGTGGCATCTGGCTGCCTGCCCACCCTGCCTCCCCCAGGGTCCCTTCAGAGGGTCCTGAGCTTCCTGACCACCCAGAGGGGGCTCCGGCGATCACTCCAACCATCCATCCCATTTAGCTTCATCATCCTTGTTCGAGCAATTTTCCTTCTGTCAGGCCTGGTGGCTGTTATGTTGGGTTCCCCAAGGTGAGAGGTGGCCCTAGACCAGTTGGTTGGAAGACAGGTTGGAAGACGACTTGGAAGACAAGTTGGTTGGTGACCAGAGAAGAGGGAAGCCCAAAGGGGCCGAGCGTTGGTCTGACCTGTGGGTACACTGCCTGGGTGCAATGGAAGAGGCCAGCATGTGTGGGGTGGGGAGGGCCGCCACAGTCCCCAGGCACTACCTGTGAAGCTCCGGCTCCTCCCTCCATCTTCCTCCCCTTTCCCTTCCAGCCCCTCTTTTCCAGGAACCTTGCCACACCCGCACCTGCGCCCTCCCCTCCCTGGCCCTCCCACAGCTGCTGTGGCACACCTGTGCTCTGCACTGGCCTCACCAGCTCTCTCCTCCCTTTTCTCTCTCCTCTTTTCTCTCTGCTTTCTCTCCAACTGCCAGCCGATCAGGTCACGCAAGTCCATCCCATCCTGAGAGCCCCACGCCCCCCTTCGACCTCTAAACAGATCCCTTCTCTTCTCGGAGGCCTCCCTTTCCAAGCCTGCCTGGGCGGCTGTTCTGTGACTTGGCAGTGGCTCCCCCAGCCCCAAAGCCAGCCCCCTTCATCTGTGACTTAGTCTGTTGTAGTGGTGAGCTGACACGTCCAGGTGTGACTGTTGTGAAACTTGTGCCCCCCTCTGTGGTATGCCCTCGCATTGTTCTATAAATATCTATAAATACCCATACACACACACACACACACACACACACACACACACCCCTACACCTACATGTGGCCAACGGCCTCGCCTCTAGTGCTGGGAATCAGTCACCGTGCTGTCCTCTTGGAGTCTTGTGGCCCAACAAGAGAAAGCTGTCCCGACATTGCCCCTCCAAAGTGCAAGACCTCCGGTGAGTCTCCCTGTCACGCCTGGCCTATGGAGAGTCAGCCCCCGCCATCCCTCCCGCCCCCCCACCAAGCATGGGAGTGCTGTGCAGGCAGCTGAGTGGCCTGACAGTCTCTACCAGTCCTGCTGTCCCTTGGCTGAGAATCAAACCCATTTCTGGATGACGGGGAAGTGTGTCCTCTGCTGGCTGTGTTCTCTGTGGAGCTCAGGGGAGGGGAAAGGCCAAGCCATTTCTAGGGTGCTGTTTGGAGGGGTGAAAAGGCCATACCCTTTCCAAGGGACACTTTTCCTGGAAAGCCCCTGGAACTTAGCTGGCTCTTGTCCTGTGAAGCCGGCTCTGGCCACCAGGGGGCAGGGCCACGAACTCAGCCTGAAGGGAGCCTGCCGGGCAGCCGGCACTCTGGAGGGACAGAGAGAACAGGCCACCAGGTGCAGACAGGGGAGGGAGGCAAGGTGACGGAAGGGAAGACGCCTGGGGTGGGTGGAAGTCAGTGCCCTTAGGTGCTGGTACCTGTCTTCCTGGCCACCGCTACAACAGGCTTCTGAGCCTGTTGGCTGTCAGGGCTGGACTGCGCCCCATAGGCACCATGGCAGTCCCCGTGGAATCCCCCAGGCGCCACTAGGCAGCATACAGGTAACACGCCTGGAAGGTCCCTAACAGCCTAGCTGGACATACTCAAGACACTCTGGGGCTCCTCGTTTGGTGGCACAAACTCCAGGACCCAGTGAGGGAAACGGGAACACACCAGGCCGAGCAGTATGGCTAAATCCATTTATTCCAAAATAAAAAGCAAAATAAACAGGAGTCGCATCACCAGGGAGCCACGACCCCATCCCCGCCTCCTTCCTCTGTCCTATGCTAGCAATAAATAAGTTTCCCAGCCACAAATAATTATTACAACCTCCTCCCCATGTGCCGGCTCCAACCTCAGCTAGGTATGACACAGGGGTGGCCCTACCCTCTGGAATATACAAAACCTTACACAGACACAATGTGTACACCGGGGAACGGGGGCCACCCCAGCAGCCCGTGCCCTCGCCTGGTCCACAGTTAGCCCCACTGTCCTACCTCTCTGAATAAGAAGGGAGCCCCCCTGAGGGAAAAGTTGCTATGGTGAGAGTAAGGGGGACATCAGGCCTCCTCCAAACAAACCAACTCCACCAGCCTCTGGCTCTTAAATAACAATCATCATCATCCAGAAATTTAGGGACTCAGCCCTGGTCAAGGTGGCAAAGGGTCTGTTTGTCTTTCCCCATTAGACAGAGGTCTTGTCCTGCTACCCTAATTGTAAAGGGGTGCCTGGGAAGGGGTGGTAGGGACATGGTGGCGGTGGAGACTCCGGCCCCACTTCTCCAGGCTTTGCTGACAGGGGCCTGCTTTTAATTTTTATTTTTATTCCATGACTTTTTAAAAAAGAATCCCGTAACTTCTTTTTCATAACTTTTTTGGTAACTTTTCATAATACTGTTTTCTACTTTGTTCCCACAAGTTTTTTTGCCACAACGTTTTTACATTTTTTATCCCATAACTTTTTCACCCCATAACTTTTTTTAATCCCATAATTTTTAAATCTTGTGTTCTTTTAAGAAACACTTGCATAGTTATATCACAACTTTGTAAAAATGAAACACATTATCTCGTGCCAAGCATGCCCAGCATTTGCACAGTATCAATACCTTTAATACTATAGTTTTCAAGAAACACAAAATAAAATTTTAAGGCAAAAACAACACATTGAAACAATTTAATAATTTATTACATTACAGTGGCATCACACCAGCAGTCAATAAGGCCACTCTAGGGAAAAATCTTTCAGTATTTCCATGACACATTCTGTTTACAATAATTCATAAACTGGTAAAATTCATTCTAAGAAAACTTGGCAAATAAAACTTTGGACTGGAATTGGCATTTCTTTCTCTGCTTTTCGTTCCCACCATTTCTTTCTTTTATACTACAGTATTCATATTTTAAAATGTTTTAAATTATTTCAGAACATTAAGATAGCAGTTACATTTTTTAATAGTTATATTATTTTAAAATGACTAAGATAAAGTTTTAGAGAAACTATATTATGGATAGGGCTGATTTACATTTTCAAATTTTCTAAAATCGCTTTGGTTTTAGAGCTGATTTTTTTTTTCATTTCTGGAAAATTATCAGGTTGAATCAAATACTTTTAAAATGATTATTATATATTGCCATCTTTAAATAGGTGTTTTGATTCTTCCTACAGACATTAAAATGTATTCAGTGGAACTCACAGTTTAAAATTCTATGTTTCTGATGAACTCTAACATTCCAATGTTGCCTTCTAAGCAAACTGAAAGCTGCCTTATACTGAATGAGGAAGAGCACAAATACTCGGCTGAATGAGGTATCGCAAAAGACTGCATGCACTTTGGAGAAAGACTTAAGTTATTGTCATACAATTTCCATTCTTTTTAGCGTTTTCTTAAGTATATGACAAATGCCTACACAAAGAGTGGTATTTCAGTCAATATAGTAAATTTATTTTCCAGACTGACCTTCAGCTTAAATATGCCAGTGTGTGATTTAATCCATAGGCACCTCATGAACACATTATTGTCAGATTGGTTACAGATGCTAAACGCTATCCGAAGGTCATTCCTAGTCACTGATATTTATCAGGGTAAAAGTGAAGTGATTTCAACGATAAAAGTACCTTTGCAATAATTTATCAATGTATTAGATAAACCCAGTTTCAGAATGATAAAAGAAAAAACGTTAGACCAAATAATGTGGCTGATTAACAGTGGTCCGATTTCTAGCCCGAGGGTTTAAAATGCTCTTAAAGTAACTGTCTTTAAACTGAACTCAAAGAATGCAAAAGCGGCAAGTTCAGAAAATAAAAGGCGAGAACAGGACTTTAAGTGCATTTTAAACCCACGGGCTACAAATCGTACCACTGTTAATTAGCCGCATTATTTGGTCTAAGATTTTTTCTTTATCATTCTGAAACTGGGTTTATCTAATACATTGATACATTCATAAAATTTGGAAGAGTCAGTGGAAGTCACAAGGACCGAATATTTGCACTCTTTCAGTGAATGCCAGCAAATCTGTTATTCCATCGGTAAAATCGTATTGTTGCTCTCCTGTTAATGTCATATTTATAGAAGTATCATGAGGATGCCAAATGCTAAAAATGGAGATGATCTAGTAACTAGAAATCCCCACCGCAGGGAGCACACACACCTATCTCCCTGCATCCTAACAATGTGATGTGTTTTGGAACACAGACATTAGAACTTCATGAAGTTTTAACTGTTGAGTCTTTCCCAAGCATCATCAAGTTACGATTTAGGCAATATATAACTGAAATGTATTCATTCATCATGCATAGGCACAATCACATAAATATCGCACAAAATATGTCCCGAACAGAAACCCAGAGGTACAAAAACATATTTCACTTTGTAAAGAAGTCTGTGAGAAAATATAACTCTGTGATTGTATAGACACGTTTCCTGATAATACATTGACATTCACGAACAGTAGATTGCACTGCAGTTTGTACACATTTTAAGTTTCATAAACTTCTCCTTGATTTTCAAAGAGAGTACAATACCATCTACTAAAACTCCTTTTTGTTTCAACTAAGTATCTCACATATATTAGTTTATAATAATGTTTCTATTATTTTTTAAAGTGTTTTCCATTCAAGGAAAAAGAAGTAAATTCCTATGTCAGAGTAACCAAGGTGGTTGAAGAATAGGTATTAGCCAAAGAGGTCTAGATGGTAAAATCAATCTTCAAGCCTCAAAGAATCTCCGTGAACAGAGAGGAATGCCAGGTGTCACACAGCTTTCCTTCACTCTAATTCATTCTTGACTAGAGCCTGTATGCCTGTTCCAGGGACGTTTGAACTCATAAAGGATTTCTTATGATCTTCACTAAATACATTAAGAAGAATGCCAACCAGTGCCCTTTTGTGTACTGGGACATGTAGTCATGTGATTAAAACAGGTAACATGAACTCTGACTTTAAAATGTATTGTAGATACAAATGCTCTAAGCTAGGAAAGGTTTTCCACATCCACAGTCAACGATGGGAACCTTTCATTCCTCAGAAATAAGCCCTTTTTAGGTCATCGAAAAAGAGTACAACTGCTGCAGCTCATGATGCAATATCTTCATGAGCCCAGAGCACATACAAATCCTAAGGGAACCACCATAATACACCGCTAATTCCTGGCACCGGAACAGATGAAACACACTCTATCCTGCACATACCTGCCAGAGGAGGCCACTTTCCTCTTCTGTGAGATTTAAAAAGCTCCCCCAAAAGGTTATCACTCCCATCACCAATACACAGAAAATGGAGGAAAGGCTGTTTCCAGTTCTTGGCCTTTAAACAACTCTAAATGTCAGTACTCATAGTGGCGTATTACAAAGTAATAAACAGTGCACACTTGGGGGCAAACTACATATTGAGCTAAGGAAGAGCTCACTGTGATTAAGATTAGATCAAACAACAGCAGAACATAGGCAAATTTTGTCTGAATGCTGTAGTGAATATACATGCTGCAATAACATTAAAAAAGCATGGCAGCCTATTCCAAACCAAAGAGAACAGTTTTGGGCAAAGAGTGGGTCTTTGTGTGTTTGAACTCCCACCACGTAAGGGCAAACTCGATATGCACGCTAATGACCTACAATTATGAAATTAAAAAAGAAAAATGCTAAAGGATGCCAGAGTGAACATCAGTGAGAGCCACAGACACCCACTCTCTTTTAACTTTTTACAAATAAACTTAAACTATAAATTAGAAACACAAATAATCATGAGTGAGTCTAACATTCAAAGGAAGTAAATGAATTGTGTAGGAGATTAACCCCATAACTTGGTTTCTTATTTAAAAATTTCTTGAGCAGCTCTTTGAGGATGGTGATGTTTATCTCCTTCTTCTTGGCAGCCAAGCCCAGCACAAGAATGGCACACAGCAGTTGCTGCCCAAGCCTGGGTGCTCCTCGTGGTCCTGCACGATCGGCTGTGCAGTAGGCTTGTCAAGGAGAGGATCCTCCCTGGCCTCTCCTTGGGCAGAGGAGGTGAGGCTCACCTCACGAAGATCTTTGGAGAGAGGGAGGCAGGGATCTGAGCACAGTGGGAGCCCCCTCTTCCTGCCTGCCCACCCCACCTGAGGGCTCTACTCACCACCATGCTTGTCTGCAGCCCCAAGCTCCTGGGGAGCTGGGGCTCCTGGACCGGGCTCATCAGCAGGGTTGTGGGCAGCGGCCAGGAATTTTCTGTGCCCATTGTTGTAGTTGCTGTAAGCCGCAATACCATCTGCTGCAGCTCCAGCAGCTTCACCTGGAGGGAGGGGTGCTCAGCTGCCATGCCGCTGCTTGCGCCCACCCTCACACCCACCCCCACCCCCACCCCCACAGAGATGTTGCACACCCTACCTTCATCTCCTCCCTGAGCTCCAGCCTGATGGTGTCCTCCTCCCAGTGCCGCATCTTTGGCACAGCCCCCTGGTTCTGATAAAAGGTGATGGGTTTTCCTGCGGGAGGACAGGGCTCAGACGCTGGGGCCCCTCCGACGGCCCTGTAGCTCCCCCTGCCGTGCCCTGGCCTCCCACTCACTGATGGCGTCTGTCTCGCCAGTGGTGGATGAAGCAGAGTTCTTTTTTCACCAGCTCACTCAGGTCTGCCTTCTCCTTCAGGTGGTCCATAAAGCTGCTCTGGAGCCAAAATATTGCAGTCACATCTCGGCAGCGACCTGCCCTCAGGTGGCATTTTCAAGTCATGGAGAAGGCGGAGGTGAGTCCTGGCATGGGCCAGCTTCTCCGTGACTTCCTGCAGGGCCCAGTGGGTCTCCCCACTCACAGACTCGCCCCCAGGCCCTGGGGCTCCAGGGCCTCTGGCTGCCTCTGGCTCCTTCTGGGCTGAGGCCACCGGGTGAGCCAGGCGCTGGCAGCACACCCTCTGCTCTTTCACCTGCTCTTGTAACTGTGCCTGCTTCTCCTGGGCACTAGCTCCAGCGGACTTGAAAAATGCCACCTGAGGGCAAGATGTGAGCATTCTTCTAGGGGCATACACAGAAGAAATGGGGCAGAGAGGTGGAGCGCAGCCCCTTCCCTTGGGGCCTCAGAGAGTGCACCTGTTGGCCACAGGTGAAATGGTGTCTGACCACTGGCTCTCGGAAGGGGTGAGGGTCCAGAGAAATCAGAAGGCAGGGAAACGAAGAGCATAAAGGGGTCTTGGAGGGACCACAGAGAAAGGTGGCAAAATGGGTGCAGGGGGGAGTCAGGCTCACCATGGCCTCCCTGCTCTCCGGGTCCTCTGGGACACTCGGCATGGGCCGAGGTGCCTCCTCCCCCTCACTGTCCAGATGTTCTCCTCCGTGTCCTGTGGGGGGTGGCCAGAGGGGTCTTCAGACAACCCAACAAGGGAGGTACTGTGGGCCCACCTCTACCTCCACCCTCACTGTGTAACCCTGAGCCAGCCCCTCCCCAGAGAGGAATGAGCTGTTGTTCTTTATTTTTACTTTTAAGAATCAAGATCTTGCTATTCCGCCCAGGCACACTCCCACTACTGGTCGATGTGGGAGTTCTGACCTGCTCCCTTTCTGACCTTGGCCAGTTCAGCCATCCTTAGGCAACTTGGTGACCCCCCGCTCACAGGAGGTCACCACACTGATGCCGAACTTAGTGCAGGCACCCGGTCGGCATAATGACCAGCTGTTCTAAAGGTCTCTTCCAACTCCTCAATCCTATGCTGCTAGCAGTCCCCCCTTCCTCCTGGGGCTCTCTCCTCTTCCTCTGAGCAGTCTCCCGTACCTTCCCCAGGGAGAGCCATGAGGCTCAGCTGGGCCGTTAGCTGCTGGTTCTGCTGGCTGGCAGCTTCCAGGTGCTCCTGAGGGGCCAGGACAGAGTGAGAAGGGGTGGAGTTTGCCAGGTCATCCCCCTCACAGCCCCATCCTCGGCAGCTCCCTCCCCTGGGTCTCCTGCAACTTTTGGCAGGCCATCTCAGCCACCGCTTTGCCCCAAGCTTCCTGCTGCTGCAGCTGGTTCATTAGCTGGGTCTGTTGCAGTCACTGCCTGTACAGCGCCTCCTTCTCACAGGTCAGCTGCTGATAGGTGGCCACGTACTGCTGCAGGTGACCCAGGTAATGGTCTGGCTGCTGCTGCAGACTCTGAGCCTCTTGGCTCTTCAGCTCCACCTGCAGGAAGACCCTGGGTGTGAGGGCACGTGGTGGCTGGTTTCCAGATTCTGGGCCCATTAATAGGGTAGCGAGGGCACTGTGGGGCTCTGTCAGCTGCCCAGGCCCCTGTCCCCTTACTCCAGGCCTAAGTGACTGCCTCCCTTTCCTAGAACCCCATGCCTCCTTCCCCAGCCTCAAATCTCATACCCTCTTCTCATTTAATCCTCAGCACCTCTGTAAGGAAAATGCTAACTTCCCTTTGAAGTTAAAGAAACAGAGACTTAGAGATGCAAAGTACTTGAATGGTGACCAGTGGAACCGAGGCTGGAATCCAGTTTTAATCTAAGGAGTCTTTTTGTTTTGTTTTCAGACAAGAGTGTCACTCTGTGGCCCAGGCTGGAGTGCAGTGGTGCAATCTCAGCTCACTGCAACCTCCACCTCCTGGGTTGAAGCAATTCTCGTGCCTCAGCCTCCCGAGTAGGTGGAATTACAGGCATGCGCCACAATGTCCTGCTAATTTTTTTTTTTTTTTTTGTAATTTTAGTAGAGATGAGGTTTTACCACATTGGCCAGGCTGATCCCAAACTCCCGACCTCAAGTGATTCTCCTGCCTCAGCCTCCCAAAGTGCTGGGATTATAGGCATGAGCCACTGCACCTGGCATAAGGAGCCTGTTATACCACTGTCTCTTCCTCTGTGATTGGGGGCTCCATGCCTCTAGCTAGGATGATGATGTCCAGACCTGAGAGGATCCCAGGGCTACCCACCTTTAAAAGTCAGAGGCAGGAAGCAAGAAACAGGACTGCCCTGGGGGGTGCTGTGGTCACCAGCCCCCAGGCTGGAAGCTGCCTCTGGCCTCGTACCTCCCCTCCCCAGAGTCTGCTGCCCGCCTCCCAGCCCTTCTTGGATGGGGTGGAGGTTTCCGTCTCCTTCACCTCGCCAAGCTTCTCCTGTAGCTCCTTTACTTGCTGCTCCAACTGCAGTGCGTTCTTGTTCTCATTGTTCTGGACAGAGAGAAGCAATCAGCAGCCACCCACTGCAGCTGGAGACCCCAGAACTTGGTGTCTGCCTCCCATGGCACTGGGAAGGCTGGAGGCAGGTTAGAAAAATCACTCCCTCTCTCCCACAGCCACCTGGCTCACAGGTGCCTTTAGAAGTAACATTTCATGTGAGGGCTACACTGCCCCATTTTAGAGGTGGGGAAACAAAGGCCCGGAGGGCTAGGGAGGAGGGCAAGCTCCCCAGTTTGGGCAACGCACCGGCTCCTCGAAGACGCTCTGTGGCTTGGCCAGCTGCTGAAGGCTCTTGTGCTGCTCCTGAATCCTCTCCTCCTGCTTCCGAAGCCTCTCTTCCTGCTCCTGAATCCTCTCTTCTTGTCGCTGGTTCAGGAGACTTATGCGCTGATTCTTTTTGACCTGGGCCTGGAGCTCTCCTGCCACTCTCTCTAGTTCCTTCCTCAGGTGCTGCAGCTCCACCTCAGAGGGCACTGCTGGGGGCTCCGGGGGCAAGGGTTCAGCTGACAAAGGAAGCAGATAATAAGGGCCTCTGGATTCTCGGAAAAGAAAAACCCTCCTCTTGGCGCACAGCTCCTCTCAGGCTCCTCAAACTTGGCCTCACTGCTAATGATTCCTCGCACCCAGATGGTAGCCAGTCTTCCAAAGCACTTTCAGAGAAAGAGCACTGCGGGTGGCTGACAACGGGCCCTCTTTCCTGATGGGGACACTGAGACACTGAGACTCATTGAGATGACAAGACTCGCCGTCTCCTGGCACAGATCTCTTTCCCTCTGCCTCAAAGCCCTTCCATCCACCCACCTCCCTGGGGCACTCTAAGCCACCCTCACAGCCCTCTGATGCCAGTCCTGCTCCTAGGTCATGCCAGCCCCATCTTACCCATCTGGTTTTTGAGTTTGGACAAGCTCCTCTCCAGCTCCTCTACCCGACGCATATCTTGCTGCTTCTCTTTCTTTAATGTGCAAATCTGCCCAAAGCACAAGGGGAAAGGGCCTTGGAGAGAGGGGCTGGTGGCTGGACAGGCTGCCCTCTCCCTCTCTGCCCCCACCTCCACAAAGCCCAGACCCATGACCACCTCTGGCTCTACTATTCCCATTTTACAGATGACCAGAAAGATCCAGTGACCTATCTAATGTGGGGGGGCTGAAGGGTCAGATCTCACCTCCTGCGACATTTTTCTCATCCTCTGCTGCCACCGGGCCCTCTCTCCTTTTAGATGTTCAGAATACTCATCTCTTTCTAATTGGACTTGTTGAAATGACTCCTTCAACTGCAAGAATGGGCACAGAACTTAGGAAGGGCTGTCACTGGTCCTCACCTGCTCCTGGCCACCTGGGGTCATCTTCCTTCCACATAACTCCCTCAGAAAACCTCACCTGTGTCAGCTGCACTTTCAGTAGTGTCTCCTCCCGCATGGACTGCTCTAACTTCCACTCCGTACGTGCTTTGCTGCGGCTGGACAACTGGATGGTGAAGAGTGAGAAGTTTCAATCTGGAGAGCCTGGGCATTTCCACACAGTGCCCCTTAAAAGGGCTAGGGCTAGGCCCAATATACAACTCGGTCAGTAAAGATCAAGGCATTTCCAAGCCCGTGGTCTGGTTTTTAAAAGAACTCAGTAAAGTTGGAACGGACAGGGAATGAGATTGAATTTATAGCTGGCTAACAGAGGCCCAGAGAGATCAGATAATATTGCTATTGTTATTACTGTTATTATTACCACTGTTTGAACCTTTGTGGAATGCTTCACCAGGTACCGTGCTAACAATCCCATTTAATCCTCGCAACCACCATAGGAGACAGTTACTATGATTCCCTCTATTGTGGAGATGAAAAAACATGGAGTATTTGAGGTTAAGTGCTTGCCTAAGTTCACTTAGGCAGAGCTGGGATATAAACACCCAGGTCTATCCAATTCTCTAAGCCCGTTTTTCTTGCTGGGGATGGGGGCACAGATAGGAAGGGGAAAATTAATCTTTTGTTCACTTTTTGAAAGGATGATACATTTGCATAGTCCAAAACTCAGAAGGTACAGAAGGGAAGTATCTCCCGGCCATCTTGTTGCTCTCTCCTGACTTTTTTATGAACCCTTGCAGACATGTTTTATGTATATTATCACAGTATGCACACACACACACACACACACACACACACACACACACGCACACACGTTTCCTCTTTCTACAGAAATGGTAACATACTAAAGGTACTCTTCTGTACCTTCACAGTACAAGTACCCAATACCCCACCTAGGACTAGGACTTGCCCAAGACCACAGACAGGTAAGGGCGGGGCAGGCACTTGGCCTCCAAGCTCTGCGTCCAGTGCTCACTCCACACAGTGACCCCCAACTCACCCACAGCAGCTGACTCAGCCCCAGGCTGCCACTAAAAACCATACAAAAAAGTAGCAAGAAATGGCCATGCTGCCTTCTGGGCAGGACACTCCATCCTGCAGAAGGGACCTTTAGGCTCACTCCTCCATCTGCAAAGCCAGGCTCCCAGGGGATGGGGCAGGTGGTTGGACTCACCTGGTTTGCCTTCTTCTTCTGTGTGGCCATGACATTAGAGAGAACACTCTCTAACTCTCCTTTACGCTGCAATGAATGTTGCAGGCGGACAGCCAGATCCTTGGACTTTTCTGTAATGAGAGAGTTGAGATGGGGCCCAAAGGACTCCCCCTGAAGACCTGTCAAAGTGCCAGGTTGAAGGATGACAGGGTGCCCAGATTCCCACCTTCAAAGTATCTGAGAGAACGTTTCATGTGGTACAGGTCCGTATTTAGTTCCTCTTTCTGTATGTTCAATGTCTGGATTTGAACCTTTGGGAGAAAAGCCAAGCAAGTGCTGAAAGAGAAGGAAAGAAACCTTCTCCGGAGGACAGGAGGAAACTGCACACCCTCCACTCACCTCTAGCACCCTTTTGGCTTTCTGTTTCTTGTTGTTTGCTTTCTTTTCCTGTAGGAAGAGGAAGACAGAGCTCTTACCAGGGGGAGGCAGAGATGGCACAGCAAGAGACATGCCCCCAGAATGCCACCAATGCCCCAGGACAGGCCCACCCATGGGACCAGGTTATCAGGGGCCCTGTGGGGATGGGGTGGAATCTGAAGGGTGAGCCTTCATCCCCAGGCTGGGAGTGGGTGAGACGAGACTGGGGCCTGTATGTCTGAGTGCCCCCCAAACCCAGCAGTCATGTTGCGAGGAAACGAAATCACGTTACTTCTTCCAGCTGATGTTCCACTTGTTTCTTCTGTTGTTTCTGTGGGGAGAGTCAAATAAGGTGGTGGAGGGTGGCCCCCTCAACTCTATTCCCCAGACCAGGAAGCGGTAGGCAGGGGCCAGGAATGGATTTTAAAGGCAAAGTTCTCAGACATAATGGGAACACGAACCGGTAAACTCTCCTCAAGCTCCCAAGGACAGAGGATTTGGGTCTTTGTTGGCTTTTGCCCACAGCCACAGAACTCAAAGTCTGAATCTGGAATCTCTTGAGAGGACAGCAATATAAACCTCTAGAGATGGAGTTTCAGAAAGGCCCCTCCTTCTGGCAGCTTGTGATTTAGAGAAGTGGGTTCATTCAATAAACATTTACTGAGCATGTATGGGCCAGGTACGGTTCTTTACAGCAGATATAGGATGGAAAAGGACAGACAGGAGCCCTTAGCCCTGAGGTTTCCGTTCTAGGGGGCCTTTAAATCTCAGACTCGAGAGCTAACAGAGACCTTTGATACTCACTACCTCCTCTGGAAACACGAGCCCAAAAAGGAGAGGTGGCTTGTCCAGAATCAAAGAGCAAATTAGGGACTGAGTCATGGCAGAAATACGGGGCCCTTGACAACCAGTCAGGCTAGCACTTCCCCAAGAGGCAACAACCCCAGGGCGTGTGTAGCAAGGACTCGAGCAGGGGTGTCTGGAGAGGAGAGAGTCGGCAAAGAGGGCAGCAAAAGAAGAGCCATGCTGCATGCTCTGGGGTCCCTCCAGGTGAGGCCTGGGCACCCAAGCTCCCTATTTGTCCCAGGCACCAGGGACCCCCAGCCCCTTTCTTCAGGGCCCCAAGGGGAAACTGGAGCCCAGGATTGGCAGCGTGGAATCAGGGGACCCCAGTGGACTCTTACCAGAGATTTGATGGTGTTCTTCAGTTGACTGATTTCTACGGACCTTGAATCCAGGACTACTGCTCGTTCTTGGCACGGGCTCTGAGGTGCATGCAGAGAGGAGGAGGTGGAGCAGGAGTGGGGGGAGAGGTAGAGAGAACAATCATTAGGGCTGGGGTGTGTGGGCTGTCTCAGCTGGCAGAGGGGCACCCAGTCCCACCTGGAGGAGGAGGTTGGAGGGTTGACCCGAAGGGTCACTGCACCTCCGCCCAGAGCCTCTTACCTCCAGATCTTTCAGGGTAGCAGATGATGTAGGGCCTTCCCTGTGGAAACCTGTTGCTGACTACAAGAGATGAGAGTGCACATGGAGATGTTCTGTCCCCCACAGTGTCTGAGCCCTCTGACTTCCTTTCTTCCCCATCAACTGGCAACATTTTCTTTTCTGCCTATCTTGGACCTTTTGTCCCATAACTCCTTTGTGCCAACTTCTCTCATGGTTCTTATCTCCCCACCATCCCATCCTGGGGCCCCTTCAGTGACTCCTGATGGCAAGTGGCTGTTCTCATTGTCCTGGTTTCCCCCTGAGACTGGGGATGAGGAAAATCAAACCATATCCTGGGTGTTCTGAGTGTTTACAGCAGGCCATGTACTAGGGATTAACATAAAAACAACAATAACAAATCTCATTTAAACTTCACAAATGGAAGTGAAACAATAACACCTCTATTATACAGATGTGAAAAGAGAGGCCCGATGAGGTCTAGCAACTTGCCCTAAATCATATCCCTAGCAGAGCAGATGGAGAGGCAGGATTCAAACCCAGAATTCCTTTTTTTTTTTTTTTCTTTGAGACAGAGTCTTGCTCTGTCACCAGGCTGGAGTGCAGTGGCATAATCTTGGCTACTGCAAGCTCCACCTCCCAGGTTCACACCATTCTCTTGCCTCAGCCTTCTGAGTAGCTGGGACTACAGGCACACGCCACCACGCTTGGCTAATGTTTTTGTATTTTTAGTAGAGACAGGGTTTCACCGTGTTAACCAGGATGGTCTCGATCTCCTGACCTCATGATCCGCCTGCCTTGGCCTCCCAAAGTGCTAGGATTACAGGCGTGGGCCACCACACCCGGCTAAAGCCAGAATTCTTAACCAGTACCCAGCAGTCCATCCACAATCTTAAGAATTACCCTCTATTGCCCCTTGGGCCCCCTGTCCCCAGAAGCCTGGTCAGCCAAGACTCACATCCCTAGGTGGCTGGCAACCACCAGAAGTGGCTTTCTCAGGGATACTGCCATTTGTTTTCCTGTTCCTGTTCGCTCCTGCTGGAACTCTAGGGCTGTTTTTCTGCCAATATTCTTTTAACTGTTGGAAAGAAGAGCAGTAATACTCATGAGAACCGTCAGCCCCTACAGCCACATCCTCCTTTACAGTTTTTACAAAATACACTTACACACCATCTGATTTAATGACACCAACAACTGTACAAGGTGTTGTCACACTCATTTAGTGACTGAGAAGGATTGATATCATGGCTAGAAAAAAAAAAGAAAAAGGCAATACTGGAACTTTGAAACTCAGTCTTCTGACTCCAAGCTCTGAGGTTTTGCCAAGAATCAGCAGCTGCCAGGGACCAAAACCAGAGGCAGAGGTAGAAAAGTAAACATTAAGTAGGCAGGAACTGTATGCCATGTGGTTTAGAGTCACACATCCTCACACGTCTGTTAGTGTGAAGAAGTGCACCAGTACCTCTCAAACTCTTATATCAATGTGTCCTCATGGCAGAAGGCAGCCTTTCTCTTAAATCAGAATTTATCAGAAAGAGGACAACCCAAGCCTCATTTCAGAGAGAGGTCTGGTATACTCTTAGAAACCTATGTGACTGTCATCCCTAAGTACATTCATGTTTTTTCTCTTGATCTCAAGAGAATCAAGGGAAACTGATGCTTCAGAAAGATGTCCCATATTTATCCTGTGGCACTCAAAGTACCCAAGGTTGAGATAATATGAGGAAGATTCAAGGTGTCAAGTTCAGTTTCCCAAGATCTATTCCACAGAAGATGAGCAAATGTCACTTCAGAGACCACTGACTGAAGGAGAGTCTGGTCCCAGAACCATGGAGAATTAGAATATGAGGTGGAGAACTCAGAAAAAAATGTTAAAATCTCTCTGGAAAGTAGAAGCCTGGGAGAAAACCAAACCAAACCCATTCTCTCATTGCCACCCAGAGATACTGTCAACGTTTTGAGTTCATGGGGGAAGTGTAGGCTTTTCCCACCGTCAACATCTGTAAGGGAGTGAGGCAGCCTGGAACCTCTTGCTCCTAGGTCCCATAGTCTCCATTCCCCTTCCAGCTGGAAATTTGTGCTGTGACCAGAGGAACCAGAAACGGGGTGAGAACGCTTAGGGGACTGGGTCGTAAGATCAAAGGCCAGTCTTGCAGTAACAGCAGTTACTAGGTGGACTGTGACATCACAACATTCCACTCCTCCTGGTCGGGGGGAGGGACCATGTCAGCACCATGTCCAAGTCGCTGCTCCACGATGGGGGAGGGAAGCACAGGGTTGTGACCCAGCTCCTTGGAGACGCCAGCACAAAGAACCCAGGGAGGTCGACCTTGAGGCAGCAGGAGGGGAGGGCACAGTCTGCAGCAGGGAGTCCCAGGAGTCACCAGTCCAAAGTCACCCAGGGATGACTGGCGAGGGTGGGGCCTGGCTCCTTGGAGATGAGAGCCCAAAGAGCCCAGGGAGATCAAGCTTGGGGCGGCAGGAGATGAGGGCCCAGTAATGGAGCGGGAAGCCCCAGGACTCACCCACCCAAAGTCACCCTGGGGTGATTGGCGAGGGCAAGGACTGGGCTGCTTGCTGAAGGGGTGGGGCTGACTGACAAAACTTTGGTGGGGGTAGCCCAGAGGCACCGGGGTAGGGGGGACCAGTCCAGTGTGCCTCAGGAGTCGTATAGACTCTGGCAGGGGTCTTGTCATCAGAGGGGATCTGTGGCTGGGTTGAGGGGCTATGACCTAGTGCGTTTTTACCTTTTTCTTGGCTGCAGCCAATTTGTTGTGTTGAGTTTCTTCTGCCATCACAGGGTGGGGAGGGAGGCAGGGTTGGGGTCACAGCAGCAAAATCTCAATGAGAACCGATCAAGGCCTCCAGTCACCTACCAGGCAGCTGTGTGACTGAGCCAGAGGAGGCGTAACCAGGGCCCCAGTAGAATGCGGAATAGGGGCGTGGCCTTAATGCTCCAAGCCCATTGGTCAATGAGAAAGATGAAAAGGAAAGGGGGCGTGGCCAGAAAGCAGTGTGTCCAGAGGGACCTGTGGCTCACAAGGAAAGCTGCCCATGGCAACTGCTCTCCCCACCCACTCTAAGAGAGGGGAGAGGCCTCCCACTCTGGAAGACAAGAGGGGCCGGCTTTTGCTTTAAAAGCTTTAAAACTTTAAAAAATATATGTGTGTATACTTTATATATATGTGTGTCCGTGTGTGTGTATCTATGTTTTTCTCCATAGCTGTCTTCATTATCCAGCTTCTATGCAAGGTCTATGATTTTGGCCTATATTCTTCATCTTTGATTACAGTACAAAAATTACCAGTATTACCTTAACTGAGATACAGATCCTATAAAAATGGAAAATGCATAGCATGCTTGATGATTAATGAAGCAGACTATATTATCCAACATTCTAATAAGATAAAATAATCACAATGATTTCTCTTTTTTGGAAAAATGTTTCTTTTATTCTCCTACGTTTTCATTAAGATTTTTTTTTCTTAAACAAGAAACATGTCTAATATCTGTAAAAACACAAAGCTTTTGGGCCGGGTGCAGTGGCTCATGCCTGTAATTCCAGGACTTTGAGAGCCCAAGGTGGGTGGATCATGAGGTCAGGAGATCGAGACCATCCTGGCTAACACGGTGAAATCCCATCTCTACTAAAAATACAAAAAAGGCCGGATGTGGTGGCAGGCAACTGTAGTCTCAGCTACTTGGGAGGCTGAGGCAGGAGAATGACATGAACCCCCGAGGTGGAGCTTGCAGTGAGCCAAGATCATGCCGCTGCACTCCAGCCTGGCTACAGAGCAAGACTCCATCTCAATAAATAAATAAATTAATTAATTAATTAATAAAAATAAAAAATTAATAGTAAGAGCAATGTGAACAAAAGTTGTAATAAAATAATTTAGAAAATACAAACTATTAAAAAATAGATTTTAAAACTTGTGCAACAAAGTCAAACAGCACCCAACGAAAATGTATACCCTTACATGTTTGTTTAAAAAGCAATTTAAATTACATTGATCCACTAAACTGGGAAAAGCAAAACAAACAAAAAGGGGGAAATAATTAAGACATAAGGAAAAAGGAAAAAGAAAAACCACTAGATTTAAAAAATAAAACTGAAGGAGGATTCTTTCAAAAGACTGAGATAATAAAACAGTCAAGCCTCTGATAAGTAATCAAGATAAAGAAAACTTTGAAGAGAAAAGGGCATATAGCCACATGTGAATATGATGCAAAAAGTGAAAACTTTACACATCTTTACAACACCTTAGAAGTATGGATGACATGTTCATTTTTTTTTTTTTTTTTTTTTTTTTGAGACGGAGTCTTGCTCTGTCACCCACGCTGGAGTGCAGTGGCGTGATCTTGGCTCACTGCAAGCTCCGCCTCCCGGGTTCACAACATTCTCCTGCCTCAACCTCCCGAGTAGCTGGGACTACAGGCGCCCGCCACCACGCCTGGCTAATTTTTTGTATTTTGGCTTAGTAGAGACGGGGTTTCACCATGTTAGTCAGGATGGTCTCGATCTCCTGACCTCGTGATCCACCCGCCTCGGCCTCCCAAAGTGCTGGGATTACAGGCATGAGCCATCGCACCCGGCCAAAGTGTTCATTTTTTTTTTTTTAAGAACCTACAGTTATGAAAACTAACTGGAAAGAAATGGGTTTTGGGAAAGATTGAGTACATTTTTGTGATGTTCAACATTATTTTTTCTTACAGTTTTAAAAACACAATTGATATTTCTATCAATTTGACTTAAAAAAATTAAGAACTATATTAAAATTTACCAGCAGAGGGGAGTGAAGGAACACAAAGCAACTTTCAGTTTAGGGTAATTTTTGGGCATAAACAGGGCAGCAATGTCCTCAACTCTATTCTTCTTTATTAGCCAGTGAATCCATGTGAGCTCATTAAATGTTATTAACAGCTCAGTCTATAATGGAGGGCAAATAAAGAGACTTGTAGGTCACAAAGGTATTGACTTTTGATCAGAAGTTCCAGGGGGCGAGAAGAATGAACTAACTCCATGCATTCTTTTTTTGTTTTTGTTTTTGTTTTTTTTTGAGACGGAGTCTTCCTCTTTTGCCCAGGCTGGAGTGCGGTGGCTCAATCTCGGCTCACTGCAAGCTCCGCCTCCCAGGTTCACGCCATTCTCCTGCCTCAGCCTCCCGAGTAGCTGGGACTACAGGCGCCCACCACCACGCCCAGCTAATTTTTTGTATTTTTTAGTAGAGACGCGGTTTCCTCGTGTTAGCCAAGATGGTCTTGATCTCCTGACCTCGTGATCTGTCCGCCTCGGCCTCCCAAAGTGCTGGGATTACAGGCATGAGCCACCGCGTCCGGCTCCATGCATTCTTATGGCCACATTTTTCCAGTTTGAAGTTTTATTTTCTGAGTTTCTTGAAACAATTGTGAAATCAGTTTTATTACACTAAAATCACTGTATTTTCTTATTTTTGGATATCTATTTAAAAATATTCATTTAGAATGACATTCCAGTGAAATACATTTTTAACGGCTGTTCTATGTCACAGGGATAACAATTTGACTTTCACAAACTGTATTTCAGACGTACAAGGTCTTCATTTTGATGAAGAGGGGCTGTGGGAACGTAATCTGATGCCTGTTCAAAATGTACCAGAAGTGCACGCATGTGTATGCAGGCATGAGCGCACACACACACACACACAAAACCCCATTGGGATTCCATTTAGCACACACACACACACACACACACACAAACCCCACTGGGATTCCAGTTAGCACGCACACACACACACACAGACACACACACACAGCCCATTGGGATTCCAGTTATTTACCTCGAGATGGATGCTTGCTGATGTTCCAAAACCTCTTTAGGTCTTAAGGCAAAGGGCCTTTTGAATGCAAAAACCCTTACCTAGATGGAATAGACAGCAGCAATCATTGTCAACAACCTGAAATATATATTGAGTAGTTCCCATGCTAGACATTAGAGACATAAAGATGCAGAAGAGGCCATCGCCTTAAGGGAAATAATCCCGTTCAGACAAATGAGAATACATTGTGTAATGAGCTATCTCTTATAGAAAAGATGAAGACCAATCACCAACAGACCAGAATTCCAATATTTCACCAACTTGTAATATTATTCCAACTTCTCCTTCACATTCACTTAATTCTCATAGAGCAGTAACCAGAGTTTTGTGTTCTTTTTCTTTTTCTCTTCTTCTTCTTTTTTTTAAAAAACAAAGTCTTGCTTTGTCGCCCAGGGTGAAGTGCAGTTGTGCGATCTCGACTCACTGCAGCCTCCACCTTTTGGGTTCAAGAGATTCTCATGCCTGAGCCTCTTGAGTAGCTGGGATTACAAGCATCTGCTACCATGCATGGCTAATTTTTGTCTTTTTAGTAGAGACAGGGGGTTTTATCACATTGGTCAGGCTGGTCAGTTTTGTGTTCTTACTAGAGAGTTCTACTCTGTTATGTCAGAGAAGGAAAATGTCTTTTGATTTCATTTCAATGAAATGTCTATTCATTAATTACATCTTCATTGGCATTTCATACAGGATTAAGACTATCTTCTTTGCCTTAATGGTATACTGTGTGCATTGTTCCTTACCCATCGTAGCAGCTTTGAAGGTCTTTTATCCATATTGGTATTTTCCAGTACCAGAAAACCAAGTCTTGAAAGAAGGACTTCATGTCTTATCCATGGACACGCCATGGTTCCAGAATGTGTTGTCAGTTGATAAGATAGGCTTGATTTGTTACTGGTCTTAATGAGGGCTTTAGGTCAGCACACCAGGCAATGTAGGAGTTCTGGGACTGTTAGGGAAGGCCTGATGGAGAAAATGGAATGTTAGCTGGGCTTTAAAGAGAAAGTAGAAATTAGATCACTGGGGGAGGGGGTAATGTAAAAAACATTCCAGGTAAGAGAAAGTGCTTAGCAAGTAAGAAAGCATCCAAAATATTAGAAAGTACCAGGCTGGTGCAGTGGCTCACACCTGTAATCCCAGCACTTTGGGAGGCCAAGGCAAGTGGATCACTTGAAGCCAGGAGTTCAAGACCAGCCTGGCCAATATAGTGAAACCCTGTCTCTACTAAAAATACAAAAGTTAGCGGGGCATGGTGGCATGAACCTGCAGTCCCAGCTACTTGTGGGGCTGGGGCTGAGGCTGAGAATCTCTTGAACCTGGGAAACAGAGGTTGCAGTGAGCCGAGATCACACCACTGCACTACAGCCTGGGCAACAGAGCGAGACTCTGTCTCAAAAAATAAATGAATAAATAAGTAAAATAAAAAATAAAATGCTTACAGGAACTTCAACCACAATTTTTCTTGTTCACTGATAGTAAATCTAATAGAGAATTCAGGATTTATCTTACACTTGAAATTTTGTTACTGATTACTGAAAAATTATCTACAAGCACCCAATTGTGAGTTTTACAGAAACCTGGTCTCAGGAGTTATGAACCAAAGATTCACCAGTGGACTCCGCAGAGTTTTCAGATCCCCTGAAATCATGTGCTAGGTGCTGACTGCATTTTTCTGGAGAGGCTATAATGGTTTTCATTCATCTGATTCCTCTCAAATGGTAAAAATCACCAGTGGAATGGAGCCACACATCCTGTAGCAGAAACTTCTAAAAAACCAGGAAAAAGATGAAACGTGGTACCATGTACCTGCTCAGCCTCTACAGATCCTGCTTCCAGAAGTTGAAACAAATTCTTAAAACTTGCACAACTTTTTTTCTAGTGCTTGAATGACCTCTAGTGGCTCCTTAAATTATCACAGCCAATTGCTCACAGCAGGAAATAGGTTGATGTAAAAGAAATTCACAGATTTTGCCATTAAAAGTAACGAACTAAAGAACTAAAAGGTGTGGAGAAATAATAAAATTAAGATGGCATCACAAAGGAGCACCTGGCTCAATTTCAAGTTATTATATAAGCTCCCTACTATCCAACCAAATGTAGTTCACAATACAGTGTGTGTAATTCAAAACAGTTCACCAGATAGTTCAGTACACACCATTTTTTAAATGAAATAAGTATGATTTTCCCTAAGGTCTTGCATTTCAAATTAATAAAGCATCAGCAAACACCCATGAAGAGAACAGTACCGGAATCAAAGATACAAGAACCTCGGGAATTAACACCCACCCTTTCCTCTCAGTTGAGGCAGGACCAGGAATACAACGTTGACAAAGTATAACTGGAGTAGCAGAAATACTTTGAGAATACAAACTGGCCACAGAACTCAACCTGAGTGAGCACAAGTAACAAATATGGTCCAGGAACTGCTGGGCCAAACTCTCCAAGTGGGAGTGCAGCAGCCGCAACAGCAAGTACCAGTAGAACAAGGGCAGCACATCACCCAGGGTGACAAGCAGGTCCCAGATTACTTCACATGCCCTCTGCCCAGTCCCTTGAGAATTCCTGCAGCAGCAAAACATACCATCTTCCAGGCACTGCTACAGGGAGTCCCAAGCATACTGATACACTTTCATTCACTTATTTCAAAATATTTGTCAGTATCTAGATATACACAAGACACTGTCTAGGCACGGGGGTGGAGTGTTGAACAAGACAATTCACAATCCCTGTTCCAATGGAGCTTGTAGTCTAGTATGGAAAGAGAAATAAATACATAAAATGCCAGGTGGTGATATATGCTGTGAAAAAGATCAAGTAGAACAAGGGGTTTGGAAATTACAGGGTGCCCATAGTATTCTTTTCTATAAGTTGATCATCTCAATTCAGACTAGCTGTTCTTCAAGCACTCAATAGCCACAGTGGCTGGTGGCTACTATACTGGATAGTGGAACACATCTGAAACTATCATCCATGCCTTTTTAATTCACAATCTTTATCCTCTTTCTTTCTGAATCCTAAGAGAATTCATCCAACTGATCTTCAAATTCACTAACTCAGCTTCCTAAAGTATCCATAATCTACTGCAACTACTGAATCATTTAATTCAACAGTCATATTTTACATATTCAGAGGCTCTTTCTTCACAGCTTCTGAGCAACAAATGCCTGCTCTGACGATGCATGAATATCCTCTAAAATCTTGGGACTTTGTCTTGGACTTTATGTTCTCTCCCATCTTCTACAGCTACTCCATCTCACTGGAGACCTTTTGCTCTGAGCCATCAGAAGGAACCCCCATTTTTAAGATCCTAAGCCTTCTCATCTTCCTGGTAATACTGCCCTATATGCTCAATCTTTTAGATAAAAATCTACTCGACACATCTCTGAGAACCAAGTTGGGTACCATCAGTAATCACACAGGTCACAATTCATTTATTTTAGGCCCCCCAAAAAAGGAAAAAATTAGACTTAGTGGCATTTTACTAGTAGCTCAGAGATCCAACAGTTTGCAGGAAATAGAGATGTAATTGTAAGCAAGGGAAATACAGTGAAATTATATTAATCTCCACCCAGACACTGTAAGGCCAGCTGGTATACTATCCCAGCAATTGGCTACTGCAGTGAATGGCACAGAGAGAAAAGTTTCCAATTCCTCTTGAGGCTCCAAATACCAATTGGCTACTATAGTGGACAACACAGACATAGAAAGTTTTCCAATTCCTCTTAAAGCCCCAAATACCACACAACCAGCTTCAGCTCTACAAAATCCTCTCTCCCTTACCCTTTTTAACTTCCTTCAGGACCTCTTGCTATTTCCCCTAAAAAGCCTTGGTTCTTTTCACCTACACTGACTCTTGAGCCTCTCCCAGTTCAAGGTATAACACTCTATTACCAATAAAGTGTAATATACATTAACAGAATAGGTAGAAAGTAATCTTTCATACGAAAACACTAAAAGCCAGAAGAATTTGAATTTTGAATTATAAGCTATGATTTAATTAGGAAATACATTAGCTGTAACAAAATGTTGGACAGACTACAAGAAAACGGGAAATGAACAAGTCTTATTCAAAAACAAATGAAATAATGATGAGTAGGGTTCACGAGCCTTGTTAACTCTGCTGTGCCATTTTAATGATGGACTACATTGTAAATGAGCCGCTATGTTTAAGCCTAAAGGTCTGTTGAGGTGATAAGTTTTTGAACAATTTCCACAATCCCACAAAGAAAAGTCAAGTGAAGGTCAAGGAAAGCCACATGTTCTAAATTACAGAATCAACAACAGTATTTCTTGTCATTCATCACATTTCAGTCATAAAAGACATTACCTCAACAACAGGTGTATTTTCCTGGAGATCAGTTTTGTGCGAAGCCAGTAAACCAATCACCCGAGCAACCTTGGCCCATCTGTAAACGGAGAGAAAACAGGCTCTGAAGAGAAGAGTCAGGGACTGAGGAAACTAACCCCAGCTAGTTACATTATGCAATGATGAGCATTAGATATAAGACTGTGAAATAAAAATTGAATGTGACAGGTCAGGCCCACACTCCCCCATGTACACAGCCCAGAGAAACTCTCCCTCGTATACACAGGGAGACATGAACTGTAATGTCTGCTGTAATTCTGCAACAGCAACAAAATTTAAACAAGTTATGGTGTAATAGTAAAAGGAAAAACAAAATTTGTTAAAAGCCTTAACCAGAGAAAAGAGCAACACAGTAATTAATCATTTTATTGCTGAGTACAGAGGCATTTGGCTAAAGGTCTCTTTTCTACTTGTTAGTAGATCAGTGAGTTTCTACGTAAGTGTTAAATATCTGAACAATAACATATCTGTATGTATTCATTTTAAAAGAAATTTTTACAATCAAAAGTTTCTAAAATATTGTATTATTTCCATAATCACTAGTCTTAATGAGGTGTGCCTTTAGTATCCAGCAGAAAACTGAATTTGATAAATCACAATTAATAAATCACATTCAGTGTGATTTGAAAAGGTATTTCATGCAGAAAAATTAGTTTTGATGAGAATTTTTTCTAATTGAAACAAATGGTGAGTTGATGAGAACTGCACTCATTGAGTGATGTCTGCATGTTGTCTGGAATAATCAATATGTACCTTAGTCAGCTTTTATTTTTTACCTTCTTAAAATAAACCTATGTGGCACCCATGGAGGAAAACAAATCAGACTCAGAGAAGTACTTCAGGGAAAATGTCTGCGTTATCACAACTCTAACATACAGAAATAATTCTTAGAAATTTCAACACTTATTAAATTGCCCATTAAAATTTCTTAACATATACAAATTAAAGAAGACCTAGGCAATTGTAGAACTAGCATCCTACCTCTGAATAAAAAGATTATAGTTTAAAAGTAATCATTTTGAAAAATATCTGTAGGATAATTGGAAAAGCCATCCTCCCACCACAACCCCCCAAGTAGCTGGGACTACAGGCGTGCACCACCACGCTCAGCTAATTTTTTTACTTTTTGTAGAGATGGGGTCTCGCTATGATGCCCAGGCTGGCCTTGAGCTCCTGACAAACAATCCTCCCATCTCAGCCTCCCAAACTGCTGCGATTACAGGTCTGAGCCACTGCACCTGCCTGTCTATCTCTTTTCAAAGACAAGCTCAAAATACTTTTGAAACACTGAACCATTTTTCAATCTATAAAAGTAAATAATGGCTACCAGATTTAATCAATGGAAATAAAAATGTATCAACAAGCCAATTATTTTCCCTAATATGACCAAAACAATTCCTATTAGAACAAAAGAAAACACACTACCTAAAAACCCTATACTTTTAAAATAGAAACTTTAAATAGCTTATGAATAGTCACTTTTTACCAAAATCCTAAATACAAGTACCACATGCCCCATAGACAACACCCTCACAGTACAGGTTCCTTCTCAAAATTCAGGTTTTCTCAGGTCACCACTCCAGGTGCCCCCAGTGACTTGACACTGTACCTCAGAACCAACCCATCTCCATGACGGCATCTAAGGCACCACTGTCTACCAAACCTTCGTGCACTGACAAATGTCCCACATCTGCACTGTTCAATCCAGTATCCACTAGACACATGACTATCAAGCACATAATATATGACACATGCAAGTGAGGAACAACAAATTTTATTCAAATTAATTTTTTTTTTTTTTTTTGGAAGACAGGGTCATCCAAGCTAGAGAGCAGTGGCGCAGTCTCCGCTCACTGCAATGCCTCCCGGGCTCAAGTAATCCTCCCAATTCAGCCTCCCAAGTAGCCGGGACTGTAGGTGTGTGTCACCACACCTGGCTAATTTTTGTATTTTTAGTAAAAACAGGGTTTCACCATGTTGTCCAGGCTGGTCTTGAACTCCTGAGCTCAACTGATCTGCCCACCTCAGCCTCCCAAAGTGCTGGGATTATAGGCGTGAGCCACTGTATTTGGCCTTAATTTTTATTTTAAAAATTACCCCCACAGTTGAGGGTGAGGGAGACAGTGCCCTGGGGTAATTACTCATCTTTCATGTGCCTAGTCCTGGTTACCTCGTAAGTAGGACCGATAACAATACATACCGCATGTTGTTAAAAGAATCAAAGGAGATAATCCATGTGCAGAAAGTACCATTGTGTCCGACAATACATGCTGAATGAGTAAGCTACTATTAATTTAACTAATTTAAATAACCCCCATGAAGTGAATGGCTACCACATTAGAGCAGAACTAAAATTTTGCAGTTACTTATTCATTCATTGACTGGTTTATTGTCTGTCTCCTCGACCAGCCCAGAAGATCCATGAAGGCAGGACTGTATCCCAATCGCCACTGTGACACCTAGACAGTGCTTGGAGCGCACTCGGGCATCTAAAAATGTTGGTTGAACAAATATATCAACATCAAAAGCAAAATAAACACATTAGTAGGAAAGGAGTGCATAAAAGTATGGCTGTCCAAGGCAAACAAAATGCAAACAGGATTGCCAATGTAAATCTCAGCAGAATTCAAGGCTAAACTCTTCAGAAGAAGATTCCCTTTAAACGAAACACCATATGACCTACAGAAGATCTAAGATGTGAATCTTTATACACCAAATAACAAAGCACGCAAAGTAAACCCATGGTAGTGGTAAACTTCAATTTTCTTCTCTTCCAAGCACAGAGAGAAGGCAATAACGAATATATTAATCAATACATTCACACATTCAAGCATTCTAAATAAAACTAATGAAGTCAAAGTAACAGACGTATCTATCAAACTCTACACCCTACAAACAGTGACCACCCTTACTCAGTGGGAGGCTGCATAGGATGGTGTCTAACACTCTAGAATTCAAAGTCTTGGACCTAGCTCTGGCCCACCATTGGAGGTGAGGGAGACAGTACCCTGGGATAATTACTCATCTTTCATGAGCCTGGTTTCATGTTGTTCTAAGAATCAGGAGATAATCCACATGCAGAAATTACCACTGTGTCCTGACAATTTGTGCTGACTGAGCAAACTACTAGTACTACATTATTATCAATAGTTGACTACATTCATGGCATACATTAAAAATGATTTTATATTGGACCACAAAGAAAAATTATTAGAATTCCCTAGGGCAGAAATTATAAAGGACTCATTTTGATGTAGTAAAAGGAAAAAAGTAAAAATAACAAATACAAACCAAAAAACCTAAACACGTGTGGAGTTAAAAGCACTTCTCCTGGGCATGGTGGCTCACGCCTGTAATCCCAGCACTTTGGGAGTCCAGGGCAGGCTGATTACTTGAGGTCAGAAGTTCAAAACCAGCCTGGCCAACATGGTGAAATGCCATCTCTACTAAAAAATACAAAAATTAGTCAGGCGTGGTGGTGGGCGCCTGTAATCCCAGCTACTTGGGAGGCTGAGGCAGGAGAATCGCTTGAACCCAGGAGGTGGAGGTTTCAGTGAGCCGAGATCGTGCCACTGCACTCCAGCCTGGGCAACAGAGTGAGACTCCGTCTCAAAAATAAATAAATAAATAAAATAAAGCACTTCTAAACCTTATACATCATATTAAAAAATAAAAACTTTGGCCAGGTACAGTGGTTCACACCTGTAATCCCCAGCACTTTAGGAGGACAAGATGGAAGGATCACTAAGGCCAGGAGTTCAAGACCAGCCTGGCCAACAAAGTGAGACCCTGTCTCTAAAAAAAAAAAAAAAAAAAAAAAAAATTTAATTTAGCCAGGCATGGTGGCATGTACCTGTAGTCCCATTCCAGTCTGGGGAACACAGTGAGACCCTATTTTTTTTTAGAGTGAGTCTCTAAAAATAATAATAATAATAAATACATAAAAGAAACAAAAGGAAAAATAAAAGGGAAAGGGAAAGAAATAAAGCATCCCTAAATCACAATCGTGTAAGTAACACAGATGCAAACTTATGAGATATTCTCTGTCTTTAATGATTGCACACTGAACACTTGACACTCACTTTTCTGAACCCTCCAGAGTCTCTAAAATACAAGCTCTTTTTATTAAATGATAATTGGAAACAAAAAGGAGGGCTAAAAGTGGACTAGAAAGTTTGAGAAAATCTCAGATGACATGCACAAATAGAATTAAGACTGACAGAGAATCAACAAAGGAATCCCCTGTCTAAGAACCACAGGTAGACAGACGTTCCCAAGGAAGCCTCAGGGACTTGGAATAAACTAAGACAAAAAGAAAGAATGAGCCACAGGACAATAATCAGATTAAACAACTGCACAAGGAAAAATTGTGTCCTTGTACAAGGAACAGCAGAGCCAATCAGGTCCTGTCTCTTTTCCATCTCCCTTCCCTGGTACACAGAATAAACCCTGCAGCCCTGGCCTCCTGAGTAAATGTGGAAAATCATTCCTACAGTGAGCAATCCACCTTGCTCACTGGATGGATGGATGTGGGAAGCAGCAACTGTGGTCCTCCAGATACCGAAGCGGGGAAGGGAATAAATGAGGAAAGCCAGCTCCACTGCAAAGAAAAACCCACCCTGGCAATTGCAGAGGCCTCCAGCCTGCCTACTGATCTTCAGCCAGCTGGAATCCCAAATTAAAGTCAACCAGTCAACAGGCCTCACCTACCCACATACCAGCCCTTTCTTTAAAGGAGAAGCTATTGGAGAAAGAGACTTAGGCAAGAATAAAGGAAACTCATATTGCCAACTTCTATACCAATCAATTTAATCATTTATTCATAATATAAATGAAGAACCAGAGATCACCAGGCATTTGAGAAATAAACAGCATTAAAAAGCAGGACCATGATGAAAAAGAAGTGACCTGCAAGTTCAAGAGATAAGAATACAATGTTCATAATCCTAATTTTGTTCCCTTTTTTTCAAAGTCCAGGTTCCAGGCTTATATTATATAATCCTAATGTTTAGCCTTAAATATTAATAACAATATTTAATTCTAAATTCTGCTCCAAGATGAGGATTTTTATAATCCTAATATTTATCCTCAAATTCAAAAGTATATTATATACCAAATATAGGCAGCTAGGAAAAAGGACCAATCAGAGAAAAAGAAAATGAACAAAAACTTTCAAATATGATTGTTGAAATTAAAAAATTAACTGGAAATCCTAAATAATAAAATGAGTGGGGATAAATATCAAGTTTGAGAGCTCAAAGATAAAGTCAAGGAAGAGCAATAAAAGAAGAAAGTTTGCATGGACACAAAGAGGGAACAATCGACACGGGGGCCTATTTAGGGTGGAGGGTGGGAGGAGGGAGAGGATCAGAAAAAATAACAATTGGTCCTTACCAAGCTTAGTGCCTGGGTGACCAAATAATTCATACAACAAACCCCCATAACATGAGTTCACCTATATAACAAACCTGCATGTGTACCCCTGAACCTAAAATAAAAGTTTAACAAAGAGACTTTGGCAGTTCTTCAAAAGGTTCAACACAGAGTTACCATTTTATCCAGCAATCTCACCACTGTAGGAGAAATAAAAACGTATATGTTCACACAAAACCCTGTGGACAAATGTTCAGAGCACCATTATTCATAATAGCCAAATGTGGAAACAACCCCAAATGTCCATCAAGACCACATAAGCAAAATGTGGAATAGCCATACAAAGATTATTCAGCTAGAAAAAGAATGAAGTACTCACACATTCCACCATACGGAGGAACCTTGAAAACATTATGCTAAATGACAGAAGCTAGACACAAAAGGCCACACACTGTATGATTCCATTTATATGAAATATCAAGAATAGCAAATCAGCTGACAAGAAGTAGATTAGTTGTTGCCAGGGGTTGGAGAAGAATGGGTACTGGGTTTCACTGGGTGAGAAAACTGTTCTCAAATTAGATAGTGGCAATGGTTGAACAGTTTTCAATATACTGACACCTACTGAACTGTACACATTAAAATGGTGAATTTTATGGTATGTGAATTATATCTCAATAAACAAGAGAAAGTGAGAAAGCAAAAGAAAATTTGAAAGAAGAGTCATGAGACACAAACTCCCACACCCATCCTGTAGGGGTTTCAGGAACAGAAAAAGGGTGAAATAGAGAGGAAGAAATCTAGGAAGTAATATAATAGCTAAAGGAGGGGTGAGGAGGCTGGGCATTGTGGCTCACACCTGTAATCCCAGCACTTTGGGAAGCCAAGGCGGGAGGATCACATGAGGTCAGGAGTTCGAGACCAGCCTGGCCAACATGGTGAAAACCCATCTCTAAACTAAAAATACAAAAATAAGCTGGGCATGGTGGCGTACAACTGTAATCCCAGCTACTTATGAGGCTAAGGCAGGAGAACTGCTTGAACCCGGG
The DNA here is from genome assembly GCF_000001405.40 of Homo sapiens. NCBI lineage: Eukaryota > Metazoa > Chordata > Mammalia > Primates > Hominidae > Homo > Homo sapiens. Next base: position 2,294,034 of record NW_011332701.1, on the reverse strand, counting down.
AGGCGGAGGTTGCAGTGAGCCAAGATTGCGCCACTGCACTCCAGCCTGGGCAACAGAGCAAGACTCTATCTCAAAATAAATGGAAAGAAAAGAAGGGAAGGAAGGGACGGGAGGGGGGAAGGAAGGGACGGGAGGGAGGGAGAGAGAGAGGAAGGGAAGAAGGAAGGAAGGAAGGAAGGAATTAAGGAAGGAAGGAAGGAAAGAAGGAAGGAAGGAAGCAGGCAGGCAGGCAGAAGCAAATTAGTAAAAAGAGATGGCAGGCAGGCAGGCTGAAGCAAATTAGTAAAATGAAATTCCTAGAGACAATCTAGTAAAATTTACAGGCCTGGAATAAAAAGAAAAGCTAACTCAAACAAGACCTACAAAATAGGGAGGAAAAAAGAAGGTAAGGTTGACTCCCAAGTCCTACAGAGCTACAGTTAGTAAAGAGAAGACAGCTCAAACTCCAAAGCATGGCACAGAGGTAAGCCACTGAGAGGCCTTCTTGAAAACAAAACAAAACAAAAAATCTACCAGCTGGGTGCGGTGGCTCACACCTATAATCCCAGCACTTTGGGGGGCCAAAGCGGGTGGATCACCTGAGGTCAGGAGTTCAAGACCATCTGGCCAACACGGTGAAACCTCGTCTCTACAAAAATACAAAAATTGCTGGGCATGATGGCAGGTGCCTGTAATCCCAGCTACTTGGGAGGCTGAGATGGAATGATCGCTTGAACCTGGGAGGCAGAGGTTGCAGTGAGCCGAGATCACGCCACTGCACTCCAGCGTGGGCGACAGAGCGAGACTCAATCTCAAAAAAAGAAAAAAAAATTGGCAAATGACTTGACTAGACCTTTCTCCAAGGAAGATATACAAATAGCCAACAATCACAAAAAAAGATGTTCAACATCACTAGTCACAAAATACAAATCAAACCCATGAGATACTAACTTCATACCCATCAGGTGTGAAAACACTAATGTTCATAGCAGCATTGTTCACAATAGCCAAAAGATATAAACAAGCCAGTGCCCAACAACAGATGAAAAGATAAACTGTGGTATATTACATACAAAGGGATATTATTCAGCCTTAAAAAGGAATGAAATGCTGACACATGTTAGTTACAACATGGATAAACCTTGCAAATGAAACCAGCCCAATTGTCCTATAGAACTGATGTTTACAGTCTTTTAAAATAAAGATAGAAATTGACCCTCCCAGTCTTAAAACTTGAGAAAGTTACATTTGTCTTATCTGAGTTCCTTTCTTGGGAAACCAACCATCAGGCCTCCCAGATAGTTATCAAGGAACTGAAACTTACCAGATCACCACATCTGGACCATAAGACACCAGACCACCTCACCCATCACAATTGCCTAACCAACTACCTGCTTCCTGTCGACCAACTCCTCTCCCTCACCCTTCCCTAACTCCTGTTTTCCCATACATGGTTACATTTCTTCCCTGCTAAATAAACCTGTGGTTTTAGTCAGTCGAGGAGACAAATTTGAGATTGATCTCCCATCTCCTTAGCTGCAGCACCCAATTGAAGCCTTGTTCCCTAGCAACACTCATCGTCTCCGTGATTGGCTTTCTGCGCTGTGAGCAACAGGACCTAGACCAAACCCCTCGATGTTTCAGTAGCAATATGAGGTACTCACCATAAGCAAATTTACCAAGATAGAATAAGTAGAGTATAGGTTACCAGGACTGGGGAAGGGAAAGGAAAGGGGAAGTTATGTTTAACGGGTAAAGAGCTTCTGTTTAAGATGACGAAAAAGTTCTGGAAATGAATAGTGGTGATGGTTACACAACAATGGGAATGAACTAAATGTCACTGTACACATAAAAATAGCTAAAATGGAACATTTTAAATTATGTGTAATTTACAAGTAACACATTTTAAAGTTACAGTATTACACTATTACTATATATGAATTATACCTCATAAAGTTGATTGGCAAGGATAAAAGGATATACAATTTGATAAATACTCAACGTTGGAAGTTCTAACAAAAGGCATTTTAAACACATTGACTGGGATTATCTATTGATACAATGTTTTTTTAAGAGTATTTCAGCAATTTTTCAGAAGTCACAAAGATATTTACTGCCTTCTACCCATTTGTTCTAGTTCTATGAATCTTTCCTAAAGGGAAAAAGAAAAAGCGGGCACGAAGATTTAATCTCAAAAATGTTCATCAAAATGTTGTTTACAACATTATAATACTATCCAAAAATAGTAAACAAAATGATCAGATATTCACAACATATAAAACGTTTACCTTAAGTATTATGTATTTTATTTTAAAATGTTGATAACATTTAAAATACATAATATATATGTTATGGGGGAAAACAAACATAAAAAACTATATCATGTGATTCTAATTTTTTATAAGCAAAACAAAACTAAGTATCTACTTCAATAATAATTATCTCCCAGACTAAGTTAAGGACCCTTTATCATATGCTATCAAGGTAATATAACCTGAGGTCAGAGAAAACCTCGCTGGAAGTGGCTTTGGATGGAGAAAGAGAATAAAAGAAGATTCCTACCAGAGAACTTGTCTACCTCAGTATCATTTTATTCAAATTAAAACTGTTTTACAATCAAACCTCAATTTTTAACAGTGGGGGAAAAAACAGTATGTGTTAATTTTAGTATCCAAGGGGATACTAGAACCATTCTCCTGGCTGATACAGAGGGATGACTGTTCTCGGAAATGATTTGGAATGTCTGTCTGAAAATGTCAGCAGGGAGCACCCCATTCAGGTATATAACACGTTTTAAATAAAAGTGTTTAGATACATATTTCATTGATTCATTTTTAATGAGCATACCATAAGCCTTCTCAAAGTATTAAATGCTCAACCATTACCTAAAAATCCTACTTTCTATTACCAGATTTTATTTTGCGAGAGTAACATTAGAAGACGTATAATAAGAATTACCCTTATTATTAAACATTTTCTAAACTCCTATTGTTTCACCCATATTTCACCAGCATAGAAGAATAATTATTATACCACTGCCACAATTCACAAAATCCTTTCACCTCCGTTTTTTCATGTGCCTGTCCTAACAATCATGAGATAAGCAAGCTTCATGATAATAACTACAACTTCTACAACCCCAACCCCACTGTCAATGAAATACCCACTAAGAATCAGGCACTATACGGCCAGGCACGGTGGCTCATGCCTGTAATCCCAGCACTTTGGGAGGCTGAGGTGGGCAGATCACGAGGTCAGGAGATCGAGACCACGGTGAAAAAAATTAGCCGGGCGGGCGTGGTGGCGGGCGCCTGTAGTCCCAGCTACTAAGGAGGCTGAGGCAGGAGAACGGCGTGAACCCGGGAGGCGGAGCTTGCAGTGAGCTGAGATCGCACCACTGCACTCCAGCCTGGGTGACAGAGGGAGATGCCGACTCAGAAAAAAAAAAAAAAGAAAGAAACAGGCACTATACCAGGTATCTCACATATTTACCACATTCAAAGTTGAATAATTACCAAAAATCTATGAAGTAGTTATCCCATCCCAATTTTACAGATGAGGAAACTGCGGCTCAGCAATTAAAGTAATTGGCCCAGAAAGCGGATCTTTGATCCACACCCAGGTCTGTCTGAATCCTAAACCTATGCCATTTCCTTGTCCCACCCACACTCCCCAGGAAACAGAGATTGAGAAAAAGATAATCATTTGGCCAAGTCTTATAGGCAACAGGAACCCAGAGCCTTCTAACACTTGATCTACGGTGCTTTCCACCTGGTATGTTGCTTCTATAAAAAGTAAGGACACTTCCTTCCATCGGGAGTTTATAAATCATAATTAATCTCATTAGATTATAAATAACATCATAGGGAAGCTATGTGCTACATAGGGACAGATAAGGGTGCCCAAGGGAAACTTTGAGGAAGTATAACTAAATTAATACACAGGGATCAGGGTTGAAGTATTTTATAACCAATACTCAAAACAGTAACAGTTAGCCTGGCGCAGTGGCTCACGTCTGTAATCCTAACACTTTGGGAGTCAGAGATGGGAGAATCACTTGAGCCCAGGAGTTGGAAACCAGCCTGGGCAACATAGTGAGAGACCTTGTCTCTACGAAAATAAAAAAACAACAACAGTTAATAAAGTTTCCAGGAGTAGCTTAGATAATCCCAGAATCGTATCTATATTAGGAGAAGGGCTATTTTTAAATATTCTAAAGTTTATAATTGGAATGCCCATAAAAATTGCCTATGAGTAAATTCATCATTACATCAGGAAAATTTATGATAATTACTTAGGACTCTGCTTTTGATAAATATGTATGCTGTAACTACTTAATAAAACCATGAGAAATAATTTTTAAAATGTAAATGTTACTTACATATCGCAGTTTGCAGCTATCCACAAATGCTGGATTAGCAATTGGAACTAGAATAAAAAATGTAAATGTAAAAAAAGAAAAAATTAAAATATTTAAGTCATGAAACACAGAAAGTGACAGCAAAGTTAAAAACTCAGATCTTTATAAAAAGGAAATTTATACTGTACACCAAAAATGATATTTGCTAAATTACAAAGGCACTTGTATACGAATAAGATTAAAATAAAAACTAAGAACAGTACTTTTAGTTTCTCCTACCACTTTATATTCTCTAAATGACAGCCCTTACCTGATAGACACACGCCAACTATCAAAAAAAGCAATCTTAATACCATCCTGGAAGCAAGTGAACTTACATTTTTTTCAAGCCAATTCCCAAATGAGGGCCCACTACAGAAAACACCTCCGAACCACTGTAATTCCTTTCTGAGGATGACTCCAAACACTCTGCCAATCGATGCTAAACATGAGCCAAAAGAAACAAAAAAACTCTGACAAATTCCCATGAGCTTACCAATGGACCAAGATTGTCCAAAAAGTAATATTCCCAGAGGATAGGAAAAAAATGTCTTAGAGGGTTGATGTCTGCCTTCAATGTCACAGCAGAAACCTTGCAGTTTACCAGATGACCCAGTAAAGGAACCAACACCCACAACCCGTTCCACATGGGCAGTTAATTCCAGTCACTGATGAGAAGGGAAAAGGTCTGTCTTATGATATCACATTTTTTTTTGTTTGTTTTTTGTTTTTATTTTTTGAGATGGGGTTTCGCTCTTTTTGCCCAGGCTGGGGTGCAATGGCATGATCACGGCTCACTGCGACTTCTGGCTCCTGGGTTCAAGTGATTCTCCTGTCTCAGCCTCCCAAGTAGCTAGGATTACAGGAGTGCACCACCACGCCCTGCTAATTTTGTATTTTTAGTAGAGATGGGGTTTCGCCATGTTGGCCAGGCTGGTTTCAAACTGCTGACCTCAGGTGATCCACCTGCCTCGGCCTCCCAAAGTACTGAGATTACAGGCGTTCATTCCAGTCACTGATGAGAAGGTAAAAGGTCTGTCTTATGATATCACGCCCGGCCTGATTTCACATATTTTTTAAAAATCTTACAAGTTAACATAAAATGGAAACCTGAGTATTACAAACAACAACAACAACAAAAAGTTCAAAATCACCGTCTACTCTTATCTACTTTAAGACGTAAGGATTAAGCAGAGGATAATTTGCATAAACCTAAAATCGTGATAAATCAGTTTTTTCATGGTAGTTAAATCAAATTGCTATTTTAGCACTTGTTTGAGCCTCTATAAAAACATAAATTTAAATGCATAAGTCATGTCACAGAGGCCTACCAGCGGGGAAAGGAGGAGCCTGGTGGCCACCTCCTGGTGACCAGCCACCACGCACAAACAGCAAAGGAGATTAAACTTGGCTCAGGAGGTCCCCGAGCTCTTCTCACTGGAGTCGATCTGCGAGCACACTTGTTACAAAAAGTCATTCCAATCTTGGTCTTTCAGAAATTATAACTTATCCATTGCCAAGGAAAGAAAATAACAAAAGTATGATGATGAGAAAAACAACTGCTGGAAACATTACATGAGAAATAAACACAGAGTTACGACAGCTAAGATGAGGACAAAGAAAACATTACTCTGTCAACACCAAAAATACTCCAAAGATGACACTACTTCTATTTGTCCTTCTATATTCCTCATCTCTTTATCTATCCATGGAAACTTTTTAAACACTTCAATGGAAAACTATGCTTTCAAACCAAGCAGATGTCTAAAGCAGAATTGTCTCACAACCTAGATTATAACAAAATGCAAAGTTCAATACAACTGGAGTAAAAGACAAAAAAGCCTTTGTATAAATAAATCAACTCTCAGATATTGAGAAAAGCACAAACCACACAGTTATTAAAAAGTTCCAATGAAATTACTGTAAAAAAATAACGAGGATAACATGATAGCTAAAATCACCTGAAATTCCTACCTCCAAATCCCTATAAAAAAAGGGCAAAATCTAGGAAATGTGATACTCCCTAAAATTTTTTGCTAACATGTTTTTGCTGATCTCAATCTTTAGACAAAGAAATTGTAAATATAATTTCCTAAGTAACTCAAAGAAGAAAAAGGAAATAGTATTTCCCGATAATAATTCTCTAGGTTTGCATAAATAGACCTACTTGGCACTGAAAGCACTATTAATATTTTGCTTCACTTTGGTCTTTCAAAAACGTCCTTCTACACAGGTTTTTTTGGTTGTTTTTATCACTAATTAAGTTGACTGATATAAACCCTTAGCTGGTTTATTTAAACCTAAATATATTTTAAATTTACTTCAAATCATAGATTCTACTCTAGCCACAATGAATAATTTTCCCCAAATTGAGTTTAACAGCTTAAAATATAATTTGTTAAAAAAAAAAAAAAGTTTAAGGTATGTAAAAATTTCTGACTTTCACCCTAAATAAGATTTTCATTAGCTCAACAGAAATGTAATAATTATCCCTTAAGTATCTCCACTCCCACACCATCTCCACAGTCATGAACCACCTAGTCCCGTTCTCAAATGTCCTGGTCCCGCCAATAGAATCCCAATCCTTCCTTGTTGTCCCCAACCCTGTGCACCTACACCTGCCATAAATGGTGGAAATTCAACCAGCTCTATGAACGGAAGGGAGGAGGCCCCCCACCCACTCTACAGGAAAACTTGCCCAGATCTACAGGAACCTCCCCACACACAAGAGGACAGGGCAGCCCAGACTCAGCTGAGAAATGTCAACAGCTGGCACAAATGAATTACAGATTATTTACAATTCACATAACACTGACCCAAGAATATAACCAATTGTCAAGACAAAATAAATTTAGTTGTTCACATACAAATATTCCATTTGTGAATAAATTTCATATTCGTATCTGTATACAGACAGTCTACATGTTCGATAACTCCTTTATGATCCTACCTGAAAATGCTGGTAGATGCAATATTTTTGCATCAAATTTAACCGATGGTGGTTGTTTCATTATCTGTGGTTAAAAAAAAAAAAACTTTTGAGGCAATTTTAAAGATGGATATCTGTCTCCTTATATGTCCCTTATATCAGATAATAAATCAATGAGGACAAAAAAAGAATGTGTAAAATTTGTTACCAAAAACAATAAGAACGATGCCTTTTCAGATTAAAACATAAAATATAGATAATAATTTATTTTTTAAAATCATTTCAATTGATATCTGTAATAAAATAAAGCTTCAAAGAAAAATTTCACCCCATCCTGGCTTACTTTTTAGGTAATTTACCTCTAATTAGAAATTCAGTCTTTCAACAAATATCTATTGCTTACCTGCCAAGGTAAGGCTCTATGTCAAGTGCTAAGGGGGATACAAAGATATAAAAGACACAATCCTATTTTCAGCGAGCTGACTTTCTGGTTGGGAAGATGAGACAAACATTTGATAAACAAGAAAATATTTCACAATTCAAAAGAGGCAGGACATAACTACAGACAAAACCCTGGACAGAAAGAATTTTTTTTGTAAATAGTAGTTTAGAGAATACAGCAAGCACTTTACTTGATATAGTTGACACCGGGTTTACGGAAGAGGTAGAAGGTGGGTTGAGGTCTTGAAGGATGGCTAGAACTTTATGGTTATATCAGAGAAGACACCATTCAAGGAAGCCATAATAGCATGAATTGGAAAGTGCATAATTTATTTGAGAAATGTGAAGAAACCATGTAGTTGGATCCATGAGCTTAGGACAGCCAGATACTGCATCTTGAGACTTTTAATTAAAAATTCAACCATCATTTCTATACCTAACTTCTGCAAAACTTCTATATGTAATATTTTTAAAACCTTTACTAATTAAGTAACCAGCATTACTGTATTTACTGTAGTATTCTTACTAAAATGCATATTCTCATTCTAATCTCATAATCCAAATTCATAATCTCATTCGAGTCATGAGAAACCCTTAGACAAACCTAAATTAAGGGACATTCTTCAAAACACCCAACCAGTTACTCTTCAAAGTGTCAAGGACTTGAGTCATACGTTTTATAACATGTATTACAAAAACATACAAAGGCCAGGTGCCGTGGCTCACGCCTGTAATCCCAGCACTTTGGGAGGCCTAGGCAGGTGGATCATGAGGTCAGGAGTTCAAGACCAGCCTGGCCAACATGGTAAAACCCCATCTCTACTAAAACTACAAAACTTAGCCAGGTGCAGTGGCAGGTGCCTGTAATCCTAGCTACTCATGAGGCTGAGGCAGGAGAATAGCTTGAACCCGGTCGGCAGAGGTTGCAGTGAGCTGAGATCGCGCCACTACACTCCAGCCTGGGTGACAAAAAACAAAACAAAACAAACTAAAAGACAAACTGTCAAGGTCATGAAAGACAAGCAAAGTCTGAGAAATTCTGACAAAACCGTGAAAAACTAGGACAGACTATATGAGACTAAGGAGGCATAACAACTAACTGTAATGTGGGATCCTGGAACAAAAAAAAAGAGGACATTAGAGGCAACCGGTAAAATTCAAATGCATTTGGTAGTTAGCAGCACTATTCTCATGTTTTATTTTTCCCTTTTCAGGAAGAATTCGAAAGGAGCAGTCAGGGTATTGCATGCCATCATTACACAGAGATATGAATCAAGTATCATGCAACTCCAACTACCACATTCTACTGCCCTCCAAAAGGAGGCACAGGTAAGGATTATCCCGCCTGACTAACACTATACCAGTGTTAATTCCCAGGTTTTGCTAACTATACTATAGACCTATAAGATGTGAACATTAAGAGCAGCTGGGCAAAAGCTATACAGGGGTTCTCAACTATTTTTTAATCTTTTCTCTAAAAGTAGTTTAGAATTAAAAGTTAAACACAAAAATTTCCACTGATGAAGGCTTCCCATAAACTATCAAATATGGTTATAAGAGGAAAAAAGGAAACACAGAATATTGTGTAAAGCAAGCTTGTCCAACCCGCAGCCCGTGGGCTGCATGCGGCCCAAGACGGCTTTGAATATGGCCCAACACAAATTCATAAACTCTCTTAAAACATTGTAAGAATTTTTTTGCAATTTTTTTTATTGGTTTTTTAGTTCATCAGCTATTGTTAGTGTATTTTATGTGTGGCCCAAGACAATTCTTCTTCCAGTGTGGCCCAGGGAAGCCAAAAGACTGGACACCCCTGGGAAAGATATCACAAATTGTTCTAGAAAGCCCATTTTGAAAATGCGCCAATGCACATCAAACTTAGCATAATAAAGTTACACTGCCAGACATATGAACTCACAAAAAGAATTAGCTCCATTATGAAAAACAGCTAAATCATCTATATAAAATGCTGTCTATCTAGAAAATAAACATGAATCCAAAAACCCTTACATTGTTCTAAACCACACTAATGTTCCCAATGAGACAAGAAAAAAACAGTCATGAATTAATACAGAAAAAGATATTTAAAAAAGAAAAAGAAGGCCAGGTGTGGTGGCTCATGCCTGTAATCCCAGCACTTTGAGAGGCCGAGGTGGGTGGATCACAAGGTCAGGAGATCGAGACCATCCTGGCTTACATGGTGAAACCCTGTCTCTACTAAAAATACAAAAAATTAGCAGGGCGTGGTGGCGGGCACCTGTAGTCCCAGCTACTTGGGAGGCTGAGGCAGGAGAATGACATGAACCTGGGAGGCGGAGCTTGCAGTGAGCCAAAATCGCGTCATTGCACTCCAGCCTGTGTGACAGAGCAAGACTCTGTCTCAAAAAAATAAAAAATAAAAGTAAAACTAAAAAAAAGTAAAAGAAGCAGTAAAGTTAAAATAGAGAATAAGTAGTGGAATGTGAGTATGTTGGGGAGCTGGAAGTCAAGACAAAACAGAGGGACTTAGAAATGCATCTGTTTTTTAAAGTAAATACTCATTATCCCCCAGCAATAAAGTATTATATTCCAAAAGACAAGAAGCAAAAAAACTCACAGTGGTTTAGAAGTACATTGTGAACCATGACTCCTCAAGTTCCCATAGTGTCTCCCCACCATCTCCCCTGCAGTATTAACAACCTGTGACAGGGCAGGGCTTCCGTGTGATCTGCCTGCCCAGCCCAGCCTGGTGAGCAGTGCCCTCTGACTGCTTCTGCCTTCAAAACACATCAGAGACTAGAATACTTAGAGTGATTCACATTAGTGCAGATGGAGAAACGATGGGACTGAGAGCTAAGGTCTGAGGTCAAGAGGCTGGCAACCCCTCCGTGGCATGTGGAAGAAAGCAGTAGTGAGAAGCAGAGCTGACTCATTCAAAACAGAGGGGGGAAAACTTAGAACTCCAGTGAAGCGGAAGTGAAGGCAGAGGAAAGGGTTGCAGACAGAGCGGGAGCTGGAAATGCAGACATGCAGCACAAATGAAAGAGTAGCGGACAAGAGAAACAGGAAAGATTAGACAGTAAATAATATTCTGAATGAAAATCTTATGCAGATTTCAGATCTCAGTAAAGTCTACAACTCACTTGTCAGAGTGCTTTCTGCACCTTTGGATTGTCAATAATGGGGGTGACAACAAGATCTGAGTCGTGTAGATAAGCTCTCTCATCTGGGATTCCAGGTCCTGCTGACTCAGGTGTCCACTTGTAATCTGAAATGAGAACAAAAATTTGACTTTGTTTCTGTGACTAATATAGAGCTTTAAAACACTGAACTAATATGATGCTGAGGAAGACACCACTGTAAAATATCACCTATATCAATGTACTTCCACTGCTATTCAAGACACTTGCAGTCTCACTTGATTTTCACAAAAATCCTAAACTGTAGGTACCATAATTTCCATTTTACAGATAAAAATATAAAACTCTGAGAAAGTAACTGAATTGCTCATGTTACCATTAAAACTGGCTAGGACTACAAAAAAGATCTTTACAATTCAACGTTCTAAACTCTGATGAGGCAAACTGCTTTTTCGATTACCAGCATGGTTTTTTTTTGTTTTTTTTTTTTTTTTTAGGGATGGAGTCTCAGTCTGTCACATAGGCTGGAGGGCAGTGGTGCAACCCTGGCTCACTGCAACCTCTGCCTCCTGGGTTCAAGTGATTCTCCTGCCTCAGCCTCCCAAGTAGTGGAATTACGGGTGTGCACCACCATGCCCAGCTAATTTTTTTTTTTTTTTTTTTGAGACAGAGTCTTGCTCTGTCACCAGGCTAGAGTGCAGTGGCGCGATCTCAGCTCACCACAACCTCTGTCTCCTGGGTTAAAGTCATTCTCCTGCCTCAGCCTCTCCAGTAGCTAGGACAAGGTTTCACCATGTTGGCCAGGCTGGTCTCGAACTCCTGGCCTCAGGTGATCCACCTGCCTCGGCCTCCCAAAGTGCTGGGATTATAGGTGTGAGCCACTGCACCCGACCCATGGCTTTATTTTTCATTCATAGAATGCTGATCAATTTATTTCTGCTTTACAGAATATTCAATGTGAAGTTGAAACTGTAACATACAAAAATTTTCAGACTTAAATACAGACCGGTTACCTAAGTGTTAAACCTCAATTATTTATTAAGCCTCATTAGAGATGATACATAATAAAATCAATCACCAGACATTCACCATCAGTTATTCCTTTGAGATGGTTCTTTGTGCTCTATTTAAACATAATTTGTATTCCTAGTGCTATGCCCCAGTATTTCCCATCAGAAAAAAAAAAGGATTTATGCTTAAGAACCTTAAAAGAAACAATGACTAGCAAACTAAATAAAATAGAAAAGTAAATCAGTGAAGTAAGGAAGAAGGAAAATAAATTATCCAAAACTAGTGAGGAAGGGTCATAGATAAAGGAACAGAGTTAGCTAAGAAAATTCCTGGAAACCCAAGGTGCCCCTTGCAACTCAGATGAAAGATATACGAAAACACACAAAGAGGCCGAGGCCGGGCACGGTGGCTCAAGCCTGTAATCCCAGCAATTTGGGAGGCCAAGGCGGGTGGATCACGAGGTCAGGAGTTCAAGACCAGCCTGACCAACATGGTGAAACACTGTCTCTACTAAAAATACAAAAATTAGCTGGGTGTGGTGGCATGTGCCTGTAATCCCAGCTACTCAGGAGGCTGAGGCAGGAGAATCACCTGAACCTGGGAGGCGGAGGTTGCAGTGAGTTGAGATTGTGCCACTGCACCAATTAAAACAATTGTATGCAAAAATTAGTTTCCTATAGGTAAATTGAGTGTAGGCACAAATGCCAAGTTATAACAAATATCCCACTCACAATAGCAAAAATATATAAAACAAAATGTTCAGGAATAAACTAAATGATCAATAATTGCAATGAGATCACGATCATTAAATGAAAATAATCGTTATAAAATTATACTCTCTTGCTTCAAAGTGAACACATTATGTATAAAACCAGAAGTAGTAATATCAAAATGTATGAGATGTATGAGGTTACAGTGAACTATGATGGTGCCACTGCACTCCAGCCTGAGCAACAGGCTCTAAAAAAAAAAAAAAAGGTAATCAGTGTTTACTTGGGAATTACATTGTAAATAATTTTTCTACTGTCTTTGTCCTCTTTTATATTTTACAAGTTTTTTACAATTATATATGTTTTGTAATAGAATAAAAAGTATCATTTAAAAATTATAAAACATAAGGCCAACACAGTGGCTCACACCTGTAATCCCAGCTCTTTGGGAGGCCGAGGCGGGCAGATCACTTGAGTCCAGGAGTTTCAGACCAGCCTGGACAACATGGGGAAACCTCTACTAAAAATACAAAAAATTAGCCATGCATGGTGGCGCACACCTGTAGTCGCAGCTACTCAGGTGGCTGCGATGAGATGAGATAAGCACCTAAGCCCAAGAAGTTGAGGCTGCAATGAGCCATGATCGTGCCACTCCACTCCACCCTGGGTGACAGGAGTGAGGCTCTGTCTCAAAAATAAATAAATACCGAGATATATATGTAAAATAAACTACCTTAGGTATTCACATTATTGATTATATTTTCTCAATAGAATGATTATATATTCCTCTTTATAACCATCTGCCAGAAGAGCTTCAACATCTATCGCATTTCAGAATGAATTTTTTTTTTTTTTTTTTTTTTTTTGAGACGGAGTCTAACTCTGTCGCCCAGGCTGGAGTGCAGTGGTGCGATCTCAGCTCACCGCAACCTCCGCCTCCCAGGTTCACACCATTCTCCTGCCTCAGCCTCTCAAGTAGCTGGGACTACAGGTGCCCACCACCACACCCGGCTAATTTTTTGTATTTTTAGTACAGATGGGCTTTCACTGTGTTAGCCAGGATGGTCTTGATCTCCTGACCTTGTGATCTGCCCTCCTCAGCCTCCCACAGTGCTTGGATTACAGGTGTGAGCCACTGCGCCCGGCCCAGAATAAATTTTTAAATTTACATTGATTTTCTATTTCACATAACCAAAAAATTAGCACAGTCAGATTTTATTATAACCAATTTATACTAAATTTCAAAGCAGAAATAAGCTTCACAAGGTCCAAATACAGTTCACATTACATCAAAACTACAGTTAAAAACTAAAAGCAATTATATTTGTCAACCAATAAGTAGCATAAAAATTACTTAGAATTAATTCAAAGTAGGTCTGCATTCAACACAACTACGATTGAAAGAAATTAAAGGAAGACCTAAATTAGTACAAATACATCCTGTGTTCATGGAGGAAAACTTAATATTGTTAAAATGGCAGTACTTTCTAAGTTGATCTACATATTCAATGCGACTGTGATTAAAATCCCAGCTGGCTCCTTTGCAGAAACTGACAAGCTGATCTTAAAATTCATATGGAAATGCAAGTGACCCGGAACAGCCAAACCCACCTTAAAAAACTTTCTGGAGGATTCATACTTTCTGATTTCAAAGCTTACTAAACAGCTACAGTAATCAAGAGTGTGCTACTGGTATAAGGACAGATGAACAGAGAAAAGAATAGAATCCAGAAATAAACTTTCACATATACAGTCAATTGATCTTCAATAAGCGTTCCAAGACAATTCAATGGGGAAAGAATAAGCTTTTCAACAGATAGTTCTGAGATAACTGGATGTCTAGGTGCAAAACAATGAAGCTATACCCCCCTACTTCATGCCGCATGCAAAAATTAATTCAAATGGATAAAAGAGCTCAATATAAGAGATATTGATAAACTATAAAACTCATAGAAAAAAACATAGGCAGAAACCTTTGTGACCTTGGAGTAGCAACGTTTTTTTAGATATTACACCAAAAGCACAAGGAGCAAAAAAACACAAATGAAAAAAGATAAATTGGACTATATCAAAATTTAAAATCTTTCTGCTTCAAAGGACACCATCAAGAAAGAAAAAAGACAATCCAGAAAAAGGAAGAAAGTTGTTATAACTCCTATCTAGAATATGTAAAAAATTCTTACAGCTAAATAATAAAGAGATACATAACCCAATTAAAAATAAGTTAAATTTTGGAATAAGTATTTCCCCAAAAAAACAGACAAATGGCCAATAAACACATGAAAAGATACTCAACATCATTTGCCATCAGGTAAATGCAAATCAAAACCACTAAGACATAGAAATTCACACCTACTAGCTGGGCGCAGTGGCTCACACATGTAATCCAAATACTTTGGGAGGCGGAGACAGGTGGATCATTTCAGGTCAGGAGTTCGAGACCAGCCTGGCCAACATGGTGAAACCCTGTCTCTACTAAAAATACAAAAATTAGCCAGCTGGTAGTGGTGCATGCCTATAATCCCAGCTACTCGGAAGGCTGAGGCAGAAGAATTGCTTGAGCCTGGGAGATGGAGGTTGCAGTGAGCCAAGATCATGCCACTGCACTCCAGACTGGGCGACAGAGTCAGACCCTGTCTCAATCAATCACTCAATCAATGGAATTTCACACCTGCTAGATGCGAAATAGGATGGCGATCATGAGAAAGACAGGCAATGCAAAACTATTCACAATAGCCAATAGGTGGATGCAACCCAAGTATTCATCAACAGAGGAAAAGATAAAAAGGCATATTAAATACATACAAGGGAATATTATTCAGCCTTAAAAACAAATGAAATTCTGGCACATGCTACAACATGGATGAACGTTAAAGACATTATGCTAAGTGAAATAAGCCAGGCACAAAAGGACAACTACTATATGAGACCACTTATGCCAGCAGTCCCCAAACTTTTTGGCATCAGGAGCCAGTTTTGCAGAAGACAATTTTTCCACAGACAAGGTTGGGGGAGATGATTTTGGGATGATTCAAGGACATTACATTTATTGTGCATTTTATTTCTATTATTATTACATTGTAACATATAATGAAATAATTGTACAACTCACTATAATATAGAATCAGGGCTGGGCACGGTGGCTCACGCCTGTAATCCCAGCACTTTGGGAGGCCAAGGTGGCCAGATCATGAGGTCAGGAGATCGAGACCATCCTGGCTAACACGGTGAAACCCCGTCTCTACTAAAAAATACAAAAAATTGTTGGGGCGTGGTGGCTGGCACCTGTAGTCCCAGCTACTCAGGAGGCTGAGGCAGGAGAATGGCGTGAACCTGGGAGGCGGAGCTTGCAGTGAGCCCAGATTGCACCACTGCACTCCAGCCTGGGTAACAGAGCGAGACTCCCTCTCAAAAAAAAAAAATAAAAAATAAATAAATAAATAAATAAATAAATAAATAAATAAAAAATAAAAAAACTACAAATGATAAGCAACATAGAATAGATATGTAAGGAAAGGCTTTAAAAAGGAAAATAAGATCAATATAAACTAAGAAAAAATTATTACAGAACAAAGAGATTCTAGGGAGAAGACAAAAGAGTATCAAAATCACTTCGTAAAGATACTTGTGAATATATTACATGTATAAAACAAAACAGAGGGCGGGCGCGGTGGCTGACGCCTGTAATCCCAGCACTTTGGGAGGCTGAGGCGGGTGGATCATGAGGTCAGGAGATCAAGACCATGCTGGCTAACATGGTGAAACCGCGTCTCTACTAAAAAATCCGTCTCTACTAAAAACACAAAAGTTAGCCAGGCGTGGTGGCGGGCGCCTGTAATCTCAGCTACTCGGGAGGCTGACGCAGGAGAATCGCTTTAACCAGTGGACTGTCAAGAGAGGTAGGCTGCAGTAAGCCGAGATCGCGCCACTGCACTCCAGCCTGGGCGACAGAGTGAGTGAGACTCTGTCTCAACAAAAAGAAAAAAAGAAAGAAAACTTTTTTTTGAGAGAGAGAGAGAGAGAAGTCTCGCTCTTCTCCCCCAGGTTTGAGTGCAATGGCTCGATCTCAGCTCACTGTAACCTCCGCCTCCCGGGTTCAAACGATTCTCCTGCCTCTGCCTCCCAAATAGCTGGGATTAAGTCGCCTGCCAACACGACCGGCTAATTTTTCTATTTTTTAGTAGAGACGGGTTTCACCATGTTGGCCAGGCTGGTCTCCAACTCATGACCTCAAGTGATCAGCCCGGTTGGCCTCCCAAAATGCTGGGATTACAGGCGTGAGCCACTACGCCCGGCCAAAAAACCGAAAATCTTAAAGGCCTTTCCCCTTCCCCGCCTGGGCTCCAACAACGCGGGAGCCGCCCTGCCCCGCCCTGTCGCGGTCCCTAGAGCAGGTGGGCTGACTGAGGGCGACCATGGGTCCCAAGAGAGCTCCCGCAGCCGCGGGCTCCCACCTCGAGGCGCAGCGACAGGGGCCGAGAGGGGCCAGCAGCCCCCAAGCCAGCCCCGCGCTAGGAGTTGGAGAGACGCGCCCTCCGCCTTCTCCCACCCAAGCCTCTGCCTTGCCGGGCGGGCCAGTTGCGGGAGAAAGGGGCGGGGAACCGCGGCCTCTCTGGGGCAGCTTCCCCTTTCTCCTGGGACTCTGGGCACCCGCTTTCCGCCCTCGCCCTGCCCCGCCAGGCCGCCACCCGGCGACTCACCTTAATGTTGCGGTGGGGCGTGAGCCGCGGCTGTGGCTCCTGGTTCTCCTGGAAGATAGAGGCCAGTAACTTCGGTTTGCCCTTGAACCCGGACATGGACATCTTCCCCTCACCTCCGGCGGGAGGGGCGCGGAAAAGGAGCCAGTCCCGAGCCGCTGTCATGGCCGCGACCACCAGGCGGGGCCCCCGGCCGAGCTCTCGCGGCTCCACCTCTCCCCGCCGCCGTGACCCTCGTGGGAGCGCGGCTGGAAAATGGCAAGGGGCACCGAGGACTTGGCGGGAGCTATGTGGCGGCCTGCGGGGCTGCTCCCTTTATAACCGACTCCACCGACAGGAGGCGCGGCTCCCGTCAAGCCGCAGTTTAAAAGGGCAACAGCACCACTGCCCCCGCTACCGCCTGGGAAAGGGCTGCCCCTACCCCGCCCCGGTCCTCGTCGCCCCTCACCTCTTACCCCTCACCCCTCACCCCTCAACCCGGCGCGCCCCGCGCGCACCCGGCGTGCCCGCGCTACCGGCTGCCCCCTCCTCTCTTGACCCAGCACCTTTCTGCCCGACCGATCTGGTCCCTTCCTCACACTCGCGACTGGGCGGCACAACTACCAACTCTGTGTGTGTGTGTGTGTGTGTGTGTGTGTGTGTGTGTGTGTGTGTGTGTGTGTGTCTATGTGTGTGTGTGTGTGTCCCTGTCCCAAGGGGGCGTGGCTCACGCCTGTAATCCCACCACTTTGGGAGGCTAAGGCGGGTGGATCAGGAGGTCAGGAGATAAGACTATCCTGGCTAACACGGTAAAACCCCGTCTCTACGGAAAAAATACAAAAAATTAGCAGGGCGTGGTGGCGGACGCCTGTAGTCCCAGCTACTTGGGAGGCTGAGGGAGGAGAATGGCGTGAAACCGGGAGGCAGAGCTTGCAGTGAGCTGAGAGCGCGCCACTGCACTCCAGCCTGGGCGACAGACCAAGACTCCATATAAAAAAAGAAAAGAAAAAAAACCTCAAAGGATCACTAGTGGTCAGCAACTGTGTGCAAATAAATAGGAAAACCTACCAAAAATGGATAAATTTCCAGACACATCTAACCTACCAAGATTGAACCATGATGAAACCCAAAACCTGAACAAACCAATAACAAATAATGGGATCAAAGTGGTAATAAAAAGTCTCCCAGCAAAGAAAAGCCTGGGACCTGATGATTCACTGCTGAATTCTAGCAAACATTTAAAGAAGAACTAATACCAACCTTACCCAAACGATTCCAAAAATAGAGAAGGAGGGAATACTTGCAAACTCATTCTACAGGGCTAGCATTACCCTGATAACAAAATCAAACACACAGACCAAAAAAGAAAACTACAGGCCAATATCACTGATGAATATTGATGCAAAAATCCTCAATAAAATATTAGCTAACTGAATTCCACAACACATTAAAGTTGGGGTGCAGTGTCCCAGGTTCACTCAACCCTTCCCGTTTTCCTCTCTGTGTGTGTCTACTTTGCCGTGTTCCCTGGTGGCGGCGGCGGTGGCAGTGTTGGTGCATGGGCCTCCCAGGACAAGGGGAAAGTGAGTATGCCCCTTTCTTGCCCCCTGCCAGGCGTCTGCAGCCTGGCACAAGCTCTGGCCAGGTCTCCAACAGGGGACCTGGAGATGTTTTTTTCCAGTTTCTGGATTGGTAACTTGAGGCAGATTCTGGGCACTAGAGTCAGAACTAAGAGGAGACTGAATCAGGGGAGTCTGGGGTCCTGAGAGGCAGATACCTGAAACCGTCTAGAGCGTGTGGGGAGCTCGGTGCATGTTCACGCCAGTTGTTTTTCTCTGTGCCTCAATGTTCCAGGTACCCTTGGAGGTGCTGAGATCCTAGGGATTCCTGGAGCCTGGCTGCATGGCCTGGCCACCCTGATGCCACTGTGTTCTCCATGACAGGACAGCAAGGCTGAGGAGAATGGCTCCGACAGCTTCATGCACTCCATGGACCCATAGCTGGAGCGGCAAATGGAAACCACCCAGAACCTTGTGGACTCCTACATGGCCATTGTCAACAAGACCGTGTGGGACCTCATGGTTGGTGTCATGCCCAAGACCATCATGCACGTCATGATCAACAACGTGCATGCACCGCCTCATAGGGGCAGGGGGCTCCTGTAGCACTGGGGATGCAGGTGGCCATGTTGGCCTGGGGGAGATGCTGACCAGCCCTATGGGACCAAGGTCCAGGGAGGGAGGCACAGTCCAGACCAGAGCTGTCTCATAGAAATATAACGTGGGACTGGGGACAGTGGCCCATGTCTGTAATCCCAGCACTTTGGGAGGCCAAGGCAAGAGGATAGCTTGAGCCCAGGAGTTCGAGACCAGCTTGGGCAACATAGTGAGACCTGATCTCTACACTAAAATTTTAAAAATAGCTGGGCTTGGTGGTGGCACGTACCTATAGTCCTAGCTACTCGACAGGCTGACATTGGAGGATCACTTTGAGCCCAAGAAGTTGAGGCTACAGTGAGTGGTGATCTCGCCCACTGTCCTCCAGCCTAGCGACAGAGCAAGATCCTATCTCCAAAAAACATTTTTAAGAAACTGAGTAGACCGGTGTCCTGGTGGCATGATAGGTCCTGGGTCCCCTCCCAGATGTGTGACCTTGGACAGGTGACTTTTCCTTTGGACCTCAGTGTCCCTATCTGAGTGAGAAAAGGGCGGTGGGGAGGCAGATCTTTGAGTCTAAGCGGTGTAGAAGCCGCGTCTGAAAAGCCATACTCAGGGCTCCAAGTCCAGCACACAGTCCCAGCAGGGCCCGGCAGGAGGCCAGGGCAGCAAAGGCATCAGGTCCCAACCTCCTTCCCTCTTTGCCCGCTCTCAGACCAAGGAGTTCATCTTCTCGGAGCTGCTGTCCAACCTGTACTCACGTGGGGACCAGAAAACGCTGATGGAAGAGTCGGCAGAGCAGGCACAGTGGCGCGACGAGATGCTGCGCATGTACCACGTGCTGAAGGAGGCACTCGGCATCATCGGCGACATCAACACGACCACCATCAGCACGCACATGGGGGCCCGTGGACAACTCCTGCCTGCAGGTGCAGAGCGTCCTTGCCGGATGCAGGTACCAAGGCTGGCTCCCACGGCCCCAAAGCCCCCCAGCCCCCATGGCTGAGCCTGGGGACTCTTGGAACAGGCTCCGTGCCCACGCTGGTAGACATGGGTGCTCCCTGGAGCCGTCACAGAGCTCGTGGTTTATGGTGTAAGGGCTGAGAGCTTAGAGGGGGTGGTGTGTGGGGCTGTACTCTGAGGCGGCCAGAGTCCTAGGATAGTCCTCCTGTGCACACCGCACCTGTTGGGCAGTCTGAGTCATGCTGCCAGGGCAGGGCATCCAGCTCCCAGCCTGGGAGTGCTGAGAGCCAAATCCACTGCAGAGCAGGGGTGATAGTCAGAGTCCCACCTCCTCTATCTGTCGGCAATGCAGTGGTGAGATAGGATAAAACCTTGAGAGTCCCATACACACGGTCAACCCACAACACACCTCACAGGCCAGGCAGGAAACACAGGCCCCTTCCCTCCCTCCCAGGTACCATCATAGCTGCTAGCGTGTGACTGAAGGCAGGGTCCCTGGCCCCCGCTGAAGCACTATTGCTGGCCAGCAGGCTCACGCACCTTGGAGTGTTGCTCCTAGAGGTCACCTCTGCTATTCAGCCAAGGGGACCACAGTGCCTGCTGGCCCAGCTGACCTCCGCCCCACAAGCCCACCCACCTCCCCTGCCATAGACTCTCCCTCTTCTGCTTTTCCCAGCAGGAAGGGCCCAGCCTCACCTATCCGACCTGCAACCCCCAACAAGCTGAGGCTCCCCTCTTAGACTTATAAGTCTATAGCCAGTGGCATCCAGCTGCATGCCCTCCTTTCCTCCCCCAGGGACCCTTCAAGGGTTCCTGGGCTTTCTGACCCCCCAGAGGGGGCTCCGGCGATCACTCCACCCATCCATCCCTTTTAGCTTCATCATCCTGGTTCAAGCAGTGTTTCTTCTCTATCAGGCCTGGTGGCTGTTGTTTTGGGCTCCCCAAGGCGAGAGGTGGCCCTGGACAAGTGGGTTGGAAGACACGGTGCCCAGAGAAGAGGGAAGCCCAAAGGGGCTGAGCATCAGTCTTAACAGTGGGTGCACTGGGTGCCGTGGAAGAGGCCAGCACGTGTGGGGTGGGGAGGGCTGCCACAGCCCCCAGGCACTACCTGTGAAACTCCGGCTCCTCCCTCTGTCTTCCTCCCCTTTCCCTTCCAGCCCCTCTTTTCCAGGAACCTTGCCACACCCGCACGTGCACCCTTTACTCCTTGGCCCTCCCACAGCTGCTGTGGCACACCTGTGCTCTGCACTTGCCTCACCAGCTCTCTGCTCGCTTTTTTTTTATTATTATTATTATACTTTAAGTTTTAGGGTACATGTGACAATGTGCAGGTTAGTTACATATGTATACATGTGCCATGCTGGTGCGCTGCACCCACTAAATCGTCATCTAGCATTGGGTATATCTCCCAATGCTATCCCTCCCCCCTCCCCCCACCCCACAACAGTCCCCAGAGTGTGATGTTCCCCTTCCTGTGTCCATGTGTTCTCATTGTTCAATTCCCACCTATGAGTGAGAATATGCGGTGTTTGGTTTTTTGTTCTTGCGATAGTTAACTGAGAATGATGATTTCCAATTTCATCCATGTCCCTGCAAAGGACATGAACTCATCATTTTTTATGGCTGCATAGTATTCCATGGTGTATATGTGCCACATTTTCTTAATCCAGTCTATCATTGTTGGACATTTGGGTTGGTTCCAAGTCTTTGCTATTGTGAATAATGCCGCAATAAACATACGTGTGCATGTGTCTTTATAGCAGCATGATTTATAGTCCTTTGGGTACATACCCAGTAATGGGATGGCTGGGTCAAATGGTATTTCTAGTTCTAGATCCCTGAGGAATCGCCACACTGACTTCCACAATGGTTGAACTAGTTTACAGTCCCACCAACAGTGTAAAAGTGTTCCTATTTCTCCACATCCTCTCCAGCACCTGTTGTTTCCTGACTTTTTAATGATTGCCATTCTAACTGGTGTGAGATGATATGCTCGCTTTTCTCTCTCCTGTCTTCTCTCTGCTTTCTCTCCAACTGCCAGCCAATCGGCTCAGGCAAGTCCATCCCATCCTGAGAGCCCCAGGCCCCCCTTTGACCTCTAAACAGATTCCTCCTCTTCTCAGAGACTTCCCTTTCCAAGCCTGCCTGGGCGGCTGTTCTGTGACTTGGCAGTGGCTCCCCCAGCCCCAAAGGCAGCCCCCTTCATCTGTGACTTCGTCTATTGTTGCGGTGAGCTGACACATCCAGGTGTGACCGTTGCTGAAAACTTGTGCCCCCCTCTGTGGTATGCCCCTGCCCTGTTCTAGAAATATCTACAAATACCCATATACATACACACACACACACACACACACACACACACACACACACACACACCTACATGTGGCCAACCGCCTCGCCTCTAGCGCTGGGAATCAGTCACCGTGCTGTCCTTTTGGAGTCTTGTGGCCAAACAAGAGAAAGCTAACCCCTGACATTGCCCCTCCAAAGTGCGCTACCTTCAGTGAGCCTCCCTGTCACGCCCAGCCTATGGAGAGACACACCCCGCCATCCCTCCCGCCCCCCCCCCCCCCACCAAGCATGGGAGTGCTGTGCAGGCAGCTGTGTGGCCTGACAGTCTCTACCAGTCCTGCTGTCCCTTGGCTGAAAATCAAACCCGCTTCTGGATGGCGGGGAAGTGTGTCCTCTGCTGGCTGTGTTCTCTGTGGAGCTCAGGGGAGGGGAAAGGCCAAGCCATTTCTAGGGTGCTGTTGGGAGCAGTGAAAAGGCCATGCCCTTTCCAAGGGACACTTTTCCTGGAAAGCCCCTGGAGCTTAGCGGGCTCTTATCCTGTGAAGCCGGCTCTGGCCACCAGGGGGCAGGGCCATGAACTCAGCCCAGAGGGAGCCTGCAGGGCAGCCGGCACTCTGGAGGCACAGACAGAACAGGCCACCAGGTGCAGACAGGAGAGGGAGACAAGGGGATAGAACGGAAGATGCCGGGGCTGGGTGGAAGTCAGTGCCCTTAGGTGCTGGTACCTGTCTTCCCGGCCACCGCTAGATCAGGCTTCTGAGCCTGTTGGCTGTCAGGGCCAGACTGCGCCCCATAGACTACATGGCAGTCCCCTTGGAATCCCCCAGGCGCCACCAGGCAGCATACAGGTAACACGCCTGGAAGGTCCCCAACAGCCTAGCTGGACATGCTCAAGACACTCTGGGACTCCTTGTTTGGTGGCACAAACTCCAGGACCCAGTGAGGGAAACGGAAACACACCAGGCCGAGCAGTATGGCTAAATCCATTTATTCCAAAATAAAAAGCAAAATAAACAGGAGTCGCATCACCAGGGAGCCATGACCCCATCCCCGCCTCCTTCCTCTGTCCTATGCTAGCAATAAATAAGTTTCCCAGCCACAAATAATTATTACAACCTCCTCCCCATGTGCCGGCTCCAACCTCAGCTAGGTATGACACAGGGGTGGCCCTACCCTCTGGAATATACAAAACCTTACACAGACACAATGTGTACACCGGGGAACGGGGGCCACCCCAGCAGCCCGTGCCCTCGCCTGGTCCACAGTTAGCCCCACTGTCCTGCCTCTCTGAATAAGAAGGGAGCCCCCCTGAGGGAAAAGTTGCTATGGTGAGAGTAAGGGGGACATCAGGCCTCCTCCAAACAAACCAACTCCACCAGCCTCTGGCTCTTAAATAACAATCATCATCATCCAGAAATTTAGGGACTCAGCCCTGGTCAGGGTGGCAAAGGGTCTGTTTGTCTTTCCCCATTAGACAGAGGTCTTGTCCTGCTACCCTAATTGTAAAGGGGTGCCTGGGAAGGGGTGGTAGGGACATGGTGGCGGTGGAGACCCCAGCCCCACTTCTCCAGGCTTTGCTGACAGGGGCCTGCTTTTAATTTTTATTTTTATTCCATGACTTTTTAAAAAAGAATCCCGTAACTTCTTTTTCATAACTTTTTTGGTAACTTTTCATAATACTGTTTTCTACTTTGTTCCCACAAGTTTTTTTGCCACAACGTTTTTACATTTTTTATCCCATAACTTTTTCACCCCATAACTTTTTTAATCCCATAACTTTTAAAATCTTGTGTTCTTTTAAGAAACACTTGCATAGTTATATTACAACTTTGTAAAAATGAAACACATTATCTCATGCCAAGCATGCCCAGCATTTGCACAGTATCAATACCTTTAATACTATAGTTTTCAAGAAACGCAAAATAAAATTTTAAGACAAAAACAACACATTGAAACAACTTAATAATTTATTACATTACAGTGGCATCACACCAGCAGTCAATAAGGCCACTCTAGGGAAAAATCTTTCAGTATTTCCACGACACATTCTCTTTACAATAATTCATAAACTGGTAAAATTCATTCTAAGAAAACTTGGCAAATAAAACTTTGGACTGGAATTGGCATTTCTTTCTCTGCTTTTCGTTCCCACCATTTCTTTCTTTTATACTACAGTATTCATATTTTAAAATGTTTTAAATTATTTCAGAACATTAAGATAGCAGTTACATTTTTTAATAGTTATATTATTTTAAAATGACTCTTTAAAATAAAGTTTTAGAGAAACTATATTATGGATAGGGCTGATTTACATTTTCAAATTTTCTAAAATCAGCTTTGGTTTAAGAGCTGATTTTTTTTTTTCATTTCTGGAAAATTATCAGGTTGAATCAAATACTTTTAAAATGATTATTATATATTGCCATCTTTAAATAGGTGTTTTGATTCTTCCTACAGACATTAAAATGTATTCAGTGGAACTCACAGTTTAAAATTCTATGTTTCTGATGAACTCTAACATTCCAATGTTGCCTTCTAAGCAAACTGAAAGCTGCCTTATACTGAATGAGGAAGAGCACAAATACTCGGCTGAATGAGGTATCGCAAAAGACTGCATGCACTTTGGAGAAAGACTTGAGTTATTGTCATACAATTTCCATTCTTTTTAACTTTTTCTTAAATATATGACAAATACCTACACAAAGAGTGGTATTTCAGTCAATATAGTAAATTTATTTTCCAGACTGACCTTCAGCTTAAATATGCCAGTGTGTGATTTAATCCATAGGCACCTCATGAACACATTATTGTCAGATTGGTTACAGATGCTAAACGCTATCCGAAGGTCATTCCTAGTCACTGATATTTATCAGGGTAAAAGTGAAGTGATTTCAACGATAAAAGTACCTTTGCAATAATTTATCAATGTATTAGATAAACCCAGTTTCAGAATGATAAAAGAAAAAACGTTAGACCAAATAATGTGGCTGATTAACAGTGGTCCGATTTCTAGCCCGAGGGTTTAAAATGCTCTTAAAGTAACTGTCTTTAAACTGAACTCAAAGAATGCAAAAGCGGCAAGTTCAGAAAATAAAAGGCGAGAACAGGACTTTAAGTGCATTTTAAACCCACGGGCTACAAATCGTACCACTGTTAATTAGCTGCATTATTTGGTCTAAATTTTTTCTTTATCATTCTGAAACTGGGTTTATCTAATACATTGATACATTCATAAAATTTGGAAGAGTCAGTGGAAGTCACAAGGACCGAATATTTGCACTCTTTCAGTGAATGCCAGCAAATCTGTTATTCCATCGGTAAAATCGTATTGTTGCTCTCCTGTTAATGTCATATTTATAGAAGTATCATGAGGATGCCAAATGCTAAAAATGGAGATGATCTAGTAACTAGAAATCCCCACCGCAGGGAGCACACACACCTATCTCCCTGCATCCTAACAATGTGATGTGTTTTGGAACACAGACATTAGAACTTCATGAAGTTTTAACTGTTGAGTCTTTCCCAAGCATCATCAAGTTATGATTTAGGCAATATATAACTGAAATGTATTCATTCATCATGCATAGGCACAATCACATAAATATTGCACAAAATATGTCCCGAACAGAAACCCAGAGGTACAAAAACATATTTCACTTTGTAAAGAAGTCTGTGAGAAAATATAACTCTGTGATTGTATAGACACGTTTCCTGATAATACATTGACATTCACGAACAGTAGATTGCACTGCAGTTTGTACACATTTTAAGTTTCATAAACTTCTCCTTGATTTTCAAAGAGAGTACAATACCGTCTACTAAAACTCCTTTTTGTTTCAACTAAGTATCTCACATATATTAGTTTATAATAATGTTTCTATTATTTTTTAAAGTGTTTTCCATTCAAAGAAAAAGAAGTAAATTCCTATGTCAGAGTAACCAAGGTGGTTGAAGAATAGGTATTAGCCAAAGAGGTCTAGATGGTAAAATCAATCTTCAAGCCTCAAAGAATCTCCGTGAACAGAGAGGAATGCCAGGTGTCACACAGCTTTCCTTCACTCTAATTCATTCTTGACTAGAGCCTGTATGCCTGTTCCAGGAACGTTTGAACTCATAAAGGATTTCTTATGATCTTCACTAAATACATTAAGAAGAATGCCAACCAGTGCCCTTTTGTGTACTGGGACATGTAGTCATGTGATTAAAACAGGTAACATGAACTCTGACTTTAAAATGTATTGTAGATACAAATGCTCTAAGCTAGGAAAGGTTTCCCACATCCACAGTCAATGATGGGAACCTTTCATTCCTCAGAAATAAGCCCTTTTTAGGTCATCGAAAAAGAGTACAACTGCTGCAGCTCATGATGCAGTATCTTCATGAGCCCAGAGCACATACAAATCCTAAGGGAACCACCATAATACACTGCTAATTCCGGGCACCGGAACAGATGAAACACACTCTATCCTGCACGTACCTGCCAGAGGAGGCCACTTTCCTCTTCTGTGAGATTTAAAAAGCTCCCCCAAAAGGTTATCACTCCCATCACCAACACACAGAAAATGGAGGAAAGGCTGTTTCCAGTTCTTGGCCTTTAAACAACTCTAAATGTCAGTACTCATAGTGGCATATTACAAAGTAATAAACAGTGCACACTTGGGGGCAAACTACATATTGAGCTAATGAAGAGCTCACTGTGATTAAGATTAGATCAAACAACAGCAGAACATAGGCAAATTTTGTCTGAATTCTGTAGTGAATATACATGCTGCAATAACATTAAAAAAGCATGGCAGCCTATTCCAAACCAAAGAGAACAGTTTTGGGCAAAGAGTGGGTCTTTGTGTGTTTGAACTCCCACCACGTAAGGGCAAACTCGATATGCACGCTAATGACCTACAATTATGAAATTAAAAAAGAAAAATGCTAAAGGATGCCAGAGTGAACATCAGTGAGAGCCACAGACACCCACTCTCTTTTAACTTTTTACAAATAAACTTAAAACTATAAATTAGAAAAACAAATAATCATGAGTGACTCTAACATTCAAAGGAAGTAAATGAATTGTGTAGGAGATTAACCCCATAACTTGGTTTCTTATTTAAAAATTTCTTGAGCAGCTCTTTGAGGATGGTGATGTTTATCTCCTTCTTCTTGGCAGCCAAGCCCAGCACAAGAATGGCACACAGCAGTTGCTGCCCAAGCCTGGGTGCTCCTGGTGGTCCTGCACGATCGGCTGTGCAGTAGGCTTGTCAAGGAGAGGATCCTCCCTGGCCTCTCCTTGGGCAGAGGAGGTGAGGCTCACCTCACAAAGATCTTTGGAGAGAGGGAGGCAGGGATCTGAGCACAGTGGGAGCCCCCTCTTCCTGCCTGCCCACCCCACCTGAGGGCTCTACTCACGACCATGCTTGTCTGCAGCCCCAAGCTCCTGGGGGGCTGGGGCTCCTGGACCGGGCTCATCAGCAGAGTTGTGGGCAGCGGCCAGGAATTTTCTGTGCCCATTGTTGTAGTTGCTGTAAGCCGCAATACCATCTGCTGCAGCTCCAGCAGCTTCACCTGGAGGGAGGGGTGCTCAGCTGCCATGCCGCTGCCTGCGCCCACCCTCACACCCACCCCCACCCCCACCCCCACAGAAATGTTGCACACCCTACCTTCATCTCCTCCCTGAGCTCCAGCCTGATGGTGTCCTCCTCCCAGTGCCGCATCTTTGGCACGGCCCCCTGGTTCTGATAAAAGGTGATGGGTTTTCCTGCGGGAGGACAGGGCTCAGACGCTGGGGCCCCTCCGACGGCCCTGTAGCTCCCCCTGCCGTGCCCTGGCCTCCCACTCACTGATGGCATCTCTCTCGCCAGTGGTGGATGAAGCAGAGTTCTTTTTTCTTCACCAGCTCACTCAGGTCTGCCTTCTCCTCCAGGTGGTCCATAAAGCTGCTCTGGAGCCAAAATATTGCAGTCACATCTCGGCAGCGACCTGCCCTCAGGTGGCATTTTCAAGTCATGGAGAAGGTGGAGGTGAGTCCTGGCATGGGCCAGCTTCTCCGTGACTTCCTGCAGGGCCCAGTGGGTCTCCCCACTCACAGACTCGCCCCCAGGCCCTGGGGCTCCAGGGCCTCTGGCTGCCTCTGGCTCCTTCTGGGCCGAGGCCACCGGGTGAGCCAGGCGCTGGCAGCACACCCTCTGCTCTTTCACCTGCTCTTGTAACTGTGCCTGCTTCTCCTGGGCACTAGCTCCAGCGGACTTGAAAAATGCCACCTGAGGGCAAGATGTGAGCATTCTTCTAGGGGCATACACAGAAGAAATGGGGCAGAGAGGTGGAGCGCAACCCCTTCCCTTGGGGCCTCAGAGAGTGCACCTGTTGGCCACAGGTGAAATGGTGTCTGACCACTGGCTCTCGGAAGGGGTGAGGGTCCAGAGAAATCAGAAGGCAGGGAAACGAAGAGCATAAAGGGGTCTTGGAGGGACCACAGAGAAAGGTGGCAAAATGGGTGCAGGGGGAGTCAGGCTCACCATGGCCTCCCTGCTCTCCGGGTCCTCTGGGACACTCGGCATGGGCCGAGGTGCCTCCTCCCCCTCACTGTCCAGATGTTCTCCTCCGTGTCCTGTGGGGGGTGGTCAGACGGGTCTTCAGACAACCCAACAAGGGAGGTACTGTGGGCCCACCTCTACCTCCACCCTCACTGTGTAACCCTGAGCCTGCCCCTCCCCAGAGAGGAATGAGCTGTTGTTCTTTATTTTTACTTTTAAGAATCAAGATCTTGCTATTCCGCCCAGGCACACTCCCACTACTGGTCGATGTGGGAGTTCTGACCTGCTCCCTTTCTGACCTTGGCCAGTTCAGCCATCCTTAGGCAACTTGGTGACCCCCCGCTCACAGGAGGTCACCACACTGATGCCGAACTTAGTGCAGGCACCCGGTCGGCATAATGACCAGCTGTTCTAAAGGTCTCTTCCAACTCCTCAATCCTATGCTGCTAGCAGTCCCCCCTTCCTCCTGGGGCTCTCTCCTCTTCCTCTGAGCAGTCTCCCGTACCTTCCCCAGGGAGAGCCATGAGGCTCAGCTGGGCCGTTAGCTGCTGGTTCTGCTGGCTGGCAGCTTCCAGGTGCTCCTAAGGGGCCAGGACAGAGTGAGAAGGGGTGGAGTTTGCCAGGTCATCCCCCTCACAGCCCCATCCTCGGCAGCTCCCTCCCCTGGGTCTCCTGCAACTTTTGGCAGGCCATCTCAGCCACCGCTTTGCCCCAAGCTTCCTGCTGCTGCAGCTGGTTCATTAGCTGGGTCTGCTGCAGTCACTGCCTGTACAGCGCCTCCTTCTCACAGGTCAGCTGCTGATAGGCGGCCACCTGCTGCTGATAGGTGGCCACGTACTGCTGCAGGTGACCCAGGTAATGGTCTGGCTGCTGCTGCAGACTCTGAGCCTCTTGGCTCTTCAGCTCCACCTGCAGGAAGACCCTGGGTGTGAGGGCACGTGGTGGCTGGTTTCCAGATTCTGGGCCCATTAATAGGGTAGCGAGGGCACTGTGGGGCTCTGTCAGCTGCCCAGGCCCCTGTCCCCTTACTCCAGGCCTAAGTGACTGCCTCCCTTTCCTAGAACCCCATGCCTCCTTCCCCAGCCTCAAATCTCATACCCTCTTCTCATTTAATCCTCAGCACCTCTGTAAGGAAAATGCTAACTTCCCTTTGAAGTTAAAGAAACAGAGACTTAGAGATGCAAAGTACTTGAATGGTGACCAGTGGAACCGAGGCTGGAATCCAGTTTTAATCTAAGGAGTCTTTTTGTTTTGTTTTCAGACAAGAGTGTCACTCTGTGGCCCAGGCTGGAGTGCAGTGGTGCAATCTCAGCTCACTGCAACCTCCACCTCCTGGGTTGAAGCAATTCTCGTGCCTCAGCCTCCCGAGTAGGTGGAATTACAGGCATGCGCCACAATGTCCTGCTAATTTTTTTTTTTTTTTTTTTTTGTAATTTTAGTAGAGATGAGGTTTTACCACATTGGCCAGGCTGATCTCAAACTCCCGACCTCAAGTGATTCTCCTGCCTCAGCCTCCCAAAGTGCTGGGATTATAGGCATGAGCCACTGCACCTGGTATAAGGAGCCTGTTATAGCACTGTCTCTTCCCCTGTGATTGGGGGCTCCATGCCTCTAGCTGGGATGATGATGTCCAGACCTTAGAGGAGCCCAGGGCTACCCACCTTTAAAAGTCAGAGGCAGGAAGCAAGAAACAGTCACAGGACTGCCCTGGGGGGTGCTGTGGTCACCAGCCCCCAGGCTGGAAGCTGCCTCTGGCCTGGCACCTCCCCTCCCAAGAGGCTGCTGCCCGCCTCCCAGCCCTTCTTGGATGGGGTGGAGGTTTCCGTCTCCTTCACCTCGCCAAGCTTCTCCTGTAGCTCCTTTACTTGCTGCTCCAACTGCAGTGCGTTCTTGTTCTCATTGTTCTGGACAGAGAGAAGCAATCAGCAGCCACCCACTGCAGCTGGAGACCCCAGAACTTGGTGTCTGCCTCCCATGGCACTGGGAAGGCTGGAGGCAGGTTAGAAAAATCACCCCCTCTCTCCCACAGCCACCTGGCTCACAGGTGCCTTTAGAAGTAACATTTCATGTGAGGGCTACACTGCCCCATTTTAGAGGTGGGGAAACAAAGGCCCGGAGGTCTAGGGAGGAGGGCAAGCTCCCCAGTTTGGGCAACGCACCGGCTCCTTGAAGACGCTCTGTGGCTTGGCCAGCTGCTGAAGGCTCTTGTGCTGCTCCTGAATCCTCTCCTCCTGCTTCCGAAGCCTCTCTTCCTGCTCCCGAATCCTCTCTTCTTGTCGCTGGTTCAGGAGACTTATGCGCTGATTGTTTTTGACCTGGGCCTGGAGCTCTCCTGCCACTCTCTCTAGTTCCTTCCTCAGGTGCTGCAGCTCCACCTCAGAGGGCACTGCTGGGGGCTCCGGGGGCAAGGGTTCAGCTGACAAAGGAAGCAGATAATAAGGGCCTCTGGATTCTCGGAAAAGAAAAACCCTCCTCTTGGCGCACAGCTCCTCTCAGGCTCCTCAAACTTGGCCTCACTGCTAATGATTCCTCGCACCCAGATGGTAGCCAGTCTTCCAAAGCACTTTCAGAGAAAGAGCACTGCGGGTGGCTGACAATGGGCCCTCTTTGCTGATGGGGACACTGAGACACTGAGACTCATTGAGATGACAAGACTCGCCGTCTCCTGGCACAGATCTCTTTCCCTCTGCCTCAAAGCCCTTCCATCCACCCACCTCCCTGGGGCACTCTAAGCCACCCTCACAGCCCTCTGATGCCAGTCCTGCTCCCAGGTCATGCCAGCCCCATCTTACCCATCTGGTTTTTGAGTTTGGACAAGCTCCTCTCCAGCTTCTCTACCCGACGCATATCTTGCTGCTTCTCTTTCTTTAATGTGCAAATCTGCCCAAAGCACAAGGGGAAAGGGCCTTGGAGAGAGGGGCTGGAGGCTGGACAGGCTGCCCTCTCCCTCTCTGCCCCCACCTCCACAAAGCCCAGACCCATGACCACCTCTGGCTCTACTATTCCCATTTTACAGATGACCAGAAAGATCCAGTGACCTATCTAATGTGGGGGGGCTGAAGGGTCAGATCTCACCTCCTGCGACATTTTTCTCATCCTCTGCTGCCACCGGGCCCTCTCTCCTTTTAGATGTTCAGAATACTCATCTCTTTCTAATTGGACTTGTTGAAATGACTCCTTGAACTGCAAGAATGGGCACAGAACTTAGGAAGGGCTGTCACTGGTCCTCACCTGCTCCTGGCCACCTGGGGTCATCTTCCTTCCACATAACTCCCTCAGAAAACCTCACCTGTGTCAGCTGCACTTTCAGTAGTGCCTCCTCCCGCATGGACTGCTCTAACTTCCACTCCGTACGTGCTTTGCTGCGGCTGGACAACTGGATGGTGAAGAGTGAGAAGTTTCAATCTGGAGAGCCTGGGCATTTCCACACAGTGCCCCTTAAAAGGGCTAGGGCTAGGCCCAATATACAACTCGGTCAGTAAAGATCAAGGCATTTCCAAGCCCGTGGTCTGGTTTTTAAAAGAACTCAGTAAAGTTGGAACGGACAGGGAATGAGACTGAGTTTATAGCTGGCTAACAGAGGCCCAGAGAGATCAGATAATATTGCTATTGTTATTACTGTTATTATTACCACTGTTTGAACCTTTGTGGAATGCTTCACCAGGTACCGTGCTAACAATCCCATTTAATCCTCGCAACCACCATAGGAGACAGTTACTATGATTCCCTCTATTGTGGAGATGAAAAAACATGGAGTATTTGAGGTTAAGTGCTTGCCTAAGTTCACTTAGGCAGAGCTGGGATATAAACACCCAGGTCTATCCAATTCTCTAAGCCCGTTTTTCTTGCTGGGGATGGGGGCACAGATAGGAAGGGGAAAATTAATCTTTTGTTCACTTTTTGAAAGGATGATACATTTGCATAGTCCAAAACTCAGAAGGTACAGAAGGGAAGTATCTCCCGGCCATCTTGTTGCTCTCTCCTGAATTTTTTATGAACCCTTGCAGACATGTTTTATGTATATTATCACAGTATGCACACACACACACACACACACACACACGCACACACGTTTCCTCTTTCTACAGAAATGGTAACATACTAAAGGTACTCTTCTGTACCTTCACAGTACAAGTACCCAATACCCCACCTAGGACTAGGACTTGCCCAAGACCACAGACAGGTAAGGGCGGGGCAGGCACTTGGCCTCCAAGCTCTGCGTCCAGTGCTCACTCCACACAGTGACCCCCAACTCACCCACAGCAGCTGACTCAGCCCCAGGCTGCCATTAAAAACCATACAAAAAAGTAGCAAGAAATGGCCATGCTGCCTTCTGGGCAGGACACTCCATCCTGCAGAAGGGACCTTTAGGCTCACTCCTCCATCTGCAAAGCCAGGCTCCCAGGGGATGGGGCAGGTGGTTGGACTCACCTGGTTTGCCTTCTTCTTCTGTGTGGCCATGACATTAGAGAGAACACTCTCTAACTCTCCTTTACGCTGCAATGAATGTTGCAGGCGGACAGCCAGATCCTTGGACTTTTCTGTAATGAGAGAGTTGAGATGGGGCCCAAAGGACTCCCCCTGAAGACCTGTCAAAGTGCCAGGTTGAAGGATGACAGGGTGCCCAGATTCCCACCTTCAAAGTATCTGAGAGAACGTTTCATGTGGTACAGGTCCGTATTTAGTTCCTCTTTCTGTATGTTCAATGTCTGGATTTGAACCTTTGGGAGAAAAGCCAAGCAAGTGCTGAAAGAGAAGGAAAGAAACCTTCTCCGGAGGACAGGAGGAAACTGCACACCCTCCACTCACCTCTAGCACCCTTTTGGCTTTCTGTTTCTTGTTGTTTGCTTTCTTTTCCTGTAGGAAGAGGAAGACAGAGCTCTTACCAGGGGGAGGCAGAGATGGCACAGCAAGAGACATGCCCCCAGAATGCCACCAATGCCCCAGGACAGGCCCACCCATGGGACCAGGTTATCAGGGGCCCTGTGGGGATGGGGTGGAATCTGAAGGGTGAGCCTTCATCCCCAGGCTGGGAGTGGGTGAGACGAGACTGGGGCCTGTATGTCTGAGTGCCCCCCAAACCCAGCAGTCATGTTGCGAGGAAACGAAATCACGTTACTTCTTCCAGCTGATGTTCCACTTGTTTCTTCTGTTGTTTCTGTGGGGAGAGTCAAATAAGGTGATGGAGGGTGGCCCCCTCAACTCTATTCCCCAGACCAGGAAGCGGTAGGCAGGGGCCAGGAATGGATTTTAAAGGCAAAGTTCTCAGACATAATGGGAACACGAACCGGTAAACTCTCCTCAAGCTCCCAAGGACAGAGGATTTGGGTCTTTGTTGGCTTTTGCCCACAGCCACAGAACTCAAAGTCTGAATCTGGAATCTCTTGAGAGGACAGCAATATAAACCTCTAGAGATGGAGTTTCAGAAAGGCCCCTCCTTCTGGCAGCTTGTGATTTAGAGAAGTGGGTTCATTCAATAAACATTTACTGAGCATGTATGGGCCAGGTACGGTTCTTTACAGCAGATATAGGATGGAAAAGGACAGACAGGAGCCCTTAGCCCTGAGGTTTCCGTTCTAGGGGGCCTTTAAATCTCAGACTCGAGAGCTAACAGAGACCTTTGATACTCACTACCTCCTCTGGAAACACGAGCCCAAAAAGGAGAGGTGGCTTGTCCAGAATCAAAGAGCAAATTAGGGACTGAGTCATGGCAGAAATACGGGGCCCTTGACAACCAGTCAGGCTAGCACTTCCCCAAGAGGCAACAACCCCAGGGCGTGTGTAGCAAGGACTCGAGCAGGGGTGTCTGGAGAGGAGAGAGTCGGCAAAGAGGGCAGCAAAAGAAGAGCCATGCTGCATGCTCTGGGGTCCCTCCAGGTGAGGCCTGGGCACCCAAGCTCCCTATTTGTCCCAGGCACCAGGGACCCCCAGCCCCTTTCTTCAGGGCCCCAAGGGGAAACTGGAGCCCAGGATTGGCAGCGTGGAATCAGGGGACCCCAGTGGACTCTTACCAGAGATTTGATGGTGTTCTTCAGTTGACTGATTTCTACGGACCTTGAATCCAGGACTACTGCTCGTTCTTGGCACGGGCTCTGAGGTGCATGCAGAGAGGAGGAGGTGGAGCAGGAGTGGGGGGAGAGGTAGAGAGAACAATCATTAGGGCTGGGGTGTGTGGGCTGTCTCAGCTGGCAGAGGGGCACCCAGTCCCACCTGGAGGAGGAGGTTGGAGGGTTGACCCGAAGGGTCACTGCACCTCCGCCCAGAGCCTCTTACCTCCAGATCTTTCAGGGTAGCAGATGATGTAGGGCCTTCCCTGTGGAAACCTGTTGCTGACTACAAGAGATGAGAGTGCACATGGAGATGTTCTGTCCCCCACAGTGTCTGAGCCCTCTGACTTCCTTTCTTCCCCATCAACTGGCAACATTTTCTTTTCTGCCTATCTTGGACCTTTTGTCCCATAACTCCTTTGTGCCAACTTCTCTCATGGTTCTTATCTCCCCACCATCCCATCCTGGGGCCCCTTCAGTGACTCCTGATGGCAAGTGGCTGTTCTCATTGTCCTGGTTTCCCCCTGAGACTGGGGATGAGGAAAATCAAACCATATCCTGGGTGTCCTGAGTGTTTACAGCAGGCCATGTACTAGGGATTAACATAAAAACAACAATAACAAATCTCATTTAAACTTCACAAATGGAAGTGAAACAATAACACCTCTATTATACAGATGTGAAAAGAGAGGCCCGATGAGGTCTAGCAACTTGCCCTAAATCATATCCCTAGCAGAGCAGATGGAGAGGCAGGATTCAAACCCAGAATTCCTTTTTTTTTTTTTCTTTGAGACAGAGTCTTGCTCTGTCACCAGGCTGGAGTGCAGTGGCATAATCTTGGCTACTGCAAGCTCCACCTCCCAGGTTCACACCATTCTCTTGCCTCAGCCTTCTGAGTAGCTGGGACTACAGGCACACGCCACCACGCTTGGCTAATGTTTTGTATTTTTAGTAGAGACAGGGTTTCACCGTGTTAACCAGGATGGTCTCGATCTCCTGACCTCATGATCCGCCTGCCTTGGCCTCCCAAAGTGCTAGGATTACAGGCGTGGGCCACCACACCCGGCTAAAGCCAGAATTCTTAACCAGTACCCAGCAGTCCATCCACAATCTTAACAATTACCCTCTACTGCCCCTTGGGCCCCCTGTCCCCAGAAGCCTGGTCAGCCAAGACTCACATCCCTAGGTGGCTGGCAACCACCAGAAGTGGCTTTCTCAGGGATACTGCCATTTGTTTTCCTGTTCCTGTTCGCTCCTGCTGGAACTCTAGGGCTGTTTTTCTGCCAATATTCTTTTAACTGTTGGAAAGAAGAGCAGTAATACTCATGAGAACCGTCAGCCCCTACAGCCACATCCTCCTTTACAGTTTTTACAAAATACACTTACACACCATCTGATTTAATGACACCAACAACTGTACAAGGTGTTGTCACACTCATTTAGTGACTGAGAAGGATTGATATCATGGCTAGAAAAAAAAAAAGAAAAAGGCAATACTGGAACTTTGAAACTCAGTCTTCTGACTCCAAGCTCTGAGGTTTTGCCAAGAATCAGCAGCTGCCAGGGACCAAAACCAGAGGCAGAGGTAGAAAAGTAAACATTAAGTAGGCAGGAACTGTATGCCATGTGGTTTAGAGTCATACATCCTCACACGTCTGTTAGTGTGAAGAAGTGCACCAGTACCTCTCAAACTCTTATATCAATGTGTCCTCATGGCAGAAGGCAGCCTTTCTCTTAAATCAGAATTTATCAGAAAGAGGACAACCCAAGCCTCATTTCAGAGAGAGGTCTGGTATACTCTTAGAAACCTATGTGACTGTCATCCCTAAGTACATTCATGTTTTTTCTCTTGATCTCAAGAGAATCAAGGGAAACTGATGCTTCAGAAAGATGTCCCACATTTATCCTGTGGCACTCAAAGTACCCAAGGTTGAGATAATATGAGGAAGATTCAAGGTGTCAAGTTCAGTTTCCCAAGATCTATTCCACAGAAGATGAGCAAATGTCACTTCAGAGACCACTGACTGAAGGAGAGTCTGGTCCCAGAACCATGGAGAATTAGAATATGAGGTGGAGAACTCAGAAAAAAATGTTAAAATCTCTCTGGAAAGTAGAAGCCTGGGAGAAAACCAAACCAAACGCATTCTCTCATTGCCACCCAGAGATACTGTCAACGTTTTGAGTTCATGGGGGAAGTGTAGGCTTTTCCCACCGTCAACATCTGTAAGGGAGTGAGGCAGCCTGGAACCTCTTGCTCCTAGGTCCCATAGTCTCCATTCCCCTTCCAGCTGGAAATTTGTGCTGTGACCAGAGGAACCAGAAACGGGGTGAGAACGCTTAGGGGACTGGGTCGTAAGATCAAAGGCCAGTCTTGCAGTAACAGCAGTTACTAGGTGGACTGTGACATCACAACATTCCACTCCTCCTGGTCGGGGGGAGGGACCATGTCAGCACCATGTCCAAGTCGCTGCTCCACGATGGGGGAGGGAAGCACAGGGTTGGGACCCAGCTCCTTGGAGACGCCAGCACAAAGAACCCAGGGAGGTCGACCTTGAGGCAGCAGGAGGGGAGGGCACAGTCTGCAGCAGGGAGTCCCAGGAGTCACCAGTCCAAAGTCACCCAGGGATGACTGGCGAGGGTGGGGCCTGGCTCCTTGGAGATGAGAGCCCAAAGAGCCCAGGGAGATCAAGCTTGGGGCGGCAGGAGATGAGGGCCCAGTAATGGAGCGGGAAGCCCCAGGACTCACCCACCCAAAGTCACCCTGGGGTGATTGGCGAGGGCAAGGACTGGGCTGCTTGCTGAAGGGGTGGGGCTGACTGACAAAACTTTGGTGGGGGTAGCCCAGAGGCACCGGGGTAGGGGGGACCAGTCCAGTGTGCCTCAGGAGTCGTATAGACTCTGGCAGGGGTCTTGTCATCAGAGGGGATCTGTGGCTGGGTTGAGGGGCTATGACCTAGTGCGTTTTTACCTTTTTCTTGGCTGCAGCCAATTTGTTGTGTTGAGTTTCTTCTGCCATCGCAGGGTGGGGAGGGAGGCAGGGTTGGGGTCACAGCAGCAAAATCTCAATGAGAACCGATCAAGGCCTCCAGTCACCTACCAGGCAGCTGTGTGACTGAGCCAGAGGAGGCGTAACCAGGGCCCCAGTAGAATGCGGAATAGGGGCGTGGCCTTAATGCTCCAAGCCCATTGGTCAATGAGAAAGATGAAAAGGAAAGGGGGCGTGGCCAGAAAGCAGTGTGTCCAGAGGGACCTGTGGCTCACAAGGAAAGCTGCCCATGGCAACTGCTCTCCCCACCCACTCTAAGAGAGGGGAGAGGCCTCCCACTCTGGAAGAGAAGAGGGGCCGGCTTTTGCTTTAAAAGCTTTAAAACTTTAAAAAATATATGTGTGTATACTTTATATATATGTGTGTCCGTGTGTGTGTATCTATGTTTTTCTCCATAGCTGTCTTCATTATCCAGCTTCTATGCAAGGTCCATGATTTTGGCCTATATTTTTCATCTTTGATTACAGTACAAAAATTACCAGTATTACCTTAACTGAGATACAGATCCTATAAAAATGGAAAATGCATAGCATGCTTGATGATTAATGAAGCAGACTATATTATCCAACATTCTAATAAGATAAAATAATCACAATGATTTCTCTTTTTTGGAAAAATGTTTCTCTTATTCTCCTACGTTTTCGTTAAGATTTTTTTTCTTAAACAAGAAACATGTCTAATATCTGTAAAAACACAAAGCTTTTTGGGCAGGGTGCAGTGGCTCATGCCTGTAATTCCAGGACTTTGAGAGCCCAAGGTGGGTGGATCATGAGGTCAGGAAATCGAGACCATCCTGGCTAACACGGTGAAACCCCATCTCTACTAAAAATACAAAAAAGGCCGGACATGGTGGCAGGCACCTGTAGTCTCAGCTACTTGGGAGGCTGAGGCAGGAGAATGACATGAACCTCTGAGGTGGAGCTTGCAGTGAGCCAAGATCATGCCGCTGCTCTCCAGCCTGGCTACAGAGCAAGACTCCATCTAATAATTAAATAAATAAATTAATTAATTAATAAAAATAAAAAATTAATAGTAAGAGCAATGTGAACAAAAGATGCAATAAAATAATTTAGAAAATACAAGCTATTAAAAAAAAGATTTTAAAACTTGTGCAACAAAGTCAAACAGCACCCAACGAAAATGTATACCCTTACATGTTTGTTTAAAAAGCAATTTAAATTACATTGATCCACTAAACTAGGAAAAGCAAAGCAAACAAAAAGGGGGAAATAATTAAGACCTAAGGAAAAAGGAAAAAGAAAAACCACTAGATTTAAAAAATAAAACTAAAGGAGGATTCTTTCAAAAGACTGAGATAATAAAACAGTCAAGCCTCTGATAAGTAATCAAGATAAAGAAAACTTTGAAGAGAAAAGGGCATATAGCCACATGTGAATATGATGCAAAAAGTGAAAACTTTACACATCTTTACAACACCTTAGAAGTATGGATGACATGTTCATTTTTTTTTTTTTTTTTTTTTGTTTGAGATGGAGTCTCGCTCTGTCACCCACGCTGGAGTGCAGTGGCGCGATCTTGGCTCACTGCAAGCTCCGCCTCCCGGGTTCACAACATTCTCCTGCCTCAACCTCCTGAGTAGCTGGGACTACAGGCGCCCGCCACCACGCCTGGCTAATTTTTTGTATTTTGGCTTAGTAGAGACAGGGTTTCACCATGTTAGCCAGGATGGTCTTTATCTCCTGATCTCGTGATCCACCCGCCTCGGCCTCCCAAAGTGCTGGGATTACAGGCATGAGCCATTGCACCCGGCCAAAGTTTTCATTTTTTTTTTTAAGATTCTACAGTCACAAAAACTAACTGAAGAAGTGGAAAATCTGGAGACCAATACGCAGAAGAAGGAAAAAGACAAAGACTCATCCTCCAAATTGGATATTTATTTAAACCAGAATTTGTCAGCCTCAGCAATACTGATATATTTGGCCAGATAATTCTTTGTGGAGGGTT
The DNA here is from genome assembly GCF_000001405.40 of Homo sapiens. NCBI lineage: Eukaryota > Metazoa > Chordata > Mammalia > Primates > Hominidae > Homo > Homo sapiens. Next base: position 2,253,777 of record NW_011332701.1, on the reverse strand, counting down.
CTCCTGGTGTGTTGTCGGACATTTAGTAACATTCCCTCTACCCACAGAATGCCAATAAGACCTCCCGACCTTGACCAGTTGTAACCACAAAAATGTCTCCAGATATTTCGAAACGTCCCATAGGAGGCAAAATACTCCTGCAGTTGAAAATTACTGTGTAAACCAGATCTACATCCTAGATCTTAGAAAAAAGATGTAAAGCTTCCCAACTCAGCCCTGCATACCCTTGATACTGAAATGAAATAACAGCCTTATTGGAAACAAACAAAACTATAATCTTATTTAATACAGAAGTAAAAATGCAAAAATAAAATATTACCACAGCCATTCTAACAGTGTTTATTATAGGAATGCAAAGATGATTCAAAATTAGGAAAAATTCATTAGGCAATTCACAAATTATATTTCTACATATAATTGAAGGCAAAATCATGAAAAACAAAGTAGCTCTATATGCATTAAGTCCATGATCTATTCAGTGAAAAACACAAGTTGCAGATGTCTTACAGAAGGAAAACTTAACACTGAACACATATTCTTACCATCTGCTCTTTGTCCTGAGGCTCCAATAGAAATACAGTGAAGAATAAACATTGTATAAGCACACAATTACAAAAAAGGAATGGGGTTACCAACAGAAGAGAATTCATCTTCATTAGACAATGACAGTACATGGAAAATGGTTAATTCATGGAGCAAAGCAAACAAAGGTGGAGGTCAGGGGGATACTGAGAACAAGGAGGCTAATCTGTCCCACAGCAACCTGGAAAGGTTCTAGACCCAGACACGAGGTACCCCCGACAGTGGGACTGATAGGCAAGACTGAAAACAGAGATTAAGCAAAAGCCCGGATAGAGAACACATTTCACAGGCCCTGAAACACACTGCTGGCCCCATCTCCTTAAACAGAACCCAAGCAAACGTATCCACCTCAGGCAAGACAATGTAGATTTTACATCCAGAGGAATGGAGTAGTCATCCAGCCATCATTTATGATTGCACCAGGAGATAAGATAGAGGGATGGAGGATAACAATTAGGAATCAGCATACATTCCCCCTAAAAGCTATCAGTTGACAAGTCTTGGCCACAAAGAACTCCCAATCAATTTTGATTTATTTTTATTTTTATTTATTTATTTTTTTTGAGACAGGGTCTTGCTCTTTCGCCCAGGCTGGAATGCAGGAATGCAGTGGCATGATCAGAGCTCACTGCAGCCTCAACCTCCTGGGCTCAAGCAATCCTCCTGCCTCAGCCTCCCAAGTAGCTGGGACTGCAGATGGGTGTCACCACACCTAGCTATTTTTTTTTTTTTTGTAAAGATGGGGTCTCACTATGTTGCCCAAACTAGTCTTGAGCTCCTGGGCTCAAGTGATCCTCCCACTTCGGTCTCCCAAAGCACTGAGATTATAGGTGTGAGCCACCACACCCCGGCTCCCAGTCTTTTAGTACCTCTCTCAAATATGAATGAGCAAATAAAGGAATGAGAAAAAGACTACAGGTCAGGCGCGGTGGCTCATGTCTGTAATCCCAGCACTTTGGGAGGCCAAGGTGGGTGGATCACCTGAGGTTGAGAGTTCCAGACCAGACTGACCAACATGGAGAAATCCCATCTCTACTAAAAATACACAAATTAGCTGGGCGTGGTAGCACATGACTGTAATCCCAGCTACTTGGGAGGCTGAGGCAGGAGAACTGCTTGAACCTGGGAGGCAGAGGTTGTGATGAGCCGAGATCACATCATTGTACTCCAGCCTAGGCAACAAGAGCGAAACTGGGTCTCAAAAAAAAAAAAAAAAAGACTACAAATGATAAGCAACATAGAATAGATATTTAAGGAAAGGCTTTAAAAAGAAAAATAAGACCAAAATAAACTAAGAAAAAAAATTATTAAAGAACAAAGAGATGCCAGGGAGAAGACAAAGAGTATCAAAATCACTTCATAAAGACACTTGTGAATATATTACATGTATAAAACAAAACAATATGAATAAGAAATAATCAGAGAAGAAAAAGTTCTTAGAACTCATGCTCCATCTTGGGAGTTGGTCTCCAATGAGCCATACCTCCTGTCATCATGTCCTTAGACAGGCCCATCCCATAGTCAATCTGGGTTGGCCCCAACACTCACTTTAACCTATAGCATGTGGTAGAAATGACACTGGACCTGTTCCAGGTCTAAGCCTTAAGAACCCCTGGCAGCTCCATTTCTGTGCTTCTGGAAGCCAAAAATAAGAATTGGCTACCCTCTTGGAGAAAGAAAAGCCACATGAAGAGATTCGAGAGGATGAGATGCTATGCAGAGAGAAAGGCCACATGAAGAAACACCAAAGCAGCAGACCTGTGGGTGAAGAAGCCGTCTCAGACATTCCACTGCAGCTGAGCATCCAGATGACCAGTCCCTAACACTGTCTGACCGCACAGTGAGAGCTGCCAAATAAGACCAGCAAGAAAACTGTCCAGCTAGCCCCAGTTAATCCATACAGTAGTGACAGATAGACATATGTGTAGTTTTACGCCATTAAGTTTTGGGATAATTGGTTAAGCAACAATAAATAACCAAAACAAAACTTAAAGTTATGATAGTCCAAATAAAATTTCCTGAAAGTCGAAAGATAAGAAAAATATTCCAGAACTTAAAATTTAAAAAAAATTTAGAAATAATGTGAGATACCAGACTCAAGACAAGAGGTCTAAAATCCAATTAACAGACACTTCAAAATGAACAAATAAAATGGAAAAGAGAAAGTTAACAACAAAAATATGACAAGATTCAAGACTCCAACTTTGAAAGAGCCTATCCATAGGCCTGTCCATTTGGTGTACCCAGCACAATGAATGAAAAAAGACCCACACTAAGTACACTGTTGTGCTATTTCAGCTCAACAAGGAAAAGACAAACTCCTAAAAGCTTCCAGGGAGAAAGTCATGCATAAATAAGTGAAACTCAGGATGGCATGAGGCTTCACCACCACGACTGGTTAGAAGACAACAGCACAGACTTTGAAATTTTAAGGTAAAATTATCCTCAACCTAGAAATATATAATCAACCAAACTATCAATCAAGTGTGAGGGTAGAATATGAGAGACGTGAATACTGATGGGGATGTGATATGCAGCAGGCACTGTTCTAAATGGTTTACATGTACCAGTTCAATAAATCCTCATAGCTCCCTAAAAACATAGGTACTACTACTATTACTGGTTCCCCCATTTTGCAAATGGAAAATTCATGCATAGGGCAATTAGGGAATCAGCCCAAGGACATACAGCTAATAAGTAGGAGAACCAAGATTCAAACCTATCTCGGACTGGCTCCAAAACTCAAACACTGGGTCATATTTTTTTGGAAGCTAGAGCTCAGAAAAGATACCACTGCATGCTTTCTTAGAGTTTTATTTGAGGATGTTGTCAGGGAAAATGAGAAAGGTTAAGCCAAGAAAGATGACATGGGATCCAGGAAACAATGGATCTACTCTAGGAGAGGAGATGTGAAAAACCTCAAGATGGCATCTGCACAGCCAACCGAAAGAACAACCTGCCAAGATGGGCTCAGAGGAGCCAAAGGCTTCAAAAGAGAAGGAGATCTCACAGAAAGGGCTACAACAGCATTTTTTTAAATTAAAAATTACTACTATGAGGAAGACCTGCAAAACAAAAAGCAGCGCCAAGAAAAGAAATATCCTATCCTAAATATTCTAGAAAACTTGGCTTTATTCTACAAAGTCCTAATGATAATTAGAGATTACTTATATGACTAAAGATAATATTTGAGGAAGGGGAAGTGGGTGGTATAAGAGCTAAATTCTCATGTATTTTAGTAAAAAGTAAATAACTGATGCCTAAATAGGTAAATCCAGGAAGAAGTTAGAGGTGGTGGTGAGCTAGTGGAGATTTCTGTTGCTTGCAGGAGATAACATTTGGGCGAGTCCTTAAGAAGCATAGACAGATGTAAGGAGATGGCATTTCTAGGTAAAGGTAATTGAATAAGCAAAGACAAAAAAAGAAAGAAGCAAAAACATTTATGGACACCAGGAATATTAACAACAAAAATGTGGTGGTATGGAGAAGGGCAATTGTTTGCCTGTCATAGTAAATATCAGCAGCTCCAAAGAATGAAAGATTATTTTTAGTACCTAAGACAGAACAAAACAATTCAACAGGAACAAAAAAACCTAATTTCTAAATAAGTTGAATAACAAAAAAAAATCATCCTAGTTTGACTTTTGCTTGAGACAATTTATTTTATCTCTTGAACACTACAGAATTTACTTTACCTGTAAATAATACATTATTATTATTATTATTATTATTATTATTATTATTATTATTATTATTGAGACAGAGTTTCACTCTTGTCACCCAGGCTGGAGTGCAATGGTGTGATCTTAGCTTGCTGCAGCCTCCACCTCCCAGCTTCAAGTGATTCTCCTGCCTCAGCCTCCCGAGTAGCTGGGATTACAGGCGCCCACCACCACGCCTGGCTAATTTTTGTATATTTAGTGGAGACAGGGTTTCACCATGTTGGTCAGGTTGGTCTCAAACTCCCGACCTCAGGTGATCCACCTGCCTGAGCCTCCTAAAGTGCTGGGATTACAGGCGTAAGTCACCGCTCCCAGCCTAATTATTTTTATTTGTCTACTTGACTTTTTTTTCTATCCTTACCTGCACCTCTTTCCTGGAGTAGGAAAATACAGGAATTCATGAGTCCATCCCAATATGGACTCCAAGATGCTCCAGGCTGTCTCTCTTACTCATCACGAGTCTATATTACACACCCAGCACAAAGTGGACAGCCAAACAAAGAAAATCTTGGAGTAAAAATGGCCTGCAACAAAACTATGGAAACAGTGAAAAGATCAGTCATTGCCAGGGGTTGAAGGGAGGGACGAATGAATAGGCAGAGCATAGAGGATTTGGGGGCAGTGAAACTACTCTCTATGATACAATAATTATAGACACATGTTATTATACTTTCAACCAAATCCGTAAAATATCCAACACACCAAGAGCGAACCCTAATGTTAACCATGGACTTTGGGCAATAATGGTGCATCAATATAGGTTCATTGATTGTAACAAATGGACCACTCTGGTGCCCATGTTGGTAGTGGGGAAGGCTGTGAATGTGTAGGGGCAGGAGCTATATGGGAACTGTCTGTACTTTCTGCTCAACTTTGCTGTGAACCTAAAACTGCTCTAAAAATGATCTATTTAAAAGAGAGAGGAGGCCAGGCGCGGTGGCTCACACCTGTAATCCCAGTACTTTGGGAGGTCGAGGCGGGAGGATCACGAGGTCAGGAGTTCAAGACCAGTCCGACCATCATGGTGAAACCCCGTCTCTACTAAAAATACAAAAATTAGCCAGGTGTGGTGGCGCACACCTGTAATGCCAGCTACTCAGGAGGCTGAGGCAGGAGAATCGCTTGAACCCAAGAGGCAAAGGCTGCAGTGAGCAGTAAGCCAAGATCGTGTCATTGCACTCCAGCCTGGGCTACAGAGGAAGACTTAGTCTCAAAAAAAAAAAAAAAAAGAGAGCGAGAGAGAAAGGAAATGGCCTAAGAAACTACAAAATACCACAAGATGGCACTCTTTCTCTCGGAAGCTTCAATGAGGGCTGCATTTCCAGAAATTGCTACTGCTGAAGAGTGTAGCAGGGATTGTGACTGCCCCCGGCCCCGTTATTCATGAAGCTAAAAGAGCTTCACAATGTTGTCCCAGCCCAACCCCAGGTTTATACTTTCCATGGCTGTTATTAAAGATAGGTATTATTATGATTCAGGTGTGATGAGGCCAACAGATCAGGAGATGACTGCTGCTGGAAAGAGAGTTTTTTACTGTTCCCAAGAGGAAGGGGCACCAGGTAGGTCAGGAGACAGAGCAGGAGGAAAACGAGGGCAAGAGCCTTTCTTGTGGTTTCCACGGGAAGGGACAGGTGAGGCAGGGTAAGCAGACTTAGCACTGACTGGTTTGAATAATTTCTGGGGCATGATTGACTGGGGCATACGGCTGTCCGTAGTATTCTGGTAGCTGGCCCTGGGGTGACTAGGGCAGGTGGATCCTGGCCCAGAGTATAGGAGTCTGAGAAAGGAGGGGGCTGGGGTATGAGCACTGGATTGCTTGATTTTTTTTTTTTTTTTTTTTTTTTTTTTTTTTTGAGATGGAGTCCCGCTCTGTCGCCCAGGCTGGAGTGCAGTGGCGCGACCTTGGCTCACTGCAAGCTCCGCCTCCCAGGTTCAAGAGATTCTCCTGTCTCAGCTTCCCCAGTAGCTGGGATTACAGGCATGTACCACCATGTCCAGCTAATTTTTTGTATTTTTAGCAGAGACAGGGTTTTACCATGTTGGCCAGGCTGGTCTGTAATGGATTGGTTGATTTGTGTATGAAAGGCAGGCTTTCAGGCAAGTTCTTTGCTATCTCTAGGAACTGGCTAACCCTGGAAGACGCAGTCTCTCCAGGGTCACCAAGGCTCCAAAATGACAAAGCATCTGAACCACATGGTTAGTAAAATGGAGTATAGTGACACAAAGTTATACTCTCCAGTTCACAAACGAGCTCAGAAGCAATTCCAGGAAAATTATTTTCTTATGGTTACTATTGTCAGGCCACTCAAAGGAGTTTTGATTTCCTGAAAAGGAAATCTTCCACACAGATGCTATAGAAAAAGATCTAATTGCTTCTATAAACTGGCAAGAATATTTCCATAACTACAGAACTTTTTGCCAATTTCCCAACTGGAAAAAAGTAAGATGAATTTGAGCTCCTTTAAGTCACTCCTCTTTACCCGCATGGTCTTAAGGTGACTTTTAGAGAGAGGACACAGGCAATGTGAGTGGGAGAAGGGCCCAGGTGCCACACCTTACTTGTACTGGCAGATGGGGAGGAACAGCACAGACCGCACATCTGAGAGAAGAACTGGTTACCCGCAGACAGGGCCAGGAGTGTCCTGAGGTTACTCCAGGGCCTGAGAGCTTCCAGGCAGGTGTAAACATGAAGGCTGGCTTGGAGCAATCATATTATATCTGCACAATCCGAAGTGAGGCATTGTCTGTGGCAGCAGCCTCCCTGAGCCAGCAATAATCCCTTTTTCTAATCTGGTTTAATTAAATGGACACCAGGCATGGATCAGAAGAGAGGGGTCATTTATGGGATTGCATTATTTAACCAGGTGATCACTTAGAAGGTTTTGAGTTTCTAAAACAAAAAAAGAGACTGTGCTACTAAGAACTGGCATGCAGTAGACAGTTTAATAAAACTGAAATGCCGGCCGGGCAAGATGGCTCACGCCTGTAATCCCAGCACTTTGGGAGGTCAAGGTGGGTGGATCACCTGAGGTCAGGAGTTCGAGACCAGCCTGGCCAACATAGTGAAACCCCGTCTCTACTAATAATACAAAAATTAGCTGGCTGTGGCGGCATGCACCTGTAATCCCAGCTACTCGGGAGGCTGAGGCAGGAGAATCACTTGAACCCGGGAGGCGGAGTTTGCAGTGAGCCGAGATTGTCCCACTGCACTCCAGCCTGGGCAAAGAGCGAAACTCGGTCTCAAAAAACAAACAAACAACACACACACACACACACACAAACCAACTTTTCTTTACTGTGTATAGCTTTACTGCAATTCCCTGCCTAACCCCGAACTACGTGGTGGGAAGTGTAGGGATAGGAGAGCAGCGCAGTTCCTGATAGGGCTTCCTGCCTTATGATGAGACCATTGAATACAGACTGTGAGCCTGTTATATTCAAAGTGTTGAAAGTCATCATTTGAGGGTGTGGGGAGCTGGGGAAATGATTATTTGGAGATAAAGGAGGGATTTACATTGATCAGGGGTTAGCCAGACTGCATCTCTTTTCGTCTTTTGAAGTTTACTGCGGCAAGGGGTTGATTAGTGCAGCACAATTGTCTTGGGACAGGACGGTCAGCATTGGGCAGCTCCTGGCTTTAATCTGAAGCCTCCCTTCCTCCCGCAGATCTGTAATAATTCCAGGTGGCAGTATGGTTTTGGTTGTAGGTGTCGGTGCGGTGTGGACATTGCCCACGGAGGGCACAGAGCAGCAAGACCCAGGAGGGAGATATTTCCCGAGTTCTCCACACACCAGGATGTTTGAGAGAAGAGCCAAGTCTTGGTTTTATGACAGTGAGACAAGAACACAGAGAGAAAAGGAGAAGAGGAACAAGTGGCTCTCGGATACTGATGAGTTATAAAGAGAAGATCCTGAAGGAATTCACTGTGAGTCAGGCGCTCCCGCACTTGGCGTCTGATGGCTGTTCTCCTTAAAGGAGTACCGAGAGATCCTCCCTCAGGATTGCTATCCCAAGAGAGTGGAGGCTTTTCTCCTGTAGCTCCTTTTCAAAGGTGCAAGTGCCTTCTGTGCTTTCTGCTCTCATCTGGAGGAATTCTGCCCTTACCTACTCACCTGTTTTTTTCTTTATTACAAAGGTAAGGACATAGTTTGCTCTAAAAAGTAGTAAGCTTAATTATGATCTAACCAAAATATCAGGTACCCAGCCACAGTATGTAATCATGAGTTTCAACCCTGCATTGATTTTTACTTTAATAAAAATACCCAATGCTTCTCTCTAAAATCTCGTGATATAGAAGTAAGCATCTGTGATGCCCAATAAAACCGTGCACAGCTCCTGACACAACCTGAGGGATGATTTCTAATCATCTTATAGAAATATTTATATCTTTCTTGTTTTAATGAGGATTTTTAAGTGCAAGACATAAAATATTAATAGGTTAAGGAAGCTGGACTTAGCTTTCATTCTGCACGTAGAGGCACAAAAATGATCATGGTTCTTCAAAATGCTAGAGTTGACGTATGATCTACCAACTCCATTCTTGGTTCCTAAACTCAAGATAAATGAAAATGTGTCCATGAAAAACTGGTCTAAGAAGGTTCATAGCAGCATTATTCATAATAGCCAAAAAGTAGAAACAACCCAATTGCCCATCAACCAGATGGATAAACAAAATATGGTCTCTCTGCACAACAGAATATTATTTTGTAAAAAGAAATGAATTACTGATGCATGCTACAACACAGATGAACCTTTAAAACTTTATGCTAAGAGAAAGAAGCCCATCACAAAACGTACATCTGTAGGTTTCCGTTCCTATGAAATGTCCATAATAGGAAAATCCACAGAGACAAAGTAGATTAGTGGTTGCCAGGAGCAGAAGTAGTGGGGGAATGGGAAGTGACTGCTGACAGATACAGTATTTCTTTTTGAGATAATGAAAATGTTCTGAGATTAGATTATGATGTTTGCACACAACTGTGAATATGCCAAAAACTACTGAACTAATATAAATATTTATATATAGTTATATATATTTAATATATTAAATATATGTTAATATTAAATATAAATGTTATATAATGTTATATAAATATAAATATGTTATATAATATGATATAAATATATATAATATAATATATTACATTATTATTATATAATAATATTATAATATAATATAATATAATATATAATAAAAATAAAAAATAAAAAAATAAAATAAAATAAAATAAAAATATAAAAATAAATTTAAAAAATAAAATAAAATAAAATAAAAATAAAAAATAAAAATAAAAAAATAAAAAATAAAAAATAAATAATAAAAATAATATAATATAATATTATATATAAATATATAATATAATTATTATATTATTATTATATATCATTATATAATATATTATTATAATAATTAGTATTATATTAATATATGATATATCATATATTATATAATATATGATATATCATATATTATATAATATATGATAATATAATATCATATATTAATATAATATATTGTATTAATATATTATAATATGTAATCATATATAATGATATATTAATATAATATATAGTATATATTTTATATTAATATATTATATATTATATATATTATAATAAATATATAATATATAATAAATATGTTATATAATATGCTATATAAATATAAATATGTTAATATTTAATATAGTAAATATTTTAAAATATATTAAATATGTTACATATATTTAAAAGGGTGATTTCTGTGGTATGCACATTACATCTCAATAAAGTTGTCATTTAAAAAAATTGGCATGGGGCAGGGTGAGGTGGCTGACGCCTGTAATCCCAGCACTTTGGGAGGCCGAGGCGGGTGGATCATTTGAGGTGAAACCCTGTCACTGCTAAAAATACAAAAAAATTATCTGGGTGTAGTGGCACATGCCTATAGCCCCAGCTACCTGGGAGGCTGAGGCAGTAGAATGGCTTGAGCCTGGGAGGCGGAGGTTGCAGTGAGCCAAGATGGTGCCACTGCACTCCAGCCTGGGCAACAGAGTGAGACTCCATCTCAAAAAAAAAAAAAAACTGGCATGGAAGTCTTCCCAACTGTTTCTCTTCTCCCAGCCTTCCAAAGAGAGACCTATAATTGCCTATTCTAATTTCCCAACCTCCTTCCTTCTCAAGAGAAAAGATTCTTTCTTGCTAGGAGAGGGTTTGGGTTGACCAATGTCATAAAGAAATGAAGAGTGGGGGAGGGAAAGAAGAGTGTGAGAAAGAAAAGGTGAACAGGGCTGGTCAGAAGAGAAGGGTTTGGGGAAGGTAACTGCAGCGGATGTTCTGGGAAAGTTGCAGGAGTAACGGGGACAGATGCAAGAACAGGGAATTCCTATTTTGTGATACGATGGCCTGTGTGCATGTGGACCTATTCAGGTTTTAGAGAATTGCAAGAAAAGGATTTGAACTATTTTGAAGCAGCATTTGGTTGCTGGTCTTCATTTGCCTACATTTCTCCAAGACAGAACCATAAGGGCCCAGGCTTATATTTTAAGCTTTTGTAATAAAGTTAAGCTTTTATATTTTACAATATATTGACATCATATATTTTAAGATTTGTCTCTGGAAAAATTGCCCTTGGCTTTTAGGATAGTTGTGGCAAATTGTGGGTTAATTACAAGCCCTTCCATTCCACAGCCCCCATAACATTGAATAAAATAATCAATCCCCTGAAAAAGTCAAGTTGGTGAAAATGAATACTTATGAATGGCTTCTTATGTTACTTTAGGCTGTCATGTAATACAATTTTTTTCTGAGAAGTATTTATTCATCTATGTAGCTGAATGAAAGCTACATGTTTTTGCAACTTCCATGAGAATCTAAAACTACTTAAAAGTTGTATTTTAAAAAAAGATATAGCAATTATATTACCAGAGTTTAACTGGAGAGATTGTTTTTGAGATTTTTTTTTTTTTTTTTGAAAAATAAAATTCTCAGCTGGGCGTGGTGGCTCACGCCTGTAATCCCAACACTCTGGGAGGCTGAGGCGGGCAGATCACCTGAGGTCAGGAGTTCGAGACCAGCCTGGCCAACATGGTGAAACCCCATCTCTACTAAAAATACAAAAATTAGCCAGGCATGGTGGCAGGTGCCTGTAATCCCAGCTAGTCGAGAGGCTGAGGCAGGAGAATCACTTGAACCCAGGAGGTGGAGGTTGCAGTGAGCCGAGATCATGCCATTGCACTCCAGCCTGAGTGATAAGAGCGAAGCTGTGTCTCAAAAATAATAATAATAATGTATTATTATTATAATACCTTATAATACCTGTGTCTCAAAAAAAAAGAAAAGAAAAGAAAGAAAGGAAGGAAGGAAGAAAAGAAAGAGAGAAAAAAGAAAATCTGAAAATGTTCAAGTTCTTTTGCTACCTGAATGTCATACCAGTGGTCAGAATGTAGACTTTCAGACTAATGTTTGTAAGTGATGCCCTGGGTAATAATCAATCCCAGGCTATAAAGCAAGTACTTTGCAAAGTCTCAAGTCCCTCTCAGCACTGGGTGATCCATCTGTGTTCAATGGGGCTCACCCTTTGTGGGTGCCCCCAAAGAGGGTGATTTATGATCGGTTATAACGACATCCAACTTCAGAAGGAAATCCATTTCCTCTCACTGTATGGGGTAGACTCAGCTCATATAAATTCTGAGGAAGCCTTATAGTTCTTGTGATACAAAAACAATCAGCTGCCGTGATTAGAAACACAGACTATTAAATAACTGCATCCTAGGGTAGCACAGCAAGAAAGCTCCAAGTGAGCAGTGTGGCTGCAGAGTGCTCCGTAGAAGGCAGGATTATCAATTCAGCACAAAGCTGAAGGCAAGAACCTGCGGTATTTCGCTATCATGGCTAGTGATATTCATGGGGCCTGGAAGTCCTATACTGTCTCTTCATGTTTTATATCCACATTTTAATGTTGTTTGTGGACAATACTGGTTGTTGCAACAGGTCACTTGTACCATAAAAAGAATGACTGGCACCTCTAATTACAGGGGAAGAGCCACCTCCCAGGGACTGGGGAGTAGGGGCAAGAGGCTCATCCCTACAGCATTTCCCACCTCTTAAAGTGGCCACCACATTTCTTTTGTTCCTGACCTTCTCCCATTGGGAAGATGAGCAAGAGCTAGAGCTAGAAGGGCAATTGAAGTGTGAACATACCAGGAAAGCTCAGGGAAAGTGGTTCCCGAAACCATCTTTCCCATAGCTTGTCTCTTGGGATGGGCTTTTCCACAGTGACGTGATTCAGTGTGATTGTATGCTTATGTGTTTACAACCAGCAGGCACAGGGCTGCCACTGACTACACGATGATGGGAGGATGGACGCCGCCTTCAGGAGCTGGAGGAGCAGAAGACGTGAACAAAGGTGGAGGGTGGTTTGGGCAGGGGTGGGTGAAGAGGTGCGTGGGGCGGGCTTTGAGAGTTAAAGGGGACCCACAGAAGGTTTCAATCCATGTGCTATCAGCTCTTTGCTGGGGACCATTGCCTCTTGGGCCTGATGGGAAGCAGGGTGGAAAGGCCTATGAGGGAACCAAGTGGCAGAAGCGTTCAACCAGGTGTGCTGTGAAGGTGCTGTCCAGGCAGAGGCAGAAATCATGGTCAGATCCCGAGGAAGAGCAAGACGAGTTCAACTGGTGAGTCTTAGAAGTCAGCCAGAACCCCCTCTGATTCTGGTTCCCAAGCTCAAGAGGGACCAAGCCCAAACCCAAGCCCAAGATGGGGAAGTCGTGCGCATCATCGGTCAGAGGCTCAGGAAGAAGCCATATTTGAAAGTGATTCTGGTGCCTCCTTTTCCTTCCTCCCCTGATTCCATGAAGCCCTTTTTTAAATATTGCAAAGAATGTGGGTATTTCCACCAGCAGTGTAAAAGTGTTCCTATTTCTCCACATCCTCTCCAGCACCTGTTGTTTTCTGACTTTTTAATGATTGCCATTCTAACTGGTATGAGATGGTATCTGATTGTGGTTTTGATTTGCATTTCTCTGATGGCCAGTGATGGTGAGCATTTTTTCATGTGTTTTTTGGCTGCATAAATGTCTTCTTTTGAGAAGTGTCTGTTCATGTCCTTTGTCCACTTTTTGATGGGGTTGTTTGGTTTTTTCTTGTAAATTTGTTTGAGTTCATTGTAGATTCTGGATATTAGCCCTTTGTCACATGAGTAGGTTGTGAAAATTTTCTCCCATTTTGTAGGTTGCCTGGTCACTCTGATGGTAGTTTCTTTTGCTGTGCAGAAGCTCTTTAGTTTGATTAGATCCCATTTGTCAATTTTGGCTTTTGTTGCCATTGCTTTTGGTGTTTTAGACATGAAGTCCTTGCCCATGCCTATGTCCTGAATGGTAATGCCTAGGTTTTCTTCTAGGGTTTTTATGGTTTTAGGTCTAACATTTAAGTCTTTAATCCATCTTGAATTAATTTTTGTATAAGGTGTAAGGAAGGGATCCAGCTTCAGCTTTCTACATATGGCTAGCCAGTTTTCCCAGCACCATTTATTAAATAGGGAATCCTTTCCCTATTGCTTGTTTTTCTCAGGTTTGTCAAAGATCAGATAGTTGTAGATATGCGGCATTATTTCTGAGGGCTCTGTTCTGTTCCATTGATCTATATCTCTATTTTGGTACCAGTACCATGCTGTTTTGGTTACTGTAGCCTTGTAGTATAGTTTGAAGTCAGGTAGTGTGATGCCTCCAGCTTTGTTCTTTTGGCTTAGGATTGATTTGGCGATGCGGGCTCTTTTTTGGTTCCATATGAACTTTAAAGTAGTTTTTTCCAATTCTGTGAAGAAAGTCACTGGTAGCTTGATGGGGATGGCATTGAATCTATAAATTACCTTGGGCAGTATGGCCATTTTCACGATATTGATTCTTCCTACCCATGAGCATGGAATGTTCTTCCATTTGTTTGTATCCTCTTTTATTTCATTGAGCAGTGGTTTGTAGTTCTCCTTGAAGAGGTCTTTCACGTCCCTTGTAAGTTGGATTCCTAGGTATTTTGTGGAAGACAGTGTGGCAATTCCTCAGGGATCTAGAACTAGAAATACCATTTGACCCAGCCATCCCATTACTGGGTATATACCCAAAGGACTATAAATCATGCTGCTATAAAGACACATGCACACGTATGTTCATTGCGGCACTATTCACAATAGCAAAGTCTTGGAACCAACCCAAATGTCCAACAATGATAGACTAGATTAAGAAAATGTGGCACATATACACCATGGAATACTATGCAGCCATAAAAAATGATGAGTTCATGTCCTTTGTAGGGACATGGATGAAATTGGAAATCGTCATTCTCAGTAAACTATCACAAGGACAAAAAACCAAACACCGCATGTTCTTACTCACAGGTGGGAATTGAACAATGAGAACACATGGACACAGGAAGGGGAACATCACACTCTGGGGACTGTTGTGGGGTGGGGGGAGGGGGGAGGGATAGCATTAGGAGATATACTTAATGCTAAATGACGAGTTAATGGGTGCAGTACAGCAGTATGGCACGTTTACATATGTAACTAACCTGCACATTGTGCACATGTACCCTAAAACTTAAAGTATAATAATAATAAAATAAAATTAAATTAAATTAAAAAAGAATGTGGGTATTTCCTCTCAAAGCCGCATGTTCAGAAAAATAGCAGCATGCACTTTTGAAAAAGGGCCACTCTATTCCTAGCCGAGACAAGCACTTATTTATTTTGAACAACTGGTAATGACTTATTTTTCAATGAATGAATGGATGTTTGTTTAGAGAAATGTAAACTGAATAATGTTTGTTCTTTTGTATACAATTTGGGATAGCTAAATCTCCAGCAACATATTGTTATAATTTTAAAAAAGAAAAGCAACCAGTGGGTGAGCTTGCCAGAAATGTGATACCCATTTGTGTTATAATGCAGAATAAACCCATAGGACCTTACAAAATGCATCTGCTGCAGAAGAAAAAGCAAGGGTTGGAACTCAACCCGATCGTAGCAGTGCTTTTGACACTGAAGATCAAGAACAAAGTCTCCAATTATGTAACAAGTATGTTAACATTCTCGGTGTGTTTGTAATCTTTAAAAAGGCCTGTCTTTTTACTTTTCATTTTCTTCCTCTCCTCATAGTTCTTGTTCCACTGCGTCCTTTGGCTACTTACACGTTGTTTTGCTGATGCTAATATTTTCTAGGACATACTTAGGCCACTGTGTGATTTTTTTGGTTGTTCCGCAGTATGAGAAGAATGGTATTTGACTGTGGGCACTTGACTCCATTTGACTGTGGGCACTTGATGCCGTTGAAGTGTGTGCCTGGTGTCTGTTCTTAGTTTTTGTTCTTTGCTGGAGCCTAAAACAAGATGATGCAACTCATTCCGAACATTCCAAATAACTCTGCCCTTCAGTAGTAAACCTCTAAAATATGAGTAAGAGGTTATAAATTAAGCGGTCATTCTCTAAAATGTGTGCTAATGCTTCTCCGAAAGGAAAACAAAAATAGTCTTAATTGCTGGTGAGACATTTTGAAGTTGCTCCAACATAAATGGCCTCCAGCTTCTCTTTTGGCTCATAAATTATGTGTTTTGTGGGCTAGAGTAACACTTGAACTGCGGTAAGCCTTCATGGCTATTCCTTGCAGGTACAGACTGTCTGATAGGAAGAATTTGCATAAAATGAGAACACAAAGCAACGATCCAAATGGTCCCTACTCCATGCAGTGTCCTTCCCACCTCTGGAGGCATGAATGGAGGCTGGGCATGGTGGCTCATGCTGTAATCCCAACACTTTGGGAGGCCAAGGCAGGCAGATCGGTTGAGGTCAGGAGTTCGAGATCAGCCTGGCCAACATGGTGAAACCCTATCTCTACTAAAAATACAAAAATTAGGTGGGTGTGGTGGTGGGAGTCTGTAATCCCAGCTACTTAGGAGGTGGAGGCAGGAGAATTGCTTGAACCTGAGAGGCAGAGGTTGCAATGAGCTGAGATTGCACCACTGCACTCCAGCCTGGGCAACACAGCAAGACTCTGTCTCAAAAAAAATAAAAATAAACAATAAAAAATAAAGGCATGAATGGAATGTCAATAGTTGGTATGTAAGCCATATGTTTTCTTTAACTTGCTTATGGCATATAAGCATCCAAGGCACAACCATGAGTAAGTATTGTAAAAAAATATAATATACAACTCAACATATACTATGTTTAAATAGCATATACAATTAATTTTACCTCTAATCAGGTTTGTTATTAGAAATATGTACTTTGGGCCCCCATTATCACAGTGTGTTCATTTAGAAAGCACACAGACTGCTTTCCAACTTTTCTTTTGCTGGATAGAGACCAATGTAATCGCAGGACAAAGCCCTCCAAGGTCCCTGAGCCTGACGTGGGTGGACTTGGGTTCCCTGTGATAGCAGGCTCCTGAAGAGCCAGGAGGCTTTTGCTGGCTGGGGCTGAGCTGGTGGTTCTGGGGTGGGCCCCCTCCATGGAGACATGAAGTCCTGACAGCCCCATCCAGGAGGTAAGGTTTGCCCCATCACCCACTGCCCTTCCTAATACAAGATTCTGGACTGCAAGTGCCTCTGGGATTTGACAAAAATGTGATTTCTGTTTCTTTTCCTCTTCTACTTCCTGCTTTCAGTATGGAGAGAGAGACAGAGCCTCATTTATATGTAACTGTAATATGCACACATGCTGAGAGAAAGAGATCTATTTTAAGGAATTGGCTCACACAACTATGGGGACTGGCAAGTCCAGAATCTGTAGGGAAAACTGACAGGCTGGAAATTCAGGTAAGAGTCAATGTTGCAGTCAGTCTTGAATCTGAATTCCATGGGGCAGGAGACTAGAAACTCAGGCAGAGTTTCCATGTGACAGTTTTAAAGAGAATTCCTTCTTCCTCAGGAAACCTCAGTCTTTGCTCTTAAGGCCTTCTACTGATTGGATGAGGCCCATGCACATTATGAAGGGAAATATGTATTACTCGAAGTCTACTGATATAAATGTTCATCACATCTGGCCAGGCATGACTCCTCACACCTGTAATCCCAGCACTTTGGGAGGCCGAGGCGGGTGGATCGCCTGAGGTCAGGAGTTTGAGAGCAGCCTGACCAACATGGTGAAACCCTGTTCCTACTAAAAATACAAAAAAATTAGCTGGGTGTGGTGGTGGGCACCTATGATCCTAGCTACTCGGAAGGCTAAGGCAGGAGAATCGCTTGAACTCAGGAGGCAGAGGTTGCAGTGAGCCAAGATCATGCCATTACAGTCCAGTGTGGGTCACAAGAGTGAAACTCTGTCTCAATAAAAAAAAAAAAAAAGTTCATCACATCTAAAAAAATACTTTCATAGCAACATGTAGGCTGATGTTTGACCAAACAACTGGGCACCACGGCTTGGCTAAGTTAAGACAAAATTAAGCATCACAAGTATTGTGCAGCCTTGGGCAAACTGCTAAACCTTTCTATGCCTTAGATTCTCATCTGGAAAATGAGGATAAAGAACAGCACCTGTCTCATAAATTTGTCGTAAGGATTAAATGCACAAAAACCTGTAACCTCCTCTGATCTGTTCTTCTGTGCCCCAAACTACTCTATGCCTGTCATATCTTTGGCACTCAAGTCATGCTAAGTGGTAACTGACTCAGCAGCTTGTAGACTGCATTTTTCTGCTTACCTCCTTTTTTACTCTGAAGACAACCATCAGGTCCAAGGCTTCCAGTACTTTATGCAACTAGTCCATGCGTACCAGGCCTGCTGACTAAGCTAATCCCACCACCGCTTCCGCACCTTCAGTTTGCCTGGGACTGGCCCCCCAACCAGCCCCCAGAAATACCTGAGGCACATGTACTGAATTAAACAGTGCTGCAGATCTTTCTAGATTTTTACTTTCTTTCTTGTGTTTTGTGGAAACACAGTATGCTGATTCTTATTCCTTGATACATCCTACCTATCCCTGGGTCCTAGCTCCTTCTTCCTTCTGTCTTTTCTTTTTTAGTCCTTTACCCAGGGACAGTGTTAAGATGGTGTGATAATTAATTTTATGTGTCAGTTTGGCCAGGTCAGTGCCCAGATCTTTGGTCAAACATTATTCTGGATGTTTCTTTTTTTTTTTTTGGATGAAATTAACATTTAAATTGGTGAACTTTGGGCTGGGCACGGTGGCTCACGCCTGTAATCCCAGCACTTTGGGAGACCGAGGCAGGTGGATCGCCTGAGGTCAGGAGTTCAAGGCCAGCCTGGCCAACATGGTGAAATCCCGTCTCTACTAAAAATACAAAAAAAAAATTATCCAGGTGTGGTGGCGCACGCCTGCAATCCCAGCTACTCAGGAGGCTGAGGCAGGGGAATCTCTTGAACCTGGGAGGTGGAGGTTGCAGTGAGCTGAGATCACGCCACTGCAATCCAGTCTGGGCGACAGGGCAAAACTCCATCTCAAATAAATAATTTAATAAATTAATTGGTGAACTTTGAGTAAAAGCAGATTACTATTCAAAATGTGGGGGATCTCATTCAATCAGTTAAAGACAATAGAACAGAGACTAACCCTTCCTGAGAAAGAAGGAATTCTGCCAACAGACTGCATTTGGAATCTAACTGTAACTCTTCCTTGGGTCTCCAGTCTGCTGGTCAACCCTGCATAGTTTGGATCTACTACTGCTTCACAGTCTCTTAAGCCAATTCATTAAAATACATTTCATCAAATTTTATATGTGTATATAAATATACACACATATATACTGAGATGTTTATCTCAATATCTTTGTGTGTGTGTGTGTGTGTGTGTGTGTTTGTATTCTGTTGGTTCTCTTTCTCTGGAGGAATTCTAACTAATACAGATGGAAAGAACAGTCCTCAAATCATAGCTCTATGTTGGCCCTGAGAGCTGAAGTCTGGGAGCCAAAGTAGCCCCCCTGCTATAGCTTTCTTTCTTTGAGTTTCTAAGGCTTTTGGTCTTCTGATTCCTGGGGAGGATCAGCACCTTCTCTTTTTCCAGCATTTTCAAGGTCCATGTCTGCTGCAAACCTTTCCCTCAGAGTCTGTTGATACAGGTGCCCATGGGGTAAGATATGTACTGGAGTAGTCTAGGAATAAAGACCTGAGTCCTTTCTGCCCCCATCCCCCAGCCTAAGTTCCAGAGCTATTTCCTCTTCTGGGTTTAAAACTAAGCCAACAATATTCCTACACTTCCATTTCCCAAGGAACTGTTATAGCCAACCCTGCCTGCATCCTTAGGTTGACCCCCCTCTCTGTAGCCGTGACCTGTGCTCTCACCAGCACAGGGAAGAATGGATGGCCCCTGGTCCATTCTTCCCTTTCTGCCCAGGCTAATCTCTCTGACTTCATTACCCTTTTCTGGTCTGAAAATCTAAATAGGGTATTCCCAACCCTGCTAGGAAACGTGGAAAACATGCCCTACTGGGGCCTTATTTGGACATTCTGTCTGTATTGGTTTATCTTTATATCACCACTCCCTGTGTGTTCACTGCTTATTGCTAACAATGTCTGCGTACTTCCCCGCATGCTCCCTACTATTAATATATCCCGCCATGAATTCAAGAGTAGAGTTCAAACTTCCCTACCTACTGAATAAATTACAATAATGTCGGTTAGGTTAACCTACAAGGTGCATAAAGTCGATTTTGTTTATTAAAAATAAACCTGCAACTTACAGATTTTTCTGCATCAGTGAAACTTTGGTCTAAAAATATAATATAATCATCTCATACTCTTTTGAAATATAGTCCTGTGGAAAATGCATGTTGTTATTTTATCACACTAGATATGATAGTATGGTATTATTAAACACCTAGAATGTCAGCTCTTTTTTTTTTTTTTTTTTTGAGACAGTCTTTTTCTGTCACCCAGGCTGGAGTGCAGTGGTGAGATCTCGGCTCACTGCAACCTCCGCCTCCTGGGTTCAAGCAATTCTCCAGCCTCAGCTTCTCCAAGTAGCTGGGATTACAGGCACGCACCACCACACCCAGCCAATTTTTGTATTTGTAATAGAGACGGTGTTTCAGCATTTTGGCCAGGCTGGTCTCGAACTCCTGACCTCAGGTGATCTGCCCGCCTCAAATATGCCTCATGGGAAGAACAGGAATGTGGATAATGTCAAAAAACAATTTCTACTTGGGTTGTGAGTCAATGAATGGGGGAAAGTTTTTCTCCCTAATGGATTTTGCCATATTAACATCAAAATCAATTGTGACTCCGCTGGCTGTCGAGGACATGTGAACGGCACACACATCTGCTGTGGCGAAAGCCCTCCCTGTGACCTCGGGGTGGGACCATGTGCTTTCCCAAATCCTTGAGCTCAGCATTGGAGGACAAGGTGGGATGGAATACGACCGCTACCACACGACATGTCACAAAAGCCGGGCCGGAAGGAAGTTCCTCAGAGTGGCACGTTCCCACTCCGCAGTTGAGACTGATTTCAGAAAATGCACTCTGATTGCTCTGTGATTTTTCTGTCTCCATGCCATGAATGGCTAGAGAGAATGGAGTTAACTGGGAAACTGGGACACAGCAGACTTTTGCTTTTAAAACCTCCTTTTTCTGTTCATTCAGCTGTCAAAACAGACAACCTTACTCACTCACAGAAGTGGACGTTGAGGAGAAATACAACAGAGGAGATAGAAAAGCATAACTGATTTTGAGCTTCATCACGGGATAAACTCAATCTGTAAGTGCAGAGAATAACTCGGAAGAGCTTCTGCACCTCCCCACACGCATCACTGTGCATTCACCAAGGCGACAGTATCCAGGACCTCGGATCCACCAATGAGAAGCCCACAGCAGCAGCCTGGAGGACAGCTGGTGACTGCCGGAGACACAGGTGACACGCCATGTCTGGACAAGGCTGAAGCATGCAGAGAGAAGCGAAGCCCACGTTGTGCTTTGGCTCACAAACATTTAATCTGCTGAAAAGGGAATCGTGTGGGAGAAGTAGAAAGAAATGCTGGTCATGTATTATACCTAGAATTTTTCACTCCCTGGTATCATGAACCCCAGTTCCCCAAAATGGCAGGCTTGGAAACTGAGGTTCTGAGCTGAAGTGACTTGCTTCAGGCCCCGTGTTCTGTGCCCTTTCCAGAGCCTGTGGCCTACAATGACCTGGTGCATCTCACCCACAGGGTGCATGTGCCCAGACACAAACCCGAGATGGGCCGGCCTGGTTCTTAAGCTTCAGGATGGAAACACAGGCCTCCCACCTACCCCTGCCCACCGGGGCGTCCGCCTTGGATAGGAAACGGCCAAACTACCACCCACACGGGCATGGTCATCATGGCAACATCGTACGTATGGAGGGTCCTGGCTCTTTGGTTGATTAAATCCTTGGGCATTTTATTTTCAAACTCCCCTTGTCCTCCACTGAACAGACCTGGACAAATGGGATGGGAGCCTCCTCTGTTTCCATACACCCTTGCATTGGCCCCTGTTTACATGCTTATCAGAATGTATTGCCCATTTTTGTTTCATTCCTCACCTTCTTCCAGCAGCCCTCACCCTCCACCCCCTCCTACCCCGACATACACACAAAAGGGGAAGGAACCTTTTCAATCCACCTTTTAATTTCAGAGCCCAGCTCAGCCTGGGATGGAGCTCTCTGGTTGTCCTGCAGTGAGCAGAGGTGAAAGTCACACTGGCCTCAGACCGTGCTCTGCAGGGACCAATTCTCTGTCCCAAAGCCGGGGCCTCCAAGCGCTGGATTTGACTTCCTCACATCACATTCCTTCTTGAACCTATTCTGTACCCCACTCTTCCGTTAAGGTTGCCAGTGAGAACCTTCTTGGTTCTCATCTTTTGGCCTTTCATTAACATTTCTCTTGGGTTCTGAGGCTCACACTTCCCCCTGTTCCTCCTTGCTCTCCTGCCCAGCTTTTCCTCTCTTTTTCTGAATCCTGGATCCTGTATCCTTATATTGCTCCGGGGCCCCAGGTCTTCTTCATTGCACACTCTCCGAGTGTTTTCCTGATGATCTCATGGGCCTCTACCCTATAAGTACCATATTTGCCTCTCCAGCCTGACCCCTCCCTGAACCCCAGACCCTCCAATTCACTGCTTATTCACAGAAGCCACTTGCAGTCTAACAGGCAGCCCCAACAACACATGCAAAACCAGGCGGTGGCTCACGCCTGTAATCCCAGCACTTTGGGAGGCCGAGGAGGGTGGATCACCTGAGGTCAGGAGTTCAAGACCAGCCTGGCCAACATGGCGAAACCCCGTCTCTCCTAAAAAAATACAAAAAATTAGCCGGGTGTGGTGGTGGGCGCCTGTAATTCCAGCTATTTGGAAGGGTGAGGCAGGAGAATCGCTTGAACCGGGAAGGCGGAGGTTGCAGTGAGCAGAGATAGCGCCATCGCACTCCAGCCTGGGCAACAAGAGTGAGACACCGTCTTCAAAACAACAACAACAACAACAACAACAACTCAGAACTAGCGCCCCACCAAACCCATTACTTGCTCAGGTCTTAGCAAATGGCCATTCTGTCCAAAGACTTGAATCATTCTCCGCCCTTCTCTTTCCCTCACTCCACATCCCAGCCACCAGTATTCCTGCCAGCTCCACCTTCAAACTGTGTTCAGGATCTTACAACTGCTCACCATGTTGTCTTCCTCCGAGTCACTGCCCAGACCCTGGATTCCCTGCACCACCGTCACCCCATCACCCGCCTCTCAGCCCCCTGTAGACACATCAGCCTTCTCCTGGTTCTGGCTCAGGACTTCACACTCCCTGATGGTCACATATCGTTCAGAGAGACTTTTCTTTTCTTTTCTTTTTTTGAGACGGAGTCTGGCTCTGTCGCCCAGGCTGGAGTGCAGTGGTGCGATCTCGGCTCACTGCAACCTCCGCATGCCAGGTTCAAGCGATTTTCCTGCCTCAGCCTCCGGAGTAGCTGGGACTATAGGCTCGCGCCACCACGCCCGGCTAATTTTTTGTATTTTTAGTAAAGACGGGGTTTCGCCGTGTTAGCCAGAATGGTCTCATCTCCTGACCTTGTGATCCGCCCGCCTCGGCCTCCCAGAGTGCTGGGATTACAGGCGTGAGCCACCGCGCCCGGCCCAGAGGCTTTTCTTACCATCCCCTCTAAAACTGTACCAACCCCCACTCCAGCGCCCTCTATCTCTTATCCTGCTTTGTTTTCTTTATAGCATTGATCACTCTTGAGCATGTTTTTTGTTTTGTTTTGTTTTGTTGTTTTTGTTCTGCATGTGCTTGTTGTCTGTTTTCTCAGAATAGAATGCAACCACCATGACGATAGTGGCTTTGTGTTATTCACTGGTATGTTCCCAGTACTCCTAGTTCCTACAGCAGTGCCTGGAACATAAAGGTCTTTAGTAAATATTTTTAAATAAATGAATAAAATATTGGACTGAGGCTTAATAAAATATATCAAAATACCAATTTCCCCACTGATATAGAAATCAGATTTAGCAAAGTATGGCAGTGGACCAAATCCAACCTGCAGCCTGTTTTTGAAATAAAATTTTAACGGAACACAGCCACATCCATTCATTTACATATAGTCTGTGGTTTCTTCCATGCTAGCCACCAAGGTTGAGTAGTTGCAACAGACCGCATGGCCCCCAAAGACTAAAATATTTACTATCTTGCTCTCTACAGAAAAAAATTTGCCAACCCCTTATGTAGATAATACTTCCTACCTCTTCTTATGGTTTAAAAAGTAATAAAATAATGAATGCATTAAACAATCATTCCATTGTTAATCCACTCATACATACTTATTGAAAAAAGAGCCTGTAATCCCAGCACTTTGGGAGGCCGAGGCGGGCGGATCACGAGGTCAGGAGATCGAGACCATCCCGGCTAACACGGTGAAACCCTGTCTCTACTAAAAATACAAAAAATTAGCCGGGCGTGATGTCGGGCGCCTGTAGTCCCAGCTACTTGGGAGGCTGAGGCAGGAGAATGGCGTGAACCCGGGAGGCGGAGCTTGCAGTGAGCCGAGATCCCGCCACTGCACTCCAGCCTGGGCGACAGAGCGAGACTCCGTCTCAAAAAAAAAAAAAAAAAAAAAAAAAAAGAAAAAAGATAAAATTGTACAGAAGTGTGTAGGGTAAAAAGTGACAGCCCTCTTTCTCCAGCCACTAGGAGGTAGCCTGCTAGCATCTGGATTATTTCCAGGCCTTTTTGAAGCATTTCCATGCAAACCTCTGTACCCCTTGAGTGCAAATTTGTTTTGTTTTGACTTTATTTTTTTAATTGACAAATAAAAATTGTATATATTTGTGGTGTACAACATGATGTTTTGATATATGTAGACACTGTGGAATGGCTAAATCAAGCTAATTAACATATGCATTACTTCATATACTTATCGTTCAAATGAGTTTTGTTATCAAGATTTTGCTAGACTTGGAAGGAGAAGGAAAACTTTCCATCTGTTCCTGTGCTCTGACAGTTTGAATAACTGGAATCACATGCTCCTTGAAGGTTCACTAGCATCCCCCATAACACTACCTATATCTGCCGCCTGTTTCAGGGCCGGACCTCTGACTACCTTTTCCATTTCTTCAACAGAACCAGCAAGGATTTGGGTCTTCTGACTCTTTCGTTAATTGTGGTAGTTTACATTTTTATAAAAATATTCATTTCTTACACATTTTCCAATTTATTTCTATAGAGTTGATTACAAGTTTTAAATCTCTTCCCTATTTATAGTTATATTTCTTTTCTAATTCTTCCTTTTTTTTTTCTGGGTCAGGTCTGCCAGTAGTTTCACAGTTGTATTAGCTATTTTTCAAAGAACTCGATTTGGGGCTTAACAAATTTTGTTGTTTGCCCTGTTTGTTTGTTTCATTAATTTCTGCTTTTTTATTTTAAAATTTCTACTTTCTATGCTTTGTCTCCTAATATTTAGAGTTCATTTATTTTCCCTTGTCTTCTTACATTTTTTGGCCACATCCTGCTGGCTTTACTACACTGAGCCCTTGTCCCAGCATAAACTGTTGGCAATCGCAACCATGATTTCCTGGTTTACGCATAAATAACAGAAAGCCTCTCTGTTTTGCTTTGTTTTTATCTCCAAATACATATAACTTTTTCTTTCTTTTTCTTTTTTTTTTTTTGATTGGGGATATTCTTTTCTTTGTTATTTCTAATTTCTGGTTTTATTGCATGGTAGTTAGAAAATTAGCCTAAATGTTTTCCGCTTTTTGAAATTCATTGAGACTTTTTGGTTTATTACTATGTCAATTTTTGTAGATAGTATACGTGTACTTACAAAGAGTGTATATTCTATACTGAGTTCAAATTTCTGTATATTACTACAGAGTCAGCCTTGTGATCTCAAAATCTAAAACTGCTTTTTGTCTATTAAATCAGTTCTTTCCTGAGAAAGTTACTAAATCCTCTCATTTTGACTGTTAACTTATCAATTCATTTTTCTTTATATATTCTGATAGCATGTTGTTCAGGCATAAAGATTCATTGCTCTTCTAGTGTCTTCGTATTCTTATGTGTAAATATAAAATCTGTCCTATTGAATATTTTTGGCTTTAAATTCCATTTTTTTAATTTCACATTTCTCATCTTTCACAGATTTTGTAAATAAGTGACTACCTTTGTCATTTAATTTTCAACATTCCTGAATAATTTTATTTTAGAATACTTTTGTGAATGTTAGTGTGGTTGTATATTTTATTTACTTATTTATTTATGTTTTTAGTGACAGGGTCTCCACTCTGTTGTAGGTATTTATTTTTAGCATGTCTGATGGCCCATTAGTAATATTAATAGTGATAGGAACGTAGCTAAGCAGTATTGAGTCCTCTCAATTCAGGTATTCTACTGAGCACTTTACCCGCGTTATTTTATACAGTGCTCAGACCTAGCCTATAGGTAGTTCTTCTGGTTGTCCCCAGTTAACAGCTGAAGAAACTGAGGATTTGAGTGATTCCATGACCTACCCAAGATCAGAAAGGATTGGGCAGGATTTGAACCCAAGTACTCTATGAGCACTACACATTGGTCATATTAATTATAATTGCTGACTTATTCGGCTTTATCCCTGTCATCTTGTTTTGCACTGTATTCTAAGAGAATTCCTCTATTCAGTCTTTCAGCTCTCTGATAAGATCTTCGGTTAGGCCCATTCTTTGTGAAACAGTCATTCGATTTTTTATTTTAGAATGTGTTTTTAATTTTCTAGAACTGATTGCTTTTCTGACATAGCAACGAGTTGACCTGTGACTAGACAGACTGACATTTAGATTCTCCGAGTTGCTTGACTTCTTAGTAGGTATCCTCCTTGTCCCCACTCCATGCATCTGTTACCTGAGAGTACTGATTCTATTCTCCAGCCCCAACATCCTCTCTTTCTCTCTCTCTCTCTTTTTTTTTTTTGAGACAGTATCGCTCTGTCACCCAGACTGCAGTGCAGTGGTGCGATCTCAGCTCACTGCAACCTCCGCCTTCTCCTGCCTAAGCCTCCCGAGTAGCTGGGATTACAGGTGTGTGCCACCATACCCAGCTAATTGTGTGTGTGTGTGTGTGTGTGTGTGTGTGTGTGTGTGTGTATTTTTAGTAGAGATGGGGTTTCACCACATTGGACAGGCTTGTCTCAAACTCCTGATCTCTGGTGATCTGTCCACCTTGGCCTTCCAAAGTGCTGGGATTACAGGCGTGAGCCACCGCGCCCAGCCCTCTCTTTCTCTTTAGCACTACCTAAACCTTTAGTACAATTTCTTGTTTTATTTTGGAGCAATGCTAGCAGGTTTATTCTGCACCCAAATTCTAGAACTGCCACCAATCTGATTCCATCTACTTTATATCTTCAAGAATGTTTTGTCTCTTCTGATCTCTTAAAAACATCCCTTCCAAATATTTTTCCCATTCTGTAGGTTGTCGTTTTACTCTGCTGATTATTTCTTTTGCTGTGCAGAAGCCTTTTAGTTTAAGTCCTGTTTTTCTTTGTTCATTTTTGTTGCATTTGCTTTTGAGGTCTTAATCATAAATTCTTTGTGTAGGCCAATGTCCAGAAGAGTTTTTCTTAGGTTTTCTTCTAGGATTTTTATAGTTTCAGGTCTTACATTTAAGTTTTTAATCCTATCTTGAGTTAATTTTTGTATATTGGTCCAGTTTCATTCTTCTGCATATGACTGGCCAATTTTCTCAACACTATTTATTGAATAGGGTGTCCTTTCCCCACTGTATATTTTTGTTTATGTTGTTAAAGATCTGTTGGTTGTAGGTATGTGGCTTTATTTCTAGGTTCCCTATTCCATTCCATTGATCTATGTGTCTATTTTTTACTAGTACCATGCTGTTTTGGTTACTATAGACTTGTAGAGTAGTTTAAAGTCAGGTAATGTGATGCCTCCAGCTTTGTTCTTTTTGCTTAAGATTGCTTTGGCTATTCAGACTCTTTCCTGGTTCCATATCAATTTTAGGATTTTTTTTTAATTTTGTGAAAAATGACATTGGTAATTGATATTATTTGGATCTGTGTCCCCACCAAATCTCATGTGAAATTGTAATCCCCAGTGTTGGAGGTGGGGCCTCGTGGGAGGTGGTTGGATCATGAGGGCAGTTTCTCATGAATGGTTTAGTACCATGCCCTTTTGGTACTGTATAGTGAGTGAGTGCTCATGAGATCTGGTTGTTTAAAAGGGTGTAGCACCTTGCCGGTCTCTCTCTTGTTCCTGCTCCCACCATGTGAGACTCCTCACTCTCCCTTTGCCTTCCACTATGATTGTAAGTGTCCTGAGGCCTCCCCAGAAACTGAGAAGATGCCAGAGTCATGCCTCCTGTACAGCCAGCAGAACTGTGAGCCAATTAAACCTTTTTTGTTTAAAAATTACCCAGTTTCATGTATCTGTAGCAATTTGAGAACAGACTAACACAGTAGTTTGGTAGGAATTGCATTGAATCCATAGATTGCTTTGGGCAGTATGATCATTTTAACAGTATTGATTCTTCCAATCCAGGAGCATGGGATATTTTTCCATTTGTTTGTGTCATCTACAATTTCTTTCATCAGTGTTTTGTAGTTCTCCTTGTAGAGATCTTTCACTTCCTTGGTTAAATATTTTCCTAGGTATTTTTTTCATAGCTATTGTAAATGGGATTGAGTTCTTGGTTTGGTTCTCAGCTTGGTTGTTATAGGTGTATAGAAATGCTACTGATTTTTGTACCATTGATTTTGTATCCTGAAACTTTACTGAAGTAATTTATGAAGTCTAGGGAGAAAATATTTGCAGACTCTGCATCCAACAAAGGACTAATATTCAGAATGTACAAGGAACTCAAACAACTGTACAAGAAAAAAATAACCCCATTAAAAAGTGGGCAAAGGACATGAATAAACATTTTTCAAAAGGATATATACAAGTGACCAACGAACATATGAAAAAATGTTCAACATTACTAATCATCAGAGAAATGCAAACTAAAACCACAAAGAGATAAAATCTTGGCCGGGCGCGGTGGCTCACACCTGTAATCCCAGGACTTTGGGAGGCTGAGGCAGGCAGATCACAAGAAGATCGAGACCATCCTGGCTAACACGGTGAAACCCCGTCTCTACTAAAAATACAAAAAGAAAAGAGAAATTAGCCGGGCGTGGTGGTGGGCGCCTGTAGTCCCAGCTACTCGGGAGGCTGAGGTGGGAGAATGGAGTGAACCCGGGAGGCAGAACTTGCAGTGAGCTGAGATCACACCACTGCACTCCAGCACGGGCAACAGAGCAAGACTCCATCTCAAAAAAACAAACAAAAATCTTACACCAGTCAGAATGGCTATGAAAAGTCAAAAAAACAACAGATGTTGGCAAGGATGTGGAGAAAAGGAAACACTTATAGACTGTTGGTAGAAATATAAATTAGTACAATTTCTATGGAAAACGGTATGGAGATTTCTCAAAGAAATAAAAGTAGTACTACCATTTGATATAGGAATCTCACTCGTGGATATCTGCCCAAAGGAAAAGAAATCATTATATGAAAAAGATACCTGCACTTGTATGTTCATTGCAGCATTATTCACAATAGCAAAGTCATGGAATAAACGTAAGTGTCCATCAATGGATGACTGAATAAAGAAAATGTGGTGTATATATGTACATCATGGACTACTGCT
This sequence comes from Homo sapiens, assembly GCF_000001405.40. Taxonomy (NCBI): domain Eukaryota; kingdom Metazoa; phylum Chordata; class Mammalia; order Primates; family Hominidae; genus Homo; species Homo sapiens. Next base: position 2,224,377 of record NW_011332701.1, on the reverse strand, counting down.
CAGCCATTAAAAAAAATGAAACCATGTCTTTTGTAGCAACATGGATGGAACTGGAGGCCATTATCTTCAGTGAAATAACTCAGAAACAGAAAGTCAAATAGTGTATGTTCTCACTTATAAGTGGAGCTAAACAATGTGTACACATGGACATTGAGAATAAAACAATAGACATTGGAGACTCCAAAAGGTGGGAGGGTGAGAAGGGGCTCAGGGATGAGAAATTACCTAATGAGTGTCATGTACACTATTTGTGTGACAGTTGCAATAAAAGTCCCCGACTTCACCACTATGCAATATATCCATGTAACACAACTTCACTTGTACCCCCTAAATCTATTTTTAAAACACAAAAAGCACCTTTTCTAAATTTCCAATGCTGCTACAGAATTACTCTCCATTTTATATCCCTTTGGTCCCTGAAATAGGATTTAAACAGGGAGGAAGGGTAAATTCTCATGTTTAGTCAGTCATCTTCGACTGGAAATCTTTTCATTTTTTCTTACTCACTAATTATGGCTGTCATCAACTAAGATATCAAAAGGGAGTTGCTCTGTTTTCCTTTCTTTCCTCTGGACTATATCAGCTGAATGTCATCTTAGCAAATGGAAACCAAAACCCACATTCTTCTCATATGGTGGACAGGGACAGTGTCACTCCTCACAGCAATAGTGTCCCTAAAATTGCTAAGATAGACTAGACAGCAGAGTGGCACTCTCACACGTGTGGCCTATAAACTGACCACCCCAAGGGTTACATCACCAATGATGCTGAAAGGTAGGTTTCAAGTGCCCAAACTGTTCTCTTCACATTTTTTTTCTTTTTTTCTTTTTTTTTTTTTTTTTTTGAGACGGAGACTTACTCTGTTGCCCAGGCTGGAGTGCAGTGGCGCGATCTCAGCTCACTGCAAGCTCCACCTCCGGGGTTCAAGCAATTCTCCTACATCAGCCTCCCGAGTAGCTGGGATTACAGGCGCCCACCACCATGCCTGGCTAATTTTTGCATTTTTAGTAGAGACGGGGTTTCACCATGTTGGCCAGGCTAGTCTCAAACTCCTGACCTCAGATGTTCTGCCTGCCTTGGCCTCCCAAAGTGCTGGGATTACGGGCGTGAGCCACTGCACATTTTCTTTTTAAATTTTAACTATTTCTAATTTTTAGATAAGCAGTGTATTCACTTGGTCCCAAAATCAATGGGTTCAAAGTATCAATGGTGAAAATTCTCCCTTCCACCTTCTCTCCTATCCAGTCCCCTTCCCATGAACAGTCATGATTAACAGATTTTTGTACATACTTCATTCTAGAGATATTTTTTTCATGCAAAAGCTATACATATTTTCCTCATTTAAGAAAACCACAAATAGTAGTATAATGTAGACATACTCTACAACTCACTGTTTTCACTGAGCAATATGCAGTGGAGATGAATCCATGTCTGTTCATAAAGAGCTTCTTTATTCATTTTTAGAGCTACAGAATATTTCTTTGTGTGGCTGTACTGTTATTTATTTAAGCAATCCCCTGTTGACTACTGTTTAGCTTATCTCGTCTTTGCTGTTACAGTGTCACCATGAAGAGACTTGTGCACACATCATGTCACATATCTATAAATATAAATGAATTCCTAAAAGAGAATTGCTGGTTCAAAGGGTATTTGCATGCAAAATTTTCCTAGATGTTGTCAAATTGTGCCCTGTAAGGGTTACAAACAATTTAGACTCCCACAAGTAATTTGTGATTGTCCTTGTTTCCCTGTATCCTCAGTAATACAATGTGTTATCAAATTTTGAAGTATTTGTTGGTCTAGTGGGTGAAAAATTATATCCCATTGTAGTTTGTGTGAAATTACTTATTATGAGTGAGACTGAACATCATTTCATCTTTGAAGATCCATATGCATTTTCTTTTCTCTCTGTTCATATCCTTTTGAGAAAAAGAAAATCACTTTTATCTGAGAAATGCAAGTCTTTTTAATTATCAGGTCCAGAGAGACATTAAAATGAGACAAGGCCAGGTGCAGTGGCTCACATCTGTAATACTAGCAGTTTGGGAGGCCCAGGCAGGTGGATCGCTTGAGCCCAGGAGTTTGAGACCAGCCTGGGAAACATGGCAAAACCCCATCTCTGCAAAAAATACCAAAAAAAATTTGCTGGGTGTGGTGGCACATACCCTTGAAATTAAATTGCCATTGTAACATTATTAAGAGATGGGACCTTTAAGAGGTAATTAAGCCATGGGGGCTCTGCCCTCATGGGTGGGATTGATGTTATTATAAAAGAGTGAGTTCAGCCCCTTGCCCTCTCTCTTGCCCTCTGCCTTCCACCATGGGATGATGCAGCAAGAAGGTCCTTGTCAGACACTGACCTCTCAGGAATTCCCAGCCTCCAGAACTGTGGGTTAATACATTTCTATTTATTGCAAATTACCCATCTCAGGTTATGGCAGCACAAATGGACTAAAACATACAGCAATGAAATTATTCTTTATATGTGATTTGAGTTGCAAATGCTCGCCAGTTTACTGTTTGTCTTGTGACTTTGCCTGGGGAGGGTTTTTACATGTGGATTTTTTCTTTTTGATTTTAGAATAATTGAATCTATCAAACTCTTCTGTGATGGCTCCCCAGTTTTATGTTGTACCTAGAAATGCCCTCCCCAGCATTTGATTCAAAACAAGTATGATTGTTTATTCTAATATTTTATGGTATCTTTTTTTTACATTTAATTTTTTAATCAACTAGAATTTATCCTGGAGTCAGGTGTGAGATCCGAATTTAACTTTATATTTCCTTAGAGTTTTTCTTTCCACATTAACTTTAGAATCAGATTGTTTCGCTCTCCCTCAAAAAAGAAAATCCTGTTGGGATATTTATTGGAATTGCATCAACTTTATTATTAACACACTCTCCACTATGGTTACTGTTTTGGTGGTGAATCTTCCTTTCCAAGATTACAGATTTCCACCTCTTTGACTTTTCTTTGTATCCCTCAGGAGTGTTTTGAATTTTTTTTTTTTTTTTTTTTTTTTTGAGACAGAGTCTCGCTCTGTCGCCCAGGCTGGAGTGCAGTGGCACAATCTCAGCTCGCTGCAAGCTCCGCCTCCCGGGTTCACGCCATTCTCCTGCCTCAGCCTCCTGAGCAGCTGGGACTACAGGCGCCAGCCACCATGCCCGGCTAATTTTTTGTATTTTTAGTAGAGATGGGATTTCACTGTGTTAGCCAGATGGTCTCGATCTCCTGACCTCGTGATCCGCCTGCCTCGGCCTCCCAAAGTGCTGGGATTACATGAATTTTTCTTTATATGAACGATGCACCTAAGAATAATCTATTCCACTGAGATAACGTTGCAATTTTAAAATGAAGGAAAGAAAGAAACCCTAGCATCTCAGTAGGCCAGCCTAACAACGCTTCCTTCTTGTTCATGCAAAGGCAAGTTGGCAGGTGATCCCCTCCATCCTGTGATTCAGGTATCCAGGTTCTTTTCACCTTGAGATGTTGCTCTGAAACAAGGGGCCTCCAAAGCTCCTGCAGCAGGGGAAGAGAGCCTGGAGTAGCACCCAAGCTATTAATTCCCTGGGCCTGGAGGTCACACACTTCTTTTTTCATTTTATTGGCTACACTCATCACAAGACTACCTAACTGCAAAGATACTGTTAGTCCTTTGCAAAGGTAATCCCGTCATGTACCCAGGAAAGAAAGGAGGACAAGATATATGTAACACTGGCAGTCTCTTTCACACCAGCAAAACTATTAACCACAAGGGTAAACTAAAGAAACATTTTGGTCATACAAAGTCTCAAAACATTTCATTCCAAGGCAGCTTCTCTCAGGAAACTAGTAGAGTGGAGCCTCCACCAAAATAAGAGAGCAAATCAAAGAAGAGGAATATATGGGATAAGGAGACAAAGAACCCAACCCAAGATTGAGTCAAAGTGAATCCCCAGGATGGTGGTGAAGAACATCCCAGGAGGCAGCAAGACTCCAACTAAAAGCGTGTGCTGTTTTTGCCTCTGCAAAGGAGAAAGGAACCAACAGAAAGGAAGCTAACCAAGAGCCAAGGAGCAGCACCCAGACCAAATTAGGCAGATGAGCAGCCTGTATCCAGCTCTGTCTGAAGCTGGGTCTGTTCCTAGGGAGTTTAGTTACATGAGTCAGTGACTTACCTTTGTGCTTTGGCCAGTTGAGGGCTGGTTTTTACTTAATAACAAAACAATTCCAGTCTGAGACCAGGAGACCACAGAAATGGAAGAAATAAAGCTAGTTCTCAGGGAATTTTATTCTTTTTTGTGTGTTCTTTTAAAAAACATGTTTAGGACGGGCACTGTGGCTCATGTCTGTAATCCCAGCACTTTGGGAGGCCAAGGCAGGCAGATCACGAGGTCAGGAGATAGAGACCATCCTGGCTAACACGGTGAAACCCCGTGTCTACTGAAAATACAAAAAAAAATTAGCTGGGCGTGGTGGTGGGCGCCTGTAGTCCCAGCTACTCAGGAGGCTGAGGCAGGAGAATGGCGTGAACCCAGGAGGCGGAGCTTGCAGTGAGCGGAGATTGCGCCACTGCACTCCAGCCTGGGCAACAGAGCAAGACTCCGTCTCAAAAAAAAAAAGTGTTTATATTTGACATATAATAATTGTACACATTTATGGGGTACAGTGTGATGTTTCACTACATGTATACATTGTATAATGACCAAATCTGGGTAGTTAGCATATCATTCACCACAAAATTTACATTTATTTCTGGTGATAACTTTCAGGATCCTCTTTATTAGCTCACTTGAAATATACTCTACATTGTTATTAGCTGTAGTCATCGTACTATGGACGGGAACACCAGCATTTATTCTTCCTGTCTAACTGTAACTTTGTGCCCATTGACCAACCTCTTCCCATCCCTGTTTCCCCTCCCCAGGCTCTGGTAATCACTGTTTTGCTCTCTACTTCTATGTGATCAACCTTTTTGACGCTACATGAGAGAGATCATGTGGTATCTGCCTTTCTGTGCCTGGTTTATTTCACTTAGCCTTATGTCCTCCAGGCTCATCCATGTTGCTGTGAATGACAGGATTTCATTCTTTTCCCACGAGTTTTTAATCTTGTTAAGGACATTTTAACTGTCATTAACTACAGTGTATATTGTCTCTGCTTCTAGACTGTCATCTCCTCAAGGACTATGTGTTTTAGCTAAATTCCTTGCATGCAGTGGGCCTTAGAAGCTGGGCAATTTCAGAAATGAAAATCACACTGTGAAAGTTATTCACAGTTTAGTATTAAGTGAAAGAAGTTAAGTGGGAAGCTAATTTGCTCATTTTAAAAAATGGGGCTACTTGGGAAAATATTTTAAATGGCATTTTAAGTGTTGGGATTTCAGGTGAAATTTCTTATCTTATTTTTGTTTTTTGGTTTTCTTCATTTTCTGCCATGAATATTATTTGTTTTGTAATGAAAAGGTATATATAAAAAATTGATTGTGAGTTCAAACAATGCTATCTGTCAGCATTAAGCATGAAAGTACACTAAAGAAACATTTTGGTCTTGGTTTGGCTGCTATTTTACAAAAGCATTCACTAATTTTTTTTTTTTTTTGAATGAGAAAACATTTATTCCATCTCCAAACAGCATCCCAGGGCCGGGCATCTCCCCTACGACTTTATAATACACTCGGCACAGACAGAGTTTGGGAGCCATGGGACACCTCTGCCCTCCCCAGGCTTCCTAAGTAACAACTGCAGAATATTTACATAAAGCTGGGTGTTGTCAGGCAAAGCCATTCCCTGCTGCCAGGGGTGGGAGCAAGAAGGAAGTGCCATGAGCACCAGCCCCGCCTTCACACCGTGGGAGGCAGCCCAGAGGCCACCGGCACAGGGTGGTGGCCCCCAGATCATACAGCAGTGGACACAGGGGAAGCAAACCTGAGTGAGGACACAAGAGCCTGGTCCGGCTCCGCTGCACAGGGTAGGTGTGACGGCCCCCACGAGTCTTTGGCAGAGAACGCAGGTAACAGCGGCTCCCACGGCCGGACCCGGGCCGGGGGGAAGCTGAGGCACTTGTCAGTAGCACATGGGTGCCTGCTGGCTTCTAGCCACTCCAGGCGGGGATGGGGTCATTAAAAGCAAGGAAAAACACTAGCTAAAAACCCTTTCCTAAAAGTGCCCTGGAGGAGTGAGCGGCTGACTGAAGCCCTCTGGGCACAGGCACGTGGGGTGTGGCTCGGCCAGCCCCCGCCGGGCTGTAAGGCTCCTTAGCTGTGTGTCAGCTGCACAGGATGGAACAGGTGAAAGAGGGGGTTTGGCAGTTCCAGGAGGCTCATGGGAAAGTCCAGGGCAGAGGGGAGGGCCCTCTCTGTCCCCCTTCCCACCCTAACCGCCACTCAGTACACAGGGGGCGGCTGGTAGCCCTCGGTGGTCTCCGCATTCTGGGTGAAGGGTGGCTGTTGGTAGTTGTCCACAGATGCACCTGGGTAGGAGGCGTAGGCAGTGTTGGGGTCCGGACTGGGGTCGACGTAGTTCTGGATGAAGTCGTCCACGCCAGCCTTGTAGCGCTGGTAGGTCAGGGAGGCCAGCACACCCCAGGAGAAGATGGAAAAGAAGCTGAAGGTGATGGCTGCCCTCGCAGAGTCGGCCCCCACCAGCACGTCCTCCGGGTCGGTGACCGCCCACTGGTTGGTGAGGAAGCAGAAACCAACAAACCACAGGAAGGTCCAGAGAGCTGAAAAGAGCAGGTCACCAATGACGAGGTACTTGCGGTCAGTGGCGTTGCTGATCTGGGGGAAATACGCGTCGACCACCAAGAAGGCCGAGGCCAGGAAGGCCAGCACCCCGATGGCACTGCCATAGCGGCAGGCATCCTCGTTGTGGTTGAACACGCAGTACATCTGCTTAGACTTATGGGTGTTGCTGTAGCCCTCGCCATAGATGCAGGAGAACACGATCAAGGCGAAGACTGTGGAGGGCGGGAAGGCGGGGCCCGGGACGCTAAATGCCCGCCCCGCTCGCCGCCAGGGCCCGGACGCGGCCGCCTCCACCTGTCACGCTCGTGGGTTAGGGGTCCCGCCGGGCCTGGCGGCGGGGGGGGTCCTCGGGGTGCCCCCGGCCCGCCCTCCCCGGGCTCACCAAGCACAGGGCGCGCGCCACCACCTGCGGCTGCGTCAGGAAGGGCCGCAGGTCGAAGGAGCCGCCCGCCTCGGCCACGCCGTAGGCCCCGCTCTCCATGTCGCCGTCGCCGCCCAGCATTCACTATTTAAATACTGTAACATTTTCCCATCTTTTCTTTTTAAGAAAATTAAAATTGAGTGTGAGAATTTCTCTCACATTCAATAAATCATATCACTGTGGTATAAATATATCGCTATAATATATGAAGGTTTTCTTTAAAGATTTGTTAATTCAGTAAGCAAAACAGGACAGACACATTATGAATTTTAAAAAATAACTTAGGCCTAAATATTAATATTTATTCTTCAGACCCTTTATTGTTGAGATATGACATCTACTAGATATGATATCTACTAGATCAAACCTAGATTCTTAGGTTTACACAGGCCAAACAAATCAGTGTCCCTTCTGTAAAATAATACTTGAAGCAAGAAAAATATATAGAGATTCACATTGAATCTGGTTTATGCTTAAACTAGACTTAGTCCTGTAAATCTGAAAATGTGCTTATAATTACAAGTATTCTTAAAATGTGTGTAAGTGCCTTTTTATGTTTGAATTTGATCTAAAAGTGCCTACATTGCCCGTAACACTCTCAAGCTTTCATAGGAGCAATAGTTCCTTAAAAAATTTTTTTTCTCCACATTCCATAAATCTCACTAAAGACAATTGTTTTCCAATAACACGTACCATGTGAAAGGTATTTATTTTCCAGACCGCATTTACTGGAAGAAATGCACAAACCACAATTGTTCAGAATAGGAAAAATATAAAATAGTGCTTAGAATCTTACGGTAGTACCCAAAACTACCCAAATTGCTGTAATTATTGTGAAAAAAGTAATCACAGTATTTGTTCAATATTTAAAAACACAATTTATTGAGAATCCATATTGAACATGTCTGAGTTCTGGGAACATTTTAAAATTTAATATTGTCATATGAGCTACTAATACTTTGTTTACATTTTCTCTGTGAACTCACCCTTCTAACAGCTTACAGTTAAAGTGTTTGTAATAGACCACTGACCTGGCTTTGCTGGCTTCGGGCTACAGAAAACTACAGTCCTCACTTAACACAAGGGTAGAAATATAGCACCACTAGATGGTACTATGAGGTAATTATTAAATTCCACATTATTTCAACTGAGCATCGACAGTGATTTTTTTCTGCAAGGAATAAATCACTCTTACTAGTCTTACCATTCCCATTAGCACCATCTACTCCTAACTTTAATTTCCTAAATCACCCCAGTGGGAAGAACTGCCAGCCTTTGATTCATAACAAAATCTTTTACATAAAGTTTTTGAGGTTAAATAAAATGTGGCTTCTGGGAAGTGATATTAATTCCCCGTTTTCTTTCACAATTACCTTGAAGCTCAACAATATGTAAAGGAATGTAAACAAGAGTTTTCATAGCCAACTGAGCGATTAAAAGACAAAATAGCATTAACAAAAACCAGTTTTGCCATTCTTCATGGTATATATAGTTGACAGCTAAAGCTTTTGTTTATTTTCATTGTTAAGTCTTACATGAAAGAATGTTTTGGTAGATAGGGTGAATTTTGTCTTTATCGATATGGTTCAAACAGCCAGCCTGTGGTTAATACTCTGTTTAATCAAAGCATTGCAGTTCCCAGCAGCTTCTCCGATGGGCATTAGCCCTGGGCTCAGTCACCCAGGAAAACACAATGGTTTCACTTCAGAGAGTATTTGAAGCCAACTGCACCCTGTGCTGCTAAATGTTGCCATTTTCCACTGAAAAGAATTCCACACTAATCATGTGTGAAGGTCATTTTGATTCTGGTTTGTAATACGTAGATACTGTTCCTATCTGCTTTTGTGGTCAATTGGTAAGAATGGTAATTCTCCAAGGCCTAAGTCAGCTCAGCTCACAGTAGCTGCATTAGAAAAACTGTTTCCCCTTCAACCAACCCAGCGTCTGAAAGATTCACATCAGGTCAGAGAGCAAAAATAATATAGACAAAAATCTGTTCAATAGGAAATACGTTGACTTGGAAAATCCCCAAATTAAATAACTGAAAAGTTATGTTTAAGTTTATAAATCTTTTAGTATTTTCATTATGAAAGAACATGTTCCAGTAATGATTAATCATTTAGTTCAGTACTCTGAGAATTAAAGAATGCAGCCAATTTATAATAAGGAAATATTTCATTGTCTAAATAAAAATTTGAAAATTGAATGTTTATTGAACATCATAGTGCAAAGTGTTGTGGGGAATGCAAAAATGTAAAAGGTAATTCTTACCCTCAAGAACACATGTGCAGACATCCTCATTAAAGAAGACAAGCATGAATTGTTCAAAACAGTACAAGGCCCCATATACCTAGATAGCAGACTGTCAGTCAGCAATGTTTAGGGTGTTGGATAAAAGAAGGCTCTTTGTGAGCGAGCATGAAGAGAGACTTCCTGGAAGCAATGTGACTTGAGCAGCTCACAGATCGCTGGTTCTTGCCCTGGCTGTGTATTGGAATTGCATCTGGAACATCAAAATACACTGATGCCGAGCCCTGCCACAAGGGATTCTGATTTAGTTTATCTGGGTGCTCCCAGGTGAATCTAATAAATCATTGCCTTAGTGTTGGTCACATTTCTGGCTGATGGTTCAAGAATAGAGCCTGAGCCAGAATGTAAATCAACCACATCGCTTCGCCCAGTGTTTAGTTCTGCTGGCGATGGTCTCGTGACATGTTGTGAGCCATGAAAGAAGCAGTTGGATGACTTCCCTTCTGGTGCAGGGTTCTCTTCTTGGAGCCACATGTTGGGGCTGGCATGACTTTCCGTTTAGTCCACCTTTCCCCCTTTTCAATGCACTTTATGTTTGTAAGTAAAAAATCCATCTTGGCTGGGCGCGGTGGCTCACGCATGAAATCTCAGCACTTTGGGAGGCCGAGGCAGGCGGATCATGAGGTCAGGAAATCGAGACCATCCTGGCTAACACGGTGAAAACCACGTCACTACTAAAAATACAAAAAACTAGCTGGGCGCGGTGGCGGGCGCCTATAGTCCCAGCTACTCAGGAGGCTGAGGCAGGAGAATGGCATGAACCCAGAAGGCGGAGCTTGTAGTGAGCCGAGATTGTGCCACTGCATTCCAGCCTGGGCGACAGAGCAAGACTCCATCTCAAAAAAAAAAAAAAAAAAAAAAATCTTCCAATCTTCAGGTTGAATAATGCTGTAATCCCAGTAACTTGGGTGGCTGAGGTGGGAGGGTCGCTTGAGCCCAAGAGTTCAAGACCAGCTTGAGCAACATAGCAAGACCCCATCTCTAAAAATAAATGTAAAAAAATAAATTCCATCTTCAGTTTTGTTCTTTCTGTATTCTGCAGCCTTGTCTGCCTGTGCATGCCCTTTAGCATAGGACATGGTGCAGAATATGTGCACCATAAAATTTTTTTTGACTCTTTATTGTGGAAATTTTCAAACATGTACAAAGTAAACAGAATAGCGTAATAAACCCCTATGCGGCAAATACCCAGCTTCGACATTCAGCATTCTGCCATTCCAGGGTCTTCTGTAGCTCACCCCACTCCCCTGCCCTTACTCAACCATTAATATTTTTACAGTTTTATTGAAGGTAAAATTGACATATATCAAAATGCCATAATGACAAAGTAACAAAAATTAAGTGTATATATATATATATATATATATATATATATATATATATACTGGGCTCACTGCAAGCTCAGCCTCCCGGGTTCACGCCATTTTCCTGCCTCAGCCTCCCGAGTAGCTGGGACTACAGGCACGCGCCACCTCACCCAGCTAATTTTTTTTGTATTTTTAGTAGAGACGGGGTTTCACCATGTTAGCCAGGATGGTCTCCATCTCCTGACCTCGTGATTCACCCACCTTGGCCTCCCAAAGTGCTGGGATTACAGGCATGAGCCACCGTGCCCAGCCGATTTTTTATTAATTTATTTATTTTTGAGATGGAGTCTCCCTGCGACACCCAGGCTAGAGTGCAGTGGCACCATCTCAGCTCACTGCAAACTCCACTTCCCAGGTTCAAGCGACTCTCCTGCCTCAGCCTCCCAAGTGGCTAGGATTACAGTCATGCACCACCAAGCCCGGCTAATTTTTGTATTTTTAGTAGAGATGGAGTTTCACCATATTGGCCAGGCTGGTCTCAAACTCCTGACCTCAAGTAATCCACCCACCTTGGCCTCCCAAAGTGCTGGGATTATAGGTGTGAGCCACCGCACCCGGCCTTATTTTAACAAACACACACCTCTGTAACTCACACCCCTATCACGATATAGAGCATTTCCATCACTCCAGAAAGCTCCCTCATGTCCCTTTCCAGGTAACTAACCAGGGCAACAAGTATGACCTTTATTTTATCCACTTTAGATGAATTTTGCCTATTCTAAAAAGTCATCTAAGTGGAGCATACAGTCTTTACTCTTCTGTGTCCAGATTCTTTTGTTCCACATAATTTCTACAAGGCTCATCCATTTATTAATAATAAATATTTTTGGCTGGGCACAGTGGCCTGTAATCCTAGCAGGCCACTTGGGAGGCTGAGGTGGGTGGATCACTTGAGGCCAGGAGTTTGAGACCAGCCTGGCCAACATGGTGAAACCCCATCTCTACTAAAAATAAAAAATTAGCCAGGCATGGTGGCAAACGGCTATAATTCCAGCTACTTGGGAGGCTGAGGCACAAGAATTGCTTGAACCTGGGAGGTAGAGGTTGCAGTGAGCTGACACCACACCACTGCACTCCACCCTGGGTGATGGAGTCAGACCCTGTCTCAAAAAAAAAAAAAAGAAGAATGAGAATGAGAAGGAAAGGAGAGGAAGAGGAAGAAGAGAAAGAAGAAGGAGAAGGAGAAGGAGGAGGAGAAGGAGGAGAAGAAGAAAGAGAAGAAGAAGGAGAAGAATTTTTTGACTTCCAGACTAGAAAGTGACAGTGAGAGCAGAGGGCTCACAGTAGAGAACACATTGGGCGAGCAGGTTGGCCTCAGTCTGTGGAAGTCCTTGGAAGTCAGGAAAAGCGACCTTTACTCTATTTTCCTGGTGCCAAGTTAACAGCCTTTTTCATAATTGCTGAGCAGGGCCTGGGAACTGATTCTCTGCCACCATGTCCTACTCCCCACTGCTTTCATGAGTCACCACTGTGCCACTGAGTAGCGGTGCCTATTGCCAACTCTACTTGGAGCTGGTGCATGCACATCCCCTTCTGAAGAGCTGGCATAACTCCAAGTCCCATCCCACACCCCCTGGAAGGATGGGAAGACCAAGCTCAGAACTTGGCACATGCCTCTGAAAGATCGTTCATGCCTCCTTGAGGTGGTGGAGCTGGAAAGGCAAAGGTCAGGAAGATCAGTCAGGAAGCCATGGGCCAGGGCTGGGTGCCAGGAGCAGTCAGGGCCCTGATTTGGTAACTTTGGACCTGGCCCTGTATTGCTAGGGAATGGAATCAAATTATCTTACAGGGCTGCCAAGGCTGTTTTGATTTGTGCGGGTGCAATGCAAGGTCAGGAATGCCACAATCCAACTATCAAATGCAAGAGCGATAAAAAATTTGCTGACCAGATCAGCTTAGACATGCAGCATTTAGGTTCTGGAATAGAAATCCAGGTCAGGGACACAGAAGACTACAGTCTGGACCCAAGCCAAGTTTGGGAGCACAGGAAGTCCAAGGTGAAAGAGTGAGTGGAGTGTTATTTCCCAGCAAAAAGCTAGAGCAGGATTAGACTGGAGAAGCAGTTGTCCAGCAGGAGAAAGGGTGCCTGGAGGCATGTACCAAACAATAGCTTCCTCCCTAAGTGGACCATTACCTTCTCTCAAATTCCAGAAAAGCATAAATTTTGAGGACTTGGAAGGGTGGGAAAACTTCTAGGTGCCTTATGGTAACTGATAGGATCAAAGAGTTGGAAACTGGGTGTATTAATTATCTGTTGCGGCATAACAAATCACACCAAAACTTAGTGGCTTGAAAAGCACGTTTATTATTTCATAGTTTCTGTGGGTCAGGTATCCAGCCACAGTTGAGTTGGATTATCCAACTCAAGACTTCTCACGAGGCCACTGTTGGTAAAGAATCAAGAACCTCATCCTAACATCTTGCAAAGAACTGAATCCTGCCAACAACCATGTGAGTGAGGTTGGAAGTAAATCCTTTTCTTGTTGAACCTTCAGATGAAACCACAGCCCTGTCTGACAGCCCTGTAGCAGACTCATTTGTTTTGCAGACATGTGCAATGAAGCTAAGAATACATGTCCTGAACATGGTCAAAACAGGATGCTTCCTAATCCATGTCCGTGGCTTGCCTTCTTTCTAGAGCTCTCCCATGGCTCAAATGGCTGTGGATTCTGGTTCTGATGCCATGCCATTAGCTCATACACCATGATTACAACTGAATTCATCATCTGGGTCCTAAATTATTTCCATCCTCCTGTCCTATTTTGGTCAAGAGTATTTCCACTTCTCCAGTCCCCTAGTATGGTAGGCAGCTTCCAGCATGGCTCCCAGCGACCCCTGTCTCCTTGTCTTCATGCCCATGTGTAGTTCCTTCTCCTTGTGTATATGGGCTGGACTCGTGACTTGGTTTTAATGAATAAACACAGCAAGGGTGATGGATGCCACTTTGGAAATCAGATTATAAAAGACAGTGACTTCCATCTTGTTCAGATTCTTTTCACGTGCTTGCTCTGACAAAGCAAACTGGAGAGATTCACGTGGCAAGAAACTGAGTCCTGGAACCAATACCCCCCAGATGCCAAGGGATGACTGTTTTGTTATTGTCATTATTGTTGCTTTAAACAATTGTTCATCGGAAGAGATCAAAGCTTCGGAGACCATTTTGGCTCTTTCCACTCCTGTTTCCAGTAGAGCTAATCCCTATATCGTCTTCTTTGTGACTGTGAGATTCTCATCTTCATCTCACTCTCCACACCCCTCCTGGGTTCAGGCCTTGCTGTCCTCAGGCCAGGGGCACATCCAGCCCTCATGCTTGTCTCCATGTGCCCCTTTGTTTACCAGATCTCCCTTCTAAAACACTTCTTGTCACCTCTGTATAAGGCACAGTTCAGGGTCACTCTTTGTGTAAGGCACAGAGCTCTCAACCCACCCTTGGGGGCTCCTACCGCCACCCCTTTGTCTTTCCTGACCAAGCCTCACCCAGCCAACCCCATGGTCCCTCTTCCATGCCCACTGCTCTGCTGATCTCTGCCTCTGTGTCCTTCTCCTCTCGTGTGCGTGGAAGCGGTGCCCAATTCCCCTGTCTCTGAGACCTCCCATCCACCAGGATCGTTGACTATTGACTTTCCGCAGCACTTTTGTACTTGATATTTCCACCCTCTCTTTCTGTCTTAAATATTGACTTGAAATCATTATCTAGTCATTTTTAAATCATAGATATCACTCACTGAAGATACAATTAATCTTCACAACTGCTGTGCAAAGTAGATGTGATGATCTCCATTTTATGACTGGGGAAACTGAAGTTCAAGGCCACACAGCTAATAAAAATCACTGCCAAAATCCAAGCCCAGGCCCATATACTCTTTCCCACCCAGGGCTCCACTGACTTCCCCTCCATTTGCCTGGGAAACACCTTGTTCCCCAAGTCTTCTGAATCCCTACAATAATTGGGGATTTTACTCTAGGGTAGAAAACAAAGTGATATGTGCAAATTTCTGACAGACACATACATTTCAACCACAATTTATTAAATATTGACCAAGTTAAATGGATAGCAAGGTTAATTTATATTTTGTAAAACAAAGTAATGAAAATGTTATATTTTTGGTAACACTGCATGTCCGTATCAAATATAAGTGTTGAAAATTTTCCATTTCTGGTCAGTTAAGTCTGACTCTGTTCCATTAAATATCTACATTAAATGAAGTACCATACTGTCTTAAGATTTATGCATTTATATGAATAGACTCCAGGGTGTAGCACTTTAATCTATAAAAAGTACTAACTAAAAGTAACCGTTGCCATGGCAACACACTGCATGCATTAGTAGCCTTCAAAGGCAAAGCACTTTTGGAAATGAGCATTTACTGATGCCCCAGACAAACCGAAACTCAATGGAATGGATTTTAAATCACCGTTAACACTTGGAACTTCATTCCTAGGTTTAAAGTAGATCACGGAGCTTCACAGCACATATATTATTTTTCACTTAAAAGAGAGTATTTCATTAGTGAGTGACTGCTGATTTTCTATACACATTTTGAGAAACTCAAAAAGATAGATTTTAAAGTGAATCTAGATGAGCAAGGTCCTAGAAGAGCTATGAACATTTGGCAACACAAGAGTGAGGGAGAATAGAGCACTCTCCCTGCGTGAAGTCGTTGCACAAAGTCAGAGTGATAAGACAATTTGGTCCTGGCAGAGGAAACATAAAGAGATGGATGCAGCCTGCAAGAGCCCAAAATTGCCCTCATGGACCTTGGATGGGCACAGGAAAGCAGTGGCACACAAGACCTGTGGGGAGACGATGGATGTGTAGATGAATCTGTTAACAGCAATGATGGGGAAAACCCCTCACTAGATGGAGAGCATAGGGTTGGATCCCTGCCTCACGCTGTGTAGCAAAGGCAAAGTCCTATTGGATTCACTACCCACATATGAAAAGGAAATCCACAACCCAGATACCAAAAGGTGAGGGGAAATATCTCTGAGACCTCAGGGAGGAGATTTCTTAAACAAGACTCCAAATGCACATATTACAGGGCAAAATATGATGAACACAACCATATAAAAACTAAACATTTAAGGTGTATTAGTCCATTGTCACACTGCTATAAAGAACTAACTGAGGCTAGGTAATTTATGAAGAAAAGAGATTTAATTGACTCATAGTCCTACAGGCTGTACAGGAAGCATGGTTCAGAGGCCTCAGGAAATTTACAATCATGGTGGAAAACGAAGGGGAAGCAGGCACGTGTTACCATGGTGGAGCAGGAGAGACAGCAAAGGGGGAAGTGCCACACACTTTTAAACCATCAGATCTCGTGAGAACTCGTGAGCTGAGGTAGGAAGACTGGCAACACAGTGAAACACCATCTCTACAAAATTTTTAAATTGACCAGGCATTGTGGTGCATGCCTATACTTCTAGCTACTTGGGAGGCTGAAGCAAGAGGATTGCTTGAGCCCAGGAATTCAAGGTTACAGTAAGCTATGGTTGTACCACTGCACTACAGCCTGGGCAACAGAGCAAGACCCTGTCTCAAAAAAGCCTAAACATTTCTGTTCAGTGAAGACATCTTAATCAAAGTTAGCAGAGAACAATTTTCTCGAAGAAGATATTTGAAATGAATAAAATTGACAAGGGATTAATATACAGACCAACACTATCCAAGAGAATTGGCTGTGATGATGGAAATGGTGTAGGTCTATGCTGGCCACTGGATAGTTGTGGTTACTGAGCACTTGAAATGGGAGGAGGGTGACTGAGGAGCTAAATTTTTAATTCTATTTAACTTTAATAATAATTATTATTATTGTTTTAGATAGGGTCTCTGTCACACAGGCTGGAGTGCAGTGGTGTGATTACAGCTCACTGCAGCCTTTACCTCCTGGGCTCAGGTGATTCTCCCACCTCAGCCTCCTAAGTAGCTGGAATTACAGGTGTGCCACCACACCTGGCTAATTTTTGTATTTTTAGTAGAGATGGGGTCTTGCCATGTCTCCCACGCTGGTCGTGAACTCCTGAGCTCAAGTGATCCACCTACCTTGGCCTCCCAAAGTGCTGGGATTACAGGTGTGAGCCACCACGCCCAGCCTAATTAATTTCAATAGCCACATAGGACTGGTGGCTAACGTATTAGCACAGATCTAGAATATACAAGTAACTCCTACAAATCAATAAGAAAAGAGAAAACTCAAAATATGAATAGGCAAAAAGAAACAAATGACTTCATCTTAATTTCTTACCTTAATTCTCCTCTTCTTCCTCCACTTCTTTGCTTATTTTATTTTTATTTTGTCGTATGTATTTCTTTCTTTATTTTTATCTATTTATTTATTTATTTTTTTTGAGACAGAGTCTTGCTCTGTCACTAGGCTGGAGTGCTGTGGCGTGATCTCGGCTCACTGCAACTTCCACCTCCCAGGTTCAAGCAATTCTCCTGCCTCAGCCTTCCCAGTAGCTGGGATTACAGGCACGCGCCACCACACCCAGCTAGTTTTTATATTTTTAGTAGAGATGGGGTTTCACCATGTTAGCCAGGATGGTGTTGATCTCCTAACCTTGTGATCCACCCACCTGGCTCTCCCAAAGTGCTGGGATTACAGGCATGAGCCACCGCGCCCGGCCCCTGTTGTATGCATTTCTATAATCCACCCCAAATCCCTCTTTGGCAGTGAGATGGAGCATAAATATATATAACAACAACCCCCACTCATGGATGGGCTGATCTGACTGAGGCTGGTCTCACTGGATCTTTGAGCTTTTATGAGTCGGGCCGGCACTGGCTGTGGGGAGGAAAGGGGGTCCACATCCTCACATCATGTGCAGAGGCCCTGTCATCATGGCAAACTCTTTATGCAAGTCTGTGGATCAACAGAAATCCCAAAGACTCCTAAGACAGTGAACAAAGGACTCCACTGTTTTTTCAGCCCCACACAGGCTGACACTTAGAGGACATGCTGCATTCTTCTGTGATTTTTACACAACTGAGAAGAAATTTTAACTTTGTTTAAAGCTAATACATCTTTTACCGGGCGTGGTGGCTCACACCTGTAAACCTAGCACTTTGGGAGGCCGAGGCGAGAGGATCACTGAAGCTCAGGAGTTCAAGGCCAGCCTGGGCAACATATTGAGACATTGTCTCTATTTAAAAAATAATAATAAAGCTAATACATCTTTAGTCAAAGAGAAAATGGAAGAAATGACAATTTATTACTTAACTGAACAAGAACAAAATTTCATTTTATTCTTGTCATTGCACCCTCAGAGAAACATAATTGAGGTGGAAGGATCCAGAAGAAAGGAACCAGTGATGATGAGGACAGAGGGCTCTCCACGGGAAGGTGGGAGAGAATTTAGTTCTCTGTGCCGTGAAGATGGGATTGGAGCCATACATGTGAGTGCGTCACACATGTGACTGAGATGTGCAAGTCCCTGAATGATACAAGTGAATGAAGGGGAAATGCAGATAAAACAAATACTGTTTTGTTCAGACAAATGCTTTCAGGAAGAAACTTTGTTTCCTCTATTGGACAACAATAGGTAGTTTCTACTCCAAAGGTATTAAATTTAAGGACATGAAATTGTCAGTTTTGCAGGACAAAAACAGCCAACAAAAATGGCGATTTCACCTGGTTCAACACGGTCCTTAACTAGAAAAGGCATCATAGCCTGCCTGAGACATGAGAAAAGAGGTCACAGTCTCTCATTACAGTGAGGTCTCAGGACCCCGGCCTGGAAAGAAAGGGAATTGGTTAGCACCCAGATCCAGAGTCCACGTTTCAGGGAACCAACAGGCAAGCCTCAAGTCCAAAAGGGTGTAAACAGAGTGGCCAGAACCCAACCTTCAGCACAGCGTCTGCAGTGGAAGGCAGCCACACAGTGAGGAGTACTGAGCAAAGAGCCTTCAGGTGTCTATACCATAAAAGAAAAAAAAATGAGCTAGGAAACCCCCAAACCATCCAGACAATAGACAATAGAGTCCATTGATCTTTAAAACTCCAAGTCCAGTTTTGAGGTTTACATGTACTTTTGTTGAATTGCTTCATCTTTAGACTAAGTGAAGGCAGTTAGGAGAACATGCCCCAGTGTTTTTAGGTAACTCCACAGAAGACAATGCATCTTCCTCAGAGATGTTCCCACACTGACCGTGCAGTAGCTCCATCCAGATGGGTCATAGTGCTCAGAGGTGAGGTGTGGGTGCTCAGAGCTCAGGTTGTGGGTGATCAGAGGTGAGGCAGAAGCCTTGCAGAGGAAGGCAGCTTTGAAAGAAGTGTAGGGGAAAGTGCAGGAGGATCCAATTCTAAACTCCCGTTTGATTGGCTGTGAAATTTCTTCTGTTTTATATTTTGTAATGCAAAATAATGGTGTCTGTTTTTCTTTCAATAAAAATGCATCATAGGCCAGGTACGGTGGCTCAGCCTGTAATCCCAACACTTTAGGAGGCCAAGGCAGGGAGATTGCTTGAGCCCAGGAGTTCAAGACCAGCCTGGGCAACATAGCAAGACCCCCATCTCTATAAAAAATTTTTAAAAAAATTAACTGGACATGGTGGCAAGTGCCTGTAGTCCCAGCTACTTGGGAGGCTGAGGTGGGAGGACGACTTAAGCCCAGAAGTTCAAAGCTGAAGTGGGCCGTGTTTGAGCCGTTGCACTCTAGCCAGGTGACAGAGTGGGACCCTGTCTCAAAAAAAAAAAAAAAAAAATCATAAAGGCATCCAAACCAGAAAGGAAGAAGTAAAATTATGTCTGTTCACAGACATGATCTTATATGTAGAAACCCCTAAAGATTCCACAAACTATTAGAACTAATAAACAAATTCAGCAAAGATGCAGAATATACAGAATATAAAATCAACATATAAAAATCAGTTGCATTATCATACACTAAAATGAACAGTCAGAAGAGGAAACTAAGAAAACAATTCCATTTCTAATAGAATCAAAAAGAATAAAATACTCAGAATTAACCAAGAGGCAAAAGACTTGTACACTGAAAACTACAAAGTGTTTCTGAAAGAAATTAAAGAAGATACAAATAAATGGAAATACAGTACATGTTCTTATATTTAAAGACTGAATATAGTTAAGAAGTCCATACTAACCAGAGCAATCTACACATTTTGTGCAATCCTTGTCAAAATCTCATGGATGTTTCACAGAAATTAAAAAAAAAATTCATCCTAAAATTCGTATGGTATTTCAAAGGATCTTGAATAGCCAAAACAGTCTTGAAAAAGAATAACAAAGTTGGAGGTCTCATATTTCTTGATTTCCAAATTTATTACAAAGCCATAGTACCTTTATGGCATAAAGACACACATATGAATCAGTGGAATTGAATAGAGAGCCCAGAAATAAACCCTCCCTCCCATATATGGTTAAATGATTTTCAACAAGAGTGCCAAGATCATTCAAAGGGGGAGAACAGTCTTTTCCACAAATGATGCTAGGAAAACTGGATAGCCACATGCAAAAAATAATGAATTGGATGCTTTCCTTATACTATATACAAAAATTAACACAAAATCGATCAAAGACCCAAATGTAAGAGCCAAAACTATATAAGCCTGAGAAGAAAACATAGAGGAAAATCTTCTTGATACTGAGTTTGGCAATGATTTCTTGGCTATGACACCAAAAGCACAGGCAACAAAAGTAAAAATAGATAAATTATATCAAAATTAAAAACTTTTGTCTGTCAAAAGACAAAAGTCAACAGAATGAAACAGTCAACAGAATGAAAAGGCAACCTATGGAATGGGAGATAATATTTGCAAATCATACATCTGACAAAGGGTTAGTATCCGGAATATATAATGACCTCCTACAACTCAACAACAACAAAAAGATAACCCAGCTTAGAAATGGGCAATGGACTTGAACAGACAGCTATCCAAATAATGTATGTAAGTGTACAACAAGCATAGTCAAAGATGCTCAACATCACTGATCAATAAAGAAATGCAAATTAAAACCACCGTGAGATACCACCTCATACCCATTAGAATAACTGCTTGCAAAAAAAACCCAGAAAATAGCAAGTGTTGTAGAGAATGCAGAGAAATTCAATTTTTTGTGCCCTGTTGTTGGCAATGTAAAATGGTGCAGCAGTTTTGAACAACGCTATGGCAGCTTCTTAAAAAATTAAATACAGAATTACCATATGATACAGCAACTCCACTTCTGGGTATATAACCAAATAATTGAAAAGATTGCAAAGAGATATTTGTACAATCATGTTCATAGCAGCAATGTTCACAATCGCCAAAAGATGGCAACAACTCACCTGTCTATCGACAGAAGAATGGCTAAGCAAAATGTGGTCTATGCATACAACGGAATATTATTCAGCCTTAAAAAGGAGGACAATTCTGACACGTGCTACAACGTGGATGAACCTTAAGGACATTATGCTAAGTGAAATACGCCAATCCAAAAGGACAAATACCGAATGATCCCATTCATATGACCTCTCTAGAGTAGTCAGCTATAGAAACAGAAGGTGGAATTGTGTTTGCCAGAAGCTGGGGAGAAGGGAAAATGAGGGGTTGTTGTTTAATAGGTATAGTTTCAGTTTTATGAGATAAGTCCTAGAGACTGGTTACCCATTAATGTGGATATACTTAACACTAGAGAACTGTACACTTAAAATTGTTAAAATGGTAAAGTTTTGTCATGTGTATTTTACCGCAATTAAAACTTTTTAAAGCATATATCATGAAGAAATATCCTATTTAGTTCTCAAACATCTTCAAGTGATTTAATAATTGTTTATGGTAACACATGATTTAAATGTTTAACATGAGACTACATTTATATAAAACTTGTACAGTCATTTGACTGAATTTGCCAATCAAGTTAGGTGAACTACTCAATGATTTTCTTGTAGAAACTGCAAAAATCGCCCCCTTGATTTAGACATCCTCATGGTATAATTTACAGATTTGAGTTAGTTGGTGGGAATGTAAATTAATACAGCCACTATGGGGAAAAGTATGGAGGTTCCTCAAAAAAGACTAAAAACAGAACTACCATATGATCCAGCAATCCCACTGCCAGTATATACCCCAAAGAAAGGAAATCAGTATATTGAAGATATATCTGCATTCTCATTTATTGAAGTGTTATTCACAATAGCCAAGATTTGGAAGCAACCTAAGTGTCCATCAACAGACAAATGGATAAAGAAAATGTCGTACACATACACAGTGGAGTACTCTATTCAGCCATAAAAAAGAGTGAGATTCTGTCATTTGCAACACTGTGGATGAAACTGGAGGTCATTATGTTAAATGAAACAAGCCAGGCACAGAAAGACAAACTTGACCTGCTCTCACTCATTTGTGGGAGCTAAAAATTAAAACAATTAAATTCATGGAGATAGTAGAATGATGGTTACCAGAGGCTGGGAAGGAGGAGAGGGAAGATGGTTAATAGCTACAAAAATATGGTTAGATAGAATTAATAAGATCGCATATTTGATAGCACAACAGGGTGACTATAGTTAACAATCATTTATTGTACATATAAAAATATCTAAAGTAGTATTATTGGAATTTTTGTACCACAAAGCAATGATAAATGCTTGACATAATGGCTATGTCATGTTCCCTGATGTGATTATTATGGATTGCATGCCTGTATCAGAATATCTCATGTACCCCATATATATATACACCTACTATGTACCAACAAAAATAAAAAATAAAATACAGTAAAAATATTTGAGGCCAGGTGCAGTGGCTCACACCTGTCATCCCAGCACTTTGGGAGGCCAAGGCAGGTGGATCACTTGAGCTCAGGAGTTCACAACCAGCCTGGGCAATATGGTAAAACTTCATCTGTACAAGAAATACAAAAATTAGCCAGGGGTGGTGGTGCATGCCTGTGGTTCCAACTACTTAGGAGGCTGAGGTGGGAAGATGGCTTGAGCCCTGGAGGAAGAGGTTTTAATGAGCCATGATCACGCCATTGCACTCCAGCCTAAGGAATAGAGTGAGACCCTGTCTAAAATAAATAAAGATTTGTGTTAGAATAAAATTCAAACCAGCTTCAGCCACCAAACTGTGGTTTTCAGCAAGTCTCTTCACGTCCATAAATCTCAGTTTCCTCATCTGTAGTGTGGATTGCTTTGAAAATTGAGTGAAAATATGAGTGTCTGTTTTCTTCTTACATCAGATTCATCCACTTTCCCCTCCCTTTCTTATGCTTGCTCAGGATATTGGGTTCCATGATGTAATCCCAAAGTACAGAGGAAAAAGTGAGCCAGACTCTTCATCATAGGCCCATTCCTGAGCACAAAGCAATTCTGATAGAATCTTCCAGAGGAGAAGCAAAGAAGTGAGGCCAAGAGCAGGCAGGTGGGGCAGCAACCGCAGGGCCTTCCCTGGCCCTGCAGCCCACTGGGACCCCAGCCAGCCACTTCTGGTGGGCTCTGTTCAAGGTTCTCCACCTTCCTCCAGATCTGGGTTGTAATAGTAATTATGGTGACCTTCATTTTCAAAGCCTGAGCTACAAGGCCCTGGAGGTCATGGCAAGGTGAGAAAGGGAAAGTCTTGCCCCTCTTTCCAGGTCTTTCCTGAAACTCAAGGGGAGAATTATGCTTTAAAGTTACTTTAGAGCAGTAGTTTTAATGTGCTTAGTTTTCCTTTGCCTATGGGAAGCAAATTTCTTCTAAGAAATCTTGAAATATTTTTGCTCATCTTGGTATTTTTGAATACAATGATTTTCTTTGTTTTGCTTTTTTTTTTTTTTCTTTCTTTCTTTTTTAGATGGAGTTTCATTCTTGTTGCCCAGGCTGGACTGCAATGGCACGATCTTAGCTCACTACCACCTCCACCTCCCGGCTTCAAGCGATTCTCCTGTCTCAGCCTCTGGAGTAGCTGGGATTACAGGTGTGCGCCACCATGCCTGGCTAATTTTTGTATTTTTTTTTTTTTTTTCAGTAAAGACAGGGTTTCACCATGTTGGCCAGGCTGGTCTTGAACTCCTGACCTCAGGTGATCTGCTCACCTCAGTCTCCCAAAATATTGCGATTATAGGCATGAGCCACTGTGCCCAGCCTGGATACAATGATTTTCTTTAGCATACAATGCAGTGTAATGACATAGAGGTTGTTGATGCTCAGAGATTCAATAACCCACTCATAATGTAGTAACTTTCCCCAGCCGCCTGTTATTTGCCTGGAGATAAAAATAGGTAGAGATTTCAACGTCAGAGCAAAGAGCCACTTATTGTATCTATTTAGTGTGTTATAATTAAAACTGTTGTGAATTCTGCAGCTTCATTTTGCAGAGGTTGAGAAAACCTTTTTTCAGTTTGGTTCAAGTAAATTCACACTCCCGAATCCCGTTTTGTGTTTTAGGATCTATAAAAAATGAACCTAACATTAAAAACAAAATGCAACCACACCATTGTGATATGCCTGGCCCTGTGTAGAAACTGAAGGGGTGTGTGCGAAGCCCAGCAAATATCCAAATGACACATTCATAAGCTCAGCTGAAGCTTTGTAAGTAAATTCTAAACCAAGGATGTTGTTATTCACACATGCTTTTCTTCTCAACTTTCGATTGAGGTCAGCTCCCTGACCCCATCATCAACTCTACTCTCACCTTTGAGATTGAGTTCTTTTTTGATCAATTCAACTATTGTAAGAAAAAAGAGAAAAAAAACATTGCCAGTGAGAGAGGTCACTAAAGGGGATTCAGTCTATTTACCACCCAGAGTGTTTGGAGCTGGCTGGAGCCTTAGAGACGATGGGGACATTTGCCCTTGGGGTGCCCTAGAAGAGCAGCTCAATCTCCATCTTGAGGAATCTTCCATTGGGCAACAGGGAGGACCTCCTTTTCTCTCTTCCCCAGTGTAGTCCAGAGGTCAGCCCATTTGCTCCGAGGCACTGACTCTTGAGGACATGCTAAAAGGAACTGGGCACAGTCGGAGGTCATATGGCTGTAGCAGTCTCGGCCACCACAGTAGGTCCTGCGGGGGCTCTTCCTGCCTCTCTCCTGTGTCCTGACCTCCCAGAGCTTCCTGGTCCTGCTGCTCCTGAGGGTAGAGTCAACACTTGGCATGCATCTGTGGGTATGAATGCCTCCAGCCAGAGTATCTGGTGGTTTGGGAGAAAATAACCTTGATGTTTAAATAAAACCAATGCAATTGTCCCATAGACAGTTTTTTTTTCTTTTGATAAACATAGAAATTCACCCTTCTAGTCTTAAAGCTTGAAACTTATATTTGTTTTATCCGAGTTCCTTCCTCAGGAAAGGAGCTTCAGATCTCAAAAAAAGTACCAAAGAACTGAAATTCACCAGACCGTCACATCAGACAATAAGATGTGGGACCCCTCATTCACCATGATTGCTTCCTTGCCCCTCCCTAGTTCCCGTTTTCTTACACACGGTTACATTGCTTCCCTGCCATATAAACCCCTAGTTTTAGTTAGTCAGGGAGATGCATTTGAGACTGAGTTCCCATCTCCTCTGCTGCAGAACCCGACTAAAGCCTTCGTCCTTGGCAATACTCATCGTCTCAGTCATTGGCTTTCTGTTCTGTGAGCCGCAGGACCCAGACCAAACTCCCGGTGTTTCGGTAACAGAAACAAACTTGGGGTTGGATTCCAGTTCTGCCTCTTACAGGATATGTGTCCTTAAACAAGACTTTCCCCTCCATGTCTCCTTTTCCTCATCTGTGCAGTGGGCACAGAGGCCTTGCCTGGCGTATTTACTCTCAATGAAACCTGAATGTGGGAGCACCGTTTGTACTGTAAAATGCTACACATCGGAGAACTGATTTTACCGTTGTAAACCAAAAGCCTTCAAGCCACACCAGACTTGGATTTGAAATGGCTTCACTGACTTGTCACCTCACCCTAGACTGCTAATAGTGACATCACCCATCTTTCCTCTGCCTGAAAGGACAGCAGTCGTGCAGACTTCAGGATTGGCTTAATCCAGGCGCTCCAGTTTCTTCCGGGCCATCCCTCAAGTGTCTGCCCCATCTTTACTTCTCCCCATAGTGGTGTCCAGAGGAGGCAAAAGAGACTTCTTCCACAGCTCTCTCAGGAGAAAAAAAAAAATTCCCTGGAAAGCCCAGCAAAATTCTCAGCATGTCCATTGGCCTGAGTTGGGTTTCATGCCCCTTTCTGAACTGACCTCTGGCAAAGAGAATGGGTGACCCTTTGACCAGCTACTCCCAGATCTGGGGGTGGAATCCACTTCCCCTGAGTCACATGGATTCCATGAAGTGTGTTTGTGGGTAGGTAGGGGAAAGGGTATGGTGCTGAAGAACTGCACAAAATCGGAGTTCTCTTAGAAAGGAAGCAGTGGTGAAGAGATAACATATGCACATAGAAGAGTCTGGGTGAACACATGTATGTTCAGTGTATGACCTGTTTTTGTTAAAAAAGTGGGGGATGAGATAGGGAAATATACAAATATACAAGGGAAATATACAAATATGTTATAAATACAAATATACATATTTGTGTATGCAAAAAATATATTTGGAAGGATAAACAAAGAACCTGTTCATGTGGCTTTCTCATGGGCAGGACCCAGATATCTGGAGACAGGGATGAGAGAGAAACTTTTCACTCTACACTCATTTATATTGCTTCAATTTTGAACCATGGGAATATATTGCTAATTCAAAATAATTAATAAGTCAATTTTTTTTTTTGAGATGGAGTCTTGCTCTGTCACCCAGGCTGGAGTGCAGTGATGCAATCTCGGCTCACTGCAACCTCTGCCTCCTGGGTTCAAGCTATTCTCCTGCGTCAGCCTCCCGAGTAGCTGGGATTACCGCCCCGACTAGCTAATTTTTGTATTTGTAGTAGAGATGGGGTTTCACCATATTAGCCAGGCTGGTCTCGAACTCCTGACCTTGTGATCTGCCCACCTTGGCCTCCCAAAGTGCTGGGATTATAGGTGTGAGCCACCGCACCTGGCCAATAAGTCTATTTTTTTTAAGTGGAATTCAGAAGCATGAAAGTGTGATGGAACATAATCTGGACCCTCTTAAGGACTTTGTCGAGAATAAGGTGAAGCTATGCTTCCTTATTCATCCTAGGGCCCAGTGGATAACTGTTAACCGTAATATTTACACACACACACACACACACACACACACACACACACACCCCAAACATTAATTTTCAAAGGCAATGCAGTCTGAATTCATGCTTAAGAAGGGAAATCATCTAACTGGTTCATAATCTGAACTACAGTCTCTGCTTCCAACGGGAGAATCATTTTTTTTTTTCATTCCAAACCTCTAAAACCCAGTGATCCTCAACCAAGGGTGATTTCACTCCCAAGGGACATTTGACAATATCTGAAAACACTTTTGGTTGTCAGAACTTGGGGCATTTAGTGGATCAAGATCAGGAATGCTGCTAAACATCCTACAATGGACAGCACAGCCCCCTCAACAAAGAATTATCCAGCCCAAAATGTCAATAGTGCCAGTGTTGAGAAATCCTGCTTTAAGACAAAAAGTACCAGAAAACAGCACAGGAATCAAGCTTTCAGTGGCCACCATTTAGTAAAATGCCTGTCTTTGAAATGGTCACTTGCCTTACTCTCCGCTAGCTAAAATTCTTATGCATGAAAAAGGAAGAAACGTGGAAAGTGATGCTATCCTGGAACATGAGATGCCCCAGGACTTAATGAAGTAAAGACATCAGCCTCCCAGTCAGAGAGAGGTTTGCTTCATTCACTTTCAGGGAACGTGGCAGCCATCCAACTATGAGGCCAAGCTCTTCCTTCTTAGCACTCTACTCGTGAGCAGTTGGATGTTTTCTTTAGATTAATGTTCCAAAGTGCCAAGCATTTCTCTAAAGTGTATAAATATATCAGATCCTCACACCAGCATTTTGAGGTAAAAACATACTTATCTCCACTTCCCAGGTAAGGCTCTTAGCTTGCCACAGTCACATACCTCAGAAGTTGCTGAGCTATTATCTGATCCCTGGCATCGGGCTCCATACTCCGAGGGCTCTACAGCCTCCATATACTCAAACCATAATACACCTCCATGTACTTTGGTGAGAACAATAAATTACTAAGTGTAGATATTGCAAAATTGTCCTCCAACAGGATTACTCTGATATATTTTCCAATGAATGATCCATGGGAGTGACTGTTTTACACATCCTCATCAACATTGTGTATCACCAGTTTTTAAATCTTGTAGTCAGCCATTAGTTCTGTTTTTCATTTCCTCAGAATGAGGTTGTGCATGTTTTCATGTGTTTATTTGCTCTTAGTATTTCTTTTTTCCGTGAGATGCTTATCCTATTTTTTACTGCTGTTGATTGTTTCAGATTGATGACTTCTTTGTTTACTAGGAACACTTAACCATTGTTCATCATGTATCACAAATATTTTGCTCAAATTATTTTTTATTTTTTTATTGTACTTTTCTTTTTCTGAGTAAAGGATCTTAATTTTTACATCTTCAGATTTATCAGTCTTTTCCTACTTGGCTTCTTGAGTCTGATGTCATCTTCAGAAAGTTTTTTCCTATAAAAGATAATAGAGAGATTTGGCAAGATGGCTGAATAGGAATAGCTGAGGTACCCACTTCATCTCATTGAGACTGTTTAGGCAGTGGGTGCAGCCCACAGAGGGTGAGCAGAATCAGGGTGGGGCATCACCTCCCCCAGGAAGT
This sequence comes from Homo sapiens, assembly GCF_000001405.40. Taxonomy (NCBI): domain Eukaryota; kingdom Metazoa; phylum Chordata; class Mammalia; order Primates; family Hominidae; genus Homo; species Homo sapiens. The sequence goes on along the minus strand of NW_011332701.1, from coordinate 2,195,882 downwards.
GCAAGCAGCCGGGGACCTCCCTCCCCAGCCAAGGGAAGCTGTGAGGGACTGTGCTATCCAGCCCAGGTACTATGCTTTTCCCACGGTCTTTGCAATCCACAGAACAGGAGATTCCCTCATGTGCCTACACTACCAGGGCCCTGGGTTTCAAGCACAAAACTGGATGGTTGTTAGGGCAGACACAGAGCTAGCTGCAGGAGTTTTTTTGTTGTTGTTGTTTTCCATACCCCAGTGGTGCCTGGAACCCCAGAGAGACAGAACCGTTCACTCCTCCAGAAAGGGGCCTGAAGCTAGGAAGCCAAGAGGTCTTGCTCAGCAGCTCCCACCCCCACGGACCCCAGCAAGCTAAGAACCACTGGCTTGAAATTCTTGCTGCCAGCACAGCAGTCTGAAGTTGACCTGGGATGATTGAGCTTGGTAGAGGGTGGGGCATCCACCATTACTGAGGTTTGAGTAGGCAGTTTTCCCCTGACAGTGCTAAGGAGGCCAGGAAGTTTGGACTGGGCAGAACTCACCACAGTATGGCAAAGCAGCTGTGGCCAGACTGCTTCTCTAGATTCCTCCTCACTGGGCAGGGCATCTCTGAAAGAAAGGCAGCAGCCCCAGCCAGGGGGCTATAGATAAAGCTCCCATCTCCCTGGTACAGAGCACCTGGGGGAAGGGGCGGCTGTCAGGGGCACAGCTTCAGTGGACTTAAACGTTCCTGCCTGCTGGCTCTGATGAGAGCAGCAGATCCTGACAAGGAGGATTCTCCCAGCACAGTGCTCAAGCTCTACTAAAGAACAGACTGCCTCCTCAAGTGGGTCCCTGACCCCTGTGTATTCTGACTGGGAGACACCTCCCAGTAGAGGCTGACAGACACCACATACAGGAGAGCTCCGGCTGGCATCAGGCTGGTGCCCCTCTGGGACGAAGCTTCCAGAGGAAGGAGCAGGCAGCAATCTTTGCTGTTCTGCAGCCTCCACTGGTGATACCCAGGCAAACAGGGTCTGGAGTAGACCTCCAGCAAACTGCAGCAGACCTGCAGAAGAGGGGCCTGTTAGAAGAGAAAAACTAACAAACAGAAAGCAACAACATCAACATCAACAAAAAGAAGCTGCACACAGAAACCCCATCCAAAGGTCATCAGCCTCAAAGATTAAAGACTATCATTTTTTTATTGTGTCTACTTGATTTTTCTCTCTTTTCTTCTTTATTAGTCTAGCTAGTGGTCCATCTATTTTGTTAATCTTTTCAAAAAATCAGCTCCTGGAGTAATTGATTTTTTGAAGGGTTTTTCATGTCTCTATTTCTTTAGCTCTGCTCTGATCTTAGTTATTTCTTGTCTTTTGCTAGCTTTTGAATTTGTTTGCTCTTGCCTCTCTAGTTCTTTTAATTGTGATGTTAGGGTGTCAGTTTTAGATCTTTCCAGCTTTCTCTTGTGGGCATTTAGTGGTATAAATTTCTCTCTTAATACTGCTTTAGCTGTGTCCCAGAGATTCTGGTACTTTGTCTCTTTGTTCCCATTGGTTTCAAAGAACTTCTTTACTTCTCCCTTAACTTAATTATTTACCCAGTAGTCATTCAGGAGCAGGTTGTTCAATTTCCATGTAGTTGTGCCATTTTGAGTGAGTTTCTTAATTCTGAATTCTAATTTGATTGCATTGTGGTATGAGAGACTGTTTGTTATGATTTCCATTCTTTTGCATTTGCTGAGGAGTGTTTTACTTCCAATTATGTAGTCGATTTTAGAAAACATGTTATGTGCAGCTGAGAAAATTTATACTCTGTTGATTTGGGGTGGAGAGTTCTGTAGATGTTGATTAGGTCTGCTTGGTCCAGATCTGAGTTCAAGTCCTGAATATCCTTGTTAATTTTCTGTCTCATTGATCTGTCTAATATTGACAGTGGGGTGTTAAAGTCTCCCACTATTACTATTTGGGGGTCTAAGTCTCTTTATAGGTCTTTAGGAACTTGTTTTATGAATCTGGGTGCTCCTATATTGAGCACACATATATTTAGGATAGTAAGCTCTTCTTGTTGCATTGATCCTTTTACCATTATGTAATGCCCTTCTTTGTCTTTTTTTATCTTGGTTGGTTTAAAGTCTGTTTTATCAGAGACTAGGATTGCAACCCCTGCTTTTTTTTTCCTTTCCATTTGCTTGGTAAATATTCCCCCATCCCTTTATTTTGAACCTATGCGTGTCTTTGCATGTGAAATGGGTCTCCTGAATACAGCACACCGATGGGTCTTGACTCTTTATCCAGCTTGCCAGTCTGTGTCTTTTAATTGGGACATTTAGCCCATTTACATTTAAGGTTAATATTGTTATGTGTGCATTTGATCCTGTCATTATGATGCTAGCTGGTTATTTCACACATTAGTTGATGCAGTTTCTTCATAGTGTCATTGGTTTTATATTTGGTGTGTTTTTGCAGTGGCTGGTACTAGTTTTTCCTTTCTATATTTAGTGCTTCCTTCAGGAGCTCTTGTAAGGCAGGCCTGGTGGTGACAAAATCCCTCAGCATTTGCTTGTCTGTAAAGGATTTTATTTCTCCTTCACTTATGAAGCTTAGTTTGGCTGACTATTAAATTAAATGCTGGGTTGAAAATTCTTTTCTTTAAGAGTGTTGAATATTGGCCCCCACTCTTTTCTGGCTTGTAGGGTTTCTGCAGAAAGATCCACTGTTAGTCTGATGGGCTTAACTTTGTAGGTAACTTGACCTTTCTTTCTGGCTGCCCTTAACATTTTTTCCTTAGTTTGAACCTTGGAGAACCTGATGATTATGTGTCTTGGGGTTGCACTTCTTGAGGAGTATCCTCAATACTTCTCTGTATTTCCTGAATTTAAATGTTGGCCTGTCTTGCTAGGTTGGGTAAGTTCTCCTGGATAATATCCTGAAGTGTGTTTTCCAATGTGGTTCCATTCTCCCCATCACTTTCAGGGACCCCCAATCAATACTAGTCTATTCGGTCTTTTCACATTGTCCCATATTTCTTGGAGGCTTTGTTCATTCCTTTTCATTCTTCATTCTCTAATCTTGTCTTCATGACTATTTCACTAAGTTGATCTTTGATTTCTGAATCCTTTCTTCTGCTTGATCAATTTGGCTATTGATATTTGTGTATGCTTCATGAAGTTCTTGTGCTGTGTTTTTCGGCTCCATCAGGTCATTTATCCTCCTCTCTAAACTGGCTATTCTAGTTAGCAGTTCCTGTAGCCTTTTGTCAAGGTTCTCAGCTTCCTTGCATTGGGTTAGAACATGCTCCTTTAGCTCAGAGGTGTTTGTTATTACCCACCTTCTGAAGCCTACTTCTGTCAATTCATCAATGTCATTCTCCATCCAGTTTTGTGCCCTTGTTGGAGAGGAGTTGCAGTCATTTGGAGGAGAAGAGGCATTCTGGTTTTTGGAATTTTCAGCTTTTTTGTGCTGTTTTTCCCTCATCTTCATGGATTTATCTATAAATTTTATTGTGTCAAATAGACACAATAAAAAATGATAAAGAGGATATCACTACTGATCCCACAAAAATACAAACTATCATCAGAGAATACTATAAACACTTCTACACAAATAAACTAGAAAATCTAGAAGAAATGGATAAATTCCTGGACACATACACCCTCCCAAGACTAAACCAGGAAGAAGTCGAATCCCTGAATAAACCAATAACAAGTTCTGAAATTGAAGCAGTACTTAATAGCCTACCAACCAAAAAAAGCCCAGGAGATGGATTCACTGCCGAATTCTACCAGAGGTACAAAGAGGAGCTAGTACCATTCCTTCTGAAACTATTCCAAACAATCAAAAAAGAGGGAATCCTCCTAACTTATTTTATGAGGCCAGCATCATCCTGATACCAAACGCTGTCAGAAACACAACAAAAAAAACAAAATTTCAGGCCAATATCCCTGATGAACATCAATGAGAAAATCCTTAATAAAACACTGGCAAAAAAATCCAACAGCACATCAAAAATCTTATCCACCACAATCAAGTCAGCTTCATCCCTGGGATGCAAGGCTGGTTCAACATATGCAAATTCTTACAACTTATACAAAAATTAACTCAAGATGGATTAAAGACTTAAATGTAAAACCCCAAACCATAAAAACCCTAGAAGAAAACCTAGGCAATACCATTCAGGACATAGGCATGGGCAAAGACTTCATGACTAAAACACCAAAAGCAATTGCACAAAAGCCAAAATTGACAAATGGGATCTAATCAAACTAAAGAGTTTCTGCACAGTGAAAGAAACTATCATCAGAGTGAACAGGCAACCTACAGAATGGGAGAAAATTTTTGCAAACTACCCATCTGACAAAGGTCCAATACCCAGAATCTACAAGGAATTTAAACAAATGTATAAGAAAAAAACAAACAATCCCATCAAAAAGTAAGCAAAGGATATGTACAGACAGTTCTCTAAAGAAGAAGACATTTATGCAGCTAACAAACATATGAAAAAAACTCATCATCACTAGTCATTAGAGAAATGCAAATCTTTTGCTATCATCAAGTTTTGATGCAAATCTTTTTGATACCATCAAATTTGATGCCACAATGAGATACCATCTCATGCCAGTTAGAATGGTGATTATTAAAAATTCAGGAAACAACAGATGCTGGAGAGGATGTGGAGAAATAGGAAACCTTTTGCACTGTTGGTGAGAGTGTAAATTAGTTCAACCACTGTGGAAGACAGTGTGGCAATTCCATGAGGATCTAGAACGAGAAATACCATTTGACCCAGCAGTCACATTACTGGATATTTACCCAAAGGAATATAAATCATTCTACTATAAAGACACATGCACACGTATGTTTATTGCAGCACTATTTACAATTGCAAAGACATGGAACCAACCCAAATGCCCATCAATGATAGACTGGATAAAGAAAATCTGGCACATACACACCATGGACTATCATGCAGCCATGAAGAAGAATGAGTTCATGTCCTTTGCAGGTACATGCATGCAGCTGGAAACCATCATTCTCAGCAAACTAGCACAGGAACAGAAAACCAAACACTGCATGTTCTCACTCATAAATGGGAGTTGAACAATGAGAACACATGGACACAGGGAAGGGAGCATCACACACCGGGACCTGTCGGGGGCGGCGGGGAAGAGGAGAGAGAGCATTAGGAGAAATACCTAATGCATGCGGGGCCTAAAACTTAGATGAGGGGTTGATAGGTGCAGCAAACTACCATGGCACATGCGTACCTATGTAACAAATCTGCACGTTCTCCACATGTATCTGAGAACTTAAATAAATTTTTAAAAAATTCCCAAAACTCACTAGAAAGGTTAACATTAGAATTCAGGAAATGCACAGAATTCCTGTGAGATAGTATACAAGTCAATCATCCCCAAATCACATAGTCAACAGATTCTCCAAGATCAATATGAAAGAAAAAATATTAAAAGCAGCTAGAGAAAAGGGGCAGGACACCTGCAAAGGGAACCCCATCAGGTTGACAGTGGGCCTTTCAGCAGAAACCCTTAAGCCAGAAGAGATTGGGGTCCTATATTTGGCATTCTTAAAGAAAAGAAGTTCCAACGAAGAATTTCATATCCAGCCAGACTAAGCTTCATGAGTGAAGGAGAAATAAGATCCTTTGTAGACAAGCAAATGCTAAGGGAATTCATTGCCACCAGACCTGCCTTACAAGAGGCCCTTAAGGGAGTGCGAAACATGGAAATGAAACACTGTTACTGGCCACCACAAAAACACACTTAAGTACATAGACCATTGATGCTATAAAACAACTATACAATCAACCAGCTAACAACACAACAGCAGGATCAAATCGCACATATCAATATTAACCTTGAATGTAAATAGGCTAAATCCTCCACTTAAAAGACACAGAGTGGCAAAATGGATAAAGAAACAAGACCTAACTTTATGCTGTCTTCAGAGGATCCACCTCACATGCAATGAGACCCATAGGCTTAAAGTAAAGGGATAGAGAAAAACCTACCAAGTAAATGGAAAGAAAAAAGAGCAGGGGTTCCTTTTCTAATTTTAGACAACACAGATTTTAAATCAATAACAATAAAATAAGACAAAGATAGGCATTACTTAATGATAAAGGGTTTAATTTCCACAAGACTTTACTATCCTAAATACACATGCATCCAACACTGGAGCACTGGATTCATAAAACAAGCTCTTAGAGACCTATTTTGTTAGATAACCTCACAAAAATAGTGGAAGACTTCAACACTCCACTGACAGTATTAGATCATCAAGGCAGAAAACTGACAAAGATTTTCAAGACCTGAACTCGACACTTGACCAAATGGGCCTAACAGACATCTACGGAACACTCCAGCCAACAACAGACTATACATTACATTCTTCTCATCTGCAGGTGGCACATACTGAAAAACCAACCACACGCTCGACCATAAAACAATGCTCAACAAATTCATAAAACACAAAATCATACCAACCACACTCTCAGACCACAGCACAATAAAAATAGAAATCAATACTTAGAAGATTGCTCAAAACTATACAATTACATGGAAATTAAACAATCTACTCCTGAATGACTTTGGGTAAACAATGAAATTAAGGCAGAAATCAAGAAATTCTTGGAAACGAATGAAGACAGAGATACAACATACTAGAATCTCTGGGAAACAGCTAATGCAGTGTGAAGAAGAAACTTTATAGTGCTAAGTGCCCACATCAAAAAGTTAGAAAGACCTCAAATGAACAACTTAACACACCTAGAGGAACTAGAAAAACAAGAGCAAACTAACCGTAAAGCTAGCAGAAGAAAAGAAAACAAAAATCAAAGCCAAACTGAAAGAAATTGAGACACAATAAAACACACAAAAGGTCAACGATACCAAAAGTTGGTTTTTTTGCAAGAATAAATAAGATCGATAGACCACTAGCCTAAACTAATAAAGGAAAGAAGAGAAAAGATCCAAATAAACACAGTCAGAAATGACAAAGGGGACATTACCACACAAACTAGAAAACCTAGAAAAATGGATAAATTTCTCGGAAACAACTTCCCAAGATTTAATCCAGAAGAAATTAAAACCAGAACAGATCAGTAACAAGTTCTGAAACTGAATCAGTAATAAAAAGCCTACCAACCAGAGAGGGTCCTGGGCCAGAAAGATTCTACCAGATGTATAAAGAAGAGCTGGTACCAATTCTACTAAAACTATTCCAAAAAATTGAGGAGGAGAGACACCTCCTTAGCTCATTCTATGAAGCTGGCATCATTCCGATACCAAAACCTGGTGGAGGCACAACAAAAAGGGGAAACTTCAGGCCAATATCCCTGATGAACATAGATGCAAAATCCCTCAATAAAATAATGGTAAACTGAATTCAGCAGCACATCAAAAAACAAATCCAGCACTATAAAGTAGGCTTTATCCCTGGGATGCAAGTTTGGTTCAACATACACAAATCAATAAATGTAATTCATTACATAAACAGAACTAAAGACAAAAACCACATGATCATCTCAATAGATGCAGAAAAGTCTTTTGACAAAATTAAACCTCCCTTCATGTTAAAAGCCCTCAACAAACTAGGCATTGAAGGAACATACCTCAAAATAGTAAGAGCTGTCTATGACAAACCCACAGCCAACATCATACTGAATGGGCCAAAGCTGCAAGCCTTCCCCTTGGGAACCAGAACGAGACAAGGATGCCCACTCCCACCACTCCTATTCAACATAGTACTGAAATTCCTAGCCAGAGCAATCAGGCAAGAGAAAGAAATAAAAAGCATCCATACAGCAAAAGAGGTAGTCAAACCATCTCTCCTTGCAAACAATATGATTTTATACTTAGCAAACCCCATAGTCTTCGCCCCAAAGCTCCCAGAACTGATAAACTACTTCACCAAAGTTTAAGGATATAAAATCAATGTATAAATATCAGTAGCATTTCTTTACACCAGTAACACCAAATCAAGAATGCAATGCCATTTACAATAGACACACAAAAAGTAAAATACCTCAGAATACAGCTAACCACAGAGGTGAAAGGTCTCTACAATAATAATTACTGAATTACTGAATAATTGCTGAAAGAAATCAGAGATGACACAAACAAATAGAAAAACATGCCATGCTCAAGGATAGGAAGAATAAATATTGTCAAAATTGTCATATTGCCCAAAGCAATTTGCAGACTCAATGCTATTCCTATCAAACTACCAATGACATTATTCACAGAATTATACAAAACTATTTAAAAACTCATATGGAACCAAAATGAGCCCGAATAGCCAAAGCAATCCTAAGCAAAAAGAACAAAGCTGGAGGCATCCTATTACCTGACTTCACACTTTACTACAAGGTTGTAGAAACCAAAACACCATGATACTGGTACAAAAATAGACTCGAAGAAAAAAAGAGCAGAACAAAGGACCCAGAGATAAAGTGGCACAGCTACAACCGTCTGATCTTTAACAAAATTAGCAAAAACAAGTAATAGGGAAAGGACTCCCTATTCAATAAATGATGCTGGGATAACTGGTTAGGCATAGGCAAAAGATTGAAACTGGACTCCTTCCTTTCACCATACACAAAAATCAACTCAAGATGAATTAAAAATTTGAATGAAAAACCTAAAAATATAAAATCCCTGGAAGAAAACCTGAGATATACCATTGTGGACATAGGCCCTGGCTAAGATTTCATGACAAAGATGCCAAAAGCAATTGAAACAAAACCAAAAATAGACAAATGGGGACCTAATTAAACTAAAGAGCATCCTGCAGCAAAAGAAACTATCAACAGAGTAAATAGTGGGAGAAAATATTTGCAAATTATGCATCTGGGAAAGGTCTAATATCCAGATTCTGTAGGGAACTTAAATTAGGCAGAAAACAAAAAACTCCGTTAAAAAATTGGCAAAGGACATGAATAGACATTTCTCAAAAGAAGATATCTATGTGGCCAACTAGTATATTAAAAAAAGAAGACAATCCTAATTATAATGGCACCAAAAAGATAAAATATTAGGAATAACCCTAACCAAAGAGGTGAAAGACTGCACACTGAAATCTATGAAGCAATGATTAAAGAAATTAAGACAGATACAAATAAATGGGAAGACATCTCTTGTTCATGGATTAGAAGACTTAATATTGGTAAGATGTCCATACTACTCAAAGCAATCTACAGATTCAGTGCAAGCCCTATCAAAATACGGTAAACATTTTTTTACAGAAAGAGGAAAAAAATCACAAAAAATATAGAACCACAAGAAATCCCAAATAGCTGAAGCAATATTAAGCAAGAAGAACACAGCTGGAGGCATCGTACTTACTGATTTCAAAATATATTATAAAGCTACAGTAATCAGTGTTGTACTGGAATAAAAATCAGGCAGACAGACCAATGGAACAGAATAGAGAGCCTAGAAATAAATCCACACATCTATGGTCAACTGATCTTTGACAAGTGTGCCAAGAACCCACAATGCAGAAAAAGATAGTCTCCTCAATAAGTGGTACCAGGAAAAGTGAATAGCAACATGCAGAATAATGAAATTGGACCTTATCTCACACCATATATGAGAATCAACTCAAAATAGATTAAAGATTTAAACGTAAGACCTGAAACTGTAAAACTACTAGAATAAACCCAAGGAAAAGCTTTTGGACATTGTTCAGGGCAATAATCTTCTTGGATATGACATCAAAAGCACAAGCAACAAAAGCAAAAATAGAAAAGTTTGATTACATCAAACTAAACAGCTTTTTCACAGCAAAGGAGAAATCCGCGGGGTGAAAAGCAACCCCGCAGAATGGGAGAAAATATTTATGCATTCCTGTGTTCACTGCAGCATTATTTACAATAGCCAAGATGTAGAAACAACCCAAATGTTCATAGACAGCTGAATGGATAAAGAAAATGTGACATAGACATACAACACAACGTTACTCAACCTTTAAAAAGAAGGAAATCTTACCATTTGTCACAACGTGGAAGGACCCGGAAGACATGACGCTAAGTGAAATAATTCAGTCACAGAGAGAGAAATACTAATGATTCCTCTAATATGAGCATCTAAAATAGTCAAAGGTGTTGAATTAGACAACAGAACGAGGGTTACCTGGGGATGGCATGAAGGAGAAAAAAGGAGTTGTTATCCAGTGGGTATAAAGTTATAGTTAAACAAGATCGGTGAGTTCCAGAGATCTGCTGTACAATAGACTGTCCATAGCTAACAACAAGATATTGTGTCGTAAAAACAATTGTTAACAGGGTAGATCTCATGTTAAGTGTTCTTATGAAGAAAAAAAAGAGGGGACACGGGGAAAGTTGCAGATACGTGTATTACCTGGATTACAGCAATAGCAACATGAATATATACATATGTCCAGAATCATCAAATTGTATGCATAAATTTATATGCAGTTTTTTGGGGGAGATTTTTGTTTTGGATTTTTTTGTTTTTAGAGACAGTGTCTCTCTCTGTCACCTAGGCTGGACTGCAGTGGTTTGATCATAGCTTACTGCAGCCTCAAATGCCTGGTCTCAAGCAATCTTCCTGCCTCAATCTCCTCAGTAGCTGGGACTACAGGCGCGTGCCATCACACCCAGCTAATTTATCTTGAAATTTTTTTAATAAAGACAGGATCTCACTATGCTACCCACACTGGTCACAAACTCCAAGCCTCAAGCAATCCTCCTGCCTCGGCCTCCCAAATTGCTGGGATTACAGGCATGAGCCCTCATGCCAGGCCATATGCAGTTTTTTTAATGCCAATTATATCTCAACAAAGTTGGAAAAACAACAACAACAAATAACCTTCAAATCAGTAAGCGCCAAGCCCAGATGGGTTCGTTAGTGAATTCTATCAAACATTTAAGGAATAAATATACCAATTCATTACAATCTCTTCTAGAAAATAGAAACAGAGGGAATAGTTCCTAAATCATTCCGTGTGGCCAGCATAACCCTAGTATAAAAACCAGACACAGGCATTACAAAAAATCAAAATCACACACCAATGTTTTTCACAGACATAAACACAAAAATTCTCAACAGTCTGGGTGTGGTGGCTCACACCTGTAATCCTAGCACTTTGGGAGGCCGAGGCAGGCAAGTCACTTGAGCCTAGAAGTTTGAGACCAGCCTGGACAACATGGCGACACCTCATCTCTGCAAAAAATACAAAAATTAGCCAGGCATGGTGGCCTGTGCCTATAGGCCCCAATGTCCTCTCTTTCTCTCTCTCTCTCTTTTTTTTTTCTCTTGAGACAGAGTCTCGCTCTGTCACCCAGACTGCAGTGCAGTGGTGCGATCTCAGTCACTGCAACCTCTGCCTCCTGGGTTCAAGCCATCCTCCTGCCTCAGCCTCCCCAGTAGCTGGGATTACAGGCATGCACCACCACACCCAGCTAATTTTCGTATTTTTAATAGAGATGGGGTTTCACCATATTGGCCAGGCTGGTCTCGAACTCCTGACCTTGTGATCTGCCCACCTCGGCCTCCCAAAGTGCTGGGATTACAGGTGTGAGCCACCACACCGGGCCATCTTTTTAACAAAAGGTGCTTAACAACTACACATCCAAATGCAAAAAAAAGTGCATCTAGACACGGACTTTATATCCTTCACAAAAATTACCCCAAAGTGAATCATAGGCCTAAATGTAAAATGCAAAACTTAGGAGCAGACCTAGGTGACCTTCGGAATGGTAATAACTCTTTGGTTAGAACACAAAGGCATGATCCATGAAGGAACAAATTAATAAACTGGACTTCACTAAAATTACAAACTTCTACTCTGTGAAAGACACTGTCAAGAGAATGAGAAACTGGGATAAAATATTTACAAAAGACATATTGAATAAAGGACTGTATCTAAAATATACAAAGAACTCTTAAAACTCAACAATAAGAAAATGAACAACCTAATTTTTAAATAGACAAAAGATCTAAACAGACGCCTCACCTAAGAAGATATACAGACAGCAAATAAGCAATGAAAAGATGCTCGACATAATATGTCATAAGACAACTGCAAATTAAAACAACAATGAGCTACCACTACACACCTATTAGAATGCCCAAAATCCAAAACACTAACAACATCAAATGATAGCAAGTATGTGGAACAATGGGAACTCTCTTTCGTTGCTGGTGGGAATGTAAAATGGTACAGCTATTTTGGAAGACAGTTTGACAGTTTCTTACAAACGCTAACATACTCTTACCATATGATCCAGCCATCATGCTACTTGGTATTTACCCAAATGAACTGAAAACATATGCCTACACCAAAACCTGCACACAAATGTTTATAGCAGCTTTATTCATAATTGCCAAAACTTGGAAACAACCAAGATGTCCTTCAACAAGTGAATGGATAAAAACTGTGGTATATTCATATAATGGAATATTATTCAGTGATAAAGATAAATGAGCTGTCAATAGCTATTACGAAAACATGAAGGAACCTTAAATGTATATTGCTAAGTAAAAGAAGCCAGTCTGAAAAGGCAACAATACTGTTTGACAGTCTGGAAAACGCAAAATCATAGACAGTGAAAAAGATCAGTGGTTGCCAGAAGCTCAGGGACTGGGGAACGGGAAGAATGAATAGTTGTACCAGAAGGCATTTGGGGCATGGTAAAACGACTGTGTACAGTACTGTAATGGTGGATACATGACACTTTGCACTTGCCAAAACCCATAGTACTGCGCACCACAAAGATTGATTTCCTAATCTAAACTATGCACTTAAATTTTTTTTAAATTAAGTAATTCCTTTGTGTTTAAATTTTCTCTGATATTAGTACAGCCACTTTGGCTCTCCCAAAGTTAATGCTTGCATGAGATATCTTTACCATCCTTTTATCTCGAAACTCTTTGAATCAAAGTCACGTCTCTTTTAAAGAGCACATACTAGGTGGGTCTTGTTTTTTGATTTTTTTTTTTTTTTTTTTTGAGACGGAGTCTTGCTCTGTCATCCAGGCCGAAGTGCAGTGGCTCCATCTGGGCTCACTGCAAGCTCCGCCTCCCGGGTTCACGCCATTCTCCTGCCTCAGCCTCCAGAGTAGCTGGGACCACAGGCGCCCGCCACCACACCCGGCTAATTTTTTTAGTAGAGACGGGGTTTCACCGTGTTAGCCAGGATGGTCTCGATCTCCTGACCTCGTGATCCACCCTCTTTGGCCTCGCAAAGTGCTGGAACTACAGGCGTGAGCCACCACACCCGGCCTTTTTTTTTTTTTGGAGACAGAGCCTTGCTCTGTCGCCCAGCCTGGAGTGCAGTGGTGCGATCCTAGCTCACTGCAACTTCCACCTCTAGGGTTCAAGTGATTCTCCTGCCTCAGCCTCCCAAGTAGCTGGAACTACAGGCGCCCGCCGCCATGCCGGGCTAATTTTTTGTATTTTATTAGAGATGGGGTTTCACCGTGTTGCCCAGGCTGGTCTCGAAGTCCTGAGCTCAGGCAATCCACCCGCCTCGGCCTTCCAAAGTGCTAGGATGACAGGCGTGAGCCACCACACCCTGCTAGGTGGGTCTTGTTTTAAAAAATCCAGCCTTGGCCAGACGCGGTGGCTCACGCCGGTAATCCCAGCACTTTGGGAGGCCGAGGCGGGTGGATCACGAGGTCAGGAGTTCAAGACCAGCCTGGCCAAGATGGTGAAACTCTGTCTCTACTAAAAATACAAAAGATTAGCCGGGCGTGGTGGTGGGGCGCCTATAATCCCAGCTACTCAGGAGGCTGAGGCAGAGAATTGCTTGAACTCGGGAGGCAGAGCTGGCAGTGAGCCGAGATCGCACCACTGCACTCCAGCCTGGGCGACAGAGCAAGATTCCATCTCAAAAAAAAAAAAAAAAAAATCCAGTCTTAACAATCTCTGTCGTTTGATTGGGGTGTCTAATCCATTCACATTTAATGTTATTATTTGTATGGTTGAAATTATATCTGCCATTTCAATATTTATTTGTCATGCTCATGACTTCATTTTGTTAGTCTCGTGACTATTCCTTTTCATTGCTTTCTTTTGTAATAAATAGATACTTTCTACTCTATTATTTTAATTCTTGTAATTTTTGATAGTTTTAATTCTAGTTCTTTTCTTAGGAGTTGCTTCATATCTGAAGCACTTAGGGAGGCAGAGCTGCTATCAAAGCAGCCAGTTACCTTGTGGATGAAAACTGCTGTCTGCTCTCTCCCACCTGCTGGAGCCACTGGTTTCTGCTCCAATCTTCCTTTTCAGGGACTGATTTTGCCTAGAGGACCTCCTAAGTCCCAATTTGGCCTGTCGCTCAGGTTCCTGGTTTCAATCTGAGCCTGATGGGCTTAGACTTCTTGACCTGGGGCCCTTTATGCATCACCAGCTATGACCCCAAGCCTTCCTGATCTTTGAGAAGTCCTACTCATCTACCAGAAGCCAGTGACTAAGCTTCTTTTTAGATACAGAAGGCAGAAGCCTGAATCCAATAGATTGGAAAGGTTATTTCAAATGCTATTATTCTCTTATTGCTTTAAAATAGTACTGGAAACAAATGTCTCAGCCCCTACTGCTCCCATACATCATCTCATTAAATCTCTACAAAGTATTAGTTGTGTGCTTTAAATACCCTTGTGCCTGATTTAAGATAAATTATTACAGAAATTGAAACCCTGTTATGATGTGATTATTTAGTGTTAGATTTTTGTGCTATAAAACTACAGAATATCTTAAATATGTTTTCTGATAGATCTAGGGCAGCAAATCCCTTCTGGATATGTTTCTCTGAAATTACACTGAAAGAAATAAACAGCTGTCAGGAGTATGAAGGCTAAACCTTTAGACTGCTGACTCAGTGCTCTGGAAGTTACTATATGTCCTAGAATGAAAGTCACATGCCTTGACATTCAAGTACTCATTTTCTTTTTTGAGGGTCAACATAAATTAGCTGTGTGAGGTTGAAAGGAGGAAGACACACAACTGGCAAATACAAATGCATGTACAATCGCCAGCCTTCTAGTTGTCCAGGAATAGTCAAATATATAGTTAATATTCAAAATTTGGTTAATGCCTCATTTTATAATTGAGAAAACCTATTCTTTTAATGGTTCTCTTTATCTATTGCAGCTACTGAATTATATAATTATTTGTTGCTTTGTCTTGTTTTCTCCTCAAGACTCTATAGAACAGTGGTAATGGAAAGAATAGTCTACAAATATTTAACCAGTGCCTTTTGTCCTTATGCCACATTTCCTTCTAGCCTCTTTCATCTCAAAATCAAGTCAAGGGGTTTATTGCCTGGGGCCGAGAGCAGGTATGTTCTCTCTTGTCAAGAGGCTAGGCTTGAAATCCGTGCTTTGTGGATTTGGTGGATTCTTTCAGCTGCTATTTGAATGGTCTAGGTATGCCTTGCAGCTTAAACCATTTCTTACAGTGGAGATGAAGAGAGTCCTTCCATCCATCTGCTGGACCTGCTGGGCCTCAGGGCTTTCTCTGAAGTGGTAGGGGGAAGATGTCACAGAGGAAATGTAAAGAAAAGTCTACCTCGGCAGTCTACAGCGTGGTGGATAAAAAAAGAGCAGGAAGAGTCTGGCGAGGCGATCAGCCTGATGTAGGTGCTGAGTGTCCCTCACAAAGTCCCAGCATGAAAGGGGTGGCTGAGAGCCGCTGGGTGGGCCCCAAGTCCATGGTGCTAGAGCGAGGTCAGGCTGAGGCAGGGCTGGAGGTGGTTGCATGGATGGCACTACAGGCACTTAGAGGGGTCTAATCTGGGTCCATTGGGGGCTATGCCCCACAAGAGTGGTTCCTGTGCCCACGGGTCCCACCATGAACCCCCCAGCCCCAGGCCTGAGCTCATAAGTAAGCAGGGAGTCCAGAAGCCAAGCAGCCAAGGGCGTCCCTGACACCCAAAGCAATGCCACCACATACAAGGATAGCCAGACGGATCCAAGCTGAGGGCTGGACAGTGCCCACGGAGCCATTTAAAGTCTTGTGTATGTCTTTTTTTCCTCGTTTTTAATTTCATTTGACACTTATGTACAATAAAGTATTGTGTATGTCTAAAGCTTAAATCAGGTGGGCCATTTCCATTTTCCTGGGTTCTGTTGGTTTGTTTGCTTTGTTTTCCTGCTGGTAATAGGTAGTACCTGAGGAAGGCAAGAAAGGATATAAAGAAAATAAGAAACAACACTTTCTCTGCACATCCAAATTGTGGCAAGGATTTTTGCAGGTAAGTTCCAGGTGGACAGGAAGTACATTCATACACACACGTGCACACATCCATCTGCTGGCAGCCTCTGATTTGTGTAGTCGAGGTACAGAACTTAAGAGAAGTGAGAGTCGAAGTAGGGCAAGAGAACATTCACAAATGTCCAACCAGCTCCTGGTCTTTTTTGTTTTTTGTTTTTGTTTTTGACAGATGGTATGGCCCACAAGACCCTAAGATACTTATTATCTGGCACTTAACAGAAAATGTGCCAACCAATTTCAGAAATAATACATCATCATTATCAACTGTATATGCAGAAATGTTCATAATCATATCTTAATAGTTTTGAAGAAATGATCCTAAACATGATTTGCTCTTTCATTATACAGACCAGCACAAGATATACAAGATATTCAAAAAGACTCAATGTATATAACTATCCCGGCATGTACAAAAAAAAAAAAAAGGATTTTTAACATATTCACAATCAAGCATGACCTCGAGGAAGGGGGCTGGGAGGTTAACAGTTGCAGCAACACAAGCATTCTCCAAACTAAAAGAAAAAAAAATTTACCTCAGTAAATAGTCTATATATACTACAGGCTCTGGCGAAATCCGCTCTAAAAATTCTTCACCTTCATCTCCTTTTGATTTCAAATATTCACAAAGGGCACACCAATACAAAGCAATTTCAGGAGTTAACGTTTCCACTAGAATCAATTTCCTTCACTTAAAAGAAAGAGTGTAAGAGAAAGCATGATCTTTATATCATTACAAATTGAAGAGAACATAAATAAGAATAAGAAGATTTGCTTTAAAACCACTATCCTTTTAATTAGAGTCATTAACACAGAAAGGAATGAAGGAACTTAGAACAAAAAAGAACCAAATAAGCAAACATATACTAGGGGTGCATGTTGCTGGATTTTCTCATGGTAGGCTAATTCAAAAATCAAAGTAAGAAACCGAGGGGTAGAAAACCACAGCTAAAGTAGATAGTCTAAGATAAAGTAATGAGTTCTTACACCAGGAGGGGAAAAAAGAAGGGAAAGAAGATATTCATCAGACTAAAAGAAAACAAAAGGGAGGTAAGATTAAAGATATTAATATAATCTTAAGCTATGGGGAGGAAAAAAAACAAATTAATTGTAGAAGTTAATCAGTATTACATTTCAAAGAATGAATCCTTTATGTACCTGCCATCATTGTTTTTACAGATTGCCACCAGTTCACTGAGAGGAGTCATTGAAAACATGGCATTGAGGACAGAGACTGCCACTTCAGAATTTTCTACATCCAACTGCTGAAGCCACTCGAAGATATTTCCCTCAGAGAACCATAACCAGCTTTGGAGAAGATGCTTCCACATAGCTTGTTTCACAGCATCTGATCTCTCATTAAAACCTTGTTGAGGGAGCATTACTGTCTGAGCAATGGACATAGCTCTCATACGAACCTTTTCAGCTAACACCGGATAAGCCAGCTTTCTGACAGCCTCTTTCACATCCTTGGTGCACCCTACAATTTTTGGCAAAGTCTTTGCTGATGGTGCAATACATGATAACACTGCCTGTCTAAGTTCTGGATTCAAATCAATCATTTTCGATCAAAGTAGCATATGCATTAACCACTGGGCATTCATCATCCTTTGGATCCTGAAGTCGTGAAAGCGCCAGAACTGCCTGTATTCTCACATTTGGAATCTTATCTTTCAGTCTAATAAGCATGGCTTCATTAATTTTGTCAAACACACCATCATCAATCTGAGCTTCTTCTGGCATACTTCTCAAAAGCTTGTTTATGCAGCTCCTGGTTCTTGAACTAACGTAGGCATCAGCACAGCTGATTCTCATTCAGGAGAAGACAGTGCTGTGCCCAGGGGCCCCTGAGCCATTGCCCAGCTTTCCAGCTTTCCAGGAAGTCTGCACTGGAGAAGCATTCAACCTCCTCTGAGCTAACATTTTCATGTGCACACGTGATTATGAGTGTGATACAGACATTATTTTACTTGTGTAACTAATTTTTAAATCAGACTAATAAAAAAAGTTATCAGTCTAAATTTTTGCCTGTCTTTTGGACTGTTGGAATGTAGTGAGACAGTGGGATCAGTGACAGAACATCTCCCATGGGGCACTGCATCATGGTGAGGGGGCACTTGAAGTCATGGCACAGAGTAATTGCTCTCCTGGAGTGCCAGAGACGTTTCCCATCTTCCTAGCAGCCCTGAGACCAAGCACAAACAAACCCTTTCCAGACGGAATCACTATGACCCTGCCAAACCCTTTTCAGAATTTCCTAACTCTTGAACTTCATGGAGTCTCAAGAAGCTAAAGAATATTTTCCTTATATTGTATTGAATGTATTTATCACAATATGTATTATTTTTGTCTTTTACTCACAAGTTTCTCAGACAACAATGATGAAGCCCTCTTTTCTGCAACATTAGGTTAATGTGGGTTTTCGTTATCTTCAGGTTTCTTACTACGTCATCCTTCTCTAACATTGTCTTAACTCATTCCTTTCATCCCTATTTTATTTCTCATATCTGTGTCTTTGTTTTTAGAGATGTGGTCTTGCTCTGTTGACCAAGCTGGAGTGCAGTGGCGGGATCACAGCTCATTGCACTCCTCCAACTTCTGGGACCAAGCAATCCTCCCGCCTCAGCCTCTCGAGTAGTTGGGATTACAGGCACGTGGAAACACACACAGCTAATTAAAAAAAAAATTTTTTTTTTTTAGAGACAGGGTCTTGCTATGCTGCCCAGGCTGGTCTTAAACTCCTGGCCTCAAGTAATCCTTCCACCTCAGCCTCCCAACACGCTGGGATTACAGGTGTGAGCCACCATGCCCAGCCCCTGTATCTATTTTTACCTCAACTCAGTCTCCAGCAGAATTTCTAACATCCTCATTGTAATGTTCAACACTGTGTTGGGATCAGAGGTCAGAGTTTGTTTGACATGATGGCCAGCAAATCTAGCGCTGTGGGATTCTTTCTTTTGTGGAAAAGAACGCAGTGGAAGTTTGATAGGCCCAGATGCCTTGGAGCTGTTGTCGTTGGCACTAGGCAAGCTGGTCACAGCCCCGTTTAGGAGTTTAGGAGGTGAGCACCAGCAGCACTTGAGGGTATCGTCTCAAGGGGAACACTGGATGTTCCCTTTTCTGATTTTTGATTCAAAATGTTGATGAATCCAAATTCCGTAGGGCTTCCTGAAGCCTTTCCTGTCGATCTCATCCTTTGCTGAGAGAATACATCAAGCTATGGAACCACATGTGGTACACTAGACAGAGGCCACTCTTCCCACTGGAGAATTCCAAGGGCAGTCAAAGTTCTAAAGAGATGAGCTAAAATACATGGGCAGGATCTTCTATTCCAGATGACACACTCAAGGAGATGGCCATAGAATTGATTGGCTGAGGTCTCAGGTATGGGTGCAGCCTCCATCTCCACTGGTGTAGCTCGGGTACCTGAATGGGGCGGGGCAGGGGGGCTCTCTTGGCGTTTTGAGTGGGACAATTATTTGTGCAGAACTCTTCCACACATTACCAGACATTTAGTGCCCTGGGCCCCCAGGCACCAAATACCAGTAGCCACCCTCTACGTTTCTAAATAATCCACTGGAGATGGTGCCTCCTCCAGTTGAGACACAGTAGCTCTAGCTACCCAGTGTGAATGACTGATTTCACAGCACTTTGTTTAGTTAGAATGTCCTGTTTGTTTCTTTACAGAAAAGCTACATTTTAAAACTTTCAGTAAATTAGCAGCAATACTAGACCTAACTGAAATGATGCTAGTTTCCCCCTAGCTAGCTCTCACTTCCTGACAGCCTTGCAACTTGAAGTGTGGTCCTCAGACCTGCAGCATCAGTACTCCCTGAAACCTTGTTAGAAATGCAAAATTTTCGGCCGGGCGTGGTGGTTCACGCCTGTAATCCCAGCACTTTGGGAGGCCAAGGCGGGCGGATCACGATGTCAGGAGATCGAGACCATCCTGGCTAACACTGTAAAACCCCGTCTCTACTAAAAATACACAAAATTAGCCAGATGTGGTGGCGGGCGCCTGTAGTCCCAGCTACTTGGGAGGCTGAGGCAGGAGAATGGCGTGAACCCAGGAGGCAGAGCTTGCAGTGAGCCAAGATTGTTCCACTGCACTCCAGCCTGGGCGACAGAGCGAGACTCCATCTCAAAGATAAAAAATAAAATAAAAATAAAAATAAAAAAAAGAAATGCAAAATCTTCAAAATCAGAAACTGTATTTTGACAAGATCCCCATTTGAATCCGCATGCACATTAAAGTTTCAGATGCAGGGGCCATGCATGATGGCTCACGCCTGGAATCCCAACACTTTGGGAGGCCAAGACCAGCAGATCACTTGAGATCAGGAGTTCGAGACTAGCCTGGACAACATGGTGAAACCGCGTCTCTAATAAAAATACAAAAAATTAGCCAGGCGTGGTGGCACACGTCTGTAATCCCAGCTGCTCGGGAGGCTGAGGCAGGGGAATCACCTGAACCTGGGAGGCGGAGGCTGCAGTGAGCCGAGATGGAACCACTGCACTCCAGCCTGGGTAACAGAGTGAGAGTCTGCCTCAAAAAAGGAAAAGTTTTGGATTTAGGGCTTTAGAGAACACCCTGGACAATCTCAAGATAACTTGTTGTAGTTGGACCTTTTCCCCCTTGGTGGAACAAATGTTTTGGATCCTAACCCCAAATGGTACAAACCCTTCTGATTTGCACTTTCCATTTGTAATGAAAGTAGAGACTTTTCTATCAAAGAACCATCATGTTCCAACAACATCAACTAGGCTGCACTGTAATTATGAAAAGGCCAGAATATCAGGTAATCTTAATAGTTCCTAGTAGTTATTCCTATCAGCCAATGAGACAGTCAAGGCCTGGAGTTGTGCCCAGTTGCTTATGTTTTAGGGTAAAAGCTGGAAGCATTTGCTCAGGAGCTGTACTGCCTGAGGTTGCCCACCTTTCCTATTTGTCACTATTGTTATTTTATTTTTAACCAGTTGTTCTTCCTAGTCTACTGAAAACCCTGCTCGTAACACCCACCGACACCCATTTCCCATTATCTGCAGCAACAAAAATCCCAAAGGCCCCAAGAATACAAATGTGCAAAGGGAACACATAAAGGAGGGATTGTGCCTCAGCACTGCTGGCAGGATTCTCACCAGCATAAAGGGCTGCTTGTGCCGGCTGTGCTCATGGTCAGCTGACTGCTGGACAGCAAAGCATCAGAAACTCTTGAACCTGCCTGCTCCTGTCTGCAACTGGAGCAACAGTGAACTCAGACCAATTTAAGGTCCAAAAGCTCCCAGCACATAGGCCTGCCTGGGCCCGAGTGAACGTCACTTCTTTGTTGATTGTGCTGACTGAACTCTCATCTGCCCAGAAGTTAGCAAACCATTTGCCAGTTGTCAGCAAAGAAAAGGTGGGCAATCTTAACAAATTCAACTTGGGGTTATCCTTTTTTACTTCAAATCCCAGATTTTAGGTTCCCTGCAAAGTACATTTTCAGGCATATTTAGGTGAACTATGGGTGTTTTTTGTTGGTTTGTTTGTTTTGAAAGGTTATTTTTGGTCAGGTGTGGTGGCTCACACCTGTAATCCCAGCACTTTGGGAGGCAGAGGCGGGCAGATCATAAGGTCAGGAGTTCAAGACTAGCCTGGCCAACATGGTGAAACCCCGACTCTACTAAAAAAATACAAAAATAAACCGGGCATGGTGGTGTGTGCCTGTAATCCCAGGTACTGGGGAGGCTAAGGCAGGAGAATCACTTGAACCTGGGAGGCAAAGGTTGCAGTGAGCTGAGATCGTGCCACTGCACTCCAGCCTGGGCGACAGAGCAAGACTCCATCTCAAATAAAAAAAAAAAAGAAAAAAGAAAAAAAAAGAAAGGTTTTTTTTGTTGTGGTGGTAAAATATACATAACATAAAATTTACCACTTTAACCATTTTAAGTGTACAATCCAGAGACATTTAGTACACGCACATTGTCGCACCACCATCACTATCTAGTTTCAGTATACCATTTGCTCACTAAAGATGAGAAAGTAATGTAGGGAAATATCTGGAACTATCTTCAAACTAAATATAGTCAAAAGACTATTGTGTTAGGCCATTTTCATTGCTATAAAGGAATACCTGAGGGTGGGTAATTTCTAAAGAAAAGAGGTTTTTTTGGTTCAGTTTCTGCAGGCTGTACAAGCACAGCACCAGCATCTGCTCAGCTTCTGGTGAGGCCTCAGGAAGCTTTAAATCAGGGCACGCAGGGTCACGCGGTGAGAGAGAGAGTGAGAGAGAGAGAGAAGGGGGAGGTCCCAGACTCTTTTAAACAACCAGATCTCACGTGAACCAACTGAACAAGAACTCACTCATTATCAAGGGGATGGCACTAAGTCATTCACGAGGGATCTGCTCCCACGATCCAACACATCCCACCAGGTCCCACCTCCAGTATGGGGGATTACAGTTCAACATGAGATTTGGAGGGGATAAACATCCAAAACATATCCACTTCTTTCTTTCTTCCTTCCTTCCCTCCTCCCTCCCTCCCTTCCTCCCTTCCTCCCTCCCTCCCTTCCTTCCTTCTTTCTTTCCTTCCTTCCTTCCCTCCTTCCCTCCCTCCTTCTCTCTCTCTCTTTCTTTCCCTTTCTTTCTTTCTTTCTTTCTTTCTTTCCTTTCTTTCTTTCTCTCTCTCTTTCTCTCTTTCTTTCTTTTTTTCATTCTTTCTTTCTGAGACAGGATTTCACTCTGTTACCCAGGCTGGAGTGCAGTGGTACAATCAAGGCTCACTACAGCCTCAACCTCTTGGGCTCAAGGGATCCTCCCACTTCAGCCTCCCAAGTAGCTGGGACCACAGGTGTGCGCCACCACCCCCAGATAATTTTTTTACTTTAATTTTGTGTAGAGACAGGGTATCACTATGCTAACCAGACTGGTCTCGAACTGCTTGGCTCAAGTGATCCTCCTGCCTTGGCCTTCCAAAGTACTGGGATTACAGGCATGAGCCACCACACCTGGCCAAAAGGACTATTTTCTATTCACTAACAATCCACGTTATTTCTTTATTATTACATATACACATTGTTTTCTACTATCAATAGCTTTCTTACTAAGTCTGAACCATCTAAGCAAGTATAATACAAATAGAAAAGTCATTAATTATATGTGTTATTCTTCATAAATTCAAAGCAATCGTTCCACTTATTTTAATGTTTTAAAAATCACTATCCAACAATGAATGTTTTTAAAATTCTTAACTGTGTGGTGAGATAAATACTTTGCTCCTTTCATATATCCTCAAATGTATGTCTATTTATAGAACTTAAACACATACATTTTAGAGCTGTCTGACTTTATCAAAAGGCTAGTCTTTGGAAGCAAAAGACCAAAATATTGGCACAAAAAAATTGCTGCCCGGAAAATTTGGGGTTGTTATCTTAATAACATAAGTCATAATTAAGGCTATTTGTGGACCCCTGGTTGTGGGTCGATAAGGCTGTGATTAAGTTCTCATTTTTTTTAATTGGTCATAGCTTTTCATTATTCTTATCTTTTTATAGCCACCTTCCCCAACCAATAAAAGCCTCACTCTAGTTTTGGGTCTAAGGCACCTTCTTCCATAAGCACCATTCACAGGAGAAATGGTCTTTCAACCAGTCATAGTTGCTTCAGCACTTTGCTCCCATCAGCCATAGTTGAAGAACCACTTCTCCTTCTGGATGGTGCTTATGGAAGAAGGTGCATCAGGATGCAAAGGCATAAGAATGATACATTGGACTTTGGGGACTCAGGGACAAAGTGTGGAAAGGGGGTGAGGGATAAAAGACTACACGCTGGGTGCAGTATATACTGCTCAGATGATGGGTGCACCAAAAGCTCACAAATCACCACTAAAGAATTTACTCATGTACTCAAATATCACTTGTTCCCCAAAAACCTATGCAAATAAAAAAAATTTTTTTTTTAAAAAGAAGGTGCCTCAGACCCATAGTTTTCATTCTGGCACACACACATCAAACAGAGAGTCTGTTGTATCTGGGCATTTTTTGTCATTTGTAAGAATAAACTTTGCTTTCAGCTTTTCTCAGGATTTATGTATTTCTTTTCCCCATCACCCAGTGAATACTAACCAACCATAAAGGACACTACATTTAGACAATTATTCAGGTAAACAGTGACTATGTTATGAAAAAGTTAGGACAAGATAAGTTCCAAGCACTGGATTTCCACAAGATCAAACTGAATGGTTAAGCCAGATAAATGTTTAACTCACTCATTGTACCACCAGATATTTTGAAACTTTCAATAATCTATTACATACTTTTCTTTCCTCTTAAACATACTATTCTGGGCAAATTTTATTCTATGGATTGTATGTGTTATACATAAACACATGTTTCTGGGAAATAATGACTTAACATGATAGACAGGTAAAGAAGTTAGGAAGTCTTGAGTCAAGAAAAGTGTTTGAAAATATTTAGATTTAAATGAATGCCATATTGAGGAGGGAGTAGCCTTTCTTTCAGTGGCCTTGGAGGGCAGATATCTGACCATGGGAGGAGTCACAGAAAGGCAATGTTGAACTTTGCAAATGGAAGATTGTTATAGACTTTAGAATTATTCAATTGTGGAACAGGTCTCCTTTGGAGGCAGTTTGTCTCTCAAAATGCTCGAGCAAAGACCAAACCACTATAGATGAGAATCTTGTAACAGCAGCCTTGTATCAATTCGTTGTTGCTTGAACTCCTTTCTGACCTCAGTTTGCTTACGTAGCCAGAGAGCAGAGCTTGAACTTCTGGTTTATTGCTAGACTATAAAATAGAGATTGTCTCAGAGTATTTCAGTTCATGAATTTTTGCCGCTTTCTGAGAGGTAGGTCCTTTCTAAAAATGGTCACCCCAATCCATCCTATCCTGCATGCTGTTTTGTGATGTATCATTCCCAGCAAAGAAATGAAATATCTTTCCCCTTCCCTTGAATATAGATTGGCTTCATGACTTGATCTAACCAACAGAAAGCTCTGGAAGTGGCATTGTGACTTCTGGGCCTAGGCCATAAGAGGCCTAGCAGTTTCTGTTTCTGCCTTCTTGGAAGCCAGCTGGTGTGTAAAGAAGTCCAGCGTGTCCTGTTGGAGACGCTACATGGAAAGGAACAGGGTCTGGATGATGAGAGGCCACAGACAGGAGAATCAAGGTGCCCGAGCCGGCCGACAGCTTGGAACTTTCCCAGTTAGCCCCACTGGAGCTGAGATGAGCTGTTGCCATCAGCCCTCACCCAAATTCCTGACCCACAGAATTGTGAGCAATAAAATGGATATTGATTTAAGCCACTAAATGCTGGGCGGGTTTATGACACAGCAGTAGATAATTGAAACAGAAATTGCTATCTGGAAGTGGGATACTGCCATAACCAAACCCTAAAACATTTGTCATTGGCTCTGATATTGGGAGGCAGCAGAGGCTAGAAGGGCAGTGAGGAAATTGTTAGGAAGCCTGCAATAGCAGTGAGAAAATTGCTTTTGGAAGCGTGACAAAAGATGTTACATAGTAGTGAGATTTTTGGCCACATTGTCACCTGTAATGTCATGAAAGACAGAAATAAAATATAGCTAATGAACTTGATCTGAATAAGGAGATTTTTAGGTAAAATATTGAAAGTACAATTGGCTTCTTTTACCTGTGTTAAAAGTGCAGGAAGAAAGAGATGAATGGAGAGTGCAGGAAGTGCAGGAAGAAAGTGATGAAGTGCAGGAAGAAAGTTACAAAGTGCAGGAAGAAAGTGCAGAATAAAGTGCAGGAAGAAAGAGATGAATGGAAAGAAAGAACTCTTTAGGTTTTAGTAAAGTGCAGGAAGATAAAGTGCAGGAAGAAAGAGATGAATGGAAAGAAAGAACTCTTTAGGTTTTAGTAAAGTGCAGGAAGATAAAGTGCAGGAAGAAAGAGATGAATGGAAAGAAAGAACTCTTTAGGTTTTAGTAAAGTGCAGGAAGATAAAGTGCAGGAAGAAAGAGATGAATGGAAAGAAAGAACTCTTTAGGTTTTAGGCAGCAGTAAGAAGAAACAGAGGGCCCAGGACAGCATCTCCGGCCAGCAAAACATTCTCAAAGTAAGAAATGGCCAAGGTAAGTAAACATTAAAAAAAAGGTTTGTCTATAAGCTCCCTTATGATTACTATTTTAATAAGGTAAAATGCCCATCTTTTTTTTTTTTTCTTTTGAGATGGAGTCTCACTCTGTTGCCCAGGCTGGAGTGCAGTGGCATGAACTTGGCTCACTGAAAACTTTGCCTCCTGGGTTCAAGCGATTCTCCTGCCTCAGTTTCCTGAGTCCTGGGATTATAGGCATGTGCCACCATGCCCAGCTAATTTTTGTATTTTTAGTAGACACGGGGTTTCGCCATGTTGGCCAGGCTGGTTTCGAACCCCTGACCTCAGGTGATCCACCCGCCTCGGCCTCCCAAAGTGTTGGGATCACAGGCGTGAGCCACTGTGCCCAGCCAAGATCCCTTATTAAAACTTCTATAAGATTTAAGGCAGCACCTAGTAGACTTTCTCAACTAGACAGTTGGACTTCTAAGAATCTTAAGAGCATTTACCATAGCAGCCTCACATGTGGCCCAAAGTACAGAAAAGCGCATCTTAGAAAGAATTATGGATGTAGTCCTTCTGCTATGGTGTGATCCTCAATAAGACTCAACAAGAACTCAGAACTTTTTTTTAAATTTTTAAAATGTGTATATATTTATGTGGTACAATTTTGTTAGATGAATACATTGTGTAGTGGTGGAGTCGGAGCTTTTAGGTTACCCATCACCCAAATAACATAGGTTGTACCACCAAGTGATTTATCATTCTCTCTCCCTATCTCACCACCCTTCCTAATCTCCACTGTCTATCATCCATACTCAATATCCATGTTTACCCACCGGTTAGCTCCCACTTATGAGAGAAAACATGCAGTACTTGACTTTCTGTTTCTGAGTTGTTTCACTTAAGATCATAGCCTCCAGTTCCATCCACGTTGCTGCAAAAGACATCATTTCATTCTTTTTTATGGCTGAATAGCATTCCATTGTGTATATAGACAAATATTTTCTTTTACCTATCATTTGTTGATGGACACTTAGGCTGATATCTATGCTATTGTGAAGAGTGCTGTGATATACATGAGTACAGGTATCTTTTTTTATAAAATGATTTCTTTACTCTGTGTAGATACCCAGTAGCGAAACTGCTGGATCGAATTGTAGTTCTATTTTTATTTCTTTGAGAAATCTCCATGATGTTTTCCATAGAGGTTGTACTAATTAACATTTCTGCCAGCAATGTGTAAGCCATTCCCTTTTCTCCACATCCTCACCAACATCTGCCATTTTTTGTCTTTTTAATAATAGCCATTCTGGGCTGGGCGCCATGGCTCACACCTGTAATCCTAGCACTTTGGGAGGCCGAGGCTGGTGGATCACAAGGTCAGGAGTTCAAGACCAGCCTGGCCAGCATGGTGAAACCCCGTCTCTACTAAAAATACAAAAATTAGCCAGGCGTGGTGGGGCACTCCTGTAATCTCAGCTACTAGGGAGGCTGAAGGAGGGGATTTGCTTGAACCGGGGAGGCGTGGGTTGCAGTGAGCTGAGATTGCACCATTGCACTCCAGCCTGGGCAACAGAGCAAGACTCCATCTCAAAATAATAATAATAATAGCCATTTTGATTGGTGTAAGATGATATCTCATTTGGTTTTAATTTGCATTTCTCTGATAACT
Source organism: Homo sapiens (assembly GCF_000001405.40). Classification (NCBI taxonomy): domain Eukaryota; kingdom Metazoa; phylum Chordata; class Mammalia; order Primates; family Hominidae; genus Homo; species Homo sapiens. The sequence goes on along the minus strand of NW_011332701.1, from coordinate 2,167,945 downwards.
AGTGATGTTAAGCATGTTTTCATATGCTTGTTGGTCATTTGTGTGTCTTCTTTTGAAAAATGTCTATTTGGCCGGCCACGATGGCTCACTCCTGTAATCCCAGCACTTTAGGCCGAGGCGGGTGGACCACTTAACTAGGAGTTCGAGATCAGCCTGGCCAATACAGCGGAACCCCATCTCTAACTAAGAAGAAAATACAAAAATTAGCCAAGCGTGGTGGCACACACATCTGGTCCCAGCTACATGGGAGGCTGAGGCAGGAGAATTGCTTGAGTCCGGGAGGCAGAGGTTGCAGTGAGCCAAGATCACCCGACTGCACTCCAGCCTGGGTGACAGAGTGAGACTCTGTCTCAAAAGCAAACAAACAAAAAAGAAAGTAAAAATGTCTATTCATGTCCTTTGCCCACTTTTTAATGGAATTATTGGTTTGTTGTTGTCGTTGAGTCATTTGAATTCCTTCTAAATTCTGGATATTAGTCCCCTGCTGCATACTTGCTAAAGCCAGCTATAACTAAATGGAGCAGGGACATTATTTCAAAATGAAATGAACTCTCTGGGTCCCCAGTTTTTAGGGGCAAGCAGCAGATTGTGAAAGCTACTTCTAATGAAAATGAAGGACAACTTGGAGGGCAGAGCCAAGAGCACAGAGGATGAACTAAAGAGCCTCAAAAAAAGAGTGGATCGGGGAATTACTTCCAGTGAGCAGTACTAGACCCTGACTAAGGAACATTTTCTATCTCGGGTAAATACGCGCCTGGCTGGACTTTAGAACTGTAATGGACCAGTGGCTGCTATGTGCTTCCCATTCTTTGTCTTAGTTTGTATAACTCAGATGTCAGGAGGTTCAGATAAAATTTTCTGAGCCCTTTGCTGTGGGTGGTGGAAGACACACTCCTTAAAGTCCTTGAGGAGCGTGAAGCAGTCCAGTTCCTATTTGCTCTGATCACCTTCACTGCTGAATCGGGTCAGGGGAAGGAATTTCTCACTGCCCCACATGCGCCGCTCCTGTTGCACCCTGCGTCGCATAAAATACGTTTCTTTTTCTCAAAAGCAGCTTTCACACAAGGTGTGTGTTTATGAAGCACATTATAAGAAAGATCTGAAGTAATAGTGAAGATGGAGTCACCTCAAGTCTCCAGTCTTTGTTCTTAAAAAGTCTTCTGACCCTATCTACCAGCTCAGCTTCCAGCCTCCCGCCAAACTATTTAGCCCTCTCTCCCCCGCACCTCCAAATCTCTGTACATTCTTTTGGAGAATTCAGCTCTGGGACACAATTTGAATTTCCAAAGGCCCTGATAGACAGGAATCTCAAGCTCTTCTCTTTCTCCCACTAATCTCTCTGTTATGGGGTGAAAAAAGTCCATAGAGAGGTTTTTCCTCCACTGAAAAAGAATCACGTTGCCTTTCTCAGAAAGCAGAGGCAGTTATGGATAATTCGGACTCTATTTTTTTTCCCTTTTTCATTATGGTTAGATAGCACTCAGTGAAAACAACAATTGAGATAAGAGTTTACCTAATAACATTGAGGGCTAGAGTGGAAATCGCTAAGGAAGATAAGGTGCTGAGAATCTGAAGTTTCTTTCCACATGAAATTTAGTACTATTTTAAACTGTTAAGATTGTAGTTATAAAGAAAATAATAAAATTTTAAACTGAGATAAATATCTGCTATTAAGGACAAAAATAGGATGAAATGAAAGAAGAGGCTGAGCTGCTGCAAGGTCACCACCCACAAGCGTCAGATAATTGCTTCATATGCTGGCCATTGATTTCAATAGCTCAAGAGCTAAATCAGTACCAAACTGGAGTGAAACTCTTTTTTAAACTATTGGCTTGCATGCTTAGTTTAATTATACAGTTTTAATTACAATATTTAAGGCTAGTTACAGATGTATAATTTAGGCATATTTATAATTTTGACATTTGTATATGTACATATGAAATGCATTGTGCCATATAAGCTAAGCTGTTGAAAAATTACCAAAAGGTACTTGATATTTCAAAACCTAAGCACCAACTATAAAGGAGAAGACTAATAAACTGAACGAGATTAAAATATAAAACTTCTACTGATCAAAAGACATACTAAAAAAAAAAAAGAAAAGTAAAAAATCTGCATAAACTAGGAGAAGCTATTTGCAACACATCTAACTCTCCTAAGGGACTAATCCAGAATATATATGTATAAGAAAAAGACAACATAAAAATTATCATAAAAGACAAATGGAAATTTCACTAATAATCAGGAAAAGTCAAGTTAAAACCATCATAAGATATCATTTTATTTATTTATTTTTTGTTTTAGATGGAGTCTTGCTCTGTTGCCCAGGCTAGAGTGCAGTGGCGTGATCTCAGCTCACTGCAACCTCCGCCTCCCAGGTTCAAGCAATTCTCCTGCCTCAGCCCCCTCAAGTAGCTCAGATTACAGGAATGAACCACCATGCCTGGCTAATTTTTGTATTTTTAGTAGAGACGGGGTTTTGCCATGTTGGCCAGGCTGGTCGCGAACTCCTGACCTCAGGTGATCCACCCACCTCGGCCTTCCAAAGTGCTGGGATTACAGGCATGAGCCACCGCGCCTGGTCGAGATATCATTTTATAGTCGTCAGGTTGGGAACAAGCAGAGAGCCTCACACCATCAAGTGTTGGCAGACTATGGAATAATGTGTGGTGGGGTTGCAGTGGGAGTGTTGGAGAACAATTCAGAACTTTCCATCCAAGCTGGAGCCATACACATATGACCCAGCAATTATGCTCTTAAATCTAGAGCTAAGGCTCTTTTTAACCTGATAAAATTCATACTTCAGTAAAATTTTTTTTAAAGTATAATCATTAACTTTTTGTGTTTTTTTTTTGAGGTGGAGTTTCATTCTTGTTGCCCAGGCTGCAGTACAATGGCGCTATCTCAGCTAACTGCAAACTCTGCCTCCCAGGTTCAAGCGATTCTTCTGCCACAGCCTCCCGAGTGCCTGGGATTACAGTCTTGCGCCACCAAGCCCAGCTAATTTTTGTATTTTTAGTAGAGATGGGGTTTCAGTATGTTGGCCAGGCCGGTCTCGAACTCTTGACCTCAGGTGATCCGCCAACCTTGGCCTCCCAAAGTGCTGGGATTACAGGAGTGATGTTTCTTTTTTTTGTTTTTTTGAGACGGAGTCTCATTCTGTCGCCCAGGCTGGAGTGCAGTGGCGCGATCTCGGCTCACTGCAACCTCCGCCTCCTGGGTTCACGCCATTCTCCTGCCTCAGCCTCCCGAGTAGCTGGGACTACAGGTGCCCGTCACCACGCCTGGCTAATTTTTTGCATTTTTAGTAGAGACGGGGTTTCACCGTGTTAGTCAGGATGGTCTCAATCTCCTGACCTTGTGATCCACCCGCCTCAGCCTCCCAAAGTGCTGGGATTACAGGTGTGAGCCACCGCACCTGGCCAGGAGTAATGTTTCATGTTAAACATCATTTGCATATTTAACCAATCAAATTCCCTTGGCTATTTGAAAGTTTTATTTTAATATAACTCCCCCTCTCAAACATTCGAAATATACAAAGGGAGAGTTACAAATGTAAGAAACCTTCCTCTTAACAATCTACTACATCAGCCTTATAAATTTTGTAGAGAGAAATCTTTTTAAGCCTTTCAAAAATCATTTAAAACATTAACATAGTATGCACAGGACATCATAATGGTTACATTTAAACACAAATTACATAAGAGTACATTGGGTTTTTATACTTTCCAGAGATTATAAATTATTCATTCAGCTAAAGGGAAGAAAACAAGTATGTCAGACCAACTAACAAGGTCAAAAGCACAGGACAGTGATATGATCTCCAAATGAAAGGCACTGGAGACCATGGGACACAGGACCCAGCGTCTCTGAGTTGGGCATCTTCTTAGGAGCAAACTCTGTCTGCCCTGGCATCCACAGTTGCCAAATCCATGGCTATCAATTGTATCAAGTAGTCCGTTGAAATTAACCAATTTCAATTTCAATTTCAATTTCACAATCCAGTGATTCTCCTGCCCCACCCAACCCCTGCAAAATGACCTGCCCTTAAATTCATGAGTGCCTTTCAGGTCTTGGTTTTAAATTTCATTTTCTCTAACTCTTGTGTAAATTCCTATACTAACGCTTAAAATATTCTAATGGAATTTTGAGCTGCTTAGCTGTAATGGCATCGTCTTTCTTATCTTATTCAGAATAGTGGCTATCCAGGAGGCCTTATTTTAATATTATGCCATGGAAGCGACTTGTTCTCTTTTCTTTATTCATAAAGATTGTCTAGTTAATACATGTCAAAACCCCATATTAACAGTCCCTGCTTGAGTCTTCTCAGAATTTCTAATTTAATTTTGTGTGGCTAAAAGAGAATTGCAAAATACCCAAGCTTAGTTTCTGCTATTAATTTTCTCGCAGCCTTTCTGGGATTATTGGTCTATGGAAGCTGATTTCAGATTATCATCTCATTTTCCTGCTGTTCATTTTAGCCTTTCAGTGTATCTTTAACTCAGAAACGTCTACATTTAAAAAACTCTCATTTATAGCTCTCGCAGCTAGCACAATGCCTGGCAAATAGTATATACTCAACAATTATTGATTAATGGAATGGAGGACTAAATTGATTAATTATTATCTTTAGTAATCACTTGTACCTCAGTAATCCAAATAATTTCTAAGAGAAATTTAACATATATGGAAATGTAAGCTAAGAATTAGCACACTATTTCTATAACTGCCTCTCTTATGGTCTTTGCGAAATTTTAATACTTCCTCTCAGCCGCAACATCAATCTGACAATTAGCCTCACATTCTGAGCTTCCAATTGCTGATGATTAATAGAGCAGAATTTTATCAAAATCCTGCAATGGATATTTTGTTGTGCAAGGAGAAAATGTTATCACCAAGGGGTTTTTAATTACCAAGTGATTTGTGTCACTAACCCATGCCTGACCTTGTCCCTTCCCACCTCTTGATTAGTCTGATGATGCCAGACATGGCTCTGGGTCAAAAGCAGAAAACAGCAGATGGTGTCATACCACTTAGAGATAAAGGAAAAACAAACGAAGCTCATTTGATGGGGTAGGAGGACGGGGAGCATTGAGTAGATGGTGGTACACCAAAATCCCTGGATGTGAAGGCTGGGATCTGGATAAATTTCAGTGATTTACCTATAGACTTTGAAGAGAAACTAAAAATCTTAAAGAAACAATTGACATTTTTTTAAAAAAAAGATCATACTTACTGATGAATGATTAAGATCCTTCACGGCAAAGACTGCAGGCTGCTTACCCAATATCCTCTCTCTCTTTGTGCCTTAGAAACATAACTCAGATTTTGCTTAGGGGGAAAGTGTGCCAAGCTAAAAAGCTTTACTCCCCATCCTCCCTTGCAGTTAAGGGGCTGGTCAATGAAATTTAAATATAAGTCTTTGATTGGCGTTTCCTGCAACTCTCTTTACTGGGGTTTTTTCATGCCAATGAGGGAAGAGCCTGCTTGCCCCTTGTCTTTCCCTTTCTATTCTCCTAAAATGCAGACCTACTGGCTGGAGCTCTGGCAGATATTTTGTGACCTCGAAGATGCAAGCAACATGCTGAAGAACGCAGAATGGAAGGAAGTGCTTGGGTCCCTCATGATGTGGTGAAGCTGCCTTACCCATCCTGGACTGACAAGACTAATAATTTTTTTTTTACATCACAGAAAAAGAAGGCTTTAATTTATTTAAGCCACTATGCTAGGTTCTCAGTCACTAGTACCAACATAATTTCTAGCTGATACAGCCTAGAATTTTGTATGTTTACTACACAACAAATCAAAGATCGGTTCACTCATAAGACAAACATTTATTAAGCACCAAATGTGTGTGAGGAACTGGGAAAGCCATTATAGAGAACTCAAAAATGGATCAGACCAGGATCTGTCTTCCGAAGTCACTGTCTACTGAAGGAGGTAAGACATGTACACCTGCAATGGTAACACAAGATAGAATCACAGAACAGCTGACAATAGCTTTCAGCCTAGGAGACTTCTTGAAGAAGGTGAAGTGTGCAGATTGTGAACTGAGCAAACTTGAAAAAACAAATGCCATCGCAGTATATATAAGAGGAAAATGGCACATTTTCTTGAGAGGAGACACATATGATTGATAATTCCTCCTGTTTGTTTCCTACACAATTCATCTGTATTTAAGAGCCACCAGAGACCAAAAGTGAAAGATGCCACTAGGAGCTTTGCCAACTCTTGGCAGTGCTTGAACCAAGCACTCCATGGAAGAAATTCCTCATTTCACGTCAATGGAAGGAAACAATTAAAGTGATGTAAGAGCTGTTACCTCCACCAAACAGGAGCAGAATAATTTAGCCCTGGCACTGACAAGTGCCAGAATTCACTGCCCTGCTCCTCACTCAAATCCACCCTCGCAGGACGTAAGCAAGTATGTATTCCAGCATTCCCCAGAGTCCCTGGGTGGCTCTCCTCCATTAAATTCCTGTTTATATAATGTGAAGACTATTTCCTGTTATTATATACAAAAATAGTCTCCCAGCCTTTTCAGGTCTGAGATAGCCTCTTTCCTTTCTCCTTTTACCAGCTTTTCACTGCAACAAGTGTCATCAAACTTCCCTGATCTTTCTCTCAGCAGGTGCCTGTGTCTATGGATAGGGGAATGTGACATATCTGAAAAGGCACTTAACAGGTGTCAGAACATGTGTGCTCTAGATGGGAGTTTACTGTTATCTGTGACTTGGTTTACATCCTGGGGCTAAGATTTTTATATCTTTCACCAAAGGGAGTGTCACTAGTATATCTATAAGGCTGCTCTCACCTCTAAATATATCACTATATCTATAATTGCTTGTAAATTATCACTCACCTGACATTATGACTCTAGGCAGCTCCAATTTCCTGTAAAGACTACTTTGAGGCCAATGCCTTAGGAACTATTATGCAAGAAGATATATTTAATTTCAATGACCACATATTTTATTTCTGGAAGTTCAGTCTAGTTTTTTCAAATTAATTTTTTCTTGATACTAAGATGTTCTTGTGTTATGTGACTCCTGGTTTTATAATCTTGATATTTTACTAATATTTATTTATTATATTTTCTAAAGTTCTGAGAGTCTAATCTTGCTGACTATTGCGTCTGTTGACTTTTCATCAGGATGAATTATTTCATCATGTTATTGTAATTTAGGTTCATGAGCTCCCATTTGGTGGACGTTCCATGTGACCTGGGTACAGGTGTATTTCTCTAAAGCGGTTTTATGTTGCTTCTGCCAGGTGCCCAGCAGTAGTATCATCCTAGAGTGATTAATTCTTATGTTAATGTTTCTACCTAGAGATTACTGGCTCACATGGGTAATGTAATTTAGAATATCAGACCAACATGAGGTCCAACCCTGGATTATCAAGATTATCAATCTTCTCTGGGCACATTTTTCCCTGCATTTTATTCTTTTCTTTTTTCTTTCTTTCTTTCTTTTTTTTTTTTTTTTTTGAGATGGAGTCCCACTCTGTCACCTAGGCTGGAATGCAATGGTGCAATGTTGGCTTACCGCAACCTCCACCTCCAGGGTTCAAGTGATTCTCTTGCCTCAGCATCCTGGACAGCTGGGATTACAGGCACACACCACCATGCCTGGCTAATTTTTTTGTACTTTTATTAGAGATGAGTTTTTGTCGTGTTTGCCAGGCTGGTCTCGAACTCCTGACCTCAGGTGATCTGCCCACCTCAGCCTCCCAAAGTGCTGGGATTACACCCCTGATTTTATTCTAACTGGAGTGCAAACCAAAACACAAAAGCTTTATTTTGTCTCCCTGTGTCCGTAATTTTTTTTCTAGTCTATCATGTCCCTGTGGTATAGCTTTATCCAGGGTCTCACTTCAACCTTCCCATCTCCCTTAGGCCCAAAGCCTGTCCTGGACAGCAGGTGACCATTAAAATCCAAGCTGCCTGGCTACTGAGACCAGTACATCACTACTGCACCTAAGGCAACTACAGCATCAGCTCCCCATATCTCTGCTTGTTGATTATCTCTTTGTTTTCCACCCTTGGAATTCACCATACTTTCTTGCCAGCTGAACAATGCATTTTTAAAATGTTTGTCATATTTCATTGTTCCAAGGTCTAATCTAGCCGGATTGCAGTCCAAAGATACTTGTTTAAAAAATGAATCGCAGGCCAGGCACAGTGGCTCATGCCTGTAATCTCAGCACTTTAGGAGGCTGAGGCAGGTGGATCCCTTGAGCCCAGGAGTTTGAGACCAGCCTGGGCAACATGACAAAACCCCATCTCTACAAAAAATACAAAAATTAGCCAGGTGTGGTGGTACACCCCTGTTGTCCCAGCTACTCGGGAGGCTGAGGTGGGAGCATCACTTGAGCCCAGGAGGTCAAAGATGCAGTGAACCATGATCGTGCCACTGTATCCCACCCTGGGTGACAGAGCAAGACCTTGTCTCAAAAAAGAAAAGAAGGAAGGAAGGAAGGAGAGAGAGAGAGAAAGAGAGAGAAAGAAAGAAAGAAAATGTAATCATGCTATCTCCATCTTAAGTGATTCCACGTTTTCTGTTTTGTTCTTTCTCCCCGTAAGTTTCATAAAGGCAGGAACTGTGTCTTTCTTTGTGTTGTGGTTATTAGTTTACATAATTGCAAAGACTTTAATAGAATGCACAGAACATATATGCATAAGTCAAAGAGGAATTGTAATTCAAATACCTATGTAACCACATCCGCATGACAAAGAGGGCACCCCAAAAGCAACCTTATAAAGGTAGCCACTATTCTAACTTTTAAAATATTCATTTCCTTGCTTTTCTTTATGGTTTTAATATATATATATATCTCCAAACAATGTAGTTTAGTTTTAAATAAAGTTGAACTTTAAATGGGATCAATGGGATTATATAGTAAACACCAACCTGTAACCTGCTTCTTTCACACTGAACATTGTCTGTGACATTCATCCATTTTGTTCTGTCTAGCTGTAGTTCACTGATTTTCATTTCCTTGTAGGACTGTAACAATTTAATTATCTGTTCTCTCTTCATGAACATTTGAGTTATTTTCAGAATTTGGCTTTTATGCAAATTGCTGCTATAAACGTTTTGGTTCCTGTGAATTAATGCACGTGTGCAAAAATCTCCTCTAGAAAAGATAATTAGAAGTGGAATTGCTGTGGAATTGTATGGCACATTCTCAATACTTAGCAGGGTGGATCCAATCAGAAGATAGAAACCACGCAATTATTTTAAACACAAAGGGTTTAGTTTAATATAAACTCCTACCGCAAAGGGAGAGTTTAATATAAAGAATTATTAAGTTGGGATAAAGGAGTAGCTATAGAAAATAAGAAAACTTTCATGGTGCCTTGGGGCCAAGAGAGAGTTACCCAAGGAAGAATAAACTTGCAAGGGGCTCCCTCTCCAAAACTGTGGTTCTGACTTCGTTGGAGAAGGTGTAGTTGAACCCACTGGATGGCAGAGAAATTTGATGGTTTGCAGTGGTGGAAAAAAAAAACAGGAAACAACCCTCCAAAGTGCAGGCTGGGCAGGGGAGCCGCAGCTGGTGGCCTGCGTGTGACTGTGCAACAGGCCTGAGGGCGCCTGAAACACATAGTGACCGTGTTGAGCAGACAAGGGGGCTGTGAAGTCGCTGAGGGACTTGGAACTCTGGGCATATGGAAGGGCAGAATCCACCCGACCCCTTCCCACCCGCACGGTTGACCACTGAGCCTCCGCCAGAAACTGCAGAAGCGCCCCTCCCTCCCGCAACACCTGCCTAGCGCCCTCTACTGAGAAAGCTCAACATCGTGCTCACTTTAGAGGAGAAATGCTTAAAGAAATTCCCTCATCTCAAAGCTTGTATTGAAAAGTGAATTTGAGCTGAGAAGCAATACGTTGACAACTATGCCATAATGTCATGCTGTTTTCCAAAGTTGTTTTGCCAATTTGTGCTCACACTAGCAATGCTTTTGAGTTCCCAAACTTATTTTAGATTTCGTAATTTTAGCCAGCCTGTTGGGATTGTAGGGTATCTCGCTGTTGTTTCAAGGTGCATTTCCGTGAATGCAAATGAAGATGACACCTTTCATATGTTTATCAGACATCTGGAATGCCTCTTTGTTGAGTTGTCTATTCAACTCCTATGTGCATGTTTCTTTTTTTCTTTCTTTCGTTCTTTTTTTTTTTTTTTTTTTTTGAGACAGAGTCTCGCTCTGTCACCAGGCTGAAATGCAGTGGCGCATCTCGGCTTACTGCAACCTTCGCCTCCTGGTCCAAGCGATTCTCCTGCCTCAGCCTCCGGAGTAGCTGGGACTACAGGGGCGTGACACCACGCCCGGCTAATTTTTTTGTATTTTTAGTACAGACGGGGTTTCACCGTGTTAGCCGGGCTGGTCTTGAACTCCTGAACTCGTGATCCGCTCTCCTCAGCTTCCCAAAGTGCTGGGGGCGTGAGCCACCGCACCCGGCCCCTGTGTGCATGTTTCTACTGAGTTGTCTGCCTTATTCTCAATGATAAGTAGGCATTTTAAAAACTATATAAATATATATATTCGGAGATTAATCTTTCACCAATTATATATATTGTGAATATATTCTCCCAGTCTTGTGTCTTTTGATGATAGAAGCTCTTAGTTTTAATATTGCCTTATTTATTAATCTTCTACTTTATGGCTAGATGCTTTAATGTAATATTTAAGAAATAGTTCCATATTCCCAAGTCTTAAAGATATCTGCTATATTATCCTCTAAAAGCATTACAGGTTTGCTTTTCACATATAATTTACCTATAAATGATTTTTTAGTGTAATGTAAGGTATAGGACCATTTTGGGTTTTATTCTTTTATAAGAAATCCCAATTGTCTCAGCACCTTTCATGAAAAAGCCATCGTTTCATGACTTATTGGCAATGCCAACTCTGTTGTATATCAAGTATCCATATGTGTCTAGGTGTATTTTGGGGCTCTCTCTCTGTACTACGGGTCTATTTGTCTATCCCTGAGCCAACCTTATACCTTCTTAATCATTCTAGTGATGTATTAAGTCTCAACATCGTACAGGACAAATATTTATTTCCACCTTGCTTTTCTTCCTTAAGAATGTCTCAGCTCCGGGCGCAGTGGCTCACGCCTGTAATCCCAACACTTTGGGAGGCCAAGACGGGCGGATCCCGAGGTCAGGAGATCGAGACCATCCTGGCTAACACGGTGAAACCCCGTCCCTACTAAAAACACAAAAAATTAGCCGGGCGTAGTGGCGGGCGCCTGTAGTCCCAGCTACTTGGGAGGCTGAGGCAGGAGAATGGCATGAACCCGGGAGGCAGAGCATGCAGTGAGCCGAGATCGCGCCACTGCACTCCAGCCTGGATGACAGAGCAAGACTGTGTCTTAAAAAAAAAAAAAAAAAAAGTCTCAGCTGGTCGGGCATGGTGGCTCTCGCCTGAGAACTTTGGGAGGCCGAGGCGGGCGGATCACTTGAGGTCAGGAGTTTGAGACCATCCTGGCCAACATGGTGAAACCCCGTCTCCACTAAAAATACAAAAATTAGCAGGCATGGTGGCGCATGCCTGTAGTCCCAGCTACTCGGGAGGCTGAGGCAGGAGAATTGCTTGAACCCAGGAGGCGGAGGTTGCAATGAGCCAAGATCGCACCACTGCACTCCAGCCTGGGCCACAGGGTGAGACTCTGTCTCAAAAAAAAAAAAAAAAATTATCAGCTATCAGTCCATTTTAACGTCAGAATCAGTTTGCCAAGCTCAATAACTTAAACGATTATGTGTTTGGTGTGTTTGCACTGAATCTATGGGTTGATTTGGAAAATTCTGATATGCTTACAATATTGAATCTTCTAATCCAGAAACTTGTTACAGTAGTCTCCCCTTATCCACTATTTTGCTTCCAAAGTTTCTGTTACTTTTGGTCAGTCACAGTCCCAAAATATTAAATGGAAAATTCACCAGAAATAAACAATTCATAAGTTTTAAATCGTGCACCGTTCTGACTGGGGGGGATGAAATCTCATACTGTCCTGCTCTGCATAGCCCAGAATATGAGTCATCCCTTTGCCCAGAGCACCCACGGCTATACAAGCCCCCCATCCATCAGTCACTTAGCAGCCATCTCAGTTTTCAATACCGACTGTCGCAGTATTGCAGTGCTTGTGTTGAAGGAATCCTTATCTTATTTAATAATGGCCCTAAAGTGAAAGAGTAATAATGCTGGCACATTGTCATAATTGTTTTATTTTATTTTTAGTTGTTTTAGTCTCTGCTGTGCCTAAATTACAAATTAATCCTAGGTTTGTGTGTATAGGAGAAAACAGTGTATATAGGGTTCAGTACTATCTGCAGTTTCAGGCATCCATTGGGGGTCTTGGAACGTATCCACTATGGGCAAGGGGGGACTACTATATATTTGTCCATTATAGTTTCTTTGATATCTCTCAATAAAGGTTTATTGTTTTCTCCATAACATTTTTGTTAGATTTTCTTCCTAGGTACATTATATGTTTTGACACTATTGTAAATGTATATTTTTTTTCCATTTTCCAGTGCTTTGATGCTGATGTAAAGAAAGGCAATTTTGATTTTTCATATCCAGAAAAGTTGTTCATCTCTCATTAATTCTAATAATAATATATGTAGTTTTAATTAAAATTTTCTATTACATAAGCATATTCGTCACTAATAATGGCAGTTTTGTTCCTTCCTTTCTAGTTCTTACACAATCTTTTTCTTACTTTATTGGCTGGGACCACCATCACAATATCAAATAGAGGCAATGATAGTAGGAAGCTTGTGTTGCCCTGATCTCCACCTAATATCACCATTAAGAGTGAGATGTGCTGTATGATTTTTGAAGATAACTATCAAGGAAGTTCCTTTGTATTCTCACTCTGATAAGAGGTTTTAAATCATGAATGTATGCTGAATTTTATGAAATGCTTTTTTCCATATCTATTGAGAAGATGTTATGATTTTTCTTCTCTAATGTGGTAATGTGGTAACATGGTGAATTATTTTAGTTGATTTTTTTTTTTAGAGACAGTTTCTCACTCTGTTGCCCAAGCTGGAGTGCAGTGGCACAATAATAGCTCACTGCAGCCTCGAACTCCTGGGCTCTAGTAGTCCTCTCACCTCAGTCTCCTGAGTAGCTAGGAGTATAGGCACACACACTGCATCCAGCTTTTGTTATTATTCTTATTTTTGTAAAGAGGGAATCTTGTTATGTTGCCCAAGTTGGTCTCAAACTCTTCAAGTGGTCCTCCCATCTCGGCCTCCCAAAGCATTGGAATTACAGGTGTTAGCCACCAGGCCCGGCCTATTTTAGTTTATTTTCTAACATAAAACCAATTTTGAATTCCTGGGATATTGCCAACTTGGTCATAATTTATTATCCCTTTAGATACTGCTAAATTCAGTTTGCAAATATTTGGATTACGAGTTTTGTGTCTGTGTTCGTGCTTGACATTGCCTGTAATCTTCTTTTCATGTACTGTCTTTGCCACATTTTAGTAATAAGGTTACACTAGTCTTAAGAGTCAGGAAAAATTTCCTCTTTTTCTATTTTGTGAAAGAGTTTGGCTAAGATTGAAATTATTTCTTCCATGAATGTTTGGTAGAACTGGTTGGTGAATTGAGGCCTGGAATGGTTTTAGGAGGAACATTTGCGGAACATTTCGGACTACGGATTTAGTTACTCTAATTATTATAAACAGGCAGGATGACCATATGGCTTATCCTCCAAACTGGAGCGCTTTTGAGAATTAAAGGGGTTATGAAAATAATTAATGGACATTAATCCATAATAGATATAAACTGGGACTGTCCTGGGCAAAATGGGGTGTATGGGCACCATAATTGTAAAATTTCCTATCTCTTATTATAGATTTCCTATTTCTTCCTGAATAAACTTTGGTGGGTTATATATTTATTAGAAGATTATCCATTTTGTCTAAATTTTTCCAGTTCATATTAACCTTGTATTATCTTTTAAATATCTGAAATATACCTAAGTGTGTCTCTTTTCTGTTTCTACATATTGACTATTTGTGCCTTCTAATTTTTTTTTAATACTTCTTGACAGATATTTTAATTTTGTTAAAATCAATGAAGCAGCATTTGGCTTTGTCGAATCTATTATATATTTGCTTTCTATTTCAAAGACTTCTCCTTTTATCTTCATTATTTCCTTCTTGCTCATGCATATCTAACTTCTTGAGATGAATGTTTACTTAATTAATTTTTAGATTCTCTGAATATACTTATTTTGAAATTATGTCATAAATTTTATATGCAATATTTTGCTATAATTCTGTTCAAAATATGTTCTAACATTTTTACAATTTTGTTTTGAAGCATGATTGTCTTTTAATCCCTAACATATTAATTTTTCTCATTCGAATTTTTGCTGATTTCTGGCTTGTCTTATAATCTAAGAACACACATTGTATGATTTTAAACCTTTGAAATGTATTGAGACTTGCTTTTATTTGTTCATTTGTATTTAATAATTTTTCTGTATGTTTGATATATATATATTCTGCAGTAGTTAGGTGGAGATCTCACTATGTCAATCATATTATCTTATTCAAACCTTTTGTGTCTTCACTGATTTTTTATTGTAATTTTATTTTCTTTAAAACCATATCTTTCTTAATATAGCTATACTAGTTTCCTTTGGCTTAGGCTTTTTTGGTATATCTTATATAACCTTTTACCTTTTAACTTTTCTATATCTTTATAATTCTAAAACATGTTTCTTGTACATAACATGGAGATAGAATTTGTCTTTATCAAGTCTGAAAATCTTTTAACTGGAGCGTTTAGTTTATTTACATGAAATGTAATTAACACTACATTGTTAAGGCCATGACATTGCACCATTCCTAAAGGCACAACTCACATTTTATATATATTTGAGTTTAAATCTGCAAACATATTTTGTGCTTTTTTTTTTTTTTTTTTTTTTTGATACAGAGTCTTGCTCTGTCGCCCAGGCTGGAGTGCAGTGGCGCAATCTTGGCTCACTGCAGCCTCTGCCTCCTGGGATCAAACAATTCTCCTGCCTCAGCCTCCCGAGTAGCTGGGATTACAGGCACACACCACCACACCTGGCTAATTTTTTGTATTTTTAGTAGAGATGGGGTTTCACCATGTTAGCCAGGATGGTCTTGATCTCCTGACCTCATGATCCACCCATCTCAGCCTCCCAAAGTGCTGGGATTACAGGTGTGAGCCACCGCTTTCTATTTGACACACCCATTCCATGTTTTTTCTTTTCTCCTTTTTTACTTTATTTTTGATATACTGAGTATTTTAATCATTTCAATGTTTTCCCCTTTAAATAGTTCAAAAGCTATGCATTGTTCATTTCTTTTAGTAGTTGCCTTAGAAATTATAATATGCTCACTTAATATAATCAAGTCTAAAGTTAACAGATCCTTTAACTTTCTCCTCATAATAAAAGAAAGAACACTAGACCGGGTGTGGTGGCTCACACCTGTAATCCCAGCTCTTTGGGATGCCGAGGCGGGTGGATCAGCTGAGGTCAGAATTTCAAGACCAGCCTGCTCAACATGGTGAAACCCTATCTCTACTAAAAATACAAAAAAATTAGCTGGGAGGGGTGGTGGGTACCTATAATCCCAGCTACTTGGGAGGCTGAGGCAGGAGAATCACTTGACCCAGGAGGCTGAGGTTGCAATGAGCCGAGATCACGCCATTGCACTCCAGCCTGGGCAACAAGAGTGAAAACCTGTCCCCACCACAAAAAAAAAAAAAAAAACTTTAATTCTTTTTACTTAATTCCCAACTTATGAACTATTATTCTATGTATTTTAATTATTCTTTTTAACCCATTAAGACATTGTTATTATTATTTTTTTATCAGTATTTGCTTAGATTCATCCACATATTTACCACTTTCTTTACTCTTCATTCCTTGTTTCTCAAACCTACCTGGTGGATCAAACATTATTCTGGATGTTTCTGTGAAGACAATTTTTAGATGTGATTAACATTTAATTGGTGGATTTTGAGTAAAGCAGACTACCATCCATAATGTGGGTGGGCCTTATCCAATCAGTTGAAGACCTTAATAGAATAAAACTACTAACGTCTTCTGAGCAAGAAAATTTCTGACACCAACCGACTGCCTTTGGACTCAAACTACAACTTTTCTCTGGGTCTCCAGCCTGCCAGCTACCCTGCATGTTTTGTATTTCGCAAGCCTCCATGATCACATGCACCAATTACTTAAAATAAACAGCTTTCTTATTCTCTCTCTCTCTCTTTCCTCTCTCTCTCTCTTTCTTCTCTCTCTCTCCCCCCTCCCCCTTTCCTCTCTCTCTCTCTTTCTCTCTCTCTCTGAACTGGGCACAAGCCCCGGAGAGCACATCTGTACAGAGAGGATAATCACATGTGCCAATTCCTTAAAATAAACAGCTCTTTCTTACTCTCTCTCTCTCTTTCCTCTCTCTCTCTCTCTCTCTCTTTCCTCTCTCTCTCTCTCTCTCTCTCTCTCTCTCTCTCTCTCTCTCTCTCTCTCTCTCTCTGAACTGGGCAGAAACCCGGAGAGCACATCTGTACAGATAGGAGCAGCAGGATGGAGGGCTTCAGAGGGCTGAGTCCAAGAAAAACTGAAATGGGTAGACTCTCTGTCTGGTTTGAGTGTGTGGAAAACTGTATTGCAGGCATTTGACATTACTCTTGCGGATGTGGGAACACTTAGTCATGAGTTTTAGGAAAACAACAAGTTGAAAACAAGGCAATTATTAACTCCAGGTAAAATAAGAAATTGTATAAGGCAGGAAAATATAATCACGGGACAATACTAGGTTCGGTACTAAACAATGTTTAAACAGTCACAACAATGAAATCTATGGATTTAACAAAAAATTGTAACGGTCTACATGGGAAGACCTCTTGTCTGAGGTTGCTAGCATTCTGCATCTGGGTGGCAGAAAGGAGCTTAGCATCTCATCACTCCATATACAACTTTCCTGTAACCTTTTCTTTTCAGTCTATTGTACCTAATGCCACTCTCTAGTTCTTCTCCTGAGAATATACTTCCATTTCCGCTGAAATGAGAGAGGATACCGGGGTAATAAGTGTTTCCTATTCCACATTTTAGATCAATCTCCTATTTTCAGTGCCTGCCACCTCCTTCCATTCCCATCTATCTTTTGTGGTACCTGGAGCCTCCAATTCATTCCTGAATATTTCCGTGCTTCTGCAATGCAATGAGCTTGTTTCTTCATGGCATTGCCCTGGATAGTCACTGAGGTTGGTCCCCTCCCTTCTGCTAAGTCACTTACCATATCTTCACTGTTTTCTTTTCTTTTTTTTATTTGAGACAGAGTCTCGCTCTGTCGCCCAGACTGGAGGGCAGTGGCGCGATCTCGGCTCACTGCAAGCTCCGCCTCCCGAGTTCACGCCATTCTCTCTCCTCAGCCTCCCGAGTAGCTGGGACTACAGGCGCCCGCCACCGCGTCCAGCTAATTTTGTTTTTGTATTTTAGTAGAGACGGGGTTTCACCGTGTTAGCCAGGATGGTCTCGATCTCCTGACCTCGTGATCCGCCCACCTCGGCCTCCCAAAGTGCTGGGATTACAGGCGTGAGCCACTGCGTCCGGCCAAATCTTCACTGTTTTCTAACTTCTGGAATATCTCCACGTTTCAAGGAAGATATAATTTAATTTTCCCTTTTTTTTTTCTTCTTTTGAGCTGATTTTTAAGAGGGGAAATGTTTTTTAATGTCACAATATTTAGACTGAAAGTCCATATTATTGCCAATATGTAAAATTCGGGAGATAGCACATGACAACCTGTGTTTCCATGAATTGGAAGATGTGGAAATCCTGGTCTAGCATTTCCACATGACAGCTGGCTGCAGCTGAGTGGCGGTCACTCCTTTCTAAAAGAGAACTGTAGCACCAGGCAGGGAGGTCACAGCTTCCACTATTTTCTGCTGACTAACATCTGGCCTTCTTCACTCATTGGTAGTAAGGGCCTTACCCTACTGGCATTTGAGTTTGTGAGCCCAGGCTTAAGGTATGACCACACAAGTGCAAGGCTGAAGTAGAATAGGGAAAAGATCTCTAGAAGAGATGGGACCAAGGAACTGAGAGGCAAGAGCATTGGATGGTCCACCCACATGGATGTTGAAATCATTCAAACTTATGCCAGGGGCCGGGTGCGGTGGCTCACGCCTGTAATCCCAGCACTTTGGGAGGCCGAGGCAGGTGGATCACGATGTCAGGAGATGGAGACCATCCTGGCTAACACGGTGAAACCCCGTCTCTACCAAAAATACAAAAAATTAGCCGGGCGTGGTGGTGGGCGCCTGTAATCCCAGCTACTCGGGAGGCTGAGGCAAGAGAATGGCGTGAACTCGGGAGGCGGAGCTTGCAGTGAACCGAGATCGGGCCACTGCAGTCCGGCCTGGGCGACAGACCGAGACTCCGTATCAAAAAAAAAAAAAAAAAAATTATGCCAGGAATAAAAGTGGAGAGGAAGGCAGTAAACGACAATAAAGAAGAGGGGAAAGGGGTAGGTAATATCCTTTAAGGGCATAAACTTCAGGGCAGCCAGTTTTTAGTTTTTTTTGGTTGTTTGGTTTGGTTTGGGCATGAGAAATAGCAAGGAATGGTTTAGAAGGGGCAGGACCAACAAGGAAGAAACTTACCCCAACCTCTGGCCTTTAGACATGTGGGGTGCAAGAGATAAAACACCTCCTGTCGAGGGCTGCCGAGGGCAGCATTGGGGCACTGAG
This sequence comes from Homo sapiens, assembly GCF_000001405.40. NCBI lineage: Eukaryota > Metazoa > Chordata > Mammalia > Primates > Hominidae > Homo > Homo sapiens. The sequence continues at coordinate 2,149,180 of NW_011332701.1, read as the reverse complement.
GGCTGCCGAGGGCAGCTGAATTGGGGGACAGTCCAGCTTCAAGCAAAGATAGGAGCTGATGAGAATGTTCCAACAAAATGCTAAGGATGTAGAGTGGCTTGCTGTAGAAGAGAACAGAAAAGTTCAACCCAGGTAGTAAGGTAAAATATTGTTTTCAGAAGCTTTTGCTTCAGTTGTGTGTGTATGTGTGTGTGTGTGTGTGTGTCTGTATGTGTCTGTGTGTACGCCTGTATGTGTCTGTGTGTACTGTGCCACTATTTAACATGTACTTCTGGCCAGACACGGTGGCTCGCACCTGTAATCCCAGCACTTTGGGAGGCCGAGGCAGGTGCATCACTTGAGGTCAGGAGTTCGAGACCAGCCTGGCCAACATGGTGAAACCCTGTTTCTACTAATAATACAAAAATTAGCCGGGCATGGTGGTGGGCCCCTGTAATCCCAGCTACTTGGGAGGCTGAGGCAGGAGAATTGCTTGAGCCAAGGAAACAGAGGTTGCAGTGAGCCAAGATCACGCCACTGCACTCAAGCCTGGTTGACAGAGCAAGACTCCATCTAAAATAAAATAAAATAAAATATACTTCTAACTGTGCGTGGTAGTCAAAATAGGTGAAAGGATCTTGTTTTTGAGGAAGGTGGAGCAACAGGCTCAGGTGCTATAACCCTTGAGGTTGTATTCACTGGGAGGCAGGTTGGAAAAACACTACCTTGGACCTTGCATAGTGCCAATAGTAGCAGCTCCCACATTTTCCTTTGAAGCATTAACTATCATCTGAGAACTAATAGCGAATTTTTATTTCTTTGACTACATAAAATGATGTCAATTTTCCAGCTGTAATATTTATCTACATTGCATGCAAAACTCTGTTCTTTAGAAAAATGATATGCCTTATGACAAGTCATGAAGTCTTTCACTTTATATTAACATCCTGTCTCAAGTTCAACAAATATTTATTGGTTGCTTATGATACACCAGGCACTGTTCTGGGTGCAGGAGATAAAGGAGTGAACAAAACTGATAAAGCCATTTTTTCTTGGTGGGAAGTTTTCCTTCTTACCAATTTAATCTCTTTGCTTGTTATACTTCTATTTGATTTTCTGTTTCTTCTTGAGTCAATTTCAGTAGGTTGGTCTTTCTAGAAAGTTTTCTAATTCACGTAGGTAGGTCCTTCCCTCCTTCCCTCCCTCCCTCCCTTCTTTCTTTTCTTTCTTTCCCTCCTTCCTTCCTTTCTCTCTTTTTTTTCTTTCTTCCTTTTTTCTTTTCTTTCTTTCTTGCTTTCTTTCTTTCTCTCTCTCTTTCTTTTTTTTTTTGACAGAGTCTTGCTCTATCACCCAGGCTAAAGTATAGTGGTGCAATCTTAACTCACTGCAACCTCCACCTCCTGGGCTTAAGTGATCTTCCCACCTCAGCCTGCCGAGTAGCTGGGACAACATAATTTAGTATACTCCTTATAATCACTTTTGTTTCTGCAAGGTTGGTAGTAATGTCCCCTCTTTCAGTCCAAATTTAGTAATTTGAGTTCTCTCTCTCACTTGGTCAGTCTAGCTGAAGGTTTGTCATCTTTATTGATATTTAATACTTCCTAAGAACCAACTTTTGGTTTTGCTGATTTTCTCTGTTTTTTTATTCATCATTTCATTTATTTCTACTCTTAATCCTTATTTCCTTCCTTTTCCTTGCTTTGAGTTTATTCTGCTCCTCTTTCTAGTTGCTCAAAGTGAAAGATTAGGTTATACATTTATTTAAGATCCATTTTACCAATCTCTGTCTTTTGATGGGAATGCTTAGTACATTTACCTTTAATGTAATTAGTGGTAAGGTAGAATTTATGTCTGCCATTTTGCTATTTGCTTTCTATATGTCTTATATCTTGTTTTGTTCTATTCTTCTGTTACTGTTTTCTTTTGTGCTATATATTCTCTACTGTATCATTTTAATTTCCTTGTTATTTCTTGTATAACATTTTGAAAAAATCATTTTCTTAATAGTCATCCCGGGGATTACAATTAGCTTCTTAACTTAAAATAACCTAAGTAGTATTAATACTAACTTAATTTCTTTTTTTTTTCCTTTTTTCAAGACAGGGTCTCCTGCTGTTGCCCAGCCTGGAGTACAATGGCACAATCATGGTTCACTGCAGCCTCCATCTCCCAGGCTCAAGAGATCCTCCTACCTCAGCCTCCCAAGTAGCTGGGACTACAGGCACGTGCCACCATGCCTGGCTAATTTTTTATTTATTTATTTATTTATTTATTTATTTATTTTTCTAGAGATGAAGTCCCACTGTGTTGCCCAGGCTGGTCTCGAATTCCTGGGCTCAAGCAATTCTCCCACCTAGGCCTCCCAAAGTGCTGGGATTATAGGCATGAGCTACCGTGCCTTGCCTTAATCTCTCTCTTTTTTTTTTTTTTTTTTTTGAGATGGAGTCTTGCTCTGTCGCCCAGGCTGGAGTGCAGTGGTGAGATCTCAGCTCACTGCAAGCTCCACCTCCCGGGTTCACACCATTCTCCTGCCTCAGCCTCCCAAGTAGCTGGGACTACAGGCACCCACCACCAGGCCTGGCTAATTTTTTGTATTTTTAGTAGAGACGCAGTTTCATTGTGTTAGCCAGGATGGTCTTGATCTCCTGACCTCATGACCCACCTGCCTTGGCCTCCCAAAGTCCTGGGATTACAAGCGTGAGCCACCGCACCCAGCCGACTTGCCTTAATTTCAATAGCATGCCAAAACTATGCTCCAGTATACATCCACTCTGTCCCTCTTATCTTTGTAATATGATTGTCAAACAAATTGTATGTTTATACATTAAAAGCCTATCGACACAGCTCATAGCCATTGTTTTATGCAGTTGTGTTTTAAATCAGAGTGTTCAGATTTTTTAATTTAAAATTTTTTAATTTTAAAAATTAAAATAATTTTTTATATTCAATTGTGTAGTTATCAGAATCACTGCTCTTATTTTCTTTATGTGGATTTAAATTTCTAATATTCTTTCATTTCAGCCTGCAAGGTTCCCTTTGGTAATAGTGCATGTCTGCTAGTGATGATTTCATTCACTTTCTGTTTACCTGGAATGCCATAATTTCTCTTTCATTTTTGAAGGATATTTTTCCTTCCACCCTTTAAATATGATGTCTTCCCACCACCTTCTGACCTTCATGATTTATGATGAGAAGTCAGCTATTAAGCTTATTGAGGATCCTTTGTGTGTGATGAGTTGTTTTTCTTTTGCTGCTTTCAAAATTTTCTCATCATCTTTGGCTTTCAACAGTTTGACTATTATGTGTCTAGGTCACTACTTCAAGTTTTTTGAGCTCCTTGGATGGCAGATTACTGTTTTTCATAAAGTCTGGGAAGGCTATTTCTTCAAATATTCTTTGTATTCCTTTCTCTCTATCCTTTCCTTCTGGGACTTTATGTGCATGTTAATATACACATAAACTCATGGTTTCCCATAAGTCTCTGAGAATTTGTTCATTTTCTTCATTCTTTTTTCTTTCTGTTTCTCAGCCTGGATAATTTCAATTGAGCTATCTCCAAGTTCACTGCCTTTTGCTTCTACCAGTTCATATATGTTGTTATTGAGCTCCTCTAGAGAATTTTTTCATCTCACTCTTTGTACTTTTCAACTCCAGAGTTTCTATTTTTTAAAACTTCTGTTTATTGATATTATCTATTTAGTAAGACATCATTCTCACATTTTCCTTTAGTTCATTAGACATGGTTTCCTTTAGTTCTGTGAACATATTCATAATGGCTGATTTAAAGTCTTTGTTCAGTAAGTCCAATGCCTGGGATTCCTCAGGAATGGTTTCTATTAACTGCTTTTTCCTGCATATAGGCCATAATTTTGTTTCTTTGGATGTTGTGAACTTTTTTGTTGAGATCTGGATGTTTTGAACAATGTAATGTGACAACTCTAGAAATCATATCCCCTCCTCTCCACTGAGGTTTGTTGCTGGTTTAGTGACTTTGCTGGACTAATCTATAAAGTCTGTATTGTTTGTTGTGTGCAGCCATTAGAGTCTCTGCTTGGATAGTTTAGTGCTTAGCTAATGATTGAATGGATATTTTCTTAAATGCTTTGAGCCAATAAATCCCCTAGCTTTTGCTGAGAGGCTGTGTGTGCTGGGGCATGCCTTGCACATTGTGGTAGGTAGTTTACGATTCTTCCTTAGCCTTTATTTTCTGCATTGTACTGAAACTCAAGGTCAGACAGAGGTGAGAGATTAGAGTCTTCTTAGGTGTTTTTTGGGTGTGTTCACAGTCCTGCATGTACATGCATGTCCTGCATGAAATTCTGGATTCCTAGGTATATGTCAGAGCTTTTCAAGGAACTATATGGACTCTTATTGCCCATTTTTTTTTAACTTTTTTGGTTAGCTTCTTGTTAGTACCAAACAGTTTCACCACCACAGGTATCTGTGATGTTAAACAGTTGCAACTGATTGTTTTCAACAAATGCACCAGGGATAGGGCTGTTTGCACAGAGCAAGTTCTGAACCAGGTCAAATAAAGACAAACCCTGAGAATGGAACTTTTCAAGGTGCTTCCAGACAGGTCAAATAATGACAGTTTACTTAGTATGGGGCTTTTGAGAAGATCTAAACCTATTCTGCCCCATCCAGTGGCTGCTGGATGGTTTTCAAAGCTACTGTAGTTGTGAGGCTGTTGGCTTACTAGGCTACTGTAGAGCTGGAGAGAAGTAGTTGAGAATTGGGCAGATCAAAATGCCCTAAAGCTCACTGTACTCACCAAGATTCAGTAATTTTTCTTTAATAAATACTCCTTGGATTGTTGTGTTTGGTTAATTTCTGGAGTTGGTTTTAACTATTTTTGCCAGTGTACTCCCTTTTATGGAGAAGCAGATTTTCTACCACTCTAGAAGTGCTTCTCCCAGATTTATTTTTATTGCTTATTATCCTGAATAGGTCCCTCAGCTTCCAGGTGCCTAAATCTTTGAGCACAGTGTAGTATTTTCATCAAATATCTTACAATTATTATGACAAAGTAATGCAAAAGGCCAAACATATATTTGACATGGTGAGTATATAAAAACAGGCCTTGATGTTTCTTAAAAGTTCTGCTCCAAGGATGTCCTCTCCCCAGGGGAGTATACAACCGAAGTGTCAAAAACCTGCCAATTCCTCATTTTATGTGAGAGCTAAAATTTCTGGGTAAATGAAAGTGAAATATTTAGACCTGCTTTCCTACCTAAGTGACTGTGAAATCATGTTGGGAACCCAAACCCCAGGAAGATTGTGTTGTTTTAATCTTATGTGCTAATTAATTTGAAGATGAAGTATTTAAATAGAGGTGCAGGAGGGATAAACTGTGGAGGGAGGGGGTTAACACTTCTGCCTGGTGGATGCATAGGTGCTTATTATTGGTACTCTTCATATATACTATATATACACACATATATATAGTATGCATATATCCAAATAGGCATCCTTTGCTTTGCAGGTTCAGATATGACTGATGTCAGCTATTTAGTTAAATAACACCAGTATCTCAACAATATGGTTGAAATTTTAGTTACTGGATGGGGCATGGTGGCTCATGCCTATAATTGCAGCACTTTGAGAGGCTGAGGTGGGAGGATCGCTTGAGCCCAGGAGTTTGAGACTAGCCTGGGCAACATAGTGAGATCCCGTCTCTTCAAAAAATAAAAATACAAAAATTAGCCAGGCTTAGTGGTGTATGCCTGTAGTTCCAGCTACTTGGGAGGCCCAGGTGGGAAGATCGCTTGAGCCTGGGAGGTAGAGGCTCTAGTGAGCCATGATTGTGCCACTGCACTGCAGCCTGGGCAACAGCATGAGATCCTGTCTCAAAAACAAAACAAAGCAAAAACAAAAAAAACAAATTTTAGTTATCATGCTATTTTAGCTGTGAACAAACATAGTACAATCTTTGCTTCTAGCTCTTTAGTCCACAAAACCCTATGTAAACAATAGATGTCCATAACAACCAGTGACCAATCACAGCAGTTCTTTCAAAATCTGTCAGTGACGGGTCATTGCACTGTTAGTTTAGGCACTGGCAGCAAAGTGTGCAATTGTGTTGCTTCCTTTTCTCCAAGTGTTAAACTCACACAGCATTGTATAAAAATGAATAATTGAAAGGGAATTGGTCAACAAAGATGAAAGTGCAGCAAAGAAATAAAAAAATGGTAAAGATGGAATTGAAGTGAAATTCAAATTGAATGCAAATGAAGTACTATAGAAGAAATAGACAACTGTGGGAGTGCTGACTTTCCAGAGACTAGATATGCAGTCAGTGAAACTTACTCAAAGCACACTGAATGAGGAAAATGGCTGTGACTAAAAGGATGAGGATGTCCCGGAGGAAATGAGGTCCACAAAAACATTTTACATTAAAGGAACTCTCTGAGACATTGCATGGCATTGGAAGTGCAAAGGATAAAATACTTGCGTGTAATCCAAATGTGATGTTTTGCTAAAGTACAGAAAAGGTGGTATATAAGAGTTACACTAGAAGAAGACAAGCACTGTTCAAGTTATTCTTAATAAGCTTTATTTTTACAAACACAAAAAATACTTTAATTCTCAATGTTTGAATGTTTTAAACTGATTTTTTTTCATTTCCATATACAGGGTATTTGTAACCATCAGTTAAGCGAGTTTTGAATGGTTCTTTTGTTGTTGTTTGTTCTTTCCAAGACAAGGACTTGCTCTGTCACCCAGGCTGGAGTGCTGTGGTGCGACCTTGGCTCACTGCAACCTCGGCTTCCGGGGCTCAAGTGATTCTCCCCCCTCATTCTCCTGAGAAGCTGGGACTACAGGTGCACACCACCACGCCTGGCTAATTTTTTTTTTTTATTTTGTAGAGACCGGGTCTCACTGTGTTGCCCAGGGCTGGTCTCGAACTCCTGGGCTCATGCCATCTTCCCGTCTGGGCCTCCCAAAGTGCTGGGATTACAGGCGTGAGCCACCGTGCCCGGACTGCTTTGAATGTTTTGAGAAAAACTGTTTAAAGTCGTGAAACAATCTTAATTTTTCCCAGTGATTATTAAGGTAGTTTTGCATGGTTCAGTCATTTCCAGCGTCCAGAATTACCGTGCAAGCGAGGACTGCATGCGCGTGTAGTACGTATTCGCCATATGCATTATATGTCAATGTGAAGTCAACCACTTTGGGATAGAACACATCAATTGATAGTTACAAACCAACAGGCAGCGTCTCGTTTTTGTTGTTGTTGTTGTTTGTTTGTTTGTTTTAATCCGCGCTGGAAGTGTGCTGTTGGGATTCTCTTTGGGTGCTAACGGTTGAGAAGGAGCTCCTGCCAGCCGCTGAAAACACCGCGGCACGCGGGCGCAGGGCCTGGGCAGGGCGGCCGGCGCGCAGGTGGCCCGGCCTCGCCCAGCGGCTCCGGAGCGGGGGCCAAGCCAGCCCGGCCTCCCGCGAGACCCGCACCCGCCCACCGGAGCGCGCCGCCGGGCCACGGCCTGCAGGGGTGGAAGGGGCGGCGGCGGCGGGAGCTGCGGGCCACGCACGGCGGCGGCGGCGGGAGCGGCCGGGCACGCACGGCGACGGCGGCGGCGGGAGCGGGAGCCCAGGCCACGCACGGCCGCAGCTGCGGGTGCGGCGGGCGCGGGAGCGGTGGGAGCTGTGGTGGCGGCGGATGGCCCAGAGCTGATCTATGCGGCGCCTGGAGGGGCTGTGTCTGCGGCGGCGGCGGAGGCGGCGGGGCCCTGCCCGCGAGCGGAGCGGGGACAAGATGAAGTACCAGAAATACCTGACGGTGCTGCAGATGGCCATCGGCGTCACCCCCTCCAACCGCGGCAGCCTCCTGCCGCTCAAGAGGAAGCTGTGGTGAGGCGGCCGCGCGGGCGCGGAGCCCCAGCCGGGCTAGGCGCGGAGCGGGGCGGGGGCCGGAGTGGGAGAGCGAGCGGCGGCCGGGGCGGTCGGGCGGGGGGCGAGGCCGCGACTGTCGGGCCCGACGGGACGCGGGGCGCGCCGCGCGGGGCGCAGCAGCCAAGGCCGAGCCCAGGGCCGAGCGCCGCCTTGTACCGCGTGCCCGCTGACTGGTTTCGCCGAGACCCTCGCTGTGCCCGCGGCGCGTAGGGCGACGGGGAGCGGCCGGGACGCCTGGCACCCGCACCCGGGCGTCGGCCTCCCGCCTCTGTCTGTCCTTTCTGCTCCATTACGGCGGGTTCTGGCTCAGAATTTCCAGCCAGGCTCCCGCGGAGACAGCAGAAGAATTCATTGGTATCACGGTGTGCGTTTTCAGTTATTTTCCAAAAATTCGTCTGCTGCTGAGTGCATAGTAGAGGACGAGCAAGGCAAGGGGAATAAGTTGGGAAATTATTATTGCATTGTCAGGGACTGTATTCCACCTGCATGCGTTCCAGTTCCTCCGACCTGGAAACTGTTACTGAGGTAATGAGGAAAAAACACCCTTAAAGAAAAATGTCTGGACCTTACTGGTTTACGTTGCTGATTATCTACAGGATTGTATATTGCATTTTATTAATAATAATCCGTAATCCATGCGGAATCCCAGGAGCCACCTAGGTATGCCACTGGCTTGAGATTTAGGATTAAGATTCTTTTGCAAAAGAAATAACCTAGTAAAGGGAAGATGACTACAGAAAAAAGATGCCAGTTATGGCATTGGTCATTTTAATTTTAAAATTAGTGGTCAGTGTAGTTCATAAAGGTTTTATTCAATTCAATTGAGCACAGTCTAATTTAATCCTAAGGTTGTAGAGAAAGGAGATGAGGCTGCTTTTAGGTAATGAGGAAAGTAATTCCTGCTGTATAAGACAGTGTGAAAGAGTGATCCTTACCAAAAAAGTATATAGCGTGATCAGCCAAGAAAAAGATGGGTTAAGAAAAAGAATCCTAAAAGTGGAGAATTTTGAAGGTAAGACAAATATGGACAGCAAAGTTCAGAATTCAGTTGTGCCACTTACTGTGTGACCTTAAGTTCCTGGAGTGTCTGTTTCTTCCTCTGTAAAGTGAGAATCTTGTTATCTCCCTCATGGGGATATACACAGATCAACTCTGATAATGAATACAAAGGTGTCTACCACTGTGCTTGGCTTAATAATAGGTGCTTAGTAAATGTTAGTGTCTTTCTGCCCCCACCAATTTGTTTTTTTTTTTTTAAATAAATTTATTCTGCAAAAGATACTTTAATGTGCCGGGTATAGTGGCTCACACCTGTAATCCCAGCACTATGGGAGGTCGAGGCAGGCGTATCGCCTGAGGTCTGGAGTTCAAGACCAGCCTGACCAACATGGTGAAACCCCATCTCTACTAAATAAACAAACAAATAAACCAAAAAAATACAAAATTACCCGGGCATGGTGGTGTGTGGCTGTAATCTCAGCTACTTGGGAGGCTGAGGCAGGAGAATCGCTTGAACCCGGGAGGCAGAGGTTGCAGTGAGCCAAGGTCATGCCACTGCACTCCAGCCTGGGCGAGAGTGAGACTCCTATTTCAAAAAAAAAAAAAAAGATATTTTAATGTGATGAACAGCAAGTGACAACACTTAGAAGACAAGGTTAGCCACAGTTCAATTAAAACATGTCCGTGGGAGATGTTAGCAAATAAATGAAGACTGTCACTACAGTGAAGGAAGAAGGGGTAACATTTGAAGATCGCTTCTCAGATTGATGGTATATGGGGGTATGGGAAATATCAGCACCAGCAGTCATATCTCCCATTTTGCTTTTCTCCTGAGCCCTTATCAATAACTAACACATTGTTTATTTTACTTATTTTTCATATATATTCCCCTTCTCCTCACTAAAATGTAAGTTGCATGAGGGAGGGCTTTTGTTTGTTTCATCCATTACTGTAAAACCCCTGCAACGGATGTCTGGTACAAATGTACCAGAAAGCTTCTCAATAAATATTTGTTGAATAAATGGATTCTTAATAATTTGTGATTGGGAAATAATATGTTAGGAAATCTGTTTTCTTAATGTTCAGTTTAAAATTTTTTATTATTTATTTATTTATTTATTTATTTTGAAACAGTTTTGCTCTTCTTGCCCAGGCTGGAGTGCAATGGCAGATCTCGGCTCATTGCAACCTCCACTCCAGGATTCAAGTGATTCTCCTGCCTCAGCCTCCTGAGTAGCTGGGATTACAGGCGCCTACCACCACACCCGGCTAATATTTTGTATTTTTAGTACAGATGGGGCTTTACCATGTTGGTCAGGCTCGTCTCAAACTCCTGACGTTAGGTGATCCACCCACCTTGGCCTTCCAAAGTGCTGGGATTACAGGTGTGAGCCACTGCGCGCGGGCCAGTTTAAAAATCAAGATGTGGGAATAATATTTGAGGAATTATTAGACATCAATATTAGCAGCATTTGGTCACAAAGTTAGGAAACTATATTTATTCTTTTCCATCATTGGGGTTCTGCTTCTGAAAACACATTCTCTAAACACAGAATTTCTGAAGAGAGGACACAAGGAAATAAAATCCAGGTAACTTTTATATCCAAGCAATTCATGTTTGAGGTAGGCAGTGAGTTAGGGCCAGGGATAAAAACCATCTTACTAAGAGGCGGCCTGGAAAAGGCAAGAGGCTTTTGTTGAGCTTTTCCATGATCTTAGATAATCATTTCTTAATTTCCACTCATTGTTAACTTGCAAACATTCATCTGATTCTACAGCGGCAAAGGGAAGGGTATGCTCTATGAAGACTCTGGAGTGAGTGGCTCTTTTAAACAGAGGTGTAGAATACTTCATATTTTTAAGTTGGAGAACATTGTGCCGCCAGATTTATTTTTCTCTTATACGCTTTGGATTTATTTTTTAGATAATGTTTCATTTTGCTAGTTTCATAGCAACCGCACATGGAGCATTGGAGACATAAGGTACCATCATATGTCTAGAAGATAGTAGGATGTAGGTCCTGACTCTAGAGTGGTGGGTGGAAACCAATAGCAGACATCAACAATGCTTGTAAGACTTTGGAATGCACCAGCTTGTGCCTGTTTACAAATGTGAGGGCCTGACGTGGTGGCTCATACCTGTAATCTCAGCACTGTGAGAGACCAAGATGGGTGGACCACTTGAGGTCAGGAGGTCAATACCAGCCTGGTCAATATGGTGAAACCCTGTCTCTACTAAAAATATATAAAAATTAGCCAGGCATGGTGGTGTGTGCCTGTAATTCCAGCTACTCAAGAGGCTGAGGCAGGAGAATCGCTTGAACCTAGGAGGCGGAGGTTGCAGTGAGCCGAGATTGTACCATTGCACTCCAGCCTGGATGACAGAGCAAGACTCCATCTCAAAATAAATAAATAAATAAATAAATAAATGTGAGGATGTATTATGAAAACTGGTCAAGGCATATGTGAAGATTTATATGAAGATATTTATATATCTGTGTTTCTCTGTCTTTACTGCAGTCTATATGGAAAGGCTTCTGCCAGTGTAAAGGGCAGGGTTGCATGCCTTATTCCCACACTTCCATCTCGCTTGGGCATTTGTGCCTGTCAGTTTTTCTTTGTGCAATATCTCCTGTCTTTCTGATTGGCTCTACAAATCTCGTAAGGAGAATTATATTTGCAGACCAACTTAGGTGGAAACTAAAGCAGACAGTCAGACCCACATCAGTGGAGCCTGTAGGAACTCTCTTTTCCTCATCCCCTTCTTCAAGAAATTTAGAAAGTAGGGGCGTTTGCAGTGTTTGGTTCTGAATCATTACTTAGGAACACAGAACAAAGCCTGGTTACCTCTACCTGAGGTAGGTATAAGTTTGCAGAGCCTGCTGGCTTCCTTTGGGGGACATCCTGGAATTGCCAGCGATGAAAAGAAGCAGTGGGGCTTTGTGTTTTCAGGGGCTGCTGTAACAGATCACATAAACTTGGTGGCTGAAAACAACAGAAATTTATTTTCTGAGTTATGGAGGCTAGAAGTCCAAAATCAAGGTGTTGGCAGGGTCACACTCCCTCAAATGCTGTAGGGGAGGATCCTTCCTTGCCTCTTTCGAACATTCTTTGTGGCTGCATCAATCCATTCTCTGCTTCTGTCTTCACATGACCTTCTCTGTGTCTCTGTGTCTCTGTGTCTTCTCCTGTCTCTCTTTTTTTTAAAAGACTAAAACTTTTAATTTTTAATTTATTTCAAATTATAAACTAGGAACTCATAAAATAAATGCTCCATTTTATAATATGATGTATACATATGCAGACAGATTCTTCTGCAGGCCATATTAGAATCTCCACTGCAACTAAAACAGCTCTCCTCTGACATCCTTGAGTCTTGCTTCCTTATTCCTCTGTCTCTTATAAGGACACTTGTCATTGGATTTAGGGCCCACCTGGATGATCCAGGATGATCTCATCTGGAGATCTTTAATTACATCAGCAAAGACTTTGTTTCTAAACATGGTAACATTCTAAGTAAGGTGACATTTATGCTGCTGTTCTGCAGGTATGAGGCACAAATAATAGTTACTCCTTTTTAATGTAAAATGTGAAAAATATTTTCATAATTTATTGCTATCAGCAGTCTTGAGTTTTGCACTAAGTGCTTTAAGAGTATTTACAGTGGGCTGGGCACAGTGGCTCACACCTGTAATCCCAACACTTTGGAAGGCTGAGGCGGGCAGATTACAAGGTCAAGAGATCGAGACCATCCTGGCCAACATGGTGAAACCCTGTCTCTACTAAAAATACAAAAATTAGCTGGGCGTGATGGCGCGTACCTGTAGTCCCAGCTGCTCGGGAGGCTGAGACAGAAGAATCGCTTGAACCCAGGAGGTGGAGGTTGCAGTGAGCCGAGATCATGCCACTGCACCCCAGCCTGGCAACAGAGCGAGACTCAGTCTCAAAAAGAAAAAAGTATTTACAGTGATCTTAGGGAGAAAAGGGGGTGTGATTTCATTTTCTTTATACTCTAAAAACATTTCCCCAGTTATTTGATTCAGTGATTATTTAAGGCCATGCACTATCAGTATATTCATTCAAGTAGTCATCTAATAATCAGATTCCAAAAACAATAAGAGTTGCTATTCATTGAGCTATTACTTGCTGCACTCTATATTAGTGCTTTCCAAGTATCTTGTCATTATTTAACTTATAGCACCCCATGAGGCTGTATTTTCTCAGTTTTACAAATTAGGTCATTGACTTGCTCAGACTCATACAATTGATCAAGGTTTAAAAGACAATTGATCAGTGAGATGACAGTCTAGAAGGAGAGAATAACTGAAAACAGATACTAAAATGACTGGTAATTGCCCGATAGAAGGTTGTTTCTCCAAGGGTGGTCCCCCGGCCCACTCATGGATCACTGAGGTCCTCCGTTGGGACGTGAAGGGCTCCAATACCCAAGTCCTTTCATAATTTTTTCTTTTTTTGAGACGAAGTTTCACTCTTGTCACCCAGGCTGGAGTGCAATGGCGCGATCTCAGCTCACTGCAACCTCCGCCTCCCGGGTGCAAGTGATTCTTCTGCCTCAGCCTCCTAAGTAGCTGGGATTACAGGTGCCCACCACCACACCTGGCTAATTTTTTATATTTTTAGTAGAGACGGGGTTTCACCATGTTGGCCAGGCTGGTCTCAAACTCCTGACCTTCAGGTGATCCACCCACCTTGGCCTCCCAAAGTGCTGGGATAACAGGCGTGAGCCACTGTGCCCAGCCCACAATTTTTTAAATGACCTAATTATTGGCAGTTGTGCACATTATTTTTTCTAAGTTCATCAGATGACTATTTACTGTTAACCTATTACATGAGTTATTAAGCTTTCTGAAGTCCAATGCTTATAAACAAAAATTAGCATTTTACTAGCTTTTCCTGAAGTGTCCTTCAGAAGGATTTAGCATCCTTTTAAAGCCAGCTGCCCTTCTGTACTTAGCAGTGTCTCACAGCTCCTTGGCTCACACTGTTGTTTGGAATTCCCCTCAAGTGGAGGAAGGGGACAGCTTTGCTGTCACTCATTAGCATTCTCTTCAGTTGGCTGTGGCTGTCAGTTGCTGGTATCTTAAAACGAATATCTTGTAGAAGGATTATTAGATGTTACTTTGTTGATAGATTTGTCCTTGTGTGACTGCTTTGTTTTTGCCATCTTGATTATTTTTGCCCGATTCTGTGTTATTATTGAGTTCTTTTCCACTGGAAATTAGAAATGGGTGGTGTAGATGAGCTTGGGAGTTGTTTGTCTTAGAATGGTCAGAAATATTTGTAGCCAAAGCTCCTGAGTTGGAAACAAAAGGAATGAATATCTGAGGCTTCCTGGGAACATTGGGCTTTCAAGGATGGGGAGTAGAAAAGCATTCCAGCAGAGGGAAGGGTGTGGGAGGGATGGTTGCAGAATGTCAAGAAGTTGTGCTGCACTGTGGTGCAAGTATTTTGGACTAGTGAAAATTTGTATCTCTGTCAGATTTAAATGACTTTGCTAAGGACCGAGTCCCATGTCAAAGATGTAGCAGTCCACATTTGGCCTGTAGCCAGCAGAGCGCCCAACAGAGCTTTGTAGGTGTGACATAATGGGTGGAGTTGGATTGGTGTATATCTTTCTCCTGCATGTCCTTGACCAGGGAAGATACATTCAAGGAACAAGAACTAAATGTTAACAGTTTTCTGGGTTGTTAATAATATTGGGGCAGGTGCTGGCTATCACCCAAATGAGGGTCTGTCTAGGAAGCTGTGCTGGAGCAGGCCACACTGGTCTGCAAGCCTCTGAGGGGATGCTTCCTCTCTTACCTCGGGAGCTATGATGGTGGAGGCTGCAGTGCAGACCAGACCTGTTCTAGCAGTGTCAGGTGAAGAGAAGGGAAATGGGCAGATCAAGTGGGGGACTGCCTCCAGGGGCCAGGCCTGTGGTCGGTGTTCATCCGGTAGGGGTAGGAAGTGGAACGAGAGGGTGGGCCCTGGACTTCAGCGTTTGATGCATATCAGCCATGCCCACAAGTAAAGTACACTCTCACGAGGGAAGTTACAAAGCAGGTGGAGAGAGGCAGAAGTTTTCTCCCCACCTTCCCTCTAGGGAGGATAAAATGGAATTAAGAATTAGGAAACTACTCGGGAGGCTGAGGCAGGAGAATGGCGTGAACCCGGGAAGCGGAGCTTGCAGTGAGCCGAGATTGCGCCACTGCAGTCCGCAGTCCGGCCTGGGCGACAGAGCGAGACTCCGTCTCAAAAAAAAAAAAAAAAAAAAAAAAAAGAATTAGGAAAAGTAAAACCTCATTGTAAGCTAAATATTGATTTCCCTACATCAGTTCCCAACTTTATTTCCCTGTCATAAAGGGCCATTCCCCTAAATATGCGGGGAATAATCCCTGAAGTCTGAGTTACTCAGCTCAGATCTGCACCATCAGGGCTGGGGAAGAGTAGTTCCAGGGGATTAAAAGAATTTATATTCCATGTCAAATGGAACTGTCCTTGGTGGGCTCTTTGTATAGCTCTTCTCACCTGAGTTACAGGTACACAGCTGTGTTCTTGTGAGTGTCCAGAAAACAATGAAACACACACGCCCCTCCCCAAGACAAATATTTTTAAAGACAGTAATAAACAAAAGAGAAGCAACATCTAAAATTCACCTATTCCTACAAGAGCACTTCTACTTACACCAGAGTTAATATTCTGCATTATTATCTAGATCAGTGTTTTTTCTTTTCTTTATTCCACACCAAACAAAGGGGGGTCATTATTGAGCCATATGCCTTTTAACAGTTTACCTCAGCTTCCCAAAGATCTGGTCAAAGCTTTAAAGTTCCTGAAGTTACTCTGTAGAAGCCTGGTTAAATTCTTAGACAAGGTACCATCTTCCTGTGGAGTCTGTGGGCAGGGTAGGTCCAGAGCTGATTTTCACCTGGTATACACCACTTTAGCGCTACTGATTATTACTTTTTTTTTTTTTTTTTTGAGACATGGTCTCACTCCATTTCCCAGACTGGAGTGCAGTGGTATGATCACCATTCGCTGCAACCTCGACGTCTTGGCCTTAGGTGATCTTCCCACCTCAGAGTCCCAAGTAGTTGGGACCCATAGGCATGTGCAATCCCGCCTGGCGAGTTTTTTTGTATTTTTTGTAGAGACGGGATCTCTCTATGTCGCCCAAGCTGGTCTCAAACTTCTGGGCTCAAGAGATCCTCATGTCTCGGCCTCCCAAAGTGCTGATATTACAGGCATGTTTTTATTATGATCCTGGTAGGGAGGGCAGTGGATCTATTCTTCTAGTTTTGTTTATGATCATTTTATTTTTCTGTTTTACTTTGTCACTGGATTTAGTATTACATTGAGTTAACCCTGGTAAATTTCTTGACTATCTGCCATTTATAAAATTTGGTAGATATAAATTTTTATTACAGGCTCTTTTAGGCTTCTAGATTTGGCATAAAGGGAGAATAGTGATGCCTTTCTAAGTCAGATGAGAGAAAAACTTACGAAGAACACTAGACAGATTTATTTATTTATATTAAATGTTTGCATTAATTTTCTAAAATATGATCACACCTACCAGCGCTATCAAAATAAAGTGAGAGAGAAATGAGAAGTTGATTTGTATTTAGTTTTATAACTCTATTTTTCTTTCCCATATGTCCTCTTTTGAATAAAGTTCATTGTTTTCATGGAAGCTTTTACCCTGTGGAGAAGAGAACAAAGCTGTACAATGTTTCTTTTTATCCTAAGAATCATGAAAGTGGCATCAGTAAAATTTTACTTTGGGAGGCCAATTGAAAGGAAGACGCCCTAGAAATTCAATGAAAGAAGAAAATTAATTTTTAAAGCTACGACAAAATTAATAATAATCTGAGTAAACAATAAAGAATGTCATCAGTGGACCCGTAATTTTGAGGACTCTTTGAAATGTAACTAGTAGGTAGGGATAGATCTGTTGAGAGAAAACGTTACAGTTGTCTGGAGCACTGGGGTCAGAGAGGCAGGGCTGTCCTAGAGGTAGCTACTGACTTGCAAGAGAAGCTGCCTCACAGACCTGGCAGCGTATCCCATCTCTCTGCCAGAGTTCCTGAAGGCAGGCCACAGTAGTCGCAGTGGGGAAATGGATGTTTTCCAATACAAATGTAAGTAGACATTAAAAATCACCAAACAATTCAAGAAAGCCAGTACCCAGAGAATTACCAAATTAAAACACAGAACTAACTCCTGAGAAAATAGAAAAACATTAGATGGTGATTTTCAGAAGAAAAAAAGGTTATTTTTGGAAAGATGCATGAGAATATTGCATTAATTAAAAAAATACTAGATACAGGCCAGGCGTGGTAGCTCACACCTGTAATCCCAGCACTTTGGAAGGCTGATGGTGGGCACATCACGAGGTCAGGAGATGGAGACCATCCTGGCTAACATGGTGAAACCCCGTCTCTACTAAAAATACAGAAAATTAGTCAGGTGTGGTGATGAGCGCCTGTAGTCCCAGCTGCCCGGGAGGCTGAGGCAGGAGAATGGCGTGAACCCAGGAGACGGAGCTTGCAGTGAGGTGAGATCGCGCCGCTGCACTCCAGCCTGGGAGGCACAGCGAGACTCCGACTCAAAAAAAAACAAAAAAAAAAAACTAGCTACTTTAGAAATTTAGAATTTACTGATTCATAGAAAAGACAATGGCTGAATTCACAAAACTAAAAAGCAAGTTTGCAATCTGGAGAAGTAAGTTAAAGAATCACAAAAGAGCAAAGAGATCAAAAGTATGAACAAGAAGCCAGGAAACCTGAACACTATTTCTAAGGGAAGTTGGGGCTTTTTGTAGGGATGTGGAGTTGCTGGGAAAGAAGGGGGAATGAAGACGTGCTAATGCCACTTCTTGTTTAGGAGGAGGTGAGCATACTCATGAGCCCTAGGTGTTGATAGGAAAATATGAGTTTATGTGTGTGTGTGTGTACATATACGTGTGTGATGGATACATATATAAAGATGTTAATGTACATGTGTGTATATAGCTAACTAGAGTTAGAGTTTCCCTAATAAGATGTATAACTTTCAAACTACTGAATGGAAAGGGAAAAAGGTCTTAGGGTGGTTGAGGACAAAGTAAACTCAATCATATTAATAAGGCAGAAACTTAAGAAGAAAGCATTAAACACAAAACAAGATGGCAGGAATAGATCTAAACATATGAGTAAAAACAATAAATTTGAATGGATTAAGTTTCTCTTAAAAGACATTAACCCTCAGATTGGGTAAAGAAAGAAAAAAATCCAGCTACATGCTACTTATCCAGAGTTAAAGGTACAACTTAAAAAAAAAAAAAACTAAAAAGAGAGAGAGACTTCGAACACTTGAAAATACAAACACAAGATAAATCAGGAAATGGTTAATATAAAAATGTAGATGGGAAAATTATCATCAGACAAAATGGCATTTAAGGTAAAATATTTAATTGGCATAGTCTTTTTATATGATAAAAGATTAAATCCCTAAGAAGATATGTGTCATAAACATCAAGACATCTAATAAAAAACAATTGAAATATAAAAAGCAAAAACTAAAAGACATAGATTAATTGACAAGTCCATGTTCAAGGTGGGAAATCCTACAATAGTCCTTTATACAGAATCAGCAGTTCAACAGACAAAAATATAATGAAGGACATGGAGAAGTTGAGTGATAAAAATAATAAAGTGATAAAGTTGCCCTTGTATTTAAGGACTCCCCCAAATGGGTATTCTCATATACTGTTGATGGAAGTGTAAATTTGTAAAGCTTTTTGGAAAGGTATTACCTATCAGCATGTAGGAAACTCCCATCTCTGACTCTGCCTTTCTACTTTGAGCAATCTTTCCTAACTAAATAATGCATTTGTACCCAAAGATGTTGCCAAGGATGTTCATTGCTGTATGGTTTGGTAACAAACATAGGAAAACAAACTAAATGCCCATTAGTAGGTGAATAGTTGAACAAATTATATTACATCTATGTTATGGGATACCATTTAGCCATTAAAAAGAGTGAAATAGTTCTGTATGGATTATTATGGGAAGAACGTTAAGATATATTAAGTGAAAAATGTAAGGTGCAGGACAATACACACAATTTGGTAAAAAAATTGAAAAGGAAATAAACACATCTGTATATAAGCATGAGCATTTGTCTGGGAGATTATACAATACAAACAACTGTTAATAGTGGTTGATTTTGGAAAAGGGGAGTTTGGGATGAGGGAGAAAAGGGCAGCTTTTACTTTCCATTTTTATATCTTTTTATACCCTTCAAATGTTTTAACTCTATGGATGTATTACTTTTATTCTAAACTGTAGCCATATCTAGTCTATTTTATGATATTTACTGTGTCTGTATGTATATGTATGAACATGTATTCCAGTGTGCACTTTATAGATGGCTTATACTATTTGCTACTTCTTCTTGTCTGTGTTTTCATGTTTCCATAATTATGCTGAATTAAGTGTGTGCTATCATGTTTAGATTTATGTTATTTTCATGCTTAACAAAACCATGCTGAACAGTATCTGTGATGGACACAATGATAGCTCACTTGTACTGGGTGTGCTAGGCACCGGACTGAGTGTTGAATAAATAACTGCCCAGAAGGAAGCAGATGCCCCTAAGTTACCTAGAAAACTTCAGTCTAATATTAATGGCTTCTTCAATAGTTGTAGAATTGATATTTAATGAATCTTTTTTTAAAAAAAACCTTATAAATGAGACAGGGTCTTACTCTTATCTCTCAGGCTGGAGTGCAGTGGTGGCTCACTGTAGCCTTGACCTCCCAGGCTCAAGCAATCCTCCCACCTCAGCCTTCCAAGCAGCTGGGACCACAGACATGCACCACCAGGACAGGCTAATTTTTTTATTCGTGTGTGTATATGTAGAGGCAGGGTCTCCCTGTATTGCCCAGGCTGGGCTCGAACCCCTGGGCTCAAGCGATCCTCCTGCCTTGGCCACTGAAAGTACTGAGATTACAAGGTGTGAGCCACCACCCACAGTCTAATAAATCTTAATGTTGTACTATTTGAATCCTGTCAAGATGTCTTAACTAGCTAAGAAATAGTTAGAAAGGGTATCTGATAGAATGTAGCTCTGCTGTGGTTCTTAGCTTTTTGGCTGGAAAAAGGAGTGTGACATTTCCAAAGCTGCCTTTGAGTAAATGCTTACCTCAAACTTGAGAAATGTGTTCACCTGTAAACCTGCCTTTTTAAGAATTTTTTTCTTTCTTGCAGGGTAACGCCATCCTCTGAAAATCCTAATGGTGCTACTTCTAGTGTCAGCCAAGGAAAACCCTCTTTAAGACGAATTAAAGGGAGATTACACAGAAGCAAAAGCCTTGATAGCATGGATTTCTGTGAGCTCACTGTAAGTGGACTGATCAATGCTTTTCTCATTTTTCCAAAGAGTATGAAAGTTTTTATTTTATTATTTTCATAAAAATGCAGCAGACTTATTTTGTGGCAGGCATTTTTTAATTTTAGAAATGGTTCACCCAACAGTTTACCAACCAGAATGTTTTCTTAACTAGCATGGATATGATAACATTGGTAAAATGGTTCATAATGATGATTCTGATCCAAATATGAAGATAGAGAAATGCTTCCTGACCTCTACAAGAAAAATTGATTTAAGTTCGATAGAGTATTAATGTGAATATCTTATAAAATCACAAATCCACATGTTAATATAAGTAGAGACTTAAGTGTCTGATTAACCCCAAACACCCAGCTTCCTGGTAGTGCCAGACAATAATTACTCTGATATTATTAGTACGGATCCCAATTCAGTTAATGATGGTGCTTTCTTTCTATTCTTTTTTTTTTTTTTTTTTTTTTTTTTTTTTAAAGAGCCAGGGTCTCCTTCTGTTGCCCTGACTGGAGTGCAGTGGTGCAATCATGGCTCACTGCAGCCTTGAACACCTGGGCTCATGTGATCCTCCCACATCAGCCTCCCAAGTAGTTGGGACTATAGGCGTGTGCCACTATGCCTGGCTAGTTTTTTAATATTTTGTAGAGATGGGGTCTCACTATGTTGCCCTGGCTGGTCTTGAACTCCTGGCACTTTCTTTTTATTCTAAGTGATTACATTAATGGTCATATTTTTTTCAAGGCCAAGTGACAGGTTCTTATTTCTCATATGGAAATGTGGTAAATTCATGCATGTTTTTGGAGGAACACTGGCACTTTCAGGCCCCACTTGAATAAAAAAGATACTGTAATGCCATAAAGCAAATA
This sequence comes from Homo sapiens, assembly GCF_000001405.40. Lineage (NCBI taxonomy): Eukaryota > Metazoa > Chordata > Mammalia > Primates > Hominidae > Homo > Homo sapiens. The sequence goes on along the minus strand of NW_011332701.1, from coordinate 2,128,050 downwards.
CTAGAATTTTCTTTGCTGTAAAAAGGTTTTATTTCAATTGGTGTATCATAAGGTTCAATGGCAAATTAATGAATGTTTAGGTTATTTGGTAGACCTGATATGTTCATTTCTGTCCTTTGAGTTTTGAAAAATTTTGAATGATAAAGGTACCATCGGCCATTGTTTCAAAAAATGACATCAAAATATGAAACTAAATTCTGTCTTTTTCATCTCTTATCTATAACTACTGAAAATAAAAGCTCAGTAAATGTGAATACTCTATTATTATTATTTTTTTTTTTCTGAGATGGAGTCTTGCTCTGTTGCCCAGGCTAGAGTGCAGTGGCACGATCTCGGCTCACTGCAACCTCTGCTTCCCGGGTTCAAGCAATTCTCCTGCCTCAGCCTCCTGAGTAGCTGGGATTACAGGCGCCCGCCACCACGCCTGGGTAATTTTTTGTATTTTTAGTAGAGACAGGGTTTCACCATCTTGGCCAGGCTGGTCTCAAACTACTGACCTTGTGATCCACCCGCCTCGGCCTCCTAAATTGCTGGGATTACAGGCGTGAGCCACCGTGCCCGGCCAATACTCTATTTTTTTTACATTTATTTTAATTTGTTTACATTTATTTTACATGTATTTTTACATTTTTACTAAAATAATTTTATTCAAGCATTTTACCTTAAAATGTTCTTGAATGCTTTTATGACACAAGACATAAATAGGTAAAATGTGACCTACCAGAAGACATTTAACCAAGAACAGAAAAAGAATAAAAAGACAGTAAATTCTTGCTGAGTAGAACTAACAGTTAAGGTGACTAAAGAAAATATAAATGTACTTCAAAATGAAGTGAATTGCTTTTCAAAAGTGAAACATTGAATTAATCAAGAAACAAATTTAAATTATTTGTTGGAATATAAAAATGGAAATTTAAATTTTATCAGCTTTTTTTCTATTGTGCAAAACATTGTCATTACTGAAGCATAATCATATAACTAATTAATTTTACATGTCATAAAATATATTTATTTGCATAAACAGAATCATTCTGGTTGGTGGAGAGGTTATAATGTTTCTAGAATGTAGCAGACAAAAAGCTTTACAGAGAAAAAGATGGCCTTCAGTTTTCCACAAATAGAAATGACAAATAGAGCCATGTTTTTATCATAATAAATATGTTTTAAAATTATGGAGAGTTTATTTTCTCCCTCATTTCATGAAAGAATTGATCTGGTTGAAGTTAGTACACACTCCAAGCAGGGAAAAAATAATGCTACCCAGGTGCAGAATTAATTTCTTTCTTTTTGATGGTTTTTCTATTTGACTCTGTCTCAAAAGTGAAATGTCTTAGTATCCCTGAAGGGAGGCATTTTAACATTGATGTTAAAAGAGAGGAAAAGTTGAGGTTCACAGAAGGCTTATTCCAGGGAGGAGCTGTATGTTCTGGTGTAATGGTTCCCTTGGCTTCATGGACGATGTTGTTTTAAATTTTGGTTTTCTACTTCTGAAGAGTGCATTGAAAAGCCATGGACTTTGGTATGCTGACATTTCATTCCTCAGCAATGGGAATGTATTAATGAAGTCTAATTTCTGCAATTCATTTGAGTTTTTTGCAACTTGTGTTCATTTTCTTACTCAGGTTTTTGAGGTCATGCGTGGTGGAGCAACAATTTACATTTCCTGTATCTTACTCTGCATGTTTTTAGATTGTTAGAAATTTTCACAATGAGCATGTTTCATTTTTAGAAAAGCAATAACTGATTTTCCAAGCAATAAAAAAAATAAATAAGAAGAGCTTAACAGCTTGGCTCCTCCCACTTTCTACCATAAGATATGGCAATTAATACTGTAATACCCAAAATATGTAGGGGCATATAGCATTTCTGGCATGGGGCTAAAAACATTTTTTTCCCTACACTTTAAAAATTCTGTCTTTTTGGCCAGGCATGGTGGCTCACGTCTGTAATCCCAGCACTTTGGGAGGCCAAGGTGGGTGGATCACCTGAGGTCAGGAGTTTGAGACCAGCCTGGCCAACATGGCACAACCCCGTCTCTATTAAAAAGACAAAAATTAGCTGGGCATGGTGGCAGGTGCCTGTAATCACAGCTACTCGGGAGCCTGAGGCAGGAGAATGGCTTGAACTCGGGAGGTGGAGGTTGCAGTGAGCCAAGATGGTGCCACCGCACTCCAGTCTGGACGACAGAGCGAGACTCCGTTGCAAAAAAAAAAAAAAAAAAAAAAAAAAAAAAAATCTGTCTTCTTTTATGAAAGAAGGAAGAGGGGGGCTACACATTTGAAAAAAACATGGATTCGAAAAGGGTTTCTTAGAAGATGAAAGGTATTCAGAATTGTTTTTCTAAGGAAGTTGACTTTGTAATATAATCATGTAGAACCAATTTAAAACCTTAGCCACAGAAGTCTGAAGGGAAGGTATTTGGTAAAGGATCTGTAATGACTTCTAATTACATAGGAATAGAAATCTTTATTTCCTTTAGGAAGTACCTTAGCCACCATAGATACCACTTTGTAAATGTTCTTACAGTTCAAACAACTCTGAAAACTTTACACACTATTTTACAAATTTATTTAAAAATTCTGATTAAATGTATGACTCCCTATGACTGCCAAAGTAAATACAGAACCTTGAAATAGGAAAGCTTAGACTTAGTTAATAATCTCCTGGCATATATACATATCAAATTTGTATAACTAACAGAATAATATTTCTATTTTTATTTTTATATTTTACTTTTAATTTTTCCAAATTTGTCTAAGGAAAAATACAACTTTTATTGCTTTTAGAAAAACATAGCAAGTGGAGCAAGAGATCCACTTGCTGTAGTTTCCTGGTCCCAGTTTCTGGCTGAGAGGCCTCAGGTTCCAGCTGAGCCTGTTGGCTTTGGTCCCGGGCATCATCAGAATGATGCCATTTCACTCCTGGGGAGAAGTGATTGTTTCAGCTTTCTCTGTGGGGATTAAATGGGATGGGCATTCTAGTTCATTTTGTAACCCTGCAGGATAATTGATTGGCATCCTAGTTTACTGACAGGGATTGGAATCCATCCAGTCTCCCTGGTTCCTTGAGGCAGTGTCCCAGAGATGCTTGGTAAAATTCTCTTAGGCATAGCCTGGACTCAACAATTCTGTTCTGTGTATGTGTTTTGCCTAGAAAACCTGAGCCCTTCTTCAATGTTGTAATGAGTAAAATGGTACATAAACCAGATGGCAGGTTCTTTTTTTTCCCCCTGGGGGTGATAGACATATAACAATCAATATGAAAAAGAAAAGTGACCTTTTGTCTTTAGATTTAGTGAATGATGTTTACATTCCTAGCTGTTCCATTTCACTCTGGTGTTGGATTCTAAGTGTATAGTCAAAGAAGTTTAAGTGATAATTTAAAAATTTAACAAATTGCTTGAAATTTTGCAGCTTCTTTTATTAAACCTCCTTCCTAAAATAGGGGAATGGAGCCAGTTGGGTGAAGTTCATTCTGTTTGGGAGGAAGGTATTCTAGAACATAAACTTAGGCAGTTTATTTCCTGCTTTGTGGGTGTAAATCTAGATTGCTGCTTATCTCTCTGCCAACAGAAAAATACTACAAAAAGTTTTGTGCAGTGAATAGAAACAATGATCCAATTAACAGTTTATGGTGATGTTCCCTTAACCTTGAGTGACAGGGGATTCAGTCATCACTGATAATCATTAGGCAAAAGGGATACATGTTTCAAAAACTTTAGAGGAGTTTTTGTCATTAGAGGGGGAAATATGTGAGAAGATATTATTTGGAATGTTACATTTGAGTACATTTTTGGGTTAATAAATCACATGTCACTGCTCCTTGAATAATTGTTTTGTTTTTTTAATAGCAGTGATTTTTTTTCGATTTGAAAAGACACTTCTTTCTCCTGATATAAAAAAGTATCTGGCCAGGCACGGAGGTTCATGCCTGTAATCCCAGCACTTTGGGAGGCCGAGGCGGGTGGATCTTCTGAGGTCAGGAGTTCGAGACCAGCCTGGTCAACCTGGTAAAACCCTGTCTCTACTAAAAATCCAAAAATTAGCTGGGCATGGTAGCGGGCACCTATAATCCCAGCTACTTGGGAGGCTGAGGCAGAAGAATCACTCGAACCCAGGAGGCAGAGGTTGCAGTGAGCCGAAATCATGCCATTGCACTCCAGCCTGGGTGACAGAGCAAGACTCCATCTCAAAAAAAAAGGAAAAGAAAAAAAGAGTATCCATGCAGACTAACAGGAAATATCTGTAACCCTGTGAAGATATCGAAGATGAAAAATTTCTCCTCCTCCCTCAACCCCTCATGTAATTGATGTAATTGATGCATGTAATTGATCAATTTAACTTATTTAACAAATGATTCTATGTGTGGCACTCACTAAATGCCACGCACTGTTCTAGGCACTTTAATTACATTAGCTATTTCCTCCTCATAACAACTTTGTCAATTAGATACAGCTATTACCATCAGCCTCATTTTACAGATAAGGATATGGGGTTACAGAATGTAACCTCGAGACTTCCTACTATGAGACTGGTGGGACCCTGAGAGGCCTCAGGGACCTGTTTTGACACAAAACTGCCTTTTGACTTTAAACACATCCTAAGTTTTTCTCCACCATGGGCGCCTGGCTGGTGAGAAGGGAGCTGGGCATGAAATGGTGAGAACACGGTAGAAAGAAAGTCCATGGAGGGACATGGACACCACTTCTGGGCTTCCCAGTTCTGTGGAAGGGACTGGCCCCTTCCCCCGTTCTCACTCCCACTCTTATCACCAGTTCTCCCATCACCAGTACGAGAGCCTGGAAGAAACTGCAGGGAGCATCATGGGCTCCTCTGCTCTGGGCACACGGTGATGATTGAGTGGTTATGGTGGTAGAAGTAGTGGTAGTGGTGGAGGTGGAGGTCATGGTGGAGGTGGAGTTGGTGGTGGAAGAGGAGGTGGTGGTGATGATGGTGTACTTATGGTGGTAGAAGTGGTGGTGGTTATGGTGGTGGAGGTAGAGGTGGTGGTAGTAGTGGTAATGGAGGTGGTGGTGGTGGCACAGGAAGTGGTGGTGAAGGAGGTGGTGGTGGTGGAGGTAGCGGTGGTGAAGGTGGAAGTGGAGGTGGTGGTCATAGAGGTGGTAGTGAAGGAGGTGGTGGTGGTGGAGGTAGCGGTGGTAAAGGTGGAGATGGAAGTGGTGGTGGTGGTGGTGGTGGAGGTGGTGGTTGTGGTGGTGGTGGAGGTGGTGGTGGAGGTGGTGGTTGTGGAGGTGGTGCTGGTGGTGGGAGGTGGTGGTGAAGGTGGAGGTGGAAGTGGTGGTTGTGGAGGTGGAGGTGGTGGAGGTAGAGGTGGAGGTGGTGGAGGTGGAGGTGGAGGTGGTGGTTGTGGAGGTGGAGGTGGTGGAGGTGGAGGTGGAGGTGGTGGTTGTGGAGGTGGTGGAGGTGGTGGTGGTGGTGGAGGTGGAGGTGGTGGTGGTGGAGGTGGTGGTTGTGGAGGTGGTGGAGGTGGTGGTGGTGGTGGAGGTGGAGGTGGTGGAGGTGGAGGTGGTGGTTGTGGAGGTGGTGGAGGTGGTGGTGGTGGTGGAGGTGGAGGTGGTGGTTGTGGAGGTGGTGGAGGTGGTGGTGGTGGTGGAGGTGGTGGTGGTGGTAGAGGTGGTTGCCGTTGTGGATGTGGAGGTGTTCGAGTGCGTGGGTGAGTGGTGGGGGTGAGTGAGTGCTTTGGTTGTGAGGGTGTGTGTGCGTGGGTGTGTGTGGGTGTGGAGGTGCGGGGGTGTTGGGGAGTGCGTGACTGCTGCCAGCCCTCTGAGCAAGTGTGCGTAGAGCGTGTAGTGTGTGATGATTGAGTGGTTATGGTGGTAGAAGTAGTGGTAGTGGTGGAGGTGGAGGTCATGGTGGAGGTGGAGTTGGTGGTGGAAGAGGAGGTGGTGGTGATGATGGTGTACTTATGGTGGTAGAAGTGGTGGTGGTTATGGTGGTGGAGGTAGAGGTGGTGGTAGTAGTGGTAATGGAGGTGGTGGTGGTGGCACAGGAAGTGGTGGTGAAGGAGGTGGTGGTGGTGGAGGTAGCGGTGGTGAAGGTGGAAGTGGAGGTGGTGGTCATAGAGGTGGTAGTGAAGGAGGTGGTGGTGGTGGAGGTAGCGGTGGTAAAGGTGGAGATGGAAGTGGTGGTGGTGGTGGTGGTGGAGGTGGTGGTTGTGGTGGTGGTGGAGGTGGTGGTGGAGGTGGTGGTTGTGGAGGTGGTGCTGGTGGTGGGAGGTGGTGGTGAAGGTGGAGGTGGAAGTGGTGGTTGTGGAGGTGGAGGTGGTGGAGGTAGAGGTGGAGGTGGTGGAGGTGGAGGTGGAGGTGGTGGTTGTGGAGGTGGAGGTGGTGGAGGTGGAGGTGGAGGTGGTGGTTGTGGAGGTGGTGGAGGTGGTGGTGGTGGTGGAGGTGGAGGTGGTGGTGGTGGAGGTGGTGGTTGTGGAGGTGGTGGAGGTGGTGGTGGTGGTGGAGGTGGAGGTGGTGGAGGTGGAGGTGGTGGTTGTGGAGGTGGTGGAGGTGGTGGTGGTGGTGGAGGTGGAGGTGGTGGTTGTGGAGGTGGTGGAGGTGGTGGTGGTGGTGGAGGTGGTGGTGGTGGTGGAGGTGGTGGTGGTGGTGGAGGTGGAGGTGGTGGTGGTGGAGGTGGAGGTGGTGGTGGTGGAGGTGGTGCTGGTTGTGGGAGGTGGTGGTGAAGGTGGAGGTGGAGGTGGTGGTTGTGGAGGTGGAGGTGGTGGTTGTGGAGGTGGAGGTGGTGGAGGTGCAGGCGGTGCTTCTGGAGGTGGAGGTGGTGGAGGTGGAGGTGGTGGTGGTGGTGGTGGAGGTGGTGGTGGTGGTGGAGGTGGTGGTGGTGGAGGTGGAGGTGGTGGTTGTGGAGGTGGAGGTGGTGGTTGTGGAGGTGGAGGTGGTGGTGGTGGAGGTGGAGGTGGTGGTGGTGGAGGTGGTGCTGGTTGTGGGAGGTGGTGGTGAAGGTGGAGGTGGAGGTGGTGGTTGTGGAGGTGGAGGTGGGGGTGGTGTTGTGTGTGTGTGGAGTGTGGTGGTGATGTAGCAGTGTGAAGATGTGTGGTGGAGGTGGTGGTTGTGGAGGTGGTGGAGGTAGTGGTGGTGAAAGTGGTGGTGGTGGTGGTGGAGGTGATGGCGGTGGAGGTGATGGAGGTGATGGAGGTGGTGGTGGTGGAGGTGGTGGAGGTAGTGGTGGTGAAAGTGGAGGTGGTGGTGGTGGAGGTGCTGGTGGTGGAGGTGATGGAGGTGGTGGTGGTGGAGGTAGTAGTGGAGGTGGTGAAGGTGGAGGTGGAGGTGGTGGTTGTAGAGGTGGAAGTGGTGGAGGTGGTGGTGAAGGAGTAGGTTGTGGTGGTAGAGGTGGTGGTGGAGGTGGCGGAGGTGATGGTGGTGGGTGTTTGTGAGGGTAGAAGTGGTGGAGGTGGTGGTGAAGGAGTAGGTTGTGATGGTAGAGGTGGTGGAGGGGGTGGTGGTGGTGGAGTTGGAAGAGGAGGAGGTGGTGGTGGAGGTGTTATTAGTAGTAGATGTGGAGGTAGAGAGTGATTGAGCCTTCTTCTCTTCTTACAGTGGGCTGAGTCTTTCACGTTCTGAGGTCGTTGAAATGTTCCTGTTTGCAAATAACAGAACACTAACTCAAACTGGTCTAAATAATAAAGATATTAAGTTATATACTAGAAGTTCTGCAGTAGGATGTTCTTCAGGGCTAATTGAATCCTGTGGGTCTGGTTCCATTTTCCTGGGATACTTTGCATCTCCCCTCCTCTGCGTAGGCTTCCTCGGTAGGCTTGTGCCATGCCATGGGCAGCAGTTCAGGCCTCACGTCCACAAGGATAAAGGCCAGGGGCAGTGTCTCTTTCTGTGGCTCTCTTTCAAGCATAGAAAACTTCCCCTAAAGTTCTCTTTCCTACTTCTCATTTCTGTCTCACTGGACCTTATGCTGGACCAGGCTCTGGCCTGGTGAATGTCATGTATTGATTTTCTTAGCTGGGTTCTTTGACCAAAGGAAAAGTCTGAGACTCCATAAATAATGGCCATAAGAATATAAAAGATAAAAGACATGGTATTAATAAGGTAAGACTGTTTAGGACAGGAGCAAATAAATAATCCTCAAATATCACTCAGTGCCTTTGGTTGATTGAATGATTGTCTTTTTTTTTTTTTTTTTGTGATGGAGTGTTGCTCTGTTGCCAGGCTGGAGTGTGATGGCACGATCTCGCCTCACTGCAACCTCCGCCTGCTGGGTTCAAGCGATTCTCCTGCCTCAGCAGGAGTGACTGGGACTACAGGCGGGCACCACCATGCCCAGCTAATTCTTGTCTTTTTAGTAGAGATGGGGTTTTACCATGTTGTCCAGGATGGTCTTGATCTCTTGACCTCGTGATCCGCCCACCTTGGCCTCCCAAAGTGCTGGGATTACAGGTGTGAGCCACCGTGCCCACCCAAATGATTGTCATTTAAAGTAAAGTAACAGGAGCATTTTTCTCTTGTAGCAAGGAGTGTGGGGGAAGGCAGCCCAGGGTTGGCACAGCTGTGCTGTGATGTTCCCAGAGACCAGCCTTCCGCACTGTTCCAGGCTGCCCTCGTTTTATAGGCCTCAGCCCTCATTCGTCCAGTCTCTAGGTGGCTGCTGTGACTCTGCCCTCACATGCTGTATTTCTAACAAAAATAATGGGGCAGAGTAAAGGGTCAGAAAACTTTCTCCTAGTGAAGCTTTGCCCTTTAGTTTCAGGGGAGATGCCCTCCCCAGGGACATCTCTCTACATCTCCTTGGCAAGAATTGCATCACATTGCCATTTTCTGTTCTAAGGGAGGGTGGAAAATGGGGAGTTTTGGTGGCACAGGCTCCTAGGGATGAAAATGGGTTCTGCTAGTAAGGAAGAAGGAGGAAACGGGTACTTTGTAGGTAACTAGCAGGGTCTGCTCCGCCAGACCTCCCAGCAAGTCTTTAACTCACAGACCAGAAAATTAATGCCACAGTAGAAGCCAACTCATAAATAGGTTAAATTATAGTTGCTGTCATGGCATTTTCAGAGATACGTATCTGAGGTGTCTGCATAATTCAAAATTCCTATGATTCTGAGACTATTTTTCCCATAGGACTCTCAATAAGCTACAAGTATGGTGGCTTATTTCTGTTTTCAGATAAATCGGTTTGCCATGGACCAGTAATAGACACACAGGTTAATTCACTCAGCCTGCCAGTTTAAAATTATGTAATTCTAGGTGCTTAGTTTTAATTTGGGACATTTGCATAATTTCAGGTGTGTTCATGAAGTGAGACTTTATTAATATTTTATGTTGCATGATTTAGATTTATACAACTAAAATTTGCATAAAATAATGACCACATTGTGTTCAGTTTACGAAGGCAGGAAAGTGAGTAATATATTTTAGAACAACAAAAAAATGCAGCCAAATGGTTAAAATACAAAAAGATTTAGTGCCTGCAGTAGCATTTTTAGTTAGACTTATGAAAACTTGTCTATCTAGGACAAATTGCTCCCCGAATTATCCCTCATTCAGGAAGTCTTGTTTTACTGTGCAACCTTACAGGATCCCTTATGTTAGAATTTGTGTGTTCATATTGCTTCCCCAATTTCTGACAGCTTATGTGCCATAAAATTAGATTGCTTCATAATACCTGGCATAATGTTAAGGGTTTGGTGCAGCTCAGTATAAATATTTGTCAAATGAATGAATAGATATGATTAAGTGAATAAATGGCCTTGCTGGCAGTTAGGCCATGAAAGGGGCACTGAAAATGGAAACAGAAATCGGCCTTTCCCTGTCCTTCATGGCCTTGACAAATTTAAAGAATTTTCAGCCTAGGTCCATCGAGTGTTTCTTCATGAGCAGATTCAGGCCATGCATCCTGGGAAGAAATACCACGGAAATGATGCTGTGCTTCTCAGAGCCTCGCATCAGGGCGCATGCCCTGAGGTTAACCTTGCTGGCCTGGGCATGTTGCGTCTGCCAGATTCTCTCACACTTAATTCACCATGTGGTCCTCTTGGTAATTCATTAGTATTTTGTGGTGAGATGTTTCAAGATTACACCAGTGTCTCTCATCAGACTTTCATCCACTAGCCCTGGCCTCCACGGATGACTCCTGCCCAAATCAGCCACGTCTATGCTGATTGCCAAATAGTGATTTCATATTCCTTTCATTCATTCTGCATTTATTAGTTGGCATTCCACTGTAGTAAAAAGCTTTCTCTTGTCTATTAATTTGCATTGTCATTCATTTCTTTGTAACAGTGTCAACTCGTGGAGACCTGTGATTTAGACAGTGGGAGCTCCTTCAGCCTGGCTCTCCTGATGTTGTGACATGTCCCTTTCAATCTTTGAACACTTCCTTGTTTTCTGCATATTGTGTTCCAGGTTTAGTTTATACTTTTGTTGCCCCAGTCCTGGAATAAGCCTTTTCTTCAAGGAGGCTCTGGTTCCCTTTGATGGAGTATTTAGAAACCGTGATGTAGGGGGTTCAGTGTGCTTATTTCTTTGATGTACTGTACATTTCTTCCAGGCCCTCTCAGCAGACAGCAGAAAAGATACAGTGAATATAAATGAACATGCAAGCACATATACATTATCATCTGTAACCTGTGTCCTTCTGTGTGTGTGCGTGTGTGTGTGTGTGTGTGTGTGTGTTTAATAGCCTTAAGTTCTCACTGGTACTCCTATTTCCGTTCCTTGCCTCATAGTTCTTTCTAGCTTTCCTCCCTTTCTGTGTTCCAGTAGTGAGAAACCTAGCTTTCCCTGTCCTCATCCCTTCATTTGTTGCTGTCAAACTTACTCTTGGCTCAGTGTAAGTAGTCTCCCAAGCACACTGATCCTCCTCTGCCCACCAGTGCCCAGTATCCTGGGCATTGGGTTTCGTGCTGCCATGGGCCTCCATGTGGCTTTGGGGGAATTCTTGGCAAGTGAGGTTTTAGTGAGAGAGAGTAGAGGAGCTCTTATCTCAAATGGAATGGTTTGAAGTAATGAAGTTTGTAGGGCAGTTTCAGCTTCTCGATAAGTACTTGTTGAAATCTCACCAACTGACTTGGCTATGTCTTTCTCTTTGGAAATTAGTGAAAAGAATATCAGCTGGTGATTCTTAGAATAAAAGTTCTTACTTTTTCCAGATTCTCCTAGCTAACATAATTCCTACTTAGGCACATACTTGTGCTACACGTTGTCTACACATGCACTGAACATTTGGCTCCAGTGTTAGGGCCTAGACCTTTTGGTCTTGGGGACATTTTGACCTGGCCCTTGTCTCCGTGACCATATACTTGAAACACCAGAGGGGAGTTACTCACCAGTGAGGAAGGTTAGTATGAGATCCCAAGTGATCACAAGTGTACAAGTATGTGGGAGGGTTGGATTTTTATTAAAGTAGACCAGTCCTGTAGAATATTTCATAATGACAATTCCTGGTAGAAATAGTCAACATAAAACAAGACAGACACTGGGTTAAGTGGCATAGTCAAACCTCATACAGTTGAAAAGCTGACAGAAGAAGTAAAATTAAAATTGACATTTGCTGATATTTAATACAGTAAAATTTGTTTTTGAATTCAGATCAACAAAAGAATGAAATATTCATGACAGATTTAAAATCTTCAGACTTTGATCCAGGTTATTGGACTTTATAAAATAAACAAAAAGCAGTTGCCAGTAGAGAGAATTCATAATGACAGAAGCTATAATTGGTAAATATTTGAAGTAGGTAAAATCCGATTGATTTAAAATTTACTTAGAAAAGCCTTATCTCAGTGAAAATAATTGCAGGAAAAGATCAGTTGAAGAAGGAAAAAATTAGCTGTTTCGTGTACTTTAGAGAAAATTGAACAAGGGATTATATTGGCTTTATGAAATTAAAATATTTTGTCAGTAAGATGTTGCCAGTGTTGGTGTAATTCCAATTCAGATATCTGTATTTATAAACATAGGGTCATAAATTCCTTGGTGCCCCCGTCCCCGTCCCCCCACCAACAAAAGCTGGTCACAGTATTCACTAGGTCAAAATTGTGATACTAAAAAGTCAAGGCCGGGCGCGGTGGCTCACGCCTGTAATCCCAGCACTTTGGGAGGCCAAGGCGGGTGGATCACGAGGTCAGGAGGTCGAGACCATCCTGGGTAACATGGTGAAACCCCGTCTCTACTAAAAATACAAAAAAAAATTAGCCGGGTGTGGTGGCGGGCGCCTGTAATCCCAGCTAGTCGGGAGGCAGAGGCAGGAGAGTGGCATGAACCCGGGAGGCGGAGCTTGCAGTGAGCCAAGATTGCACCACTGCACTCCAGCCTAGGCAACTGAGCAAGACTCTGTCTCAAAAATAAATAAAATAAATAAATAAATAAATAAATAAATTTAAAGTCAAGTACCTGTTTTCTAACGATTTTTAATTTTTACATACAAAATATTTCCTTTAAGTACCTTAACAGGTAGAAAATTTTTGTTTAGTCTTATTTAGTTTTGTGTGTGTGTTTTGTTTTAGATGGAGTCTCGCTCCGTCACCTAGGCTGGAGTGCAGTGGCACAATCTTGGCTCACTGCAACCTCTGCCTGCTGGGTTCAAGCAATTCTCCTCCCTCAGCCTCCTGAGTAGCTAGGACTACAGGCGCGCGCCACCATACCCAGCTAATTTTTGTATTTTTAGTAGAGACGGGGTTTCACCATTTTGGCCAGGCTGGTCTCAAACTCCTGACCTCAGATGATCTGCCCACCTTGGCCTCCCAAAGTGCTAGGATTACAGGCATAAGCCACCATGCTTGGCCTGAAAATATTGCCTTTTTTTTTTTTTTTTTTTTTGAGATGGAGTCTCACTGTTGTCAGCCTGGGCTGGAATGCAGTGGCACAATCTCGGCTCACTGCAACATCCACCTCCCAGTTCCAGCAATTCTCCTGCCTCAGCCTCCTGAGTAGCTGAGATTACAGGCGCACGCCACCATGCCCAGCTAATTTTTGTGTTTTCAGTAGAGACGAGGTTTCACCATGTTGGCCAGGCTAGTCTCAAACTCCTGACCTCATGATCCACCCGCCTCGGCCTCCCAAAGTGCTGGGATTACAGGCGTGAGCCACTGTGCCTGGCTGTGTTTTTAATAAATAGCAAAAGAAGCCAAAACTATAACTTGTAAAGTAGTCATTAGGTTTTCCCTAATTGCACACTTAGGGAAAGAAGGATTAGCTAAATTCATGGATTTGACTGAATGCATGTTTTAAAAAAGACCTTCTCCATCATCTTTTATGTCAAAAGAGGATGCCCACCCGCTCTCTCTCTTACACATATAAAATCCCTTGTGGCGATCTTCTAGTGTTACTTGGTGAGCTGGTGGTCTTGGTTTCACCAGTGTCTTATCACAGCTTGCAGTTATTTTATTTATTCTTTCATCTGTCTCCAGGAGAAAGTGCGCTCCATCAGAGCACAGGCCAGGGTAGTTTGTTCCTTCTTGTATCCTTGGTATGTGTGCAGCATATTGTTTTGTCCATAATGGGTGCTAAAGATTGTTGATTAACCAAAATACAGAGAGTATTCACTTAAAAAAAAGGAAGAAAAGAAAAATGACTTGGGAGTTGGTTCTTATAGGTGCTTATGAACAAGTCCCCTCCCTTGCAGGTCCCCCCGGGCCTGCCCTTGCCAGCCCCAGTTCACTGAGCATACAGCCTGTGTTGCTAACCTGGGTGTCAGTGAACTGCACGGGACATCAGAGTGTGCTGTGGCCCACTGCCAGCCCTCTGCGGAGGTACGCACCGCTGTGTGGTAAAGGAGTCTTCCAGAATTATCACCGTTATTAATCTTCCAAACGGAGAGGAGTCAGAGAGACTTGAGGCTCTTTTGCAGAAAAAGGAATCCAGCTATTTTTATAACTTTGGGAGTTCCAGAGGCCAGTCTGAATGCAGTTTGCCAATTGACAACTAATTGGTAGGAGATTTTTGCCCTTAATGGATACTTTCTTGATTAAACTGTGAATGTTCAGATATTTCTAAAGGAGTCTTCTAGACAACCTTGCAAGAACTCTTGTTTTAAAAAATGGTTGTAAGTACAAAGGCTGCAAAGACTCCATTCTTGTGAGTGGTACCGGCCTTCATCTCCACCTAGTGGGCTTTCTGGATCGGTTTTGCAGCTCAGTATTTTGTCTCCATTCCAGTTGACCTGTGCCATCATCTCTCATCTCTTCAGAGTTTCTTTTCATTAGCAACTGCTAGTTCGGGAGCTTATTGACTCTGACTTTAGGCAGAATTTTATTCATCAGAACTGAGAAGAAAATATAGGCCTTTTAGAAATTTGGGTCTTAATGAAAAGAATAGAGAAAATGTTATTTCAAAGAAGAGAATATTATGCGTTCAGTATTCTGGTTTAACAAATATTTTGTGAAGTCTCTCATGAAAGCAGTTCCTGGATTTTGCTTGACCCTCTCTGTCTAGGGCTGAGACGCAGCTCTGGTGGGCGGGCATGGAGACCGCAGCCACCTCTCCTCCCCATTTCTCCAGTCGCTTCCCTCCTCACGGCCTCTTCATGCAGACCAGTGCACCAGCCTCACACCCAGAGCAGTTTAAGCCTAACTTTAGGTTCATCTGAGACTCCCCTGTCCCATCACATGCAAACACATACACGCATGCACGCCATTGTCATCATCTTGTCTGCCTTTAAAATGGTCACAATCTAGTGGAGCCGGCAAAAATGTAAACAAACACGTGATACGTGTACAATGGTGGAGGCGGTGCAGAGTGCCTTGGGGGATAACGAAGTGCTCAAAGCTACTTTGTACATAAAGAATCACAAACAAGGTGGCTGGGAAACTGGATCTGGAAGGACTCATATGACTTTGTTGGGCAAAAAGTGGGGAGGTGTTGAGGGGGCAGAGGGGGGACCGGAGATGGAGCTCACACCAGCTGGTTGAAGGAAACTGCTGGTGGTTCCCAACCCTAGAGGTCTGTAGAGATGCCCCATGAGGGTGGCCTCAAGCCTCCTTCCCCCCTTCAGCCAGAGTAGCTCTGCTTTTATCTGTTCTACTGGAGGGTGAGGAGCACAGACCATTTTATTTGGGAAAAAGGATTTTACTGCTAGGATGGTTTTGTGAACAGAGAGAGGACTAAGGCAGGGCCAGGGAACCTCACCAGTGCATAGGCAGTCAGAAGGCGAGGGGCCAGCAAAGGAAACTCCTGGGTAGAGGCTGAAGAAGCGAACAGGGGAGTTTCTGGAAGGGAGGAGTGGTCCACGGAGATGTGTGTGGCCTCAAGCAGGTGGGGAAGGCAAAGGCAGCGTGGGCCTGCCTGCGGTCGTAGGAGGTCATTTGCAGAGGTGGAAGTAGAGTTCATCTTTTATTTTTGCTAACCTTGAAAGGAGGGATAATGTAATTTTTTTTTAATACATTCACAGAACAGAGAGACATCAGTGCTTCAAAATCTCCAGAGCTGATGGCATGTATTTTTGACAGTTTTCATGTATTTCTGACAGTTACAGCTCTCTTCCTCCCCCATCTGTGAAAGTGGCACAGTGCAGTGGACTCATCTCTGGGTGCTGTGGTTATGGTGGTCATCGGGGCAGGGGCGAGGGTGGGGGTCACTTGGAGGTGATTGGTGACATAGGCCATGGGCAGTGGGGTGGCAAGCAGGCCAGAGGAGGTTGAAAAATACAGAAATATAAAGATAGAATGCCTTCCTGTGTGTTGAATGAGTCGATTTATGGAAGTCATTCTTTTTTATCTAATATGGATCTGCTTCAGCTTTTCAGAGATGATCTTAGATTATTTCATTACTTTTCAGTCAGTGATTAGAATCATTTGATCACCACGTTTGTTATGGAACAGTAAATCATCCCTGAGGAACATATAAATAACATAGTGAATCTGTCTGTATGCACACACACGTAATTTCAAGTATAGATAGAAAATTGGTTGTATTTGTCTTGAAACAGATACCATTCTGTTCCCAAAAGTCTAAATGAAAGCAGCTTAGTTCATCTGGTTATTATATGACTGCTGAGCATTAGAATGAAAAATGGACATTTCAGAATATGTTGTTTTCTATCTCTACACATGTTCTTTTTTGGGTAAGTCCTACATTTTGTAGTAGCTAATGTTTCGTGAGGCCTGACTGTGTACCTGGTGCAGAAGGGGAGGGCCACCTGTGACATGGGCACACGCTCTGTGTGCTGGCTCTGGGCAGGCTTTATAAACCAAGAGGAAAGGAATCACTTTGTCTCCCCTATGATTTACTCTTTTCTTTCCTATGGCAGGTGGAGAAGTGAATGCTATAGTTAAGTTCTTTCTAGTTATGACTTTGTAGGTTAGAGGAAGGCCCATTCCTCCGAACCTGACTTGGATGCTGTCATAAACCCCACCCAGTCTTCCCCCAGAATATCTTACGGCCTGCTTATTCTGGAAGTCTCACAATGAGAGTCACTAATAGGCTTGACAGTGGCTCTATTTCCAGAGTTTGTTATTCAAGTGCATGGTGTCTTAATGCTTTTTGCCTGCTATAACATAATATCATAAACTGGGGGGTTGGGGGGTTATAAACAACAGAAGTTTATTTCTCATGGTTCTGGAGTCTGGGATGACCAAGATCAGGCCATCGCAGATTTGGTGTCTGGGGAGGCCCACTTCCTGGTAGACAGACATCATCTCATTGAGTCCTCACATGGTGAAAGGGCAAACAAGCTCTCTTAGGCCTTTTTTGTAAGGGCACTAATCCCATTCATGAGGGCTCCAGCCCAGCACCTAATCACCTCCCAAAGGCCCCACCTCCTAATACCATCACTTTTGTGGTTAGGATTTCAACAAATGAATTTTGGAGGATGCAGACATTCTGACCATAGCACATGGTGTGTAGCTGGGTGGTATTTTTCCTTGCCTTCTCTTATGACTCACCAGCATTGCTGCCAGCTTTCACCTTCAGAGTCACTGAGCCTGTGCTAGGGGTTGGGGAGCAGAGTACAGGCTTGGGAAATGGCTAATGGTAAATCAGGTGTAGGCTCTGGTTTGGGCTGTGAACCAGAGGGAATTGAAGCATTCGCAGAGAGACTCCAGGCAGCTGGAGGTGGAAATGGAGGGTCACAGACTGCAGAGTGTGTACCAGGTGGAGAGAGAATAGCAAAAGCTCCAAGTGCCAAGATGCGTCCTTTGCCCCCAGTACTGACAGGGCACTATTATTTAGGAATAATGACTAAAAGATCGTATGTCATGAAGCATTACCAGGAAAGTAGAGTTGAGAGCAGGAAAGATGCCATTTAAATTGAGCCTCAGCATCATCTCAGAACTTGAATGTTCCGTGTTTGCTGCATCCGTGGGAGGGAACCTTACATAAGGCATTATGCAGACACAAGCTGTTGTCTCCATAATCCAGCAGTTATTAGTTGTGTGTTCACATTGTCCAAGACACTGAGCCTGGGAAAAAGGTATCCTTTCTGCTTAGTAGATGGTATCCTAAATCTTCCAACAGCCAGAAGTGGGCATTTAACATGGCAATTTCGGGGATGAACCTTCTCCCTTATGCCCCAGGGCAAGCTGGCCAGCTGTGCAAGACTTTCAGCCACATGGGGGCAGGGCTTTCTAGCGTGTGCAGTTAGGAAGCGTTGCCAAGTCCTGTTTGGGTCTCTTGTGGTTAAAATACTTTATTTCATTCTTGCTACGTCTTGCCCACCATAACTCTACTTAAATTTATGATGGATGGACTTTAATGTGGAGATGAAAGTGGGATAATCTTTCCAATTTAAAGTTATTTTCATTGTTCGAATTGCTGGAAGCAATTGATATTTTGAATGGTGTTACTTAGGGCAGAGTGGAAATTTCAGACACCCTGTGCTTATTCGAAGGTGATTTATATACCAAGAACTGTGATAACTGGGGGGTGGTAGTCGAATGACATAGTGCTCTGTTTTATAAGGACTTCCGTGCTGTCAGAAAGAAGTCAAGCTTTTTTTCTTGTTTACTTTCTGCAAGTAATTGGTCAAAATTCTTTGTTTAAAACTAGCTGTAAACTTGTACTACAAACGTGATTTTTGATGATTTCATAATTATGCTTTGATATCATTTTCATGTTTAATATAACATAAGCCATCTTTGTAAGCATTTATTAACTTTGTTTCTCCATTTTCTATTGTGTATTAATTTTTAAAAGATTTATTATAGAGAATTAAAACCATAAATTAGTTTTTAAAATGTTTTTATCTTTTTCCTTTTGCTCTAACTATATACTTTGACTTACTGCATTTTATTTAGGTGAGTCAGTCACCGACCTTCCCATACCATTGTGGCATGAAAAGTTTTGGGATTTACGTAATTCAATACATTCATGTTACTGCTGTTTACATTTTAAAAACCTGTTTTAACCTTAGGCTTCCACATAAATGTGATTCTTTTTATATGTCAAGTAGAACAAGCATATTACAGGTCCTGTATTCACAGCAGAATGTTGAAGATGGACTACTTAAATGCTTCAATTTCTTTTCCTCTTGAGTATGTTAAGTGAGATACAGTAAGATTGGTAAGACATGCTCTTGCTTTGAGGCAGGCCACATTTTAATTCATCTAATTTTTTTTAGTGTAACCTAGATTTAGCATTTGATAATTGAACTTCTTTTCTAGTGGATGGGAAATGCTTGCCTTTGTACTTTTCCACATCTAGGTATATTTTGAACCAGGGCAAAAGAACAGCCCAGCTGGAGCTCCTCAGTTATCAGGAGGGTCATTTTGGAAAAGCCTGGAGGGTCGCGCTGCTGCCCTTCTTGACTCATTCTCCAAATGAGGATTGTGTGAAGTACGACTCTGCATGTCACTGCATATCTTTGAGTGGGTCCGTGTTGTCTGCTTTAGGTTGGATACTTGTTCTGTCCGTGGCATCTGATGTTCAAATGGGCATTTCATAACTGCTTTTTAAAGCTGTTAAGTATTCTGTGTGGTACATTCATGAAGTTACTTTAGAACTAGTTGCTTTTAGCATGCCTTTTTCCCCTTAGTTTTCATTACAGAAGATAAAATATATAAATTTACTGCTATTTTTTCTCAGTATTTTCTTAGATTAGTTTTAGATTATGGTTTTTATTTTAAAATATAATTTTCAGTTCCTTTGTTTAAATGATATAAAATGAGAAAGCCAAGACTTTACCCAATAGAAACCAATACATTTGTAAGCCTGGGGATCCCCAAATGTTTGTTCAAGGTTTGGTTTTCTAGTGTATTACTATCTGATATTACTTTTTTAATTTGTTTTTGCCTGATTGAATGGTTTTACAAATACCATAGGTGGGACTCTTAAACAGAGATCTTCTCATGTTGTGTATAATATGTGGTTATGAAATATAATAGAGTCTATAATAGTAGTATGGTTTGCTAACCACTGAAAGAATTGTGTAAATTTCAGAACTTATAAATTTCATAACACTTATAAATATTATGGTTATAACACTTCACCATAACTTAAAATAAGTAGTTAATGAATTGCTTGTTATAACATGGGTGTTTGCCCATAGGTATGATGGGAAATTGGTTGGAGAAGGAAATGAAAGGAAACAAGAAACAAGGGATCCCAGGGTAAACGCGCCGAGCTGTGTAGCTGGACTCCACTGGGCTGCCAGCGTTCTAAATATATTTTCTAAGGGAACTTGATAAACCCAAGGTGGATCTTATGAACCCAGTAGAGCGGTCTGTAAGCAATAACAGTACTTCATTCCACTAGTTAGTGGTAGTGACATGAATTTGGGAGCACGGGGACCCCTAATAATTTGCGGGATTGAGATAAGGTTTGTACCCCCAGGGAAAAGGAGCTGGTGTCTTGTCAGGACACTGATTGGACATGAGTGCAGTAAGTGGGAGTTTAGTCAGACTGCAGTACCTGGAGTACTAATCTGAAACCAAGCCAAGAGTTGAGCAATCAGAACTGCAGATGTGGGGAAGAAAGCCTCAGTTTGGAGAGCCGGCGGGTGGCCCTGTAGATGCAGACACAGGAAGCCCAAAGGCTTGGTCAGGATGGCTTAGGAAGGTTCTGGGGCTGAAGAAACAAGAAACAAGGAATGAGCACAATGTCTACAACAGGCTGGACCGGGGAAGGCAGGCACTGACAGGTGCTGGCAACATAGAGGAGCTAGATGATGAAGACTGACTGGACGACTCTATTCAGTATTTAGTGGCGTGTTAATGTTCTCTATAGAAGTCTTTAATTTTTAACATGTGCCATTTTTTTTAAGTGGGAGAGTGTTGAGTATCTTTAGATGGCTGTGGAGAGTCTTCGAAGATACCAGAGGGAAAGGGAGAATGGAGGGCCCTGGTGCTGTAGGGATGGGACAGATGGATGGACTCTAGCGCATAGGAGGGAGGAAACCCCCAGCGAGGAGGGAACTCATATAGAGACCAGTTTGGGGTTGGGAGGTAGTTTCATTCCCTGAGTGGGCATTGAGATTGCCAGTTGAGGAAGAGGGAGAAGGTGGGGATGCTACAGAGAGGTGATGATGTAGGATTGCTGCTGAGGACCAGAAAAGGAGAGGGAACCCTGGCTAGGAACATGTTGAGGACTGTACCAGGGCCAGTCTGGTGTCACTCTCTCCAGCAAAGCACATCTGCCTGGGGGTGGCAGTGGAGAGCTGGCACTGCTGGTTTTGAAGGGTGGTATGTGGAGAAAGACAAAGGAAGGAAATAGTTGTGATTAAAGGTGAGAGGGTGATTGAAATGATGGCCCAGGAGACCAGATTGTTGATGCAAGGAGGTGAAGTCAGCAGGAACGGGGGTGTAGGGGACCTCTTGTGCAACACAAGAGCCTTGGCCTAAGCATTAGATGTGAGCATTTAAGAGATTGGCAGGGGAACTGTGGTGAGAAAGACCATGTATGGTTTTGGGATTGTGCTATAGGAATGGGGCAGGGATCAGGGTCATTCCAGGACTGGAAAAGCCAGGAATTTTGAAGTCCTTTGTAATGACCATAGGTGGTGAAGCAGGCATGAGAGTCTTCAGCAATTCCTGACTGTCCTGTCCTAGTCATGGCTAATTTCATGCTGCTCCGGCGACATTTCTAAAGCTACCAGCACCTCAAGGGAGGTGTAAGAATTTTAAGAAAATGCCTGGCAATGGTTGCTACAAGACACAAGGGCTTAGAGAGTTGTTCCTGTTTATTGGAACAGAGGAGGTGAATACAAAGTTTAGAAGGTAAATGTAAGGAATTTAAATTTGGTTGAAATTCAAGGAACATTTTGAGAATAAGGAACGCTTGAAAGAAAAAGATGTTCTGTGGAGGCAGTTTGAACTGATCAAAGAGTTGAATGCTAAATGTTCAAATGACCTAGGAGATCTACAAGTGTTACTGGTGAGTGTGAAAGCAAAGAGAAAAGAGTTCATGTGAGCAATAGAAGAAACATCTGTGGAACACGGAATAATGTGAATGTAGTAATTTCTTTGTGACTTGATTTTGACAGTCACTCTCCAGATATTTGAGAGAGATAATTCTCAGTTTCCCTCTGATGGCCTTGCTTTGTTATTACCTTAAAGACTTCCACATTTAACTTACTAATTTATTTTAACCTATATTAACTATTTCAGGAACTGAAATTGTTAAACATTTTGTAAATCTACAGTCAAATGAAAATCTTTGCAAACTTTGCTTCCTCAAGTCACATCAACCCTTCACACTACTCATAGCAAAGCTAATGGCTTTTGTCTCTAATATAAGTTTGTATTTGAAGTTGAAAACTACTTTAGAAGTTCCAAATATTTCAGTTGTAGGCTTTAGTTATGCATACACATAGAAGGTAAATGTTCTTTTTAGAATTTTATTACTCATAAATTTTAGATCCCTTTTTAAGAAGTAGTTAAGGAAGGAGGTCAATAAGCATTCTTGTTTCTCTGGTTTGTTGGCTTTATGACAGAGGATGTCTACATTAGTGTTTTAACTTGGCGTCATTCAAAGTGGGGCTGAGAAGGGAAGTGAGGGTTTGGATGTGGAAGGGATTGGGAAGATCACAGTGACAACCCAGCCCTACTTCTCAGTTACAAAAGGGCAACCTCAATATAAACTTAATGCCAATACTGTGAATCATTACATTCCTTGTTGAATCACAGATGTGTAGGAAAACATGGGTGGGGTATTTCACCGTGAATTGTTTTGCTCTTAATGCTGTACCTTAAACTGGCAATTATGCAATTGACCATGTAGCACAGAAACATTCAGTACAGGTAGCATGAACCAATATTTATTGACTAGCTACTACAGATGGACACTTGTATCATCAAAAAATAATATCAAAACAAATGAATATTTTGCTTATTTTAAGGAAACCGGAGTTTCTCAGTCATTTATGTCAGTGCTTAACTGGTTTGAAACATTCCCCATAGTTTCAGTTGTTTTGAAGCTTCACCCAAATACCAGTATTGGTTCTCATGTCATGGGTGAGTTGAAGCAAAGACATAATGAGGGATTTTTTTCGTCTCTTATAAGCCCTTAGGTATAGTTTAGTGTGGATGCTTCTTGATTTAAGTTGAGTTTTGTCCCGTGACGTACCTTGGTACTAAAATTACTAAGTTTACCTAGCCAGAGGTTTCTCCTGTCCTCTTCAGCTTGAACTATGTCTGTTGTGACCCCGGTTCTTTTCTCCTGTGTCAGATGACAAGTCATGATCCAGAACTCTTTTAAAGTCCATCCTCTCCCTCTGCTTTCAGGCATTTGTGTTTTTGTTTACTTCTCTCTTCCCAGCATCTTTAGTCTTTCAGTATACTGGGCTTCTCACCCAGAGAAGGTAGACAGATAACAGATCTCTAATATCTTGAAAAAAAGCTTGATTTGCCACCTTTCTTTCTGGCCAGATTTGTTGACTGTGTGGTGTAAATATGCACATATCCCTATCCCTTCAATCTGTTTTCTTTGCATTCCTGTAATCAGACGTTTACTCCACAGCCGTCTCTCTCAATTGTTAAATATGTTGGCCTTTTCTTAGGATTCATTCTCCTTAACTTCTTTTCAGGATTGGCAGTTGAATGTTATCTTCTTCTTGACATTCTTCCACAATATCCTGATTCTCCTCCTACCTATCTAATTGTACTTTCTCTTTTTTCAAGTTATTTTTCCCAACATATTATTCTGCTCCTTATTCTAATATTGTGTCCTCACTCTTATTTTCTTCCTACAATCTCTTCATCCAAGACTGAGTCTTAACTTTTATTGCTCTAAGCATGACCTCCCAAGTCAACATCCCCAGACCTCACCTCTTTCCTAAGCATTAGCTTGCATCATCTACTGACTGATGGATGTCATCACTTGAATAAGCCACCCTCACTTTGGACCCAGCTTGTTGTGCATCTATGTATATGTATTTATTAATAGAAACAAAGTAAAGAAAAAATCCAAAATATTGACAAAATGTGTGTGTGTGATGCATGAGGGATTTTTAATGATTTTTATGCTCTTTACATTTGTTTCTTTTTAATTTTAACATTTTAATTAAATATTTCAAATGTGTATTTTGATATCTTTACAAAATTCATAGTTACACATTATTTTATAATCATAAAAACAGTTCAAATGTATTAATCATTAAATTGTTTTCAATAGTTCTAATACTATTCAAAATCAGTGTTAGAATTCTGTGTTAGAAATTACAATAAGGAAAAGAATATTTTCAGTGAGCCTAAATAATTCATTTTTCAAAATGAAAACAAAAATGGAGGCTTTTCATACTTTTGAAAATAGTTGTTTGGAGAGAAGATTGTTGATTTGTAGGAGTTCTTTGTGTATTCTGTTATTAGTCCTTTGATGGTAATATACACTGGAAATGTCTTCTTGTCAGTAATTTTACCTTTTATTTTCTGCTTCTCGCTCATAATTTTAATGTAGTCATTTTATCAGTCTTTTATGGTTTCTTTTATTTTAATGTCTTGTTTTAAAAAACCCTTTTTTTTCCAGGTCATAAAGATGTTCTCCCATATTTTTTTTAAAGTTTTAAAGTTTGCTTTTTACATTTGAGTCTTTTATTCTGAAATTTAGTTTTTGGATGTGGCAAGAAGTAGAGATTGCTTTGTTATTTTCAATGTGGATTACCAGTTGTCTCAGCACCATATATTGGGTGTTTCATCCTTTCCATACTGATCTATAATACCATGTCTGTCAAATGCCAGGTTTCCATATATGTGTGGATTTGTTTCTCTCATATTTTCCCTTGGTCTGTTTACCTCTCCCTGTGTAGAAACCTGTCTTAGTTACTATAATTGTATAACAAATCTTGAAAGCTGGTATTGTCAGAGACGTGTGAACCAGAGCAACTCCATCTTGAATAGAGGCTGGGTAAAATGAGGCTGAGATTTACTGGGCTGCATTCCCAGACGGTTAAAGCATTCTAAGTCACAGGATGAGACAGGAGACAGCACAAGATACAGGTCATAAAGACCTTGCTGATAAAACAGGTTGCAGTAAAGAAGCCGCTAAATCCCACCAAAACCAAGATGGTCACAAGAGTGACTTCTGGTGGTCCTCACTACTACACTCCCACCAGCACCATGACAATTTACAGATGCCATAGCAACATCAGGAAGTTACCCTACATGGTGTAAAAAGGGTAGGCATGAATAATCCACCCCTTGTTTAGCATATATTCAAGAAGTAACCATAAAAATGGGCAACCAGCAGCCCTTGGGGCTGCTCTGTCTATAGAGTAGCCGTTCTTTTATTCCTTTACTTTCCTAATAAACTTGTTTTCACTTTACGGACTCACCTGAATTCTTTCTTGTGTGAGATCCAAGAACCCTCTCTTGGGGTCTGGATCGGGACTCCTTTCCTCTAACAGTAGGGCAAGTACTTTCCCACCTTAGGCGGTTCTTGAAAGTTGCCTTGGTTGTACTTGGCTCTTTGATCTTCTTTATACATTTTATAATTATCAATCTGTCAGATTCCACACAGAAAACCCTAGCAGGAGTTTGGAATTACATTGAACATATAGAATTAGAATGGGGAAAATTAATAACTTTATAATTTGGACTCGTTATATGTGAATAGAGTACATCTCTCTATTCTTCTAAAATTACTTTCAATAAAACTTTATGTTGTGTGACTAGTTTGATTTGTTATATAGTTTTTTTGCTGTTGTACATGACTTACAGTTGACCCTTGAACCATATGGGTTTGAACAGTGCGGCTCCACTTATATGCAGATTTTCTTTTGCCTCTGCCACCCCTGAGACAGCAAGATCAACCCCTCCTCTTCCTCCTCCTCTGTAGCCTACTCAATGTGAAGTCAACAAGAATGAAGACCTTTATATGATCCACTTCCACTTAATGAACAGTAACTATATTTTCTCTTCTATATGATTTTTTTAACAATATTTTCTTTCCTCTAGTTTATTGTAAGAATACGGTATATACATATAACATACAAAATATGTGTTAATCGACTATTTATGTTATTGGTAAGGCTTCTGGTCAACAGGAGGCTATTAGTAGTTAAGTTCTGGGGGGAGTCAGGAGTTATAGGTGGGTTTTTGACTGCATGAAGGTCAGCACTCCTAACGCTCACATTGTTCAAGTGTCAGCTGTATATTTTTATTTTTATGCTCATGTCTAGACATGTAACTGACTATTGTATTTTCAGGTTATAACCAGGAACCTTTCATTTTAATTCTAATAACTTATAGATTTTCTTAGTTATTCTGTGTAGACTTTCCTATTCTCTGCACATTATGACAGACTTGCCTCTTCCTTTCCAATCCTTACGCCAGTCCTTTTTGTCTTACTTCCATGTCAGGCACTTCAGCACAGTATTGAATGGAGGCTGTGATTGATAGTGGGCACCCTTATCTTAGTCCAGATTTTAAAGGGACTGCTGTATGTTTTTGTAGGTAGTCTTTATCAGGTTAGAGAAATCCTCTGTTGGTCTTGGTTTGCTAGGTGTTTGTATCAGGAATGAGTGTTGAATTTTAAAGAGTGATTTTCCTGTACCTGTTAAGATGATAATGCAGTTTTTCTCCTTTAGTCCGTCAATGTGATGAATTAAATAATCATACTAAAGTATTTTCTAGTATGATATTGTTTTGTGTTACTTGGATAACTTGTACTTGACAATGGTGTTGCCTAAGATTTTGTAAAATTGTATTTTCTAACATTTTATTTAGGTTTTTAAAATCTGTTAGTAAGTGAGATGTTCATGCTGTACTTGTTTGGCTTGGTTTTTGGGTTTTCTTAGCTTCATTATATGAGTTGGGAATAATTTCTTTTTCTGTCATCTGTAATAGTCTGTGTAAATAGAGATTATCTGCATTTTGAATGTTTGATATGATTTGCTGATAATACCATCTAGGGCAGGTGTCCAGGGTTTTATTTGTTTATTTTTAGTTTATTTTGAGGGAATAGGTTTTTAACTACTGGATCAATTTCTTTAGTAGGTTTGTTCAAGTTTTACATTTCTTCTTGACTGAATTTTAATGTTACTTATTTTTGGAATTGTCCACTTTTCCCTAAATTTTCAGTTGTATTGCATAAAGTTGTTCATAGTATTCTTTTTCAAAAATGTCAGCTGTATCTGTAGTTGTAATCATTTTTTCATTCCTATTTATGCCTTCTCTATTTTCCTGTAGTCTTTTCAAAAAGGCAGCTTTCAGTTTTGCTGCTGTTTTAAAAATCAGGATTTTTTTTTTGTTTCAAGTTTCATTAATTTCTGCCCCTGTTATCTTATACTCTTGTTCTTTTT
Organism: Homo sapiens; assembly: GCF_000001405.40. NCBI lineage: Eukaryota > Metazoa > Chordata > Mammalia > Primates > Hominidae > Homo > Homo sapiens. Next base: position 2,101,417 of record NW_011332701.1, on the reverse strand, counting down.
CTGACTTCTTGAGTCATACATTTATTTATTTATTTATTTTTAATTTTATTTTGAGACAGAGTTTCGCCCTGTCACCCAGGCTGGAGTGCAGTGGCGCCATCTTAGCTCACTGCAACCGCCACCTCCCTGGTTCAAGCGATTCTTCTGCCTCAGCCTCCTGAGTAGCTGGAATTACAGACATGCACCGCCACACCCAGCTAACTTTTGTATTTTTAGTAGACATGGGATTTTGCCGTGTTGGCCAGGCTGGTATCAAACTTCTGACCTCATGTCATCCACTTCCCCCGGCCTCCCAAAGAGCTGGGACTACAGGCCTGAGCCACAGCACTCAGCCCGAGTCATACATTTAAATTATTGGTTTTCAGGCTTTCTTCTTTTCTAATACACACATAAAACTCCACATTTCTCTCTAAGTAGTGGTTTAGCTGAATCCCATATATTTCAATAGTTAGTGCTTTCATTGTCATTAAAGTTGTAAGTATTTCCTAATATCCTTTATGGTTTCATCTCTGACCTGTGATTTTTTAAAACTATGTCCATAAATTTCCAAGATTTTTTTTGTCCTTGATTTCTGATTTTATTGGGTTTAAATAATGTAAATTGTATGATAAAGATTCTTTGATCATTGTTGAAATTTGCATTTTTTCTTTTTCTTTAATGACTGTGGAGTTGAAAATAATGGGTTCTCTAGTTGGATCTACATATTTCCTTTAGATTGGGTTTATTGGTTGTTATTCAGCTTCTCTCTACTTGATCAATTAGTTTATTGAGACAAGTGTGTGTGTGTTTTGTTTTGGTTTTTTTTTGAGATGGAGTCTCATTCTGTCGCCCAGGCTGGAGTGCAATGGCGAGATCTCGGCTCACTGCAAGCTCCGCCTCCTGGGTTCACGCCATTCTCCTGTCTCAGCCTCCCGAGTAGCTGGGACTACAGGCGCCCACCACCACGCCCAGCTAATTTTTGAATTTTTAGTAGAGACGGGGTTTCACCGTGTTAGCCAGGATGGTCTCGATCTCCTGACCTCGTGATCTGCCCGCCTTGGCCTCCCAAAGTGCTGGGATTACAGGCGTGAGCCACCGTGCCCGGCCGACAAGTGTGTGTTTTAACTCTACTATTGTGAGAGTAAGATTATCTATTTTTCCTTCTAGTGATCAGATTTTGCGAGTAGGAGTTATCTTGTCTATGTCTCTTGATGTAGATGTGCATGAGTTTCTGTTGGATGTATAACCTTGCCATAGAGTCACTGCATCATAGGTTACACATATGTTCAGTTTTATTAGATATTGCCGAACAGTTCTAAAATGGCTTTAAACAATTTATAGTTGTACCAGCAGCTTATGAGAATTACTCAATATATTTAGCAACACTTGTCGTTGTCACTTAAAAAAATTTTTAGCCATCATAGTTGGGATGTACTAGTAGTTTATTTTAGTTTTAATATGCATCTCCCTAACTACTAATGATATTGAGCCTCTCTGCAAGTTTATTGGTTCGTCTTTTGGTTTACAGTTCTCTGCCAAAACAATCTCGTCTTTTATCTTGTTGAATATAGTAAACATAGTTCTTTTGCTCTAAATCTAGAGCAATTGTGGGTATGTTTCTGTTGCTTGTGGTGTCTACTAGTGGTTTTTTTTTTCTATATAATCTTGCCTGTTTGTATGCCTGGTTATTTTTGATTGAGTTATCTAAAGATTGAAAAAATGTAAAAATAAATTGAGGTCTAGGATGATAGATATTTCTCCTCCGAGATGGGTTTGTGTTTGTTTCTGGTGGGCACTTGGCAGCAGTAGCAATCTGGGTTAACATCAGTCCGATTTCAAGGACTGAAATGATTCAGAACTAAGCTGCAGTGCCTATGAGGGCCTGCCAACTTCTGGTTGGTCTTTGCTTTTAAAGAGTACCCCTTCAGGATCCCAGTCCAAATTAACCAAGCTCCCTGGCTTTCGGGGGCCTTGGATTCCAATTTATGTGCCTTCAGCCCTGGATGGAGTCCTTGTTGCTCAGCGATGCTCTCCAGAATCAGAAGGTGCCCCAAGGGGAAGATGGCCCCATATGCGTGGCTCACCTTCTCAGACCTCCATTCTTCCAGGATCTTGGCTTGGCCATTCTTTACCATCTTCTTGATTCTATAATGCCTTCAAGAAAATATCCTTTATATTTTTTCCAGTTGTGTTCAGAGGGGGAGTTAATCTGAATTATCTCATCCTTCAGTCTCAGAATCTAAATTCCTCCAGTATATTTATTTTTTCCTCTTTTTCTCTTAACCTCTGTGTATCTGCATGTGTCTCTATGGATTTTGTGGGGTTTACTTTTCTTTTTACATGGTCTAAATTTTCATCCAGTTAAGTGGACACATTTTATTTATTTATACTTGTGATTTATGATGTACTTGGATATATTTCTATCATATTTTTCTTTCCTTCCTTTTTTTGAGGCAGAGTCTTGCTTTGTCAGCCAGGCTGGAGTGCAGTGCTGTGATCTCAGCTCACTGCAACCTCTGCCTCCCAGGTTCAAACGATTCTCCTGCCTCAGCCTCCTGAATAGCTGGGATTACAGGCATGCGCCACCACGCCTAGCTAATTTTTGTATTTTTAGTACAGATGGGGTTTCACCATGTTGGCCAAGCTGGTCTTGAACTCTTGACCTCAGGTGATGCACCCACCTCACTATCATGTTTTTCTATGCTTTGTATTTACCTTTTGTTCCCTGGGATTTTTATTTCTTTGGGTCTTTAATAATTTCAAATGTACTCATTGTAGAACTTCTATCTGATAATTATATTATCTAGAGTTTTTTTTAAATTTCTGTAATTTACACAAGTAGCTTGAATACTAGGGTAATTTTTCAGGCAAGAGTTTTTCTTTTTATCTTTTTAACATTTATTTCAAAACGTGTCAGTCATTTTCACTACTAAAATCCAGAGAAGACACCAAAGTGAAGACAGGATTAGAAAATATGACCAGTGAAAAATAAATGAGAAACAGAAAATATGTCTTGAAAATATTCCTTACAATAAGAAGCAATCAAAAGTAGAAATCAAGATGAAGAAAGTAGAACCAGATTAGGTATTATTAAGTCATTGTCCGTCACACATATTAATTCATTTCTTGTCCCCAAATACTTTTTTTTTTTTTTTTTCTGAAATGGAGTTTTGCTCTTGTTACCCAGGCTGGAGTGCAATGGCGCAGTCTCGGCTCACTGCATCCTCCACCTCCCGGGTTCAAGCAATTCTCCTGCCTCAGCCTCCCGAGTAGCTGAGATTACAGGCATGCTCCACTATGTCCGGTTAATTTGTTGCATTTTTTTGTAGAGACGGTTTCACCATGTCGGCCAGACTGGTCTTGAACTCCTGACCTCAGGTGATCCACCCGCCTCGGTCTCCCAAAGTGCTAAGATTGCAAGTGTGAGCTTCTGCGCCTAGCTCTTGTTCCCAAATGCTTCTTTACTATTTGATAGGTTCATGTGGTTGTGGGATTTTTGACTGCTTGTGGGAATAAGGATAAAGATTATGCAGTAAAGCTCTTTTAAAAAAATATCAGCTTTTGCTTATAAACTCTAGACTTATTTACTGTACTTTAAAAGTTCACAAGAACACTTCTATTTCTTTCACCTCATTTTTATCCTTGTTTCTTTGGTTTTCATAAAGTCTGTTGTCTGAGCATAGAGCTTATTCCACTGGGGGGAGTGTGGGTCCTGGCATGGTGAGCTAACTGCTGCACTAGCTGGCGGCTCCCTCCCTCCAAGTCTTGCTGGCCACCAGGAGGTGCTGCTGAGGGGTCTGAAAGTGGCTGCGGGTTAGAGGGGATGCCCAGGCAAACATTACTGGAGGGAAAGATTAAGAGATGGCAGGGAACAGAGGATGCAGGCCACTAGAGAAAGGAGCTAATTTGTTTTTTATCTTTCTCTCTGTGACAGTCAAGATCTGCTTGTGTCAATAATGAAAAGCGTTGAACTTTACCCTTTCAATGTTGAATTTTATGGTCTGTGAAATATCCTTCCATAAAGCTGTAAAAATGGAAGATCTACCTGTCAGAAGAGCTGAAGGAGAATGTGTCAGAGACTGCTGACCTGCCTATGGACCCAGGAGCCTGCTGACTCAGTGTGACACATACCTTTAAGAACAGCCCATACTAGAAAAAAGGGTGCCTGTATTTGTGTATTTCTAAGAATAATGTCCCAGCCTCTTGGTGAATGCCACGGCTTAGAGGGTGTAACCTCCCTTTTGAAGATGAGGAAACTCAGGTATGGAAGTACTGAGTAGCTTTCTTGAGTAACCAGGAGAAGAAGAGGAGTAGCGCCTGAGTGTCTGCCCTCATGACCTCACCACACACGTGGTGGCAGATGTGCCAGAGTTGTCAGGGCTTCCCGATGCCCTCTGTCCTCAGTCCTCAAAGATGTGGGTGCTATCAGATCCTGGGCTGGAGAGCACTTGCTTCCTCATGCTGTGTGACATCTGGAACATGCTGTGAGAGTAGAATAAGAATTCCAAGTAAAATTATACAGTATATTCTGAAAGAAAGGTAAATTTTGCATACCCAGCCTGCAGAAAGTGTAACAGCTTGTGGTGACCAGGACTGGTTGCTGCCCCTCTGAATCACGCTTTAGACAAGTGGTTGGAAATTGTAGACTGCCACAACCCCTGGTTGTTTGCATAGCATAATCAGCTCTCTGATTATTTCCTGTGACTGGAGTGGGTTCAACAAGAAGATGCTACAGGGAACTGCTGGCACAGGTAGACACAGCCACCATTCCCATGGGATTAGCCTTGCTGTTCACAGCCACTGCATTCTGGGAGACTTCCTGCTCCAGCATTTCAGCAAAAGCTAAGAACCTTGGAATTTAAGCACTGAGACTATGGGGAGGAGTCAGAGCTGCCCCGTGGGCCTAGCCCCTACCAGCATTCCCAGCATTCCTTAGATAACAGCTAACTGCAGCTGACTTGCAAACCGGCCCTAGGTTAAGATCTCCGTTTAGGAGAGCAACCAAGTTGAATCTCATGGCTGAGATTTCTGGGAAAGAGCCTGTCATTAGCCCACCCCATCCCCAGATTAGCCCCTGCTCCTGAGACTAGGCAGTGTGGTCACATTACACCAAGACAGTGGCTCTCAAGGAAAGGGATGGTATTCAGAGAAGGCAGTAGGTGCTCCCACATCCATGTTGTTGTAGAAATGTATAATATACATAAAAGGGATCACATTATATATACACTTTTATGTTCTGCTTTATTCACTTATACATCATGAACACTCTATAGTTCATATTCTTTGAAAACATTTTAATGTCTTTTTGCTATCTCTTGTATGGGCATATTATGGTTTATTGATTCTTCTATTGTTAAACATTTAGATTTTTTGCAGTTTTTTCCAATTATAAAAATTATTGGCTGAGCATGGTGGCTCATCCGTGTAATCCCAGCATGTTGGGAGGCCGAGATGGGCAGATCACTTGAGCCCATCTCAGAGTTTTGAGACCAGCCTGAGGAACATGGCAAAACCCTGTCTCTACAAAAATTAGCTAGGTGTGGTGGCGTGTGCCTGTAGTCTCAGCTACTTGGGAGTCTGAGATGGGAGGATCATTTGAGCCCAGAGAGGTTGAGGCTGAAGTGAGCAGTGATTGTGCCACTGAACTCCAGTTTGGGTGACAGATTTAGTTTTTGTATTTCCTTATTAAAGGTTTCAAAAAGATCACCTCTGAATTAAAGGATAAGAAATTTTAGCTGTCATTATGTACTGTCAATATGTCAGATAGCTTTTTAGAAAGGTGGAGTAACAAATGAATATAGAGCTGATTTGTTGCATGCCAGTGGTGAAACTCACACACATTAGAATAACACATAGGCATGTTTAGCTGTAAGCATGAGGGTACTCAGGTGGCAGGGGTCACGCAAACATTCCACATATGGGAGAGCTTTTGGTTTTTAACAGCTTTATTGAGAGAATTTAAATGCCATACAATGCACTCATTTAAAGTGTACAATTCAGTGGCTTGTACTATATTCACAGAGTTGAATATACTACTACATGCATAGAGTTGAATATGCATCCATCACCACAGTCATGTTTAGAGTATTTTCATTACCAGCTGTCACCCCCTACTACCTCCATCCCAAGTCTGCAACCACTAATCTACTGTCTTTATAGATTTTCCTATTTGGGATATTCCATGTAAATAGAATCATATAATATATGGTCCTTTGTGTCTGGTCTTTGACTTTGCATGCTGTTTTTAAGGTTCATCCATGTTGTAGCATGTATCAATACTTCATTCCTGTTTATTGCTGATAGGAGAGCTTATATCACATCAGCAGAAGGGCCTGTGAGTCTGCGGTTAGAGAAAGGGAATTGAGGACCCATTTGGGAGCAGTGATCATGAATTATAGTGGCACTGATTTTCTTTATTATGTGACTTTCTCCAGCATCCTTACATTTTCAGTGACTGTAGCAGTAGTCATTTTTGTGAATGTACCTGTTTATTTACCCTATCCATTATTAGTGGATAAGTCTTTCCTAATCTTCACTCTTTTGAAAACTGCTTCAATAGATAGATCTTTGAACATTTATGTGATTGTCTTTTGTGGGTGAATTTCTAGAAATAGATTTGGTGGGTGAAGGGGTATGGTCAGTTTACATTTTGACACAGAGTGCCACTCTGCCTTCCCAAAAGCTGGAAGGAACTTGTCTTCATCACACTAAAAATGTCAGTCTTCTTAATCTGTGGTGATTTGCAGTGTGAAAAATTGTTCATTAGTGTTATTGTTAGCATTTTTTGCACTGTTCAGATTAAAGTTTTTTCATATGTGTTTTACCATTTGTGTTTTTTCTTTTAGAATTTATAAGGTTAGAAGTAAGTAGAAGTGTACATTTTTATGTAGCCAAGTATTTTATTTTTCAGTATTTCCTGCTGCTGCTTTAAGTTTAATTAAAATTTTAACAATATCTTGTTACTGTTAATTATCATTATTACACTGTTAACCTGTTTATTATCCCATTATGCTTTTCTTTGATTGTTCTGTTACCATTTCCTTTCTACTATTTTTCCTGTGGTTTATAATAACCATTTAATTTCTTTTAAACATGCCACCTTCAATGTTACTCTTCAAAATATTTATTCTTCTCAAGATAGAAGAAACTTACAACCCTCAATTAGACATTTTCTAACACAGCTAACCCTTGCATTTTCACACCAATTATTTCTTTCTACTTTAATTTTAGAAGACTCTAAACTGCTAACTGAAGATTTTCTTAGAAACTTAAAAACATAGCCCTTTACAAAAATGTTTATTTGCAGTCTAAGAGTTAGTTAATTTACAAATGAAAACTACTAAATATCAAATTAATAGACAGCAACTTTAGCTGTAGCTGACCTTTGCATTAATTTCTTATATTTTAATTTGCACAACTCTGCAAATACATTTGAAAACAGATTAAAAATTTTCTGTAGAGACATGACCTCACTATGTTGACCAGGCTGGTCTCAAACTCCTAGACTCAAGCAGTTCTCTCACCTCAGCCTCCCAAAGTGCTGGGATTACAGGCCTGGAGTTTAAGAGAGGCACACTGAAGAAGTCTGAGTTCCTTTAAAATACTTGAGCAAAGAATGAAAAGAAAAAGTCCGGGTGCGGTGGCTCACACCTGTAATCCCGACACTTTGGGAGCCTAGGGCGGATGGATCATCTAAGGTCAGGAGTTTGAGACCTGCCTGATCAACATGGTGAAACCCCGTCTCTACTAAAAACATGGAAAAATTAGCTGGGCGGGGTGGTGCATGCCTGTAATCCCAGCTACTCGGGAGGCTCAGGCAGGAGAATCACCTGAACCCAGGAGGCGGAGGTTGCAATGAGCCGAGATCGCGCCATTGTACTCCAGCCTGGGCAACGAGAGCAAAACTCCGTCATGGAAAAAAAAAAAAAAAGAAAGAAAGAAAAAGAAAAAAAATGGGATAATGAAGCAAATATGCCAGACTCTTGTTACTGTTGAGAATGGGTATATGTGGGTTCATTATACCATTCTCTCTTCTTTTGATTATATTTAAAATACTTCATAATAAAAACTGTTTAAGCTGTTGAAAAATATGATCCATCAAAATGAGAGTAAACTGAGCTATCTGGGAAGATGCAGCGGTGGAAAAGAGGGGATCCAGCAGGGGAGAGAAGCACAGGCAAGCCCACAGGAACCATGGCAGCAAAGCCCCGTGAGAGCTGTGCCCACACATCTCCTCCGTCCCTACTCGCAGCTCCAGATGAGCTTGCTGCAGGCAGGGGCTGTGAGGTTGTTTCCTGCCCCTGTGTTCCTCTTCCCTGACAGTGGCTGGCCCTGCAGGTTTGCAGGGAAGGTGCTGAGGGGGCTGATAAATCTCTGTTGGATACAGAAGCACCAGAAGTCACGGGGAAATGGAGGGTTTAGGTGTAGATACCTTCCTGAAGCGGAAGCACCTATGAGGCAGTGAGCTGGAATGAAAGGAATCTGGTCTGAAGAGATAGTTTAAGATCAAGGCAGGACTGTTTTAAGTGAGGTAAGGTCCAGGAGGTGACGGGAGAGTGCCGGCATTCAGAGGGCCAGGAAGCTTGAGGCTGGGTTGTTGAATTAATCATTCACATGGATATTGAAATAATCCAGGATGATGGGAGAGTCCCTCCCTCCCACTCTCCCTGACATTTTATTATGAAGATTTCAAAACTACAACAAAGCTGAAAGAATTTTACAGGGAACGCTCATATATCCAATACCTGAATTCTACCTTTATTCTTTTACTTTGTTTTATCACGTATCTGCCGATCCATCCATCTGTCCATTTCACATGTTTTACTCATTTCAAGTAAATTGCAGGCACCACTGTGTTTCCCTCACGCAGGAATGCTGAGGGTTAAATGTGGGGGTATTTTTAAACTGTTAGATATTATTGAAATACAGTGTTTTAAATCTAACTAAGATGTTCCTTGACTTCAGGTTGCGAATGATGACTCAATTCCTGAATCAGCTTCGGGAACGGAGCCAGACCCAGGTGGAGACTGGGCCACTCTAGTTCCCTTGCTCAGCAGGAGCAGCAGGGCTGTCACAGCAGCTTCCTCTGTGGGCATGCAGTGGCCGCTCCTCCCACTCAGCACCTTCGCCCCGCAGATGCAAATGCTCCTCTGCTCTTAGAACAAAACTGCAACCCCGAAGATAGGTAACGGAAAGGAGATTGCAGCGTTTGGAAGGGAAGGCTGAGGCGGCATATTCTGGCGGGGAACTAGTCATAATGCTAGTTATCCGATCGTTGAAACATCTTCTAGGTAGACTGTTCCATCCTTCAGTTTGCTTTTCTTTTCCCAAACGGTAATTGCTCCTAATCTGAGGTGGAGTAAGTCTAACCAAGTTCTAGTGCCTGTCTCTGACCCATGGGTAGCTAGAAAATTACAGCTCAAGGTGAAGTCTCAAGAGGAGTAGCCTTATATTTTGTGAAATGCTAAATAAAAAGATCTTCTGTTCTCATGAACCACTTACAACTTGGGCTTTATTTTTACCTGTATGGAAAACATGAAAAGTAACAAGAAAAACATGTTTACGTTTGGTTTTGACCTAGCACTGGTCTCTGAAGCAGGCCTCAGTGAGAGTTCGTACTGTAACTAACAGGCTCTGTGACCCTGGGCAGGTTCCTTACCTGGCAGTGCCCCAGTTTCGGCATCTGTGCATGATGGTGGTACCTGTTCTGCCTCTCTTGCTTGTGAAAATGCACAGAAAGAGCAGTGTAAGTGTCAGATGTTGTGTCTGCCTAGATGGCTTCAGGGCCTGGACTTACCACCTTAGCACTCAACCACTTGCATCCTTTCTGTCTTCTGGGGTCCCATCTCTCTTGCAGAGTCTTGTGTCGTCTCCCCACTGGGAAGGGGAAAGAGGACTGGCCCAATAGGGCCCCAGCCATGTGGTAATTGGGGCTGCTTAGCCCTGCCATCTGCCTCCAGGCAGAGTTGTTTCCCAGAGGGTCCAGAAGAAATGAACAGGCTGGGAGCAAGAGAAAATCTTGTCCATTGGAGAATGCCTGTCAGGAGGCCAGGCTGATGAGGGCAGCTGGTCCTGAAGTCCCTCTGCCTAAGAGCTCTCTCTCCAGACCCCCAAAATGCCCAGGGCTCTCTCCCTCACTGCACTCAGGTCTCCAAGGTCACCTCTGGTCTTTCCAGTCTAGCACTCCACCTGGTTACACTCTATCCCTTTTCCCTGCTTATTCTCCTCATAGGACATTACCTAACAAGGTATATTTGTTTATCGTCCCTCTCCCGCCTTAGAATGAAAACTGCACCAGGACAGGAACTTTTGTTTTTTTCACCTCTGTTCCCAGCACTTAGAAGGGAAGAGTGCCTGATACATAATAGACAAAAAACACTGTTGTATGACTGCATGAATCAATCAGAAACAAAGCTACAGACCCATAGTGTGAGGCCAGAAGCTTTCATCTCCTGTGCCCTTGTGCCCACCAACCTAATGCCCTCTGGGCCTGCTGCCCCTGTTCCTGGGACTTTTCTGCTCCTCTCCTCTGATGGAGACCTTGTTTGCCTCTTTTTTGATTCATGATTTGCTTAGGTACAGAATTCTAGCTTAAAAGGTATTGTTCTCTGAATTTGAAAAACATTGTTCTGCTCTAGCATCTGAATGTTGCTATTGAGACCTTTGATACTATTCTGTGTCCCAAACCTTTGCATGACCTGCTTTTTGCTCTGGAAGGTTTTAGCGTCTTTATTCCCGGCATGGTGACATTTCACCACGATGTGCCTTGTATGGTCTATTTTCATCTTTGCAAGCCTCTTGGAAGGCCCTTTGAATGTGGATACCAATATCGTTTTGGGAGGAAATATCTCCCGTAGTTTATTTGATAAACACCTTTCTTCTCTCTAGAAATCCTATAAATTTGCTGTTGGACCATCTTCATTGATTATTATCTTTTCTCTACTATGTTTGATCTCTCTTTTTACGCTATTTGCTGGGAAAGTTCTATGACTTTATTTTCCAACCCATCTAACCTTTTTTATTTATACTTTTTTTTTTGAGATATGTTCTCACTCTGTCACCCAGGCAGGAGTGCAGTGGCACAATCTCAGCTTACTGCAGCCTCGACCTCCCCAGGCTTAGGTGATCCTCCCATCTCAGCCTCCCGAGTAGCTGGAACTACAGGCATGTGCCGCCACACCTGGCTAATTTTTTTGTAATTTTTTGTAATGATGGGGTTTCGCCACATTGCCCAGGCTGGTCTGGGACTCCTGAGCTCAAACAACCCACCCGCCTTGGTCCCCCACAGTACTCGGATTACAGGCGTGAGTCACTGCTCCTGGCCTATACCATTTTAATTTTCAAGAGCCCTTCCTCCTTATTTATTTTGGTTTCTGTCTTTAACGTTGGGAAGTTTTCCTAAAAAGTCCTCTGATCCTTAGTTATCTGTTCACATGTAAGAGTGAGTCACTAGAAAGCAGGGATATAAAGATGTATTTGTACACCCAATTTCATAGCGGCGATATTCGCAATAGCCAAAAGGTGGAAGCAACCCAGGTGCCCACTGATGGATGAATGGATAAATAAAATGTGGTATATTCATACTATAGAGTGGTATTCAGCTTTAAAAAGGAAGGAAACTCTAACACATGCTACAACATGGATGGACCTTGAGGACATTATGCTGCGTGAAGTGAGTCAGTCATAAAAGGACAAATACTGGATGATTCTTCTTACATGAGGTACCTACAGTAGACAGAGTCATAGAGTAGAAAGTAGAATGGCAGGGGTTTGGGGGAAAGAGGGAGTGAGGAGTTAGTGTTTGATAAGTACAGAGTTTCAGTTTGGGAAGATGAAAAAGTCCCAGAGATGGATGGGGGTGACGGTTGCACAACAGTGTGAGTATACTTAATGTCGCTGAACTGTTTATTTTAAAATGGCTAACATGGTAAATTTTATGTTATGTGTATTTTACCACCAGAAAACCCAGTGAGTCACTAGGAAGCAAATTGGAAGCTCTTGAGCAAGCCAGCTCTTTTCCTGGGAGAAACTGTCTCTGCAGGTCAGGGGAGAAAGTGTCTGTGCAGGATCTGGGGATCCAAGTGTTGCATATGCTGGCATTCATTCACTCCCCTGTTCTCAGCCCTACACCCACCCTACTATTCCCTTTGTGGTTGGGTCCTGCTCCCCTAAGCCTGGAGCCTGGGTTGCAGAGCAAATTTGTTTCTGTGTGGTCTTCCCCTCTGTAGCCTCTGCTATTTCTCATCCTATAACTACTTCTGTATTCATTTTCCATCTTCTGAAAAGTGTTGCATCTCTTGTTCACTTGGATCTTTTCTTCTTTGTGGCCTTATATATTGTTTTTGGCAGGGGTTCAGGAGGGAGAGGAGGTAATACACATGTACTATCCACCCTTTTAATTAGAAGTTAGCTTAGGTATTTTTAATAGTAGTGAGCATGTAATTATGGATATAGCACTTTAATCTTTTGAATCCACTCACATACAAATGAAAATTCAAAATGCTTATTTCAGCTAGCGATTCAGTTTATCTTATTGTACACATCAGTGCAGCCACCACCTAGGAGCTGTGATGAAGATGTGGAGTCGGCATCTAAAACCAGTGAGCTATAGACACCTTCAAGGTCGTATCCTTTCGTTTACAGCTGAGCTAGCATAGCTGTGTGTCCTGATAGGACGAGACAGTTCTTAAAGAAAGCAGAAAACAACAATAATGAATACTTTATGGACCTTAATCTTAAATGTCTTCTATCCTTGTCAATTCTCTAAAGGGGTTGAAAAATACACCATGAAAGGTGGTGGTGGAGGGGGGGTTCTGTGTGCGTATGTGCACACGTGCATGTGTGTGTATTGGCAGGTGGAAGAGTGGATTAAGGGTAGGGCTTGAAAGGAAGTGGCTCTATGATGTCACAGCTCACTGTTTTGTAGTGGTTTATCCTAATTGTTTAGTTAATACTGTATAATGACATACTAAAATTAACCTGAGTTAGTTTTTAATCTAATTTATGATGAACATATATTAACATTTAGGTACATTTGCTCTATAAATGTGGGATCCATAAGAAAGAATCCCATCTTTGAATTGCAACCAAATATTTTAGAACAAGTAGGTCAGGTTGTATGGAGCTAATATAACTTGAGCAAAACTTCTAGGACTAGAGGAAATTGTATTTGTGCAACAACGTTTGCGTAGGGCTTTAAAATTCATGAAGCTCTGGTAGTTTCCATTTTGGCTTTCTATTGTAGGAAGTAAATGTAATTTTAATAGTACCTTTTTTTTTCTTTTTTAATTAAGGATGATGTTAGCCTCCAGTGAATTAAATGTAAGGGAGCTCATTACCCATTCAGGAAATCCAGTTCTGTCTTCTCAAGTTGCTCTGTTATGTTGAATCCTGTGTGTAAAGATCAAGTGCCAACCCAGAGCATTTCATAGGGCTTCTGAGACCTTACAAAAATGCTAGAGATATATTATATACTAATATATTGATATTTTAAGACACTGAAGAAAGAGCTATGATCTTTTTTTTTTTTTTTTTGAGACAGAGTCTTGCTCTTGTCGCACAGGCTGGAGTACAGTGGCGCAATCTCACTGCAACCTCCACCTCCCGAGTTCAGGTGATTTTGCTGCCTCAGCCTCCCGAGTAACTGGGATTACAGGTGCCTGCCACCACGCCCGGCTAATTTTTGTATTTTTTGTAGAGGCGGGGTTTCACCATGTTGGCCAGGCTGGTCTGAAAATCCTGACCTCAGGTGATCCGCCCGCCTTGGCCTAGTAATGTTTTTATAACGTGGATTTTAAAGCATCAGTTTTAAAAAGAGGACAGCTCCTCCAACTGAATACATTTTTCAAAAAACATGAATAAAGTAATTATTCAATAAAAGGACAAGTTTCTTATCAAATTTAATTTCAGTAGTTACAACTTGAATGTTTTACTCTCTAGTATCTTACATTGCCATATACCAAAACAAAGAAAGTAGTAGCTACATACTTTGCATTCAAATTTTAATTTTAAAAGTTTTTTGAAATGATCTTCAATATCTAAAATTTTGCAACTGGAATATAATTGATGACAAACACTAAGAAAGTGCTTTGCTAGAGCACTTCATATATTTATTCAGGCTCTAAATTCTTTTCTAGGTTGTATGAAATCTTACTGGGCAAACTGAAGGAAGATTTGGCAATGGTTAAGGTTTAAATCTTAGTATAAAATCCTTTTTAACAAGTAAAGCTAAATCTACATCACAGTAAATGAGATTGTATGGTTTGGAAATCATCTTTGATAAAGACCAGTAACAGAGCAATGATTTTCCAGTTGGAAGGGAGTTTAACTGGTAATGGGAGTGATGTTGGCTGACAGTGGGAGGTTGTTAAATTTATGTAGAAGAGGAATTGGGGAATCATTAGGTTTTTGGTTAATTCTTATAGTAGTTGGCCAGTAAACAGAATCTCAAAAAAAAATGATCCATATATTCCTTAAACATTTTATTTTAATTACATACACAGAAATGCACATTTACTCACCAGTTATTTGACAGAAGTCCCAGGCTATTTCTTTTAATATGGATCTGCCTTATTCCACATCTTTGTTTTTCTGTTAACCACAGCCGTATTACAGTTGGAAGGACTTAAGGACACCTGGAAATCTGGTAGATTTCTTTTTAACAATTTTCCTTCCTCCTTTTTACAGATAATGTCTTTCACACCTGATTTGGCAGCATTTTTTTTAGCAGTCTACCTCCATCATGCATTTCCAGAGTATTCATTGAACAACAGTTTTTTTGCAGTCATTTGTTGGTTACGGTAATATGTACAAATGAAACAGTGCAACTGACTGAGGTTGTATTGTTCACAGACCTCAGTTGGTGAGTGTGTGCCTGTGTGTGCATGCATGTGTGTGCGTGCGTGTGTGTGTGTATGTGTGTGTGTTGCAGGGTGTGGGAGAGGGGCCAGATGGCCCAAGCGTGCCGTAGTTCTCAGTGGGTGTGCTTGCTTTAGTGAGGAGACCCAGCAGAGCAGTGTGAGTGGAATTCAGGTGACAGCACTCTGCTATAAATTGAGGTATGAGCATTTAGGAAGCCTCAGATACTCTCCCCGGAGGTCTTTCTTCTCAGCCCTCTCGACTCCCATATGGTGACAGCCATATGTTCCCTGGAGCCTCCCTCCCTGGCCGTGGGGTTCTTTCTGCACAGGGCTGCTCCTACATGACTGAATCTGACACTCTTGCCCTGCCCTGATCACTTCATTACAGACAAGCTGAGAGCCCCTCACATCTTTGTATTTTCCAACCCCCATTATAGTATCTGGCTATGAATACAGATTTGTTGAACAAAATCTCACTGTCCTGCTGCTGCTTGGCTTTCTCCAGGCTTCCTGAGGTGGGGGTGCAGCTCTTTGGATCCCAGGGCCTCTGGAGGTCAAATGAGCTAACAGAGCAATTAGGGGAGCTCTATATAGCATCCCCTTTCAACTTCAGGCAAACGTTTATTTAATAAGCAAATGTTTACCAAAGAAACATAAATTTGCTCCATGATGTATGAAAACACCAGGGAAGAAACTATATTTATTTAAGGTGTAATCCATGCTAGTGAGTCGAATTTCTAACTTACAAAAATCCTCAAGTCATATGAAATGTTTTGTACGTTTAAAACATATTAATACTGTTTGGATGGCTATCTTCAGCTTATTCCAATACTATATGTTACATTCATTCCCTTGTGTGACAGAGGCAGATACCATCCCCCTGAGGTTTCCTAATGCCATGAGAATGTGGAAAGCAAGCCTCCGGAGAGCGAACTCACTCTGAGAAAGGCTTTGAAGATTGTTTTCTCATCTGCTTTTTATTTTCATATGCAAGTACGGTCCTCTGTAGTACATCTTATCTCTCTCTTTAGCCAGAAATACTTTGGCCCATAAAAATAGAAGAAAATCTCGAGCTAAGAGTGACACAAGTGCAGAGGTTAAATATTCAGTTCTTTGAAGTGAAATCATTTTTTTGTTCTTAGTGTAATGATACCCCTTTTCCTCCCTCTCCCTTCCTCTCCCTCAACACTTCCCAGGTCAGCAAGCTAGAAACTTTGTTGTCATCTTTAGATCCTCCCTCTCTCACTCTCACTCACTAGTTATTTTTAAGTCCAGAAATGCGATCTTCATAAGTGTCTCTGAATTTATTCTGCTCACTGCAAACTTAACTCCTGCTGCATCTTGATGCACTTGAACAATACAGTTCTTAAAGTTCTTAACCCTTTAGAGGTTATGAACTCCTTCAGTAGCTAATGAAAACCATAGACCCCCTTCTAGAAAAAGATGTGTGTATGTACAAATGTGTGTGCACATACACAATATTGCAACCATTTTAAGAAATTCACAGACCCCAATTAAGAAACCCTTGTAGGTCATTCTCCTGCCTCTGATACCTCCCACAACCAACAAATCCTCCATATTTTTATCAAGGTTATCTTTCCAAAATAGATTTAGTCATGTCAGTCCTTTGTCTAAACACTTTACTAACTTGCCATTGACTGTAGAATAAATTCTAGTGTATTTAATCTGGTCTTTTAAGTCCTCCGTATTCTACCCCCCTTTTTTTTTTTGTGATCCCCCTGCTTTCATGAACTATCTACTGCTCTATTTGCTATTCTCCACACCTGCTGTGAGTTTGTAGAACTTTTTGACTGCTTGTGCTGTCCTTGTCTCTAGGATATTTACCTTCTTGCCCTTCTTTTCTTCACTGTTGAGGGCTTTATTTTTTCAAGGCTCTGATGAAATGGTTGTTGTTCATGAGACTATCACTCCTCTATTAATCTCTGTTCGTCTCTGCTTCCTGCAATCCTGCAGAACTGTCTGCCTGAGCTGGCGCATCTACTAAGTTAAACCGTATGAAATTACTGATATTCAGCTGCTTTTAAAATTTATTTTTAAATTTACATACGGTAGCATTCACTCTATTTGGTGTACAGTTTCTGAGAGTTTTGATAAGTGCAATAAGTTATGTAACCACCACAATCAAAATTCAGAACAGTTCCATCACCTCCCAGAATATTTTTTCCAAGCTCCCTCTTTTTTTTTTTTTTTTTTTTTTGAGACAGAGTCTTGCTCTGTCTCCCAGGCTGGAGTGCAGTGGCATGATCTCAGCTCACTGTAACCTCTTCCTCCTGTAACTTCTGCCTCAGCCTCCTGAGTAGCTAGGATTACAGGCATGCACTACCACATCGGCTACTTTTTGTATTTTAGTAGAGACATGGTTTCACTATGTTGGCCAGGCTGGTCTCAAACTCCTGACCTTGTGATCCGCCTGTCTTGGCTTTCCAAAGTGCTGGGATTACAGGCGTGAGCCACCACTCCCGGCCCCAGGCTACCTCTTTGACTACAAATATTTCTGTTTTTCACCACAATTAACATAATTTTGTGTGGTTCTACCTAATATTTGATTCAAAACTAAATAGTTGTTTTCTTGTGGTTATGGACTGCCTATTTGTGTTAAAAATTCATATGTTGAAATCCTAACTCCCCGGTGCCATGGTATTAGGCGGTAGGACCTTTGGGAGGTGATTAGGCCGTGAGAGTAGAGCCTTCATGAATGGGCTTAGTGCCCTCATATGAAGAAGGGGACCAGTGCCTTTCTTTTCTCTCTCCACCATGTGAGGCACAGCAAAAAGCCATCTACAAAGCAGGAAGCGGGCCTCTCCAGGCATTAGATCTGCCAGAGCTGTAATGTTGGACTTCCCAGCCTCCAGAGCTGTGAGAAATAAATATTTGTTAAAGCCACCCAGTCTGTGGTATCTTGTTATAGGAGCCCAGGTGACTAAGACACTCATCTTTCTCCTCATTGGATTGCAAACTCCCCAATAATCCAAATCATGCCTTATTTTTCTATATCCCCATAACTCCTAACATAGATAAAGCCTGGTGCATTTTAAGTTCCCAGAGCCTGAGTCTTAGTTGAGTCAACAGAGGAATGCATGGTTAACAAAAATAATTATGAGATTTGCTTTCATTATGAGACTGAACTTCCGTGATATGGTTTGGCTCTGTTTCCCCATCCAAATCTCAAGTCAAATTATAATCCACAGTGTTGGAGGAGGGACCTGGTGGGAGGTAATTGGATCATAGGGGTGGATTTCCCCCTTGCTGTTCTCGTGACAGTGAGTTCTCACAAGATCTGGTTGTTTAAAAGTGTGTAGCACCTCCCCCTTTGCTCTCTCCTGCTGGCCATGTGAAGATGTGCATGCTTCCCCTTTGCCTTCCACCATGATTGTAAATTTCCTGAGACCTCCTCAGCCATGCTTCCTGTACAGCCCATGGAACCATGAGCCACTTAAACCTGTTTTCTTTATAAATTACCCAGTCTTAGGTAGTTTTTTATAGAAACATGAAGACAGACTAGTACATTCCCCCTTCTTATTTTCCTGCCTCTTCCTTCTTCTGCTGAATTTACTAATGGGTTCCATTATGCCTTGCCCGGTTCTTGAGATAGTCATTCTAGAAACAGCAACTCAGCTCTGTCAGCCTCTGGGTTTTGGAGTTAAGTTCTGAGACTGAGCAGATCTGGTGTGCTGTATGCCAGCTCTGAGCCTGAAGCATTGGGACCACCTCAGCTGCAGTGGGCAACTGCTGACATGACTGCATTTGAGTAGGTTTCATGAGAGATACCAATGCAGGTAAATGTATTGTAGAGGAATAAGGTGACTGAATCTTTAGCATATTATTTATTTGCATCTGCTCTCCCTAAGATCATCATAGTACAGCTTACTGCCTCCAGTGGTCTGAAAGCAACAGAGTTATCTGGAGCTAAAAGTATCAGCTAGTGAGTGTTAGAGGGGCACCCGTTGATGTACTCTTACCATGCAGGTGTATGTTCTCCTCTCCCTGTCTTTCAGGGCTCATTGATCATTTAATTCCACCTCAGATAATCTGTCACTCTCTTTTAGTTTACCCCATCACATATAATTGACAATGCAGAATCCGTGTATAAGTTGGGACTTCTCTGTGCTTGTAGCGTGTTATTTTTAGGAGAGGAGGTGATTACTCTCATATCATTAGAGTTATTGGGGAAGCAATTTTGTTAGTCATTATGCATATCAATAATTATACAAACTGATTTATGAGTGCATTTTTATCACTAGTATTATTAGTGCAGTTGTTAGAGCTCAACCACAAATATAATTACTTTCAACTTTAATGAAATATAGAATAATCTACATTCAGATAGTAAGAATAGTATTAATCACTGACAATAATTAAAATACACTTCTACATATAAACAGTGTTTAAAATGTAGAAGTAAACATGATACCAGACAATATTTTCAAAGTGGAAAGGCTAAGGGAGTGGTGAAAGTGTTTAAAAACAGGCCTGTGTTTAGGACTTCCTAGCGATAGGCTAAGCACCTTGGCAGAGAGTCAGGTATTGTAGCAATGAACTTGGGTGGAGTGAACCTAATAAAATCACTCTTTCCACTTTAGTGTTTAAAAATATAAACACACTTTGATGTTAAAGGAGAAAGTGAGTGTACATAGAAAATAAGTACTGTATTTATTTCTTCTCAGGTTTCTGTAACATTTCTTAGTATAAACGTTCTGTTTCTACTGCCGGCTATTGTTTTGCAAGGAAAATGGGTGTTAGATATCAATTTAGATTTGAGGAGGTGAGTAAAAGTTCAAACTATTTTTCCAGATAAGGTATTTTCTCCTGTGGTTTTTAATAGTACAAATAAACAAATATCACGTTGCCTTTTAGAGTGTTTTCTGATTTCAATGCAGATACGCAGTCCTCTGTGGAGCATAAATCTGGATCAGCCTAGAAACTCTGCTTAGACTGAGATAAGTGATGAAGACTTAAAGAATAATTAAAATTAAAAGCTAAGTTGGTTTCCCGCCTCTGCCTCCAACAACTTAACTGATGGATGGGTTCCATGTGAAGTCCTGGAAGGGTTTAGCTACCCTATTCTTCAGAGACCCAGGTTCTAATCTGCAGACTCCAGCTTGGCCCTAGTGCACAAAGACATTCTGCTTGGTGGGTAGGATGCCCCGCTCACCTCAAAATCCTGTGTGAGCATGGTATGAGAATTGGGGTTTCCAGGGAGCAGTACCCTAAGGGCTGCAGCAGGTCTTTGCACAGTGGGAAACCAGTCTTTCTCCTGTAGGTGCTGAGGACTCAGGACTTGGGCATCAAGAAAGTGAACTTCGTTTTGACTCATAAGTCTGGTGTTAGGGCTGGCTACAGGGTAGGCTTAGTAATATTTCCAAGGACTTAGGTTCTTTCCAACTTTCAACTCCTTCTTTGAGCCAACTTTCAATTCTTTAAGGTGAGGGTTTGTCTTCATGGGATAGCTGCAAGGTAGCTGCCATGTCTCTGGTGTCATATGCAGACCACAATAGCTGGAAGTTTAAAAATGAACCATTTTCTCTGGTGAGCCTCTTTTTTTTTTTTTTTTTTTTTTGGAGATGAAGTCATGCTCTGTCGCCCAGGCTGGAGTGCAGTGTCCTGATCTCCACTCACTGCAACCTCTGCCTCCTGGGTTCAAGCGATTCTCCTGCCTTAGCCTCCCAAGTAGCTGGGACTACAAGTGTGCACCACCACGCCCAGCTAATTTTTCTTTTTCTTTTTCTTTTTTTTTTTTTTGAGATGGAGTCTCCCTCTGTTCCCCAGGCTGGAGTGCAGTGGCGCAATCTCGGCTCACTGCAAGCTCCGCCTCCTGGGTTCATGCCATTCTCCTGCCTCAGCCTCCTGAGTAGCTGGGACTACAGGCGCCCACCACCACACCCGGATAATTTTTTTTTGTATTTTTGGTAGGGACGGGGTTTCACCGTGTTAGCCGGGATGTTCTCGATCTCCTGATCTCGTGATCCGCCCGCCTTGGCCTCCCAAAGTGCTGGGACTACAGGCGTGAGCCACCGCGCCCGGCCTAATTTTTCTATATTTAGTAGGGATGGGGTTTCACCATGTTGGCCAGGCTGGTCTTGAATTCCTGACCTCAGGTGTTCTGCCCACCTTGGCCTCCCAAAGTGCTGGGATTACAGGCATGAGCTGCTGTGCCCGGCCGAGCCTCTTTTTAAAAGCCAGGAGATTATTTTCTCAAAACCTCCTAGCCAACTTCACATCTCAGGGTCGTATCAAAGGGATTGGAATTGCCATAACTGGCGTCTGCTAATAAATTCACCCTCTTGGGACTGGTGCCCCACCTTCAAAACAGATGGCCACTTAATATCAGAATAAAATTTGAATTTGTTAGCAAGGAAGAATGAGGGTGGCTGCAGGGGTGGACATCAGTGGTGGCTACTGTAGTGTCAAGGGAGGTACAATGACTGAGAATGTCTTTATATCACCTGCCCACTTGATAGCTTGGTTGAGTATAGCATTCTAGGTTGGAAATTTGTTCTTCTAATTTTGTAGGCATCATTAATTGTTTCTAGTTCCCAGTGTTATCACTAAATCCAGTGCTATTCTGATATCCCAGTCCTTTACACTTTCTCAAGTCTTCTGTCTCTTTGGAAGCTTTTAGGCTCTTCTCTTTATCCCTGGTGTTCTGATGTCCATGGAATAGGTCTTTTTAAATTCGTTGTGATGGGTACTTGCTGAGTAGGCCCTTTCAAAATAGAAAATGTCCTTCGAAATTTGGGAAACATTTTCTTCTTCTCATGTTGGACCTTTTATCTCCTGTCTCCTCCCTCTTTATCTTTCCTTCTTCTTCTTCTTTTTTTTTTTTTTTTTTTTTTTTTTTTTTTTTTTTTGCTTTATAAGGTAATTTCTCAACTTTATCTTCCAAATTTCTATCGGTGTTTTTCCCCTCTCTGTCCATATTTTTAGTTTCCAAGAGCACTGTTGTTCTCACTTTGTTTTTCTAAAGAGCAGAAAATGATAAGAGGAATGGAAGAACTTGTGGTTGAAAATTCTGAGGAACTTTGTTATGCAAGCAAAGGAATTAGGCGGTGTTCAACATCTCTGCATAGGGAGACAGGTTGCCAGGCAAAAGAAAAAGAGGTCGCGGGAACCTGGGGGAAGCTGGGAGGAATGGAAGAGGTTACAAAGGCCATGAACATGAATGTGATGGGTAAGTTAAAACAACAAAGCAGGTGGCATTGATAGCTTAGTTGAAGAGGTTTGTTATTTTTCAAATTAATGTTCTTAGGTTTCTTAGACCCTTGCATTTGTTATTGCTTTTAAATGACATTAACTCTATGTTCCTGATTACAAACATGTTTATTGTAGAAATGTTGGCGAATATAAGAAATCACACAAACCTCCGAAATTGTGCATAATCTCATCGCTCAGAGATAACCAGTATTAATAGTGTAGTGTTTTCTATGCCTTGTCTAATGGCATATGAATACATGTATGTACCACTTCTTTTCAATTCTTTTTTGTTTTTTTGAGATGGAGTCTCGCTCTGTCACCCAGGCTGGAGTGCAGTGGTGCGATCTCGGCTCACTACAAGCTCCACCTCCCAGGTTCACTCCATTCTCCTGCCTCAGCCTCCCGAGTAGCTGGGGCTACAGGCGCCCGCCACCACCCCTGGCTAAGTTTTTGTATTTTTAGTGGAGATGGGGTTTCACTGTGTTAGCCAGGATGGTCTCGATCTCCTGACCTCATGATCTGCCTGCCCCGACCTCCCAAAGTGCTGGGATTACAGGCATGAGCCACCGTACCTGGCCTTTTTCAATTCTTTTACTTTTTATTTTGAAAAAGTTTCAAACCTACACACAAGTAGCAAGAATAATATAATGAACTCCTATGTACCTTTTCATCCAGATTCACCAATTGTTAGATAATATTTTGCTACCATATACTTTTTAAAAACAAAATTAGAATCATACTGTAGTTTATATTTTTATATTCTGCTTTTTCCAGTTAATAGTACATCACATGTCTTGAATAACCTTATCATCAAATACTTTTTCAAGGCCAGGCACAGTGGCTCATGCCTGTAATCCCAGCACTTTGGGAGACTGAGAAGGGCAGATCACTTGAGGTCAGGAGTTCGAGACTAGCCTGGCTAACATGGTGAAACCCCATCGCTACTAAAAATACAAAAATTAGTTGGGTGTGGTGATACACACCTGTGGTCCCAGCTACTTGGGAGGCTGAGGCACGAAAATCGCTTGAACCCAGGAGGCGGAGGTTGGAGTGAGCTGAGATTGCACCACTGCACTCCAGCCTGGGTGACAGAGTGAGACTCTGTCTCAAAAACAAAAACAAAAACAAAACAACAACAAAAAAACCCAGTATTTTTCAAGAACATTTTTTAATTTTTATTTTAGATTATTAAACTTTATTTATTTATTTATTTATTTATTTATTTATTTATTTATTTATTTTGAGACGGAGTCTCGCTCTATCGCCCAGGCTGGAGTGCAATGGTGCGATCTCGGCTCAACCTCCGCTTCCTGGGTTCAAGCAATTCTCCTGCCTCAGCCTCCTGAGTAGCTGGGATTACAGGCGTGCATCATGACACCCGGCTAATTTTTAAATTTTTGGTAGAGATGAGGTTTCACCATATTGGCCAAGCTGGTCTCAAACTCCTGACCTCAAGTGATCCACCCACCTCGGCCTCCCAAAGTGCTGGGATTATAGGCGTGAGCCACCGCGCCCGGCCTAACTTTATTTTTAAGAGCAGTTTTAGGTTCACAGCAAACTTGAGTGGAAAATACAGAGAGTTTCTGTATACCCCTTGCACCCACGTAGGCATAGCCTCCCTCACTATTAATATCCACACCAGAGCGGTACTTTAGTTACCACTGATTAACCTACATTGACACATCATTATCATGCAAAGTTCATGGTTTACATTTGGGTTCACTCTTGGCATTCTGCAATCTATGGATTTGGACAAATGTATAATGACTTATATCCACCATTATAGTATCATATAAAGTAGTTTCACTGCCCTAGAAACCCTCTGTGCTCCACCTGTTCCACATACCACCCCTGGAAACCCATGGCAACCACTAATCTTCACAGTCACAGTTTTTGCTTTTCCAGAATGTCAGATAGTTGGAATCATACAATATCCAGCCTTTTCAGATTACTAAGTAAAAGAAACCAAATACGTATTTAATTTTCCTCCATGTTTTTTGTAGGTAATAGCTCATTTCTTTGTATTGCTAAATAATATTCTAAACTGCGGTAAATAAATGTACCACAGTTTGTTTATTCATTCACCTGTTTGAGGACATCTTGGTTACTCCCAGGTTTTGGCAATTATGATTAAAGCTGCTATAAACATTCATATGCAGATTTTTGTGTGAACATATGTTTTCGACTCATTTGGATAAATACTAAAGAGTGTGATGGCTGGATGGGTTGGTAAGATTGTTTGGTTTTGTAAGAAACTGCCAAACTATCTTCCCATCATGGTACTTTGTTGTAAGTTTGCACCATAGTTTTTTTGACTTATTTTAAATTTTTGAACATTTAGATTTTTTTCCAGTTTTAACCCTGTGAGGAACATTCTTTTAAAATCTTTGCACATGTTTCTAATTATCTCCTTAGAATAAACTCCTCACATTGGAATTGCTGAGTCAAAAGATCTGGTCATTTGCAATTGTGGCAAGCATTGCCAAATTATTTTTCCCAAAGGCTGTTGTGCTAATCTATGCTTTTGCCAACAGGCCTGAGGATGACTGTACTTTTCACACTCTCAGTAATACTGTCAATTACGTTGTCAGTTTGCTAGGACTGCTGTGACAAAGAACCACAAACTTGGTGGCTTAAAACAACAAAAATGTATCCTTTCACAGTTCTGGAGGCCAAAAATCTGACTCAAGGTGTAGCAGGGCCATGCTTCCTCTAAAGGTTCCAGGGGAGGATCTGTCCTTGCCTCTTCCTAGTTTCTGGCGGCTGCAGTTCCTATTGGTGTTTCTTGGCTTGTAGCTGCATCGCTGCAGTCTCTACCTCCATCTTCACCTGGCTTTCTTCCCTGCCTGTGTATCTCTGTCTGTCCTCTCCTCTTCTTATAGGGACACCAGTCATTGTGCTTAGGGTCTACTGTAATCCCATCTGACCCCATCTTAACTAATTACATCTGCAAAGACTCTCACATTCTGAGGTTCCAGATAGACATGAATTTTGAGGAATACTGTTCAGCCCACTTCGATTATCTTTATTTTTTTTTCTAATAAGACAGGGGAAAGCATTCTAGTTTTTGCTTTAGTTTGCATTTCTGTAATTACTAGTGGTGTTGAAATCTTTTGATGTGGTGATTTGCACATACATCTTTTTTTTTTTTGGTAAATTATTTGTTTATAGCCATTGCCATAGTTTTCCTTTGAATGATGTATCTTGACTACTGGAACAATCTGTAGTTTATTTTTGTGAAAAGTGGAAGAGATTTGACTTTCTCTTCCTCTGCAATCCAGATCTGACTGACCATCAAGTCCTGTTGGCTTTCTCCTCTAGCTGCATGCCAAATTTGATAACTTCTCACTGCCTGCTCTACTGCTTGGTGATCCGAGCCACCTTTGTCTCTCACAAGGATTATGCAGTAGCCAGTACCTGGTTTCTCTGTATCCACCTGGTCTCATCTCCGCAGAGCAGTTGGAGCAGTCCTTTTCAGATGTAAATCATCCTGTCACTCTCCTGCTAATCACATTTAGAAGGAAATCCTGAACCCTCATTGTGGCCTGCAGCACCCGCCACCCTTTTGCTACCACTTTGCCCACCCCTGGTCTCCGTCCTTTATCCAAACACATCTATGGATCCAGGATTTTAGATGTTAAGGCCTGAAGGAGTTCAGCTGGTGAAGTAAGTTTATTTTTAGCCCTCACACCCAGCTCCAAGAGGTCAAAGAATTGATAATGGGGCTGCCTCCAGGCACTTGTGCTTCTCAATTCTGCAGTTCATTTTGTATGAGCATGATATTTTGCCTTCAGGTTGCCCTCTACAAATACGTCTTTATTTGGATTTTTACAAGCAAATTTTCCATAAAGGAATTTCTTGTTGCTGTGGTCTACTTAGATTGCTGCTTTTTCCCCGAAGTTCCCCTGATTTCAGAAAAAGAGGACAAATATCTAATTTCCTAATTTGTTAAGATTCTGCAACTTGGGCCGGGCGTGGTAGCTCACGCCTGTAATCCCAGCACTTTGGGAGGCCGAGGCGGGCGGATCACAAGGTCGGGAGATTGAGACCATCCTGGCTAACACAGCGAAACCCCGTCTCTACTAAAAATACAAAAAATTAGCCGGGCGTGGTGGCGGGTGCCTGTAGTCCCAGCTACTTGGGAGGCTGAGGCAGGAGAATGGCGTGAACCCGGGAGGCAGAGGTTGCAGTGAGCCGAGATCACTCCACTGCACTCCAGCCTGGGCGACAGAGCGAGACTCCATCTCAAAAAAAAAAAGATTCTGAAACTCGGTAAGATTGAACATGTAATTTGTTCATTTAATAGTTTCTCAGTGCATTGGGCTTTAATTTTTACCCACTGTTTTACCAAGTGACAAGAAGATCCTTCTAGATAAATATTACATGATATTATAAGTACAGTTGATCATGTAAGAAAACTAAAATTTTGTGGCATGCAGGGTTTGTGCCTTTATAAAATATTCATCTTGAGCTTCATATGGAGCTTAAAAACGATGACACATAGATCAGTTGGAAAGTTTTGCTTCCTCCTGGCTCACCCTTCTCCAAGCCAGAAGCCGCCAAGTGTATGTATGGGGAGGGAAGTGGGTGAGACAGGGAGCCTGGCAAGGGCCCCCTTCTAGTGTGTTTTGTGGGAACAGCCTCATTTTGTTTATAGAGGCTGGGCTTGCCTGTAATCACTTAGGTCAAAACCTGGCATATTAGATAGAAAAGATAGTTTTCTTAAATGGGATTGACAATTTCCGCCTTCCAGGTTCAAGCGATTCTCCTGCCTCAGCTTCCCGAGTAGCTGGGATTACAGGCGCCCGCCGCCACGCCTGGCTAATTTTTCTATTTTTAGTAGAGACAGGGTTTCACCGTGTTGGCCAGGATGGTCTCGATCTGTTGACCTCGTGATCCACCCGCCGTGGTCTCCCAAAGTGCTGGGACTACAGGCATGAGCCACCGTGTCGGGCCTTTAGTGTTTTTTTCTTTAGAGGTGAATAGCATACAACAACTGAGATGTTAACTTGCTGACTTGTTGATTTCCACTTCTCTAGTCCTTATTTATTTCCGTTGGATCAAAGTAATTCCATTATGGCTGAGCAAATGATGCCTTAGTGCAATTTATTAAATAAAGGAATTTTGTTCATACAGAACAGGTTCATGACAAAAAAGGAACATCAATGAAGAATAGCTCTGATTTTCTTGTTCATTTTTAAAGGTGTTTTTACTAGGACTTGACCCTTGTAAACTTGAGTGCGTGTTGTGATTTAATGGAAAGTTTTTTTAAAAAATGAAGCCTGACTGTTGATTGATTTTCATATAGTTGAGTGTATTTTACCTTTAGTTTGCTAATGATTTCTTCCTCTATCTATACCACAGTTAGAACAAACTTCAAACTAATGATACTGGGCGCGTAGTCTATATTTTTTCCAAGCAGTTGAATCTATACTTTCACCACCAAGAGGAAGAGAATGCAGTGGAAAGTTTTAAAAAGTGCATTTCTTTATGAACTATTTCTGTTAGTTTTTAATTTTCCAGTTTTCTCACAAAATAAACTTTCAAAGTTCTTCATGATTCAAATTAAAGAATAAAATATGATAGTAAAAATTTCATTTACTATCTGGATTTTTTCCCCTCTTCCAATTTGTGGAAATAGAGTTGCATTCAGGGTTGATGACATGAACTAGAGGGTTAATATTTGTGGCTTCTTTTTTCATATTATTCTAAATGTTTGTAGTCCTTTTATTTCATCTTACTAAGAAAATAAAAGCAAATGCAGAATTACGGGCTGGTACAAAGTATATGAGAACAGTATGAAAATACCTGAATCATAATTGATGATGATGCAGACATGTCATCAATTGAGTAATGTTATTAAAAGTGACACTTTTTTTTTTTTTTTTTGAGATAGAGTCTCGCTCTGTTGCCCAGGCTGGAATGCAGTGGTGCAATCTTGGCTCACTGCATCCTTCACCTCCCAGGTTCAAGCGATTCTCCTGCCTCAGCCTCCTGAGTAGCTGGGATTACAGGCGCCCGCCACCAAGCTGGCTAATTTTTGTATTTTTAGTAGAGATGGGGTTTCACCATGTTGGCCAGGCTGGTCTTGAACTCCTGACCTCAGGTGATCCACCCGCCTTGGCCTCACAAAGTGTTGGGATTACAGGTGTGAGCCATGGTGCCTAGTCAGACGTGACACTTGTTTACTGCCAAGGATCATTGGCAGAACACACCAGAAGCATCTGTGGTTTTTTGGATCTATGGATAGAGAAGGCCCCAAGGAGTGGGGATCAGGACTTGCCTCCTCAGGCAGCTATACTTTTGCACAATTTTGCTTTGGAGGTGTACAAGGTAATGTTATATTGCTGACTAGAGTTGACTGGACCAAATTATAATTGTGAAAGCAGGAACAGTCAAACAAATAACTATGTAGTTGCAGAATATTTACAAGAAACTGTGTACGCATTGCGATCTTCAGGATGTCGTGCCTACATCTCAGGATTGTGGTGTTAGAAGAGACACAGTCTCTATCTTCAACAATAAGTGATCATCATTCAGTAGCGGGTAAGCGTTCCGTCAATGCCCTTCTCTATCACCTTTTTCCCAGCTGTGCCGTTCTCATCGATTTTCTTCTTGAGAAGTCTAGCCACTACTGTCCTCTTTATCACCTTTTTCCCAGCTGTGCCAGTCCTCATCGATTTTCCTCTTGAGAAGACACCACTACTCTGTTGTCACCTACTCCAGGCAGCCCTCCTAGATATCCTCCCTCTGAGTCAATCATTCCCTTCCCTGCTGACATCTGAATCTTCTACTCATTTCTGTGGCTGCTGGGGAAGCTTGTACTATAAAGGATGATTCTTTGTCTCACTAGATCATAAACTCCTGAGGGTGGATTTCACACTTACTCATGTTTGTATTTCTGGACCTAGCAAAGTCAGGGCAAAGCACAAAGTAGAAATTCAATAGAGTTTGTAAACTTGAACCTAAGCATACCACACAAGCCCATGTGCCGTACACTGGGCTGTGCCTTCATGTATATTGATTACTCATCTAGTCCTCGGGGTCAGAAACAAGTTTGTATGCAGTTTATACAGCTAGTAACTTGTTGAGGCCAGAAACCTTGGGGTCATCCTTGACTTTTTTCTCTCAGCTCTGCATGTATCCAGTCCCTCAGCAAACTCTGCAGAGGCTGCACTTTTGGAATAGATCCAGTATGTGACTGCTTACCACCCTCACCTAAACTCTTATCATCTCTCACCTGTACTGTTGAAGTAGCCTCCTAGTAGCTTCTGCTGTGACACTTGCCCTGTTGCAGCCTGTTCCCACTGCACCCCTCAGAGAACCAGAAGGATCCTGTTAAAGGTAAGCTGCACTATGTTATTTCTCTGCTCAGAACTTGGCTTGCCCTTTCATCTCACTCAGTCAAAGCCAAAGGAAGGCCTGTACCTCTCCCTTCTCACCATCTCCTCCTTCTCTTTCCCCTGTAGCTCTTTCCAGCCACCCTGGCTGTGTTCACGTGCCCAGCACGCTCCTGCCCCAGAGCCTTTTCAGGTGGCTCCTTGCTTCTGGACAGCCATGCAGCTCCTCACTCACTACTTCCAGTCTCATTTCCATGTCACCTTTGCCTGAACCCCCTGTAAGATCACATTTGCCATCCCCCCACCCTGAGTTTCCTCCTTCTCTTTCTCTAATGGCACTTAACCACCGTTTAATATACTATACATTTTGCTCATTCATTTTATTAGTTGTGTTTTCCCTACTGGAATAGAAGCTCCACGAGAGCAGGAGCTTTTGCCTGCTCACTGCTGTATCCTCAGTACCTATAACAGTATCTGGCATGGAGTAGATCAAAATGTAAATAAATATTTCCTGAATAAATTAATCAGTTAATCCAACTTCCTGCCATTGGACAACTATTTTGTGTTAGTGTGTGGGTGAGTGGGTCGGTGGGGTCCTTTTTACTTAATGATTTTCTTCAGGGACTAACACATTGATTAGGAGGTAAAAAGAAAACTGACAACTTTATTATGATTATTGAACTCCTAATGTAGAATAGCTTTAAACTTCAAGCAAACCTGTAGTGATGTAGATGTGGCTGTTCCATTTTACTGAAGATGAGGTTGGGGTTCAGAGGGCTCCACAGTTGCCTGTGCTCACACACCTGGTGAGACAGGCCTTGACTCCCTGTCAGGTGGTCTCCAGCCAGCCCCTGCCCCTTTCCCTGCCACCACATCTTCTGCCCATCTGAAGAGCTGATAAAACTTCCCAAAGACAATAGTAAGGAAGTAAATGAAGTAGGAAAGTAAATTGGAGGATAACATATGATTAAAGGGAAAATGGTGACTTCACTTAATTGAGAGCAGAATAGAAAATGAACTCAAATTGCAATAGGAAAGGAATAATTGAAGTAGAAAACATAAAATAAGGATTTGGAACTTGTCTGTCCATATATAATTAAAAACAGAAGAGACGATTATTTCTTCATGCTAGTGGGGGTCCACTTTTACCTAACAGTTGGGAGGATCATGGCTTTGTGGGGGCTTCTTTCCTTAGAAGTCACTTTCTGCCTCATGAAACATTGGCTTTATCTTTTCAGGGCTACTGATTGAATGTACAAAATAATAGAGATTAACCTAATTGGATAATTATTATCATCCCAGTAATGTTCCACATTCCCTTCCTAGGGACCCACCCTAACACTCCTTATCTTTGTTCTTATTTCATCTGTTTATACTTCATTTCAACCATCCATATTAGCTGAAACGGAATCAAAATGAACCAAAAATCAATACATTTTAGTTTCTCTGTTATCTATAACCTATGTATTTCCATATATTTAATAAGCATTTTATTGTTTCCTCACTCCAAAGAGAATTCAAGGTGGGAGTAATTCTTCAATATTATGCCTTGTCCAAATTGCTTGTGAAAAAGTATGTTGAATTTTAGATATTTTTCAGATTTTTGAATATTTGCAGATACCTAACAGGTAGAGCATCCGTAATCTGAAAATCTGAAATCCAAAATGCTCTGATGAACATCCTTTGAACATCATGTTGGCACTCAGAAAGTTTCAAATTTTGAAGCATTTCAGATTTCAGACTGGGGGTGCTCCACCTGTATTAGCATTATGTAATAACCATGTTGTGTTCATTTGTCTAATAGATTTTATATGAAACATTCTGAAATATGATCACTAAATATAACTATTGATGAAAATTAAATAAGTTGTTGCTTTCAAAAAAAATCTGAGGGATCCTATATAAATGTTTTCTATTGCCATGATTTGAATGTTTGTTGTATTCGTTCATTTTCACGCTGCAGATAAAGACATATCCAAGACTGGGCAATTTAGGAAAGAAAGAGGTTTATTGGACTTACAGTTCCACGTGGCTGGGGAGGCCTCACAATCATGATGGAAAGTGAAAGGAATGTCTCACATGGCGGCAGACAAGAGAAGAGAGCTTGTGAAGGAAAACCCCCATTTTTAAAACCATCAGTTCTTGTGAGACTCATTCACTATCACAAGAACAGCACAGGAAAGACCCACCCCCATCATTCAATCACCTCCCACTGGGTTCCTCCCACAACACGTAGGAACTGTGGGAGTTAGAATTCGAGATAAGATTTGGGTGGGAACACAGCCAAACCATATCATTCCGCTCCTGGCCCCTCTCAAATCTCATGTCCTTACATTTCAAAACCAATCATGCCTTTTGACAGTCCCCCAAAGTCTTAACTCATTTCAGCATTAACTCAAAAGTCCATAGTCCAATGTCTCATCTGAGACAAAGCAAGACTCTTCTGCCTATCAGCCTGTAAAATCAAAAGCAAGTTAGTTACTTCCTAAATACAATGTGGGTAGCAGCATCGGGTAAATACAGCTGTTACAAATGGTAGAAATTGGCCAAAACAAAGGGGCTACAGGCCCCATGTGAGTCCAAAATCCAGCAGGGCAGTCAAATCTTAAAGCTCCAAAATGTTCTCCTTTGACTCCATGTCTCACATCCAGGTCACACTGATGCAAGAGGTGGATTCCCATGGTCTTGGGCAGCTCTGTCCCTGTGGCTTTTCAGGGTACCACCTCCCTCCCAGCTGCTTTTACGGACTGGTATTCAGGTGTTTGCGGCTTTTCCAGGCACATGGTGCACGCTGTTGGTGGATCTACCATTCTGGGGTCTGGAGGACAGTGGTCCTCTTCTCACAGCTCCACTAGGCAGTGCCCCAGTAGGGAATCTGTGTGGGGACTCTGACCTCACATTTCCCTTCCACACTGCCCTAGCACAGGTTCTCAATGAAAGAAAGCCCCACCTCTACAGCAAACTTCTGCCTGGACATCCAGGCATTTCCATATATCCTCTGAAATCTAGGCAGAGGTTCCCAAACCTCAGTTCTTGACTTCTGTGCGCCTGCAGGCTCAACACCACATCGAAGCTGCCAAGGCATGGGGCTTACACCCTCTGAAGCCACGGCCTGAACTGTACCTTAGGCCCTTTTAGTCACGACTGGGATGCAGGGCACTAAGTCCCTAGAATGCACACAGTATGGGGACCCTGGGCCTGGCCCACAAAACCATGTTTTCCTCCTAGGCCTCTGAGCCTGTGATGGGCAGGGAGGGGGCACTGCTGTGAAGACCTCTGACATGCCCTGGAGACATTTTCCCCATTGTCTTGGGAATTAACATTTGGCTCCTCATTCCTAAGCAAATTTCTGCAGCTGGCTTGAATTTCTTCTTAGAAAATGGGATTTTTTTTTCTATTGCATTGTCAGGCTGCAAATTTTCTGAAATTTTATGCTCTGCTTCCCTTATAAAACTGAATGCCTTTAACAGCACCCAAGTCACTTCTTGAATGCTTTGCTGCTTAGGAATTTCTTCTGCCAGATACCCTAAATCAGCTCTCTCAAGTTCAGAGTTCCACAAATCTCTAGGGCAGGAGCAAAAGGCTGCCAGTCTCTTTGCTAAAACATGGTAAGAGTCACCTTTGCTCCAGTTCCCAACAAGTTCCTCATCTCCATCTGAGACCACTTCAGCCTGGACCTTATTGTTCAGATCACTATCAGCATTTTTTGTCAAAACCATTCAACAAGTCTCTAGGAAGTTCCAAACTTTCTCCCATTTTCTTGTCTTCTTCTGAGCCCTCCAAACTGTTCCAGCTTCTGCCTGTTAACCCAGTTCCAAAGTTGCTTCCACATTTTCGGGTATCTTTTCAGCAGCACTCCACTCCTGATACAAATTTACTGTATTCGTCCATTTTCATGTTGCTGAAAAAGACATATCCAAGACTGGGCAATTTAGAGAAGAAAGAGGTTTATTGGACTGACAGTTCCATGTGGCTGGGGAGGCCTCACAATCATGGAGGAAGGTGAAAGGCACATGTCACATGGTAGCAAGACAAGAGGAGAGAGCTTGTGAAGGGAAACTCCCCTTTTTAAAACCATCAGATCTCATGAGACTCACTCACTATCAGGAGAACAGCACAGGAAAGATCCGCCCCCATCATTCAATCACCTCCCACTGGGGTTCCTCCTATGACACATGGGAACTGTGGGAGTTACAATTCAAGATGAGAATCGGGTGAGAACACAGCCAAACCATATCATTTGTGCTCCCTCAAAATTCATATGCTGAAATATTAACCCCTAAACTGATGGTGTTAGGAGATGGGGCCTTTTTGGAGGTGATTAGGTCATGAGTGGAGCCGTAACAAATGAGATTAGTGAACTTGTAGAAGAGGCCCCAGAGAGCTGCCCTGCCTCCTTACATCACGTGAGGACAGAAGAAGGCGGCACTATATAAGAGAGAGTGGGCTCTCCCCAGACACTGGGTCTACTGACACCTTGAATTTGGACTTCTCAGCCTCCAGAGAAATAAATAACTGTTGTTTATAAGCTACTTTGTCTATGGTATTTTGTTATGGCAGCCTGAATGAACAAAGACAGAAACTGGTACTGGGAGTGTGGTTGTTGTTATAACAAATGCCTAGAAATATGGAGGTGGCTTTGGAACTGGATAATGGATAGAGACAAGAAGAGTTTTGAGGTGCATGCTAGAAAAAGCTTAGATTGCTGTGAATGGACCCTAAAGGGCAATTCTGGTGAGAGCTTAGAAGGAGGGAAGGAGAGCTGTAGAGAAAGCCTCCATCTTCTTACGGAATGCTTAAGTGGTTGTGATCAGAATATTGTCAGAAATATGGACTGTAAAGGCAATTCTGATGAGGTCTCGGAAATGAGGAACATGTTATTAGAAACCATAGGAAACATGATCATTGTTATAAAGTGGCAAAGAACTTAACTAAGTTGTGTTTGGGTCCTCACATTTTGTGGAAGGTAGAACTTATGAGCAATGAAATAGGATATTTGGCACAAGAAATTTCTAAGCAAAGTGTCAAAGATGTGGGTTGGCGTCTGTTGAGTGCTTATAGTAAAATGTGAGAAGAGAATAATGATTTAAAAGCAGAATTTTCAATCAAGAGGGAAGAAGAACTTAAATATTTGGACAATTCTAAACCTGTCCATACTGTGGAAGTGTGTTTGGGAGAGAACAGCAAGGGTGTGGCCAAGCAACTCTTTGATGAGATTGGTGTGAATCCACCAGGTGCTAGTCATGAAGACATGGAAGAATGACTTTGAAGACGTTTTCGAGATTATTGGGGCTACCACTGTCATCACAAGGCCAGAATGCAAGGGCCTTGGTGGCAGAACAATTTGAAAGGATGGGCCAAGGATGAACTGTGGGACCCCTGTGCTTGCTGCACAACTGGGCACCATCTCAAAGCTCTGCTCTCCACATTCTAGGGCAGGGATCCTCAGCTACCCCAGGTTTGGCTTTAGTAGGCCCAGGTGTGGCAGTGGCTGCCCCTCCAGGAGACAGAGTCAGTAAACCTTGTCAGCCCCCAGGCAGTGCCATCTTTGCAGGTATGCAGAGTGCACAAGCTGTAGGGGTGTTGATACACCCACCTAGATTCTGAAGAATGTAGCAGCTAGAAGCCTTGGTCAAGTGAGCCAAGCAGAGGCTGCTGTGAGGGTGGACCACCACATGACTCCAGACCAGTAGAGCCACTGGTGTGCGATTCCAGCCTGGGAGAGCTGCAGGCACCTGACTACAGCTCGCAATAGGTGTGCTCTGGGCTGTGCTCAGCAAAGCCATGGGGTTTGGCTGCCCAGAGCCTACCCAGCCTATGGGATTTTGTTATAGCCGCACAACAGGCCAAGACACCTATGTTCATATTCCTTTATGTGTATGGTTTTTTCAATTTTGCATATATATTTTTTGAGACAGAATCTTGCTCTGTCACCCAGGCTGGAGTGCAGTGGCGTGATGTTGGCTCACTGCAACTTCCGCCTCTAGGATTCAAGTGATTCTCCTGCCTCCGTCTCCCAGGTAGCTGAGACTACAGGAATGTGCCACCACATCCAGCCAATTTTTGTATTTTTAGTAGAGACAGGGCTTCCCTGTGTTGGCCAGGCTGGTCTCAAATTCCTGACCTCAAGTGATCTGCCCACCTCAGCTTTCCAAGGTGCTGGGATTACAGGCGTGAGCCACCACGCCTGGCCAATTTTGCATATTTTAAAATCTCAGATATGTAGGTAGTGCACATCCTTCAATATGTATCCCTTAAGTGACTTCATTTCTATCCATCTGGCCCCCCACACACTTAATGAAATCACCAGTAAAAACTAGACCTGGTCAGATGGAATTTCCCAACCTTTTGTGTAAAAATCTACCTGTTAGATAAATGTTGCTTCCTAGTATCTGATCAAAACACAAAGGAAAAAACACAGGGCAGCAAAGAGCATGATTTTGTGACTCTTCAGCACCTTATTTCACAGGGGAACAAGTATAAACCTATTACTTCAGAAGTTTTGTTTTTTTATCGTTTATAGGGATATCTTGGGGGTGTTGTGGGTTAGATTCCAGACCACCACAATAAAGCAAATATCACAATGCAGTCAGTCATACTAATATTTTGGTTTCCCAGTGCATATAAAATATGTTTGCACTATACTATAGTTTATTAATTGTGTCTGAAAAACAATATATATACCTTAATTTTAAAATGTTTCATTGTTAAAAATGCTAGTGATTATCTGAACCTTTAGCAAGTCATAATCCTGTTGCTTGTGGAAGGTCTTGACTCGAGGTTGTTGGCTGCTGGCTGATCAGGGTGGTGCTTGCTGAAGGTTGAGGTGCTGTGACAATTTGTTAAAAGAAGACAACAGTGAAATTGGCCACGTGGATGGACTCTCTTTCATGAAAGATTTTTCTGAAGCATGGGATGCTGTTTGATAACATTTGATCTACGGTAGGACTTCTTTCAAAACTGGAGCCAGTCCTCTCAAACCCTGTCACTGCTTTATCGGCTAAGTTTATGAGTATTCTAAATCCTTTTTTGTCATTTCAACAGTGTTCATGGTGTCTTACCAGGAGTAGATTCTATCTCGAGAAACCATTGTCTTTGCTCATCTACGTGAAGCAGCTTCTTGACTGTTCAAGTTTTATCATGAGATTGCAGCAATTCAGTCACATCTTCAGGCTCCACTTCTAATTCTAGTTCTCTTGATATTTCCCCCCACATCTGCAGTTACTTCCTCCACTGAACTATTGAACCCCTCAAAGTCATCTATGAGGGTTGGAATCAATCAACAATGTAGATATTTTGAACCCCTCCCATGAATCAGTAATATTCTTAATGGCATCTAAAATGGCAAATCCTTTCCAGAAGATTTTTAATTTACTTTGCCCAGATCCATCAGAGAAATCACTATGTATGGCAGCTATAGCCTCATAAAATGTATTTTTTAGATATTAAGACTCAAAAATTGAAATTACTCCTTAATCTATGGGCTGGGCTGCACATGGATATTATGTTAGCAGTCATGAAAACAACATTAATCTCCTTGTACATTTCCATCAGAGCTCTTGGATTACCAGGTGCATTGCCAATGAGCAGTAATATTTTGAAAGGAATCTTTTTCTGAGCAGTAGGCCTCAACAGTGGGCTTAAAATATTCAACCAACCATGCTGTAAACAGAGTGCTGCTATCCCGACTTTGTTGTTCCTTTTATAGGGTATAGGCAGAGTAGATTTAGCATCATTCTTAAGGGCCCTAGGATTTTCAGAATGACAAATAAGCATTGGCTTCAACTTAAAGTCACCAGCTGCATTAGCACCTAACAAGACAGCCTGTCCTTTGAAGCTTTGAAGCCAGGACTTGACTTTTCCATTCTAGCTATGAAAGTCCTAGATGGCATCATCCTCCAATAGAAGGCTGTTTCATCTACATCGAAAGTCTGTTGTTTGGTGTAGCCACCTTTATCAATTATCATACCAGATCTTCTGGATAACTTGCTGCAGCTTCTGCATCAGCACTTGCTTCCTCACCTTGCACTTTTATGTTACGGAGATGGCTTCTTTCCTTAAACCTCATGAACCAACCTCTCCTAGCTTCAAACTTTTCATCTGCAGCTTCCTCAAATCTCTTAGCCTTCACAGAATTGAAGAGAGTTAGGGCCTTGTTTTGGGTCAGGCTTTGATTTAAGGGAATGTTGTGGCTGGTTTGATCTTCTATCCAGACCACTAAAACTTTCTCCATATCAGCAATAAGGCTGTTTTGCATTCTTATCATTCATGTGTTCACTGGAGTAGCACTTCTGATTTCCTTTCAGAACTTTTCCTTTGCATTCATAGCTTAACTGTTTGGCATAAGATGCCTAGCTTTCAGCGTATTTCATCTTTTGACATGGCTTCCTCTAAGTTTAATCATTTCTAGTTTTTGATTTAATATGACGGACCTTTTACTTGAACCCTTAGACCTTTTACTTGAACATTTGAACCTTTTACTTAAACCCTTACAGGGTTATCAATTGGCCTAATTTCAATAATGTTGTATCTCAGGGAATAAGGAGGCCTGCAGAGAGGGGAAGAGATGGGGGAATGGCCGGTCAGTGGAACAGTCAGAACACACCCAACATTTGTAGATTAAGGCTGCCATCTTATATGGGCAGGGTTTGTGGTGCCCCAAAACAATTACAGTGGTAACATCAAATGTTGCTGATCACAGATCACCACAACAGATATAAGAACGATGAAAAAGTTTGAAATATTGTGAGAATGACCAAAAGGTGACATGGAATCACAAAGGGAGCACATGCTGTTGGAAGAATGGTGCCAGTAGACATGCTGAACAGAGTTGCCACAAACCTTCAATTTATAAAAAAGTCAATATCTGCAAAGTGCAATAAGGTGAAGCACAATAAGATGAGGGTTGCCTGAACTCTACAAGATGGGAAGAATAGAAAGACAAACTACCATTCAGGGAATCCCCTTTTTTCAGTTCACATTTTACATTTTTACTGCAAAGAAAAGATGACCAAAAAGGATCTGAGTCAAGTTTCCGATTTCAAACTCTGGTCACAGAATCTCAGAATTGGAGAGTAGGAGGACTTCAGAGCTCTGTTCCCCTTGGGGATTTTCCTATGATGGCACCAGGCACTGCATTTGATGCTCCTACTACCTGTTGACATTTAGTCCTCACCGTCAATCTGGAAGGCCACCTCACATCCATTCATAAGGGACTGCAGCCCAGGGAGGGTTTCAGAGTATTGCATGGAAGAAGGGGGATTTGAGCTTCCAGCTCCTGACTTCATTCAGTTGTTCATAGGGCCACAAAAAGTATCTTTGGAAAAGATGCTGCTCTAGGAGAATGTGGGCCCTGCACCAAGGTACCTGGCAGGGAGGTAGAGCTTGGCCTGGTGCCAGTGCCCTTGCCTCCCTCATACCTTTTTAGAGAGCATGCACTGATGCAAGCTCTCTATGCAGGCTTCACCGGGCTGCACTGGAACAAGTAGACATCTCGCTGGCAGAGTCTCTTATTTATAGCTTTCACTCTCTGGCATTGATTTTCTGATGATTCTATTTTTTTTTTTTTAACAGTAGATGTAGATGTAGTGAAATAAGATTACCTTTCCCCCATTAGCAGTTTGATAGAGATGTACTGTCTCACCAAGTCCTCTGTGAAGGACTAGAGGATAGCCTAATCATTTTTCAACATATTTTTTATTGAGCGGACTCTATTCCTTTCACAACCGAACATTCATCTAACAGTCTGTCCTAGGATTTCATTAGGATTCCAGGCCATATTTACCAGAACATTACTCTTTGCTCTTTTCAGAAAACCGAGAAACATTCCTCTGGCTTCCATTTCCTGACAGCTGTCCATTTTTTCCCTTAGGAAACTACACCAACAATGGCTGCACAGAAACATATGTAATTGCTTTTCATTGCAGTGGGAGTAATTCACTGCGCCTTGAAGTTGTTGAAATGCTCTTCCTGGGCTCCAGCCTTTTCCAGTTTAAAGATCCTTACTGGTGGCATGAAGAGTTAAGCAAAATAGTGAAGTGGCTCTGCTTCTGTTTCCTTCAGGTGGCCTGTTTCCTGTTATCTCTTATTTCGCTTCAAATTATGTATAACAATCAGTTCATTTTAAATGACAGGAGAAAAATCTCATTTCCTTGGCAGCGGGATCCCACCCCGTCCCCTCCCAGTTTCGTTGGGCTTTCACATTTGGCGAGGTGGACTCAAGGTCGGGGTGGATGGCCACTCTCTGGCCCATGGTGGAACTTTTGTTTTGCTGATCGGGGCATGCCATTGACAGCCAGATCTGAATCTGAAGAGAGGGGTGGAAGAGGAGAAAAGAGAGACAGTGAAGCTGGCGGGAAAGGCAACTTTTGAGCAGAGGAAAGGACACAAATAATGGAAGAAATTAAAATTGTTTTGCTATGTGGTATGTGGGAAAGATATTAATTCTACTAACCATTTTCCTGTGGTTAGCAGTTTAGTGAAGTCGTTTACCAAAGACTTAGTCGTTTACTAAGTAGTTTAGTAAGCCATTTACTAAATGACTTTTGTAAAACCACTTTGACTGAATAATGTCTCACAGCACTGGGTCTCTTCTGGAGGAAGGAATGGATTACTCAGTGCCAGCTAAAAGTGGGAGAGGACTGAGGAGAGGCTAGGGACTGCCATGACATTCATATCAAAGTTTCCCATGGGTGTGCCTGCTCCGTGGAGCCTAGCTTACATCTCTGCAGCCTGGCTGCTGGAGAGGTTGGGGTGAGTTAATGCTAGTTTGTAATGTCCAAAAGAACTGTTGTAGTTACTGGTGTTCAAAAGTAGCATTCAGTTTACTGAAGTTAGACTTTTTTAAAGCTAGTTTTTCTTTTCCTTTTCAATTTATAAGACTTGTTATTCTATTAATGAATCTAATTATTTTTGCATAAAATAAGACTGATTGTTGATTAATTTTAGCTAATTAGATTTCCCTCAGACATTTAAAACTACATTTGTAGGTTTCATATATTTTAAGTATTTAAAATGTCTGAGAAGCAAACTTACCATCTTAACAGAGAAAAAAAGTATTTCATACAAAATAGATTAAACTTTGCACTAATCAAGTGATCTCAAACATAGCAGTTTTATTTACAAACTTAATAAATTTCTGATATGTCTTTCAGCTTACAGATGATAAGAACATTATGACAGGACCCCTGGAATATTATAAACACTTGAAATGACAATCAGTCAAAGATTATTTTGTATTTAACACTAAAACGTTATGCACACATGCTGTGGGTTGATTTACTTGGAGGCCTGCTCACTTATTTATCTTCCCAGAGTTGTTTACCCAACTAAGGGAGCAGATTTGCGTCTCTGTCTTGGGGAGCAGGAGTCCTTGGCTATCCACAGAGCACATTTCCTGGGCATTTTGCACTTATAGCACTAGATTAGATCCAGTCCATCCCTGCTGCCTCAGAACACAGTTCTGCATTCTCCTGTGATTCTCGCTGGGCTTTTAGCCCCACTCTTTAGCACTGCTGATGCCATCCCGCATTCCTCTGTGCTGCAGTCAGTGTGTGCGGCTACACACTGGGGTCATTCTAATAGCAGGGGTGAAAATGCATGAGAGCTGCTGGAACTCTGGGGACACTGAGCCAGAGCCACTCCTTATCTAGGGAGAGAATGTAGGTTCAGGATGTACGCTGCTGGAAGTAGAAACAATAAAGAACTTTTATCCAGAATGTTTTTGTGTTGCTCACCATTTTAGGAAACTAAATGATTTTATTTGTATTTAAATGCCTCATAGCTTTAAATATGAGAAGGACTCTTTAATATACGTTTAATTCATTAACCAAGTGTTTCTTTTATAACTTTATTTTGGTTGGAAAAAATTGGAACTTTAGGATGATCTGAGAATTAATTATATTACACTTTGAAACAAATGGTAATAATACATTGATGTCTTAGCCTCAATGCCTTCTTTTTTGAATAGATTAAAGGCATTAAGCAGGTGATTTGTGTGTGCGTGTATATATGTGTGTGTGTATATTCCTATTGCATATATTTCTGTTATACCTAATATATTTCTACATATGTGTAAACATATGACATATGCACATATATATGTACATACACATATAAAATGGATATAATAGTGTTTAAATAAATATTTTAATACTTTCATATATAAATCTATATTTAAAAAATAAAATTGTATTTTTATTGAATATGCAATTTAGTATCTTGATTTTTTCTTTAACATTTTATTATAAACACTTTGAAATACTA
Source organism: Homo sapiens (assembly GCF_000001405.40). NCBI lineage: Eukaryota > Metazoa > Chordata > Mammalia > Primates > Hominidae > Homo > Homo sapiens. The sequence continues at coordinate 2,059,764 of NW_011332701.1, read as the reverse complement.
TTATACACTCTAAGTACCATTTAAAATTTTTAAATCATTTACTTAACTGTTCTTTAATATACTTTTAGATCGTTTCAGTTTTTTTCCCTGTGAAGAGCATCTTTGTACACAGAGAATATTTATTATATGTGGATTGTTTCCTTAGGCTAGATTCCCAGAAGTGGAATTACTGGGTCACAGATACAAATATATTTAAGGCTCCAGTTACATGTATTGCCAAATTGCCTTCCCCAAAGCTTGTCTTAGCTTACTGGGCTACCAAAAATCTTATACAAATGTTATAGCACTGTTTATTGGAAAGCGATTAGTCTTTTGATGATGACCTTTGCTACAAATACTTTTTCCAATTTGGTGTTTGCATTTAAGTGTATTTAAAAAATAAAAATAGAAGTTTAAGATTTGTAGATGATAAAATATGTTACTCTGTTCTTTTTAGATTCTTCTATTATTTTTTAGCTTAGAAAGTCATTTTTTTTCCTAGAAGTGATTTAAAATATCTGATATAGGCCAGGTGCGGTGGCTCATGCCTGTAATCCCAGCACTTTGGGAGGCCGAGGTGGGCGGATCATCTGAGGTCAGGAGTTCAAGACCAGCCTGGCTAACGTGGTGAAACCTCATTTCTATTTAAAATACAAAAAATTAGTCAAGCTTGGTGGCACGTGCCTGTAATCCCAGCTATTCGGGAGGCTGAGGCAGGAGAATCACTTGAACCTGGGAGAGGAGGTTGCAGTGAGCCGAGATTGCGCATTGCACTCCAGCTTGGGCAACAAAAGCAAAACTCCGTCTCAAAAAACATATATACATATATATGTATATATTTATATTATATATGTATATATTTATATTATATATATACAATATATTTTTCTACCTTAACAAAATTTTTGTTGCTAAACTCTAAATTCATGTGGAATATATTTCACCATATAGAATCAGGTGAGGGGCTCTTGTTTTTGGTCTGAATTGTTACCTAGTGGGTGCCATCTTTTCTCAATTTTATTTGATGGATTTGTGGCATCTTCTGAATATGGATGGGTGTTTCTTCTGGGTTATCTTCTCTGTTCCATTGTTCTGCTTGCCTGTCCTTCTGTCTGTGCCACACGGCTTACATGTTGTGGCATCTGATAGGGCCAGTCCCCCTGCAGGACTCTTCTGCAAAATTTTCTTTGTTGTTCTTTCCTGTTTGTTTTTTCAGATGAACTTTGGAAAATTTATGTTGAACTTACAGATTATTTGGGGAAAAACTGTTTATCTAACAGGTTTTAGTCTTTACCACCGAGCCCATGACATGTACTAAGCATTTATCCAAATCTTACTTTTTATATTTCTCACAAAATTTTCCAATTTTCTCTAAATAGGTCCTACATATTTCTCATTATGGTTATTGTTATGTTATTACTTATTTTATAGTTTGTGTTTTGATCTTTTTTTACTATACTTTCAAACTGGTAGTATCTGGTAATTTGGTTTTGTATATCTAGTATTGACCTACTTTTTTTTTTAAGACATGGCCTCTCTCTATGGCTCAGGCTGGAGTGCAGCAGCCAGTCACAGGCACAGTCATAGCTCACTGCAGCCTCAAAATCCTGGGCTGAAAGAATCCTCCTGCCTCAGCCTCCCAAGTAACTGTGACTACAGGGACCCTCAGCTGTAAATTAAATGTAATTGTTTACCATTTGATTCCTATAAACACACCATCCAAAAATACATATTTTATTATCTTCCTTTTTAATATTTAGGTTTTGTTTTCTGCCTCATATCTTTTAACATTGGCCTGAATCTGAAAATTTTTTAAATAATAAAAGCTTAAATGAAAAAATAAAAATTTAATGACTGATGGTGATGGTGGCATGATATGCTTTTAAAGCTCATATTAAGTTTTGCAGAGACATTTCTTAGTACCTTAAACAATATGTTTTGATATAATGTGGTTTTTCTACACTGCTGATGTTTAAGTTTATTTAGAGCACACAGTATTTTTAAATTGGCATCTCATCCAGTTTGGTTCTGTTGGCTCAAAGAACAGGCATAGCCTGGATTATAGATGATGAGGGGTTTTAAAATCTGAAATTGTCGAGTGGAACTTTATGCTTGTTGGTACGTCTTGAAAAACCCTAATGCTTTTGCTCTTTCCTTTCCTGTCCCAAGCCTTCTTCCCCCTTCTCTTTTGAGTCTCTGAGCTATGCTTATAGAAACTTACAGAAACTTAAACAGCCTGCAGCTGTTTCTAAGTACTACAGATGGGGCGACATGATGCAGTTTTTACTAGTCCAAGGAAAAATGATTTTTACAAAACAGATAAAACATCATATGTTTGTTTTTATAGTCTGAATTTACTCTACTTAAAGGATTGCTCTTTACTGAAATAGAGGCTTTTCTATTTTGCTTATTTTTCAGATGTTCTTAGATGCCCAAATAAAAGGTTGGCAATTCTAGGTCAGTTCTCTGTTTTCTTTCCCCTGCTTCTTTTTAAAATTTACTGATCCAAGGAAGCAAAGAAAAGCTGGTTGTTTATCAGGTTTTAGTGTCTTTGTTTTTTAAAGCTTAGCAGGGCAGTTGTCTGCTAACTGTACTGCCACATGGCATGGCCATAGCCCAAGCATGGTTGGGGAGCTCTTACTGCTAAAGGAGTAGGAAGAGGAAAAGGAGCGAGGAGCAAAGCCTCGCAGCCTGCAGTCCCTCCCCACAGCCTTCAGAAGTCTGCTCTGGATTCCCTTTCCTCTCCCAGATACTATCTCCATGTGTTCCCTTGCCAGGGAACTCTGCAGTGGTAGGAACACTGGCTTGGGCTCAGGGTGGCTGCATGACCCTGGTAGCTGACACGTACTCATTTTCTGACCCCAGGGAGATTGCCAGTCCCCTCAAAGGATATCCTCCTAAAAGGATAATGTATTATCAATGGTGAGTGTTAGGATTCCCTATCATAAGTTGCGGGAGGAGGACAGGATCGAGATCTACAACAGAACCCGAAAAGGAGGAGTATTTGAGGCTGGGAGTCAGGGAAAAGCAGGGTTAGAGATTCCATACCTAAAATGAGGATCCTGTTTTCTTTCACCTCTAATTTTTAGTTTGTATAAAGAACTTCCTTTGAAGGCTGCAGCCCCAGGATGACAGAAGCCTTTAATGTTTACACTTGCTAGGGAACGAGAATAGTAAGGTGAGTTTATCCCTTGTCCATCCATATCTGTTGCTAGCTCAGCCATGGCCAGAACAGCCCCTCCTCTGTGAAGTCATCTGGGTCATCTGAACCAGAGGTGAGGGCTAGCTGCTTAGAACTTTTTGATCCCTTTAGTTAACCTGCTCCTGTGGTGTTTGTGGCAGCCTTCCTTGAACTGTACCTCTTTGTGTAATGTCTCATCTCCGCTCAGTTGTAAACTTAAACTGCTACAGCATCGATGCCTTAGGTAGTGCAGGCATTCAATGAAGGTTTGTGGAATAAAAGAATGGATAAGAAAGGCCTAAAATATTGCTGTATGTTGCAGAACTTTAATAGAAATATTAATTCTGCTTTTCTATAGTTTAGTTTTTAGTAAATGTTATATTACAGAAGAGCAGTGTGGTATTTTTACTATTGGATGAAGTTCTGCCTACCTCTGCTACTCTATCTTGGACAACCTGGGTAAGAGTTTCTTTGTTGAAAATGGAAAAGATAGGACAACAGAGATTCTCAAAATTTAGTGTATGGAAGAATGAAATAAGGTGCTTGGTAACACTGTAGATGTCTGGGCTCTACCCTCTAAGATTCACTGGGCCTGGTGTGGGGCTGACAGCCTGCACATTCAATATACCCCCAAGATGGTCCTGATACAGATGGTCCAGGGAGCATCTGTTGAGAACCGTTGAACAAGATGATCTCTAAGGTTTCTCCAGCTGTATTTTAAAAGGATAACATGAGACATCTGTTTAGTTTACTCAAAAGATGTTTCATTTATTTTTTCTATTGTGAGTTCAACACAGCAACAAGTACAAATTATGACCACATGCTGCATAATATAGGAGGAAAAGGTGTGCTTTCAAATTTTGTTAAAGGAGAGAATAATCATTAGGGTATCCTTGTTTTAGTAGGGATACCCTAGTTTAGCTTTCAGCCTAAAATCGTTTTCCTGGGAATTTTTACCTTCTAAGAATTCCCATACTTGTCACAAGCATTTTGTTTATTAATAGCATTGTACGAGTGGATATAAATTGTGATAATTTCACCACCAAATACATAAGACTGTCAAACCCTGTGTAAATTTTGTCTATTCCTTTATAAACTTGAGGTGTAAATATTTTATTAATAAAATACATCCACAAATTCTACAAGATTTATAAAAATATAATCATTTGTTGAAATACAGCTCTTTTATCACTACAGGCATTTTCTTTTCTTTTCTTTTCTGAAAGCCATAACCTCACAATTAAAGCCAGAAATGAAAAAGGAAACTCTTACTCAAAACAATCCTTTTTCTTCTTTGTCATCTGGTCATTCCATTAAATGGCCTTAATAGACTAAATCATCCTGAGATTAAAAGGAAAAAAAAAAGGACACGTACCACTTCACTGCTGAAAAGTTGTTTGTGTGTGGAAGGAGGTAGGGAAATGGTTGCTGTGAGGAATGTAGGAGATTATACTTACTTATTTTATAATTTTATGCCTCAGTCATGATACAGAAGAAATTTAACCTCCAACTGAGGAGCAAATATAAGTTATTTGAGCAAGCATAAACAATGCAGAGTGAGAAGGAACACAGAACACCATGCCACATTCCCTGCATTCCCTGTGCATTTCACCCAACGCAGTCAACAAGGCTCCCTGAGAGCCTCACTTGCAAGTGTCCCAGGGAAAGACCCAGGAAACGGACCCAGCGTCACTTAAGTCCCAAGGCAAGCTGAGAGTTTGGAAGAAATCTTTTACTTTGTTAAATTCCAAATTAACCTTCTTTGACAATAGTTGGAGGAAGCAGACAGATTTCCAGTGGGCTTTGGGTTGTATAAAATCAAAGGTCTCCACAGTTTAGCCTGGGAAGATTATTAAAGGTTCTTCTGTAGCAGAAACAATTGTCCTGAAGTGCAAGTAAAGGCATTTTTTTCCCTGTTAATTAGGTTAGCTCTTTCAAACAACCTTTTTAAAAGAATTTAAGTATTGTAGGAGTTTTTGTATTCCTTTCATGTAGAAGTCCTAAGAGTGGCAGAATCAAAAGGGGCAGCAAGAAGACGAAGGGAAATGTCTGGAAGGCATTCCAGAGCAGGGAAGCCATCGCTGTGGCCAAAGTGGGAAGCAGCCAGGTGGCCAAATCTTGGGCCAAATCTTTTTCTAGTTACTCTGTAAATCACCCTCCACCAGATTGATCCAGCAGGTTTTTAAAAAACCTTTATTGATAACCTGTAGGGAACCTCAAACTGAATTGGACCAGTGGCTCTTCGTTTGGGGAGGGTCATTATACAAGGACCTTTCGGTCCGACACATGGAGATGCAGTTGCTCTTCATTTGCCCAACACATTTAATCCAGGCACCTAAGTCAGTTAGGAATTTTGCACTTAAATCTCATAACAAACTGAATTTTGTCCCCATACTCTCTTATTGTGTATGATATCATGTGCCTCCTGGTCATTTTGTGGCCCATTTTCTGCAGTCTATTGAATGATTTGTTTGCCTAGCCATTTAGAATGAAAGTCACAAAATCATTTTTAGAAAGGTTACTGATGTCTCTAAAATCTCCAAGTGTTGCCAGGAAGTCCTTGGTTGTTGATACTGGCAATGAGATGAAGGTATGAAAGCCATTTCATATTTAAAGTCGGCTCTGTAGTTATAGCTTTGAGCCTACTGACATGTCCTCTCCCCTTCACCAAAACCAAAACACAAACGCACAAACACAAAACATATGGTGAAAACTCTGTCAGGTCCTTGCTAGTGGGGTAAGTGTGCTGATGAAGGGCTCACTTGGTCTTTTTAGTCGGTGCACTTGGGGAATTTAAGGTTGGCTGGGGTTGATGTGAGGACAGAGGTTTGTAGTCTGACTTCTCAGTATCCAGCACAGCAACACATTCATTTGAAATTGTGTTTGATGCCATCCCTAGGTTTAATGTTATAAAATACCACAGAAATAAGAAAAACTTCAAATTTTGAAACCACCCTAACAATGATGAACTCAATAACTAAAAATATATATATCTATATATATCTATATATATATCTTTATAAGCTTAGCTATATCTGTCAGACTCTTTGCAAATAAACATCCTTGAACACTTTACTTTCTGTAGCACAGAAAATATTTTAGGACTGGTGTATATAGGTAGTGTTAGGGAATAGACCACTCTCAAAAACATTGTCGTAGTTTTATTGTCCAGAAGCACTTTTTAAAGCTCCTTGTCGGTGAGTATATGGAATTACTGGTAAGTATCCACAAAGCTTCCAGAATAGAGGTGAAAAATATATATCCAATGTGTGGTTCAAATTGGAATCTGCTGATAAGTAACAGATGATGAACATTAATTGGATAAAATTTTAGTGGCTGTGAACCTGTCACATTCAGTTAATATTATCCTAGATTAGCAAATGAGGAAACCAGGCGAAAGAATAAAGTATCTATCAAGGTAAAACAGTGACACTGGCAGAATTTAAACTCAGGTAATAGGGCTCTAAACTTCACCTCCTTACTACCACAATGGACTGCCTGTCTCCAAAAGGGACACATCAACAAAGGAAACAATGAGCAGTGTGAAAAGGCAGCCTACAGAGTGGGGAGAATATATTTGTGAACCGTGTATCTGATAAGCGGTTAATTTCCAAAATATATAACGAATTCCTACAACTCAATAGGAAAAATACAAATAACCCAATTTAAAAACGGGCAAAGGACTTGAACAGACATTTCTCCAAAGGAGACATACAAAAATGGCCAAGAGGTATGTGAAAAGGTGTTTAATATTACTAATCATCAGGGAAATGCAAATCTAAACTACAATGAAATATCAGCTCACATCTGTTAGGATAGCTGTTATGAAAAAAACCACAAAAGACAAGTGTTGGAGATCATGTGGAGGAGAAAAGGGAGCCCTTGCATTGTGCACTGTTGGTGGGAGTGTAAAATGCCACAGTTATGGAAAACAGCTGGAGCTGTTCAAAAAATGAAAAATAGAATTACACGATCTAGCAATCTCATTTATAGGTATATATCCAAAAGAAGCGAAAACAGGATCTTGAAGAGATATTTGCACTCCCATGTTTGTTGCGGCATTATTCATAATAGCCAAGATATAGAAACAACCCACCTGTCCATCAACAGAGGAATGGATAAAGAAAATGTGATATATACGTACAATGGAATATTGTTCGGCTTAAAAAGAGAAGGAAATCCTGCCATTTGTGACAACACAGATGAACCTGGAGGACATTATTCTAAGTGAAATAAGCCAGTCACAGGACAAATATTGCATAACTCCATTTATTTGAGATATCTATAAATATAGTCAATCTCGTAGAACAGAGAATACAATAGTGGTTGCCAGGGGCTGCAGGGTAGGGAACATGGGGAATTGCTGTTCAGTGGGTATGAAAGTTTCAGATATGCAAGATGAGTAAGTTCTAGAGAACTGCTGAACAATGTAGTGTCTGTAGTTAACACTATGGTATTGTGTACTTGAAAATCCGTTAAGAGGGTAGATTTTACCACAAAAAACAAAGCAAAACAAAAAGGACATGAGGAAACTTTGTGAGGTGCTAGATATATCTATCCTTGATTGTGGGGATAGTATCATAGATGTTTGCGTATGTCCAAATTCATCAAATTACACACACTAAATACGTGCAGTTCTTTGTATATCAATTTTACCTCAGTTAATCTGTTTAAATTTTAATAAACTAAACAAAGGACACACCAGAACAAGGACAAGGATGTTTATTGTTATTACAGCTTCAGTTTTAGACACCAAAAATGAAAACCCTCGAATGTACATACACAGAAAAATGATTGAATAAATTGTTGAAAAAAATTGCACCGAGAGAAATTATTGAAGATGTAGTGGAGAGGAAAGCAGTAAATATTATATAGTAAAAGCTCTCATAATTTTAAAATTAATTGTATTCTAATGATAATTTTTTTGAGGTGATACTCAACATATTTTAGAATAGCTAACACAGTTGAAATATTCTCCATTGCCCTTCCAATACATTTATCTAATGTTATAAATTGGTCCCCAGTCTGGCTGACGTGGTGAAACCTCATCTCCACCAAAAATACAAAAAATTAGCTGGGCTTGGTGGCACACACCTGTATCCCAGCTACTTGGGAAGCTAAGGTGAGAGGATCACCTGAGCCTGGGAGGTGGAGGTTACAGTGAGGTGAGATCACACCACTGCCCTCCAGCTTGGGTGACAGAGTGAGACCCTGTCTCAAAAAGAAAAAAAAGAGAGTCTAAGCTATATGCGAAAGTGCACACACCTGATGTCACAATTCCATCACTATGGTACCAGGTGGCCAGAGGAGTGTGACTGATGGTGGTGACCACAGGATTGCTGTCGCTAGGGTAGATGGTTCCTAGAATACCCAGACTTAGCTTTAAAACCACTGTAAAAGTTCACCCGACTAATAATCATTAATGCAGCCTTAGAAATATAAACCTAAGAAATATTCAAAATTTAAAATTAAAAAGGCCACTGGAGAATTGGGCTCTCAGGTCTTGGCTCCAGGGAGGCTTCTGGGCAGCAAGCGCCGGAGGCAGCTGGAGGGATAGGGAGGCGTCTGTCCACTGGTGGTGAAAACCAGCTCAGGGGAGCAAGCACAGGAGCCTGAGCCTTGCCGTCCGTCTGTTCCCAGCCTCAAGACCGCATGGCGTTACCTTTCCTACCTAGATGTTCTTCCCCACGGAAACTGTACTTGATCCTCTCTTTAGCCTATTTTAGCCACTTGCACATGAATGTCAGGGGATGGAGGAAAGGAAGCCAGAGGAGGCATGGGAGTTAATTTTTTTTATTTTTTTATTATTATTTTTTTGAGACGGAGTCTCACTCTGTCTCCCAGGCTGGAGTGCGGTGGCACAATCTTGGCTCACTGCAAGCTCTGCCTCCCAGGTTCAAGCGATTCTCCTGCCTCAGCCTCCCGAGTAGCTGGGGACTACAGGCGCGTGCCACAACGCCCGGCTAATCTTTGTATTTTTAGTAGAGACGGGGTTTCACCATGTTGGCCAGCACAGTCTCGATCTCTTGACCTCGTGATCCACCCGCCTCAGCCTCCCTAAGTGCTGGGATTACAGGCATGAGCCACCGCGCCCGGCCAGCATGGGCGTTAATTAATATGCAAGTCACTTTTTCTCCCATACTCATCCCAGGCCAGCCCCTCCTCCCACATCGGCTTCCCTGACAGTCCAGGAAGAATGGCTAACAGATACATATAAAAGGGAAGTTGCTTTTCCTTTCAGCTGTTTACATGCATGGTTGGATGTTATACAGAGCTATGAAACTAAAATTGTAGAGACACCTTTCAAAGATGCTTCTGGGCTTCCGGAGGCTCCTTTTTTTTTTAATTTTGCAGATTTCTATTCTAAGAACAGATTGTTGTCATATACTGAACTATGGGCTGTGTTTCTAAAATAAGATTATATCAGAATGATCTGACATAAAAATGAGGTATTTATTTGAGAATATATCAGCTGCTTCCCAAGAATTCATAACAGCTCTGGGGAAAGTCCAGAGGCTACTCAAGGAGATCAAGTCAGTTTAGGTTGTACTTGATTAGTCACAGTTAACCCGCTTCTTGAAAACTATTCTTGGCCAGGCGCGGTGGCTCATGCCTGTAATCCCAGCCCTTTGGGAGGCCGAGGCGGGCGGATCACGGAGTCAGGAGATCGAGACCATCCTGGCTAACAGGGTGAAACCCCGTCTCTACTAAAAATACAAAAAAAATAGCCAAGCATGGTAGCGGGCGCCTGTAGTCCCAGCTACTTGGGAGGCTGAGGCAGGAGACTGGCGTGATCCTGGGAGGCGGAGCTTGCAGTGAGCTGAGATCGCACCACTGCACTCCAGCCTGGGCAAGAGCAAGACTCCGTCTCAAAAAACAAACAAACAAACAAACAAAAACTATACTTTTGGGAAAAACAGGCAAATTTCAGTTTTTAAAAAGTCAAAGTATTTGTTTTAAACAATGAAATAATCGGCCGGGCGGGGTGGCTCACACCTGTAATCCCAGCACTTTAGGAGGCCAAGGCAAGCGGATCACGAGTTCAGGAGTTCAAGACCAGCCTGGCCAACATGGTGAAACCCCATCTCTACTAAAAATACAAAAAATTAGCCAGGCGTGATGGCACGCGCCTGTAATCCCAGTAATCCCAGCTACTCGGGAGACTGAGGCAAGAGAATGGCTTGACCCTGGGAGGCGGAGGTTGCAGTGAGCCAAGATTGTGCCACTGCACTCCAGCCTGGGCAACAGAGTGAGACTCTCTCAAAAAAAAAAGAAAGAGAGAGAGACAAAGAAAGAAAGAGAAGAAGAAAGAAGAAGGAGGAGGAGGAGGGAAGGAAGGAAGGAGAAAGGAAGGAAGGAAAGAAAGAAAGAAAGAGAAAAAGAAAGAAAGAAAAGAGAAGAGAAGAAAAGAAATAATCTAGGCCAGGTGTGGTGGCTCATGCTTATAATCCCAGCACTTTGGGAGGCCAAGGCGGTGGGGAAGATTGCTTGAGCCCAGGAGTTTGAGACCAGCCTGGGCAACAAAGTGAGACCCTGTGTCTATGAAAAATACAAAAATTACTCAGGTGTGGTGGTGCACATCTGCAGTCGCAGCTACTCAGGACCCCGAAGCAGGAGGATCTCTCAAGCTCGGGAGGTCGAGGCTGCAGTAAGCCGTGATCACGCCACTGCACTCCAAGCCTGGAAGGCAGAGCATGTCTCAAACAATAAAAATAAAAGAAATACTTCTATTTATATCTTGGAGTCAAATGTTAAAACCAGTTTTCTAAAATCTTTTGCATTTGTTAATTGGTTTACATGAAATTATAAGAACAATGAGTTTTAATTAATGTAACATCCTCATTTAGTTAACATTAGCTGTAGAATCCTGCCCTATCAGAGAAGCAATGCAGACTGGCATGTTACACAGAAAATTTTGACAAAAGTGAGGAGAAACTGAGTCAACCCTGAGTTGAAATTAACTGAAGTCACTTCCATTTCTTGAGCATTTTTGCTTCACTGTGTTCTCATAAATGTGTGTTGTATGCACTTAGGAGGTATAAATGTGTCACAGGAAAAGGTTGGGAACAGTTTCAGGATATGGTCAAGAGTGTGCTAGGTCCTTAGGCTTCAGCTCACAGCACTGCCTGATGTTACATTGCACCCGGATTCTGCAGAGGAATAGAGGGCTGCAGCAGTCCACGTGGTTTTTACTCATTTGAATATTCTCAGTTGAATGTATACTAGTAGAAACTATTCTATATGAACCAAGATCACAAGCAGACCCGTCTTGCATCATGTAGAGCAGGGATGTCCAATCTTTTGACTTCCCTAGGCCACATTGGAAGAATTGTCTTCAGCCACACATAAAATACACTAACACTAATGATAGCTGATGAGCTAAAAAGTCACAAAAAAAATCTCATATTTTTTTTTTTTTTGAGACAGAGTCTCACTCTGTTGCCCAGGCTGGAGTGCAGTGGCACGAGCTTGGCTCACTGCAACCTCCAACTCCTGGGTTCAAGCAATTCTCCTGTCTCAGCCTCCTGAGTAGCTGGGATTACAGACATGCACCACCACGCCTGGCTAATTTTTTGTATTTTTAGTAGAGACGGAGTTTCACCACGTTGGTCAAGCTGGTCTCGAACTCCTAACCTCAGGTGATCCACACGCCTCAGCCTCCCAAAGTGCTGGGATTACAGGCATGAGCCACCACACCCGGCCAAAATCTCATAATGTTTTAAGCAAGTTTACGAATTTGTGTTGGGCTGCATTCAAAGCCATCCTGGGCCACATGTGGGGCAGGTTAGACAAGCTTAATGTAGAGCAATGCTTCTCAACAGAACTTTCTGCACTGTTCAGTATCATTGCTACTAGCCACATGAGACTATGGGTTATTTGAAATGTGGCTTTTGTGTGTCTGAAGAGCAGATTTTAAAATTTTATCTAATTTTAATTAGTCACGTGTGGCTAGCAGTTACCATATTGGACAAGGCAGGTATAGAGTTTTGACTTAAGTAACAACTATATTTGGTCATTGGAAATGCCACCTCACAGGGAGCCTGGTGACAATGTTCCTCCTAATATTGAGGAGAACTGGCCAGGCACAGTGGCTCACGTCTGTAATCCCAGCACTTTGGGAGGCCGAGGCAGGCAGATCACAAGGTCAGGGGTTCGAGACCAGCCTGGCCAACATGGTGAAACCCTGTCTCTAATAAAATACAAAAATTAGCTGGGCATGGTGGCGCACGCCTGTAATCCCAGCTACCTGGGAGGCTGAGGCAGGAGAATTGCTTGAACCCGGGAGGTGGAGGTTGCAGTGAGTCGAGATCATGCTACTGCACTCCAACCTGGGTGACAGAGCAGGACACCATCTCAGAAAAAAATAAAAATAAAAAAATATGAAGAACCAAAACCCACAACATGTATTTGGGGGAGAATTTATGGATTTGAACACCGCATCTTTAGGGAGAAATTAGTCCTCAGACACTTGCACAAAAGCAAATGCATGATTTGCTTTAGGAATAGTAGTTGGAAAAGGGGATGCAAATGAATTGAAGACAATAAGGCCGGCTGTAATTTTCAATGGCAACAAGTACTTAAGTAAAATGAAATAAAACCAATGAAAACAAGGTCAGTATCACTCTTAAAAAGCCTCCCAGGTATTGGTTGAAAAGTACAGATTAGAGGCTTATCTTCTGCCTATTCTGCGGATGGCCACAGTGCCTTATCATAGGGCTGCACACTTAACAGGACAGAGTAGAAGGTTTTGCTTGAAGTCCCCAGTGAGTTGCCAGACTTGGATTTCACACTCCTTATAAGGAACTGCTAGGTAACTGATGGGTGTGGGTGTGTGGAGAGTGGGCCTACATTTAAAATAAAAAATCTTTATGTAATAGGATTTCTCATCCTTTAGGCAAGTCACTTTTCTGCTTACTACAACCCTAGCCACAGGCAGATGTTCAATACATGCTTCTTTTTGATGAGGAAGAGAATGAAAATCTAATACCCTTAAAAAATGGTTTTCATTGGTATTATTTGCTTCTTGTAATTATTAGCTCTGTATTTACCTGAATGGTCCTACTTTATGTACGTGCATGTCAAAATCAATTAGGCACCACATTTTGTGTGACATTTGTCAATTTACGTAATATTGATACAGCTATGCATTAAGTTGTGGTGTTTAAAAGCCATTCTTCATTAAATAGGAAATCAGACTTTTTTGTTCCAAAAGCTCACAATGAAGTTTATAAGCAAATAAAAATAAAAATTTCTAAATTTTTTTAAAATGATGGTTTTGCTCATTTTTCTGGACTTAGAGAATTTCATTAGCATGGATTTTGAGGGACTAGCTACCCTTAGTTCATGGTAATACCATTTTATCAGCTCAGAGAACATAGACAACAACTTGCTGAGGTTTCTTCTATTTCATAATGGGGTAGATTCCTTTTTTAACCCGGGGTATTGTCTCTGACTGCTGTCTGTTGTAGGCTCATCTCATATGGTTGATGATGCCAGCCCCAATCATGTCCTCCAACTAAGATGTGTCGTTTGCAAGGTTTGCCCTCCGCCCTTACTGCTGAGGGGACAGAAGTTCCAATGAGCCGAGTGCCTGATTGACTCCGACAGCCCACAGTGGGGACTGCACAGTGCTCTGCAACCCCATCCCTGATACACTCCTTTACTGTCACCCTGCAGGCGTTCTCTTCTGTCACCCTCCTTCTCAGGGATAGAGGAAGCCATGACGCAGGCCCTATCTTGCCCTAGAACAGCCCTCATGTTATTAATGTGACCGCACCTCCGTTACTGTCATTTGGCTTAATGGTGGTGACAGCCTTAAATGGGAAACCTGAAAAAGTACATGGAATATCATCTCTGCCTAAGCCCTAAGCTGTGCAACTCCCCGTGGGTGGTACATTTCAGGCGAGAGGAGGAGGAGGTGGAAGAGAAGAAAACTGCTTTTCTTTCTGTCCCTTTGTTTTCTTTTAATTTAGAGTTTTGAGCCTGTTGGGTAAAAGCTATGCCTCATGCTGTACTTTGTGCAATATCTCACGTACTTCTTGTTCTCAGCAAAATGCAAAATAATGATCTGCCGTTCCATTTACAGAAGGATTTCTAGATTTGGAGAGAAATACCTGTTCGTGTTGAAATGGCAAGGAAAAGGGGTACATCATTAGCTTGACAGTTCTCCAGCTCTCAAGTCTCAAGTCTCCCCTAAGAAATCCCAAAGGCCATAAAGCCCCATGCCTAGTCTGAGCAAGTGGAGTCTGTCTTCTTATACCCTTGTTGAAAGAAAGGGAGAGGTCAGTGCTTGAAATCTACCAGATGAGAATATTAAAATAGGAAACTGTAAAAGAATATAAAGCATAGCAAAAATTGTCTTGATCATAAAAGAATAGCTCTCCATATTTTCTTAACATTTCTGTTTTGATTCAAAAAAGAAACTGACTCATCACAAGAAACAGTTTGCTCTTGCACACAGAGTTGTAGCAGCCAGGCTTGATCCCTGGGAGTAGGGACCGCAGGAGTGTGAGCTCCTGCAGCAGGGCCTTGTCGGTTTCCAGGACCTGTGTTAGGTTTTTGCTGTGAGGGATGTCGCCTTTGAATTTGGGAACAGCTAATATCCAGAATCAATTTTTTAAAATCTGAATGGCAGAGAGAATTTCCCACAAGTGTTTAGTGTATGTGACAAAATATAAAGTGAGTTGTCTATTTAATAAGAAATTCTTTTGCTAAACGGACCTCAAAAGAAATGCTTGAAGCTCCCAGCACTCACTCTGCCCTTCAGGGACAGAATTTGCCCTTCACCCACAGCAGGCCTTTGTGTGTGTGCTTGCTGAATGAATCCATGAGCCTATGCAGTTTTCTTCTACCAGTTTTCATCTGTGAAATCCCATTCATCCTGCAAGACCCATTTCAAACGCAGCTTTGAATCCAAAAATGACTTTCTGTGGAAATGAATGGTGCGTGCACATGTGTGTTTGTTCCAGCCTTCTGTCAGCTCTTGGAGGCAGGGACCTGGCCCTATTCCCATGCGTATCTCTGGAATGCTGAGCCCACAGTGCAGGTAATACCTTGCAGAGTGAAAGAGGGCATTTGAGATCCCCTGTGAGACTCACTCAGAGTGGACGTGCCGCACGACCTCTTGCTGGTGACTGGACCTTTCTGTGTGGTGGCTTCTCCAAAGAGGGGACACCAAGCCCTTGGTGCAGGGCCATGACGAGGACTAAAGGAGGTTTGTATGAAGGGGCCTAATGCAGGGTTTGAATGCAGTAGATGCTTCTAACGTACCAGCTCCTAGTTCTTGCTCTTTTTCCATCGTTTCGCTTAAAGCTCTTACCTAGAACTTCACCACCATTGAGGATCACAGAACCATTTTTTCTTCCCAATGAAGAAATAGTTTCAAAACAATTCTGAAGATCTCAAGTCTCAAAGAGGTTATGTGCCTTAAGGCCCT
The DNA here is from genome assembly GCF_000001405.40 of Homo sapiens. Lineage (NCBI taxonomy): Eukaryota > Metazoa > Chordata > Mammalia > Primates > Hominidae > Homo > Homo sapiens. The sequence goes on along the minus strand of NW_011332701.1, from coordinate 2,044,168 downwards.
CGGCTTGTCAGAGGGCAGACCTCCGTGGAACATGGTCTATTGCAAAGGACCAGCTTTCTTCAGTATCTGAAATATGTTTTTGTTATACTATCCTTGAATTGTGTTTTTGATTTTCTGTTCTAGTCTGTGCTTTCATCTTTGTTTTAAATTTGAATTTGAGTTCAAGGCTCTTCATCATCATGTCTGATTGAAATATAAGATGACAAATCTAGGGAAAATCAGGTTGCCACATAATCTAGCACAGTTATTTGCACATGTATGCTTACAATATAAGTACCTCTCTAACCCTACAGCATACTAGAGTTTGTAAGAGAAAAAACAAGCAGAGCTGACTGTGTTTTGGACTGGTAATGAAATGGTATCAAGGAGTCTTCCAGCTGACAGCCTCATAGGCCTTCCTGCAGTCACCATTGTGTCCCCCGCTGCCTACGAGGTTTCTTCTTCCACAGCCCACCCTGTGTAAATGCCTGGCCTTCCTTCTGACAGCTGTGTGCTGTGTGTTCAGACCTGTACTCCTTCAAAATACCTCAGAAAATATGGAAGTATTTCTAAGGCCTTCCATTCAAAGAAGAGGCATAGGCGCTCTGTAATTGTTTAGTAACTTTTTTTTGTTTATACTTCTCATGTCTTATGGCAATAAATCTATTTTAATGCTTTTGTACAGCTTGGCTAGCCAATGGTTCAGTTATCTGTTGCTTTGCAAGAAACTTTGTGGATTGTTGATCATTCTCCCTCTTGGTTCTGTGAGTGGGCAGTTCTCCCTCGGGTCTCTCTTGGGGCTGCAGTCCGATGACGTTAGGGCTGGACTCACGGGAATGCCCAGTGGGGCTGTATGCCCAAGACGGCTTTTTCACGTGCAGCTTGGCGCCTCAGCTGGGTGGCCGGGCCAGCTGGGGCCGTCTCCTACGTGACTAACGCACTTCCTCATAGGAAGGCCTCTCCAGGCGGTTGCGCCTCTCCCACGGCAAGCTTTCCCAGAGGCGCAGGTGGCAGCAGCAAGGCTTCTGATGAGCAAGTCTCAGAAAGCCAGTGGCTTCGCTTCTCCTACGTTCACAGAGAGGGGGCTACACGGGCAAATCATAGCAGGTTTTGCCCACGAGGGCATGGTGGGAGTGAGGGGAGCTGGAAGGAGATGTCATTTTTGATTAGCTACCACAGCCGGAAAAACCAACTGTATATATTTTCCCATTTTATAACGTTTGCACGTTTATTAATATGTCTAATTTTATAGTTACTCTCAGAATTTTTGAGGTCTCTTTTATCTCACTTCCTGCTTTGCATACGTTTTTAGGACTGTGTGGGTAATATCCCAAAAGTTGGTTAAATGAGCCTTGAGTTGCTGACAGAGGCTTCTGTTACCGTCTCTAAGTGAGTGTTCAGTGCCGTCTTTAGAGGAGTATCTTTCCTTTCCTTTGTCCAGTGAGAACACAGCGGAGTATTCAGAGCTTGCCTCTGGGAAATGCCTCCTCCCTGCTCTCCAGCTAGCGTTGAGGAGGTGGCTGGAGGAGGGAAGCCCTCTGTGTCCTGGGGCTGGCCGCCAGTTCCCTCGTGACCTTGGGCCAGTGATCACACATGCTCGGCCTCGGTTTCCTCTCTTTGAATATATCAATCAACTTGTTAGCTTTATTAATGTCCTTTATCTTCTCTTCTCTTTGCATTGGCCCTCTGTTTAAAATTGGTCTTTCTAGTCCATAAGCAGGTGTAAGAGATAAGCTGCTGTTTCGCAGCAGGCTCCTGGGAGCACAGGTTGTGTTACTGAGGCAGAATCGTTAGTCTTCCTAACATCCCTGCAGGGACAGTTCTCCTGACAGGAATTGATAAGGGCACATTATGTAAAATCTGGAGGGCAAGCCTTTCCCTTTTAGGTCAACACTCACCCGCAAGCTAAAAAGGCTAATCAACAGAAGCATTTTCTGTGTTCATTCCAGAGAATTTCCCAGGGGCACAATAAATCTAGCCTGCCTGTTTACAGGAACATTGTTATTTAACAAGCTAGTTTCCAAGCTTAAGAGTTTTCGGTTTCATCAAATCTAACCCAGCTTGCTAAATGCCTGACATTCATTATTGTCTGCTCCGGTTCCTCTGTGTATTATAAGATAATTTTGCATACTTAATATAAAGATAGTTTTTACACACAGGACTAACCTTAAATTTATTAGAAAACTATTCTAAACTCTTGGATCCCTTTCTCTTTTTTTTCTTAACCATTTACCTATGATTCCATCCTGTCTTTAACCTGCCCACTAGTACTTCTAGCTAGCTAGTTTATCTGATTTACACATTCAGTAATTTATTTGTTCATCCATCTAATGTTATTTTGAGCCTCTGCTCTGGGCTATATAAATGTGATATTAGAAAGAGGAAAGGGACAGGCACAGTGGCTCACGCCTGTAATCCCAGCACTTTGGGAGGCTGGGCGGTGGGGGGCGGGGTGGTGGATTGCCTGAGGTCAGGAGTTCGAGACCAGTCTGGCCAACATGGTGAGTCTGGCCAACATGGTGAAACCCCATCTGTACTAAAAATACAAAAAAATTAGCCAGACGTGGTGGTGGGCACTTATAATCCCACCTACTCGGGAGGCTGAGGCAGGAGAATCACTTGAACCAGGGAGGTGGAGGTTGCAGTGAGCTGAGATCGCGCCACTGCACTCCAGCCTGGGCAACAGAGTGAGACTCTGTCTCAAAAAAAAAAAAAAAAAAAAAAAAAAAGAAAGAAAGAAAGAAAGACAGGGGAAAGGATATCGTTCTGCCTTCAAGATGCTGGAGTCTAGTGAGGAGGCACAGACCCTTGGCAGGTGGAACAGGGCAGCGGGTGATGCGGTGTCTGTAAGGTGCCTGTCTGATTTGGCTTCAAGGGACTGATAAGTCGCCTCAGCAGTCACATCGTGGGGTGTGGGGTTTAACCTTGACCACAGTAGGAAGGATGAACTTGGGATTGCATTACTTCTTCTGGAATCTGGACCTTAGTGCAGAACCTTGGGTAGTGGGAGTTTAGGATAAATTATTTGTGGCTCAGGGATTGCTGAGATACATGTTTTCTAAATTTTGATAAACACTGCCAAATCTCCCAGAGATGTCACGTCTAACACACACTCCCTTCAATAGTATCTCAGTAAATGTTTTCCCAGGCCCTCCCTAGAGTTTTGCCAGTGTGATGGATGAAATAAACAGTATCTCTCTAAATTAAGGAAGCCAGCCCTTTGTAGCTGTGTTGAAATATTTTTCCTGTTTGTTGTTTGTTTGACTGTTGTGTCCTGCATAGAAAGAGACCATGCCCCTTTGAGATTACTCACACATTCGCTGTTCACCCTCGCTTTCTCTTATGGCTTCATTTTTACATTTGGAAAACTTGATTCATCTGAAATTAATTTTGGTATAAGGAGTGAGATCGGAATCTGGCTTTATTTTTCTCAGATGGTTACCTAGTTGCATGAAACACATTTATTAAGCAATCTCTTTTCTTGAAATGCTGCCTTTATAATAATATAATATACCTTTATTGTATACCTTTATAGAAAATGAAATTCCCTTATATATTTTTAATTTGTTGTTGTGATCCATTGAGCTGTGTCGATTATTTCTTCTCCAGTTCCACACTTTTAATATGGAAGCTTCAGAATGTGAAGATTTATTATCTGTCTGCTAGGGCCAGTTTCTGCTCATTATTACTCTTTTCAGATTTTGCCTGTGCCAAAACCTTTCTTTTCAAAGTTTTGCAAACTTTGTTAGCAGTAGCAAAATCTTTCTCTTATGTCCCCAGAACTGATCTTTAAGGGAAGTTTCAACAAACTTAAAACTTGGGCTATTTTGTTTAGAGGGTTCATTTTCTTAAGAAATACGGGAACCCAGTGGATACCAGCGCCATTCATGATCTAACTGTTTCATTCTCTTGGTTTATTTTTTCCTTCCCTTTCTTCCTTTCCATAAATATTTATTTGACATTATGTGGTAGACACTGTGCTTGACTTGGGGATTGAAAGGAGAACTCAACAGTCCTGATTCATTTATTCATTTATATTATAGTGAGCTTAGCCTTGGCCTCTAGAACGCTGAGAGCCACACAGGCATGCGTGGACCAGTATTAGAGCTCACATGTAGATTTTATATGAAGCCACAACACTGAAAAGGGAAAGAAGCCTCCTCAGCTCCTGTTTCTGTATTTTATCCTAAGCTTTTGCACAACCATTGAGCAGAGTTAGCCACCTCCTAACTGACCAGTTATTTTTAATGCCCAGAAAATTACAAAGAGGGAATTAGGAGCTATTGCCGCTGATTTTTTCCTTTTGAGAGAGGGTCTCACTCTGTCACCCATGCTGAGTGCAATGGCACAAAACATGACTATAACTTTGAACTTATAGGCTCAAACGATCATTCCACCTCAGCCTCTGAGTAGCTGGGATTATAGGTGCATACTACCACGCCCAGCTGATTTTTTTTTTTTTTTTTTGAGACAGAATCTTAATCTATCACCCAAGCTGGAGTGCAGTGGTGTGATCTCAGCTCACTGCAACCTCTCTGCCTCCTGAGCTCAAGCCATCCTCCCACCTCAGCCTCCCAAGTAGCTGGGACTACTGGCATGCACCACCACACCCGGCTAATTTTTGTACTTTTTGTAGAGATAAGGTCTTGCTATGTTGTCCAGGCTGGTCTGGAACTCCTGGGCTGAAGCAATCTGCCTACCTTGGCCTCTCAAAATGCTGGAATTACAGGCATGAACCACTGCGTCCAGCCTTAATTTTTAAAATGTTTTGCAGGGACAGGGTCTCACTGTGTTGCCCAGGCTGGTCTTAAACTCCTGACCTCAAGCTACCCTCTTGCCATGTCCTCCCAAAGCCTCCCAGAGTGCTGGGATTACAGGCATGAGCCACCATGCCCAGCCAATTCTTCTTTAAAATGTTTTTAAAACAAATTTTTTACACACTGAGATAATTTTTAAGGGAATATACACACCCAAGGAGCTCATAGAGAGTTGAGAACTGTATTAAAAGCTCCCACATAGTGGCAAGGGAAAGAAATACTTCCCCTGACATAGCACACATGGGCCACGTTGGAGCCAGCAAGGCCCAATGTGAAAGTGAGACAGGAAGCAAGTTACCTTCTTCCAGGGAGGGCTGCTTTTACTTGAACAGACAGTTTTACTGTTTTGCCCTTGTTGCCTTTTGTGATGGTTATGACCTTATCAAAACCATAAATAATTCATTTTTTTCAGTTGATTTCTTGCTCATAAAGTGCCATTTGCTTTGACAGTTAAATGACTTCTAATATTAGCCACAAACAGCATGTCTGGTCTGAGTCTCGCTCAACATCGATGGGTTGAATTTTCTCGTGTCCAGGAATGTTCCTGTGTCAGTCAGAAATTGCTCTTTCCACCTTTTACATTTTATATACTACATAATTTATCTTATTTGTCTGAAATAAATGTCTTAAGTCCAGTTCAATGGATTCTGCAGGAGAACACAGAGAACACAGAAACAACTGGAAGCATAGGCATCTTTGAGTACCCACGTGAATGAAACTGGAACTGAGTGAAGACGCGCTCAGGCTCAGTCTGAGTATCTTTCTGAGTGCTCAGGGTGACGGTGGCTCTTGTGGGTCCTTGTGTGCTGGGGGCCATCCCGCTGTCTTCCTGGTTGTCTCAGGTTAGGGCGGCCCCTGGAAAGAGCCTGCAGATCTCCTTCTCCAGGTTCCTGACAGCTCGGTCTCCAGCCAGACGGCCTCGTTATTTTTTATTAAACATACCTTACCCCTTCAGTTAATTTGTTGTTGTGAAAGACAAATTATATTTTTTAATGGATCAAAAACACCAGAATACTTTCCAGACATTCCGGGGTATTATTTTCTGATGTGACATTTGACTTACATAAAAGCAGCCTGTTTTTTTTCTGCATAAATATACAGTAAGGACAGCTTTTGTGATATAGTAAATAAAATCCCACACAAATTCCACATGACATACTGTGTGGGGAGTTCACATAATAAAATGAAGAATGCTGCCTATTTGTTTTCCAGTGAGTGTGGAGTTTTCATCCTTCCCTGCATCTGCCAAAGCCATGTTCAAATACAGAAATGATGTATTCAAGCAGACTGATTTAAAATGGACATTTTTCTTCATAAACAAAACACACTGTTTATTGCAACCATCCTTTATGTTTCAGTAAGGATGAAGACAAGCTGTAAATATAGTTAATGACTTAAGCTAATGCTAAATTTGTGACGGAAAAATGTGTTGAAATTTGGGTGGGTGTTGCCAGAAGGAACAAGAATGCGGGGAGCAGGACCAGGTGACATGGGGTAAAATCATGCCAGACATAAACGCAAATTTCAAAGAAAAGATTTAACAGAGAATTAATATGCTGCTATTTTTGAAAAGGAGAAGGTGCCATATCACTGAAAGAAAAAGAAAAAGTGCTTAAAGCTGCATTTACATCAAAGTTTATGTCAGCTCTATGTTTCCTTTCTTCCAAGTGCCCAAGATGAAAGTATGCCTTTATGATTGTTAATTGCAGATTTATTTCTGTCTCATTACAATCAAGGGCAGAAAGCTTCTCTTAAATAGCTTGTGTTCCCTGTCTCCTAGCACAGTGCCTGGCGATTTGAATTGATCTCAATAAAACTGGGTACATGTTTCTCTTAAACACTCTACTTCTATTTCTTTAGCTTTTCAGCTTGTCTTAACTCACCCCTCACTTTTCCACATTCACCTCGCTTTATGTGACTTTTTTCTCCAGCCAGCTTTTAATGGACCCTCTGGTTCATTTGATATTTATCATGGTGTCCAGCCCAGATCCCGCACATTGCTCGGTGCATGTCCATCTTTGCTAGGCCTCCTTGCTCCAAGCCTCCTCAGGAGAGTAGTATTCCTCTGGATGCATGTGAGAGGTTTGCAGATGTTCTACATATTTATGCACATGAATGCAGTTCACTCATTTGACCAATATTTGTTAAAATAATTTTTACAAATCAAAAATGCACTTCTTCGGAACTTGATCATATTCTAAACTCCCCTAGGGTCTTAGAGATATGGCAACTTTCCTTCCTTGTAAAAATCACTCTGGAGAAGTTAAAAGAAGCAGCCCTTTATGTTGGGAAGAGTATTATTTTGAGGTTGCAGTGGGCCTGGCAGGGTAAAATTTTTAGCAATGTGGAGTGGAATAAACTGCAGAGTTTACATTAACATTTGTAAGAATCACCAGCTGCATTCCCCATGCTCTTAGGCTTTAAATTGGTGCTGTTTGTTAATATCTTCGTGGCATTTGCTACTGTCGGTAACTGTTGAAAGAGTAATTCTCGTCTTATCAGAAGGATTGGTGTTGATTTGTGTAGCTAAAACCAAGAAAAACAGTCTATTCTTGTCCTTGAATAGTTTCCTGGTCCTGTTACGGATTGCTTATCCTGTTAAAATTCACTTGTAGATTTTCAACTCAAGCAAATTATAAAGCTTTTGGCTCACAGGAACGTTCGTGGTTTCTTGAACCTTCAAATCACAGAATTGGAAGGGTACTCTTAGTGTGTCACTCCCACAGAAGAAGAAAATTTAGCTGCAATTTTGCCTTTTATTATCAATAAATATGTTTTAATTTTAGAAAACAGTTTTACCAACAGAATATAGGTCTTTATAAAGCAAAACACTTAAAATAAATAGTAGCATACAAATGTTCACCCTCAGTACTGAGTAAGGCCAAGAAAAAAGCGTGCCAAGTATAAAGGATCTGTAGGACAGAAAGCCCCCCACGTAGCTAACTGATAAGAAAGGTGGAGATAGTGATAAGACAGACAGGAACTGGAAGCCCGTTCCTGCCAGGCCCACAACATGCCAGCACCACAAAAAAGATCCAGAAATGTGCAGAGGTCAACTTCCAGGTTCCTTCCTCTACTGCCCTTTTTCCTCTTATATGGGTGAGATCCTTTTGCAGTTGAACCCGGCCCAGATGCTTGCAGGTAACTGAGGCTGAAAAGAGCTAATAGATAACAGTGTTGACGGTAGGAAACCTGTACAATTCTCAATAAGCCCCTGCCATGGGTTAGGAACTTTGTTAAGCTCTTGAGTTACTAAGCTAAATGAGATGCACAGTCCCCACCCTCTAGGAACTTACACTCTGAATAAAGACTTGAGTGAATGAAGTTCAAAAGAAAATAAAATATTGTCTTGGAACTAGGGTACTGATTCCCGGGTTCACCCAATTCTCCTTCCTCAGCCTCCCAAGTAGCTGGGATTACAGGCACACACCACCACACCCAGCTTTTTTTTTTTTTTTTTTTTTTTTTTTTTTTTTTTTGTATTTTTAGTAGAGACGGGGTTTCACTATGTTGGCCAGACTGGTCTCAAACTCCTCACCTTGTGATCCACCCGCCTCGGCCTCCCGAAGTGCTGAGATTACAGGTGTGAGCCACCGCGCCCGGCCGGGTACAACTTTTTAATTTTGAGAAATATAAATCCTTTGAAAGATACCAGTTGAAGACAAAAGTAATACTGTATCATTGGCTAGCACCAGAATCCTTAAACAACTTTGGGAAGTTGAAGCCTATGGTTTAAAAGAACCTTTGCTTCCTAGAGAATTGGAAGGTCTACTTTACAAAGCTTCAGCAGGAAAGAAAACACAGCTCCCAAGACATTTTAAAAGACTATGTACTTTTTGTTACTTCCATGAGAGGCCATGAACCAGGAGGGCAAACTGTTCAGAGTAGCAAGTTCAGCAAAAGCTTTGTCATCATTCTGGGGGATGGGGTGTGAGTTAGGCACATTGAAGTCCAGAGACGAACATCACCCTGTGTTCTCTACCACCAAAGAGCAGCACTGCCAGCCCACTTTCTAAATTGTGCTGAGAGTACATGTGCTCTTCTCTGTCTACATCATCACTGCCTTAGTTTAGGCGTAGGTTGCAACTGAAATGCTTACCAGGGCCAGGCTGGTAACATAAATGGGTGCCTCTGCCTGGGCGAGCCTAAAGAGGGAGTGTTGTGGTTGTGACACCCCAGAGAGAGCTTGCCTCTGCCTCCTCCCCAATCAGGAATTCAAGATGCTTTAAAAACACTGTTCTAGCCAAACAACACATATCTGCCAGCCGCATCTGAGAACTTGTTGTGAGCTGAGGACTCTGTTTTTAGGCTCTTGTCATGACCTTTTGCAAGAATCACCTAAACCCTTCCTCCAGCCTCTACCTCCTGCAAACCATCGTCCATATTGCAAGCAATCAGATTTATTTATTTATTTATTTTTTGAGACAAAGGCTCGCTTTGTCGCCCAGGCTGGAGTGCAGCGGCACGGTCTGGGCTCACTGCAACATCCGCCTCCTGGGTTCAAGCGATTCTCCTGCCTCAGCCTCCCAAGTGGCTGGGATTACAGGTGCCTGCCACCACACCCAGCTAATTTTTGTGTTTTTAGTACAGATGGGGGTTTCACCATGTTGGCCAGGCTGGTCTCGAACTCCTGACCTCAGGGAATCCGCCCACCTTGGCCTCCCAAAGTGCTCGGATTATAGGCATGAGCCACCGTGCCCAGACAAGCAATCAGATTTCTAAAGCACAGATCTGGTGGTGTCATTGCCTTGTTATAAAAACCGATCCCCAGCTGGGCACGGTGGCTCACGCCTGTAATCCCAGTACTTTGGGAGGCCGAGGCGGGCGGATCACGAAGTCAGGAGATCGCGACCATCCTGGCTAACACGGTGAAACCCCGTCTCTACTAAAAATACAAAAAAATTAGCCAGGCGTGGTGGCAGGCACCTGTAGTCCCAGCTACACGGGAGGCTGAGGCAGGAGAATGGCGTGAACCCGGGAGGCAAAGCTTGCAGTGAGCCAAGATCGCACCACTGCACTCCAGCCTGGGTGACAGAGCGAGACTCTGTCTCAAAAAAAAAAAAAAAAAGAAAAGAAAAAAACCTATTGCCTACCTCCCAAGGGCAAATGCAGCCTGGTGTTTGGCTCCAAGTCTGCTTCAGCTTTGGCTCCCATCACTCCGCTTTCCTTTTGCCTCAACTTAAGATCTTGCCACATGTACACTTCCCATAACATTCCAGCTGAGAGGCTTTTGTATACGAGGGGTTTTTTTTTGTTTGTTTTGCCTAGAATGATCCTCCCTGGTGAATCTTAGCTTAAATCACCAGGCAGTTAAGCAGGCTTTTCTCTATGATTTCACCCCCACTTTGTATATTTCTGTGATTAGTCCTGAACATCCCATGTTGTACTGTTTACCTCTCTCACTGGACTTAGAAATTCTGAAGAACAGAAACAAAAAGTTTTCTCTTTCTCTGTATGTTCTTTTTTTGTTGTTATTATTATTGACTTGGTATATCTTCTTTCAGATGTATTTTCTTTTATTCTCAACACAAAGTAATTTTAACATGATCTTTCTGGGCCAAAATTTTCTTATCTGTAAAATGAAGATGTTGGACTAGGATTCAGTGCTTCTTAACTAAAGAATTCAATAGATGATGCTGGGACAAGTGTATATCTACCTGTAAAGGAATGAAGTTGGACCCCTTCCTCATACTATACACAAAAATTAACTCAAAATGGATCATAGACCTAAACATAAGAGCTAAAACTGTAAGACTTTCAGAAGAAAACACAGGAGTAAGTCTTCATGACCTTGGATTAAGGAATGGTTGCTTAGATATGACACCAAAAACATAAGTGACAAAAGAAAAAAAATAGGTACAATGAGCTTCATCAATATTTAAAACTTTTGTGCTTTAAATGATACCGTCAGTAAAGAGAACAGGCATTCTTCGTATTCCCTAATCTCCCCCCATCACAAAATAAATAAATTGAAAAGACAACCCACAGTGTGGGAGACAATGTTTGCAAATCCTATATCTGAAAAGGGTCTAATATCCAGAATATGTAAATAACTCTTATGAATCAACAAAAAAAAGACAAGCCAATTAAAAAGTGGCAAAGGACTTGAGTAGACATATCTCCAAAGGCAACATACAAATAGATAATAAGCACATGAAAAGATGCCAGTATCGTTGAATCCCATTTATGCCTAGCGTTCCACTACTGGAATGCTAAACCTGTGGGAGTTATTTATATCCTACTGCTCAAGGTCATCACCAAGGTCTGATTTTTCACACGTCTGCAATTCAAAAAATTGCAACCTCCCTCATAAATGGGTTAATCGTCAGGAAGTGCAAATCAAAATCACAATGAGATACCACTTTACGTCCACTAAGATGGCTGTAATCAAAAAGAAGAGCAATAGTAAGTGCTGGCAAGAATGTAGAGAAATTGGGACCCTCATGCGTGCTGGTGGGAATGTAAAATAGTGTCATTGCTGTGGAAAATAATTTGCAGTTCCTGAGCAGTTTGCAGGTCTATGTTAAACATAAGAGTTGTCATATGAACCAGCAATTTCATTCCTAAGGGTATATACCCAAGAGAATTGAAAACATATGTCCACACAAAATGCATACATGCATATTCACAGCATTACAGGCATACCTGAGATATTGCAGGTTCCATTCCAGAACATCATGATAAAACAAATGTTGTGTTTTGCAATAATGTGAATCACACAATTCTTTTCGTTTCTCAGTCTATATAAAAGTTATGATTACACTATAGTGTAGTCTATTAAGTGTGCAGTAGCATTACATGTAAGAAGAACAATGTACATACCTTAATTTTAAAATTTTGCTAAGAAACGCTAACAAGGTGAGTACAGGCCATTAGAAAAATGGTGCCTGTCGACTTGCTAGATACAGGGTTGCCATAAACCTTCCATTTAAGAAACTCAGTGTCTGCAAAGCTCATTAAATCAAAGCACAACAAAATGAGGTATGCCTGCATTTCCTAATAACCAAAAGATGGAAACAGCCTAATTGTTCATCAGCTGAAAAATAGACAGACAAAATGTGGTATATCCATAGTATATCCATACTATTGTTCACCCATAAAAAGTAATGAAGTATTAATACATGTGATACCACATGGGGGAACCTTGAAAACTCAGGGTAAATGAAGGAAGTGAGTAACAAAAGGCCACATATTGTATCATTCCATTTATATGAAATGTTCAGAATGAGCAAATTTGTAGAAACAGAAAGTAGACTAATGATTGCCAGGGACTAGGGAGTTGAGGGGGTGATCCTAGGGCAAGGGCGAAGTGTCTTCTGGGTTTTTAAGTATAACTGTGCAAATCCAAGGGTGCCTCTGGACTACTTGAAGACGGAATGGACAGCATAGGTGTCCTGTAATTACTTTCTGCTCCCTGGAACCAGGGAACAGGAGTGCAGAAGGGGAGGTGCAATAACACTTAAACAGTGAAACAGGATTCCAGGGGGAGAGAAAGAAAGCGCTTACTCCTGAGTCAGAGTTTGGGATGTGGTCAGGTCTGGCAGCAGACTCTGTGGGCTCTGACTCCCAGACAATCCACCAAAAACTCTAGGCAGAAGGTCTGGGCATTCCTGCCCCTTGAATAGAGGTAGCCCCAGTAAGAATGCAGAGAGGCTGACAGTCAATGTGGAGGCTCCCACCCACAGCTCCTGTTTGAGGAAGTGGCTTTGAACCCGGTTCCTCAGAGCTGTTGGGTTTCACAGCAGCACAAGGCCTCCTTTTTCCTTTTCTCCCCTCTTTCACTTTTATCCTGAGTATACACAGGAGATTTCATTTGAGGAAAACATCCCGGTTCCTAAAATATCTGAAAATCATGGAGGTGATTCAGGAATTACACATAAATGCTATGGTGCCTTCCAGTCAAGGGATACTAACAGCGTTAATGAAGAGAATTCTCTAGAGAGCAAGAACAATTCTCGGAAGAAGCTGCTTGTATTTTCAACTTAGAGTTTGTGGAAAGCTACCTGTGATGGAGAGGACCAGGCTGAGAAGGCAAAGGAAGCTGGACCCCTATTTACTTCCTCCAGCCACTCCCCAACCCAGATTACCTCCAGAGAACCACGATGGCTCTGAGGAACCCGGTTTCACAGTCACTTCCTGACAGGAGCTGTGGGTGGGAGCACCCACAATGACTGTCAAACTCTGCCTTCTTACCGGGGCCACCTCTGTGCATGGGGTGGGAAGTCCCATCCTTGTTGCCTAGAGTTTCTGGTAGATTGCTGCGGGGTCAGAGTCCAAGATTTCATAATCAGATGATGGAGACCTCTCTGATGCCTTGCACTTTGGGTTCTGTTTTCCCAAAGCTCTTCTTAATATTTGACTTTGTTTTATTTTATTCTCCAAAGTAGGTTTGCTTATAATAGAAAATTTGGATATTTTCTACAGCAGAAGATACTACCATAGTGTCTCATCAGTCAAAGATAATAGATGCGAACACTTTGATCATTCCGACCTTTTGTTCTATATATAGGTTTAAAATGTTTTATATAGTTATGATTAAACTATAAGTTAATCGTTTCTTTCACTTAACAAAATAACATACTTTTTCCTTGTTATTACAAATAGCATGTTAATGCTTAAGTAACATTAATGTAACTAATGTCACTTAAATAGTCCACAATCAATCCTCAGTTATTGGACATCCATCTGTCTAAGAGGTTTCTATTGCTAGAAATAATTCTTCAGGTTGGGCACAGTGGCTCGTACTAGTAATCCCAGCGTTATGGGAGGCTGAGGCTGGAGGATGCCTTGAGCCCAGGAGTTTGAGACAAGCCTGGGCAACATGGCAAAACAAAAAAACAAAAAATATACAAAAATTAGCTTACCAAAAATACAAAAATGGTGGCACAGGCCTGTAGTCCCAGCTACTTGGGAAGCTGAGGTAGGAGGATCACTTAGGCCCAGGAGTTTGAGACAAGCCAGGGCAACATGGTAAAACCCTGTCTCTACAAAAAAAATACAAAAACTAGCTGGGCACGGTGGAGTGTGCCCAGCTAGTCCCAGCTACTCGGAGGCTGAGGTGGGAGGATTGATTGAGCCTGGGAGGTTGAGGCTGCAGTGAGCTGTGATTGTGGCACTGTACTCCAGCCTGATTGACAGAGTGAGACCCTGTCTCAAAAAAAAGGAAAGCAATAATTCTTCAGTGGCTATCTGTCTTCAGAAGCACTGTATCCACATGGCCTTAAACAGTGCCTGGCACATACTAGGGACTCAGTATATAATCATTGGATTAATATTTATACCTGCAGCGTTTCCATATTTTTTAATTTTATTTTTGAGATGAGTTCTGGCTCTGTTGCCTAGGCTGGAGTGCAGTGGTGCAATTTCGGCTCATTGCAACCTCTGCCTCCTGGGCTCAAGCTATCCTCCCACCTCAGCCTCCTGAGTAGCTGGGACCATAGGCATGCACCACCACATCTGGCTAATTTTTGTATTTTTTATAGAGACGAAGTTTCGACATGTTGCCCAGGTTGGTCTCGAACTCATGAGCTCAAGGAATCCATCCACCTTGGCCTCCCAAAGTGTTGAGATTACGGGAGTAAGACACCACAGCTGGCCTGTTTCCATAGTCCTGAAGGCAGAATTACTGAGTTAAAGAAATGGGGTCATCTTTAGGCTGGGTGCGGTGGCTCACGCCTGTAATCCCAGCATTTTAGGAGACTGAGGCGGGTGAATCACCTGAGGTCAGGAGTTCGAGACCAGCCTGGCCAACATGGTGAAGCCCCGTCTCTACGAAAAATACAAAAAATTAGCCAGGCATGGTGACTGGTGCCTGTAATCCCAGCTAGTCCGGAGGCTGAGGCAGGAGAATTGCTTGAACCCAGGAGGTGGAGGTTGTGGTGAGCTGAGACCACACCATTGCACTCCAGCCTGGGCAACAAGAGTGAAACTCCATCTCAAAAAATGGAGTCATTTTAAATATAATAAAATGTACTCATTTAAACATCTTTTAAGTAAGAGAAGAAACCCATAGAGGAATATTGGAGTGTCTCCCAGTCCCCAAAGGCAAGAATGCATATTGGCCTTGGAAAAAGGCTGGAACAGAGAATTTGCATGACATCAGTATTCAGTTCTGCATCATTTATGTCTGCCCTCTTCACATACATATTTTATTCTTATTTGTCTGTAAAAAGGCCTTCCCTGCGCTTCTTGTCCATGTGGCAAGAAGAAAGATGACCAAGGCTTGAGGCCCGATCCACGTAATATAAGAGAAAGAATGGTTGAATCAGGAGACCACCCAGCAGGTGTCTACTACATACGTAGGCCTTTTAACCCATTTCCTGTTTGCCCTGAGAAATGTGTGCTGGCAGCGAGCTGCATTTTTTTTTTCTAAACAGGAAATGGGTAAGATATGTAAATAGAAACATCCTTAAAAAAAAAAAACAGTATCCATTCAAGAAGTCTCTCATCTTCTGGAAGCTTGTCATATTTATATGCTTAAGTCTGTATGTCTTTTATAACTTCTCTAATCCATGTCATATTTAGACTGGACTCCCCAATATAAGATTATAGAAATATTATTCTTTATTTTCTTATAGTATAGTTGTCCCTTGGTATATATGGGGGATTGTCCCAGGACCCCCTTCAGATATCAAAATCCATGGATGTTCAAGTTCCTTATATAAAATTGAATAATATTTGCATATGACCTGCACATACCCTCTGGTATATGTTAAATCATCTCTAGAGTACTTATAATATGTAATACAATGTAAATGCTCTGTATATAATTGTTATATTGTATTATTTAGGGGATAGTGACAAGAAAAAAAGTTTGTACATGTTTGGTACAGATGCACCCACATTTTTTTTTTTTTTTGAGACGGAGTCTTGCTCTGTCACCCAGGCTGGAGTGCAGTGGCACAGTCATAGAGACGGGGTTTCACCGTGTTAGCCAGGATGGTCTCGATCTCCTGACCTCGTGATCTGCCCGCCTCAGCCTCCCAAAGTGCTGGGATTATAAGCATGAGCCACCACACCTGGCCGCACCCACATATTTTTTTAAGAAATATTTCTGATCTGTTGTTAGTTGAATCCACGGATGCAGAACTCACAGATACGGAGGTCCAACTGTTCTTTCATGACTTTATTTTCTATTTTTAAATCTTTACTCCATCTGAAGTTTATTTCTTGACATGATACAAGGTAAAAATATAACTATAATTCCAGAAGACTTTCATCACACCCAAAAGGCTTTCATACCCATTAGCAGTCACTCCCCATTCCCCCTTCCCCCAGTCTCTGGCAACCACTAATCTACTTTCTGTCTCACGGATTTATCTGTTCTGAACATTTTAATGGAATAGTGCAATATATGGTCTCTTGTGTCTGGCTTCTTTCACTTAGTAGAATGTTTTCAAGGTTCATCTATGTTGTATTGTATTATGTATCAATACCTGTAGAAGTAAAGAGGAAAGCCTCATTTTTTTTTAAAGTGACAGGGTCTCACTATGTTGCCCGGTGCTCAAGTGATCCTCCCTCCTCAGCCTCTTGAGTAGCTGAGACTACAGGTGCATGCCACCTCTCCTGGCTACATTCATTTTTATGACTGAATAATATTCTATTGTATGGATATGCCACATCTTATTTATCTGTTCATCAGCTGAAGCACAGTTGTGCTGTTTTTGCTTTTTGGCTCTTATGAAATAATGCTGCTGTGAATGTTTGCATACAAGTTCCTATATGGACATATGCTTCGTGCAGCTGTATGTTGTTCCTTACGTTTTAATAAGTGTACCTTTATGTCCTGTTTTAATATTTAGCAGACCGTGTCATCACTATGCCCATTAGTTTACTTTATAAGTCTTTTTTTTTTTTCTTTGAGATGGAGTTTTGCTTTGTCACCCAGGCTGGAGTGCAGTGTTGTTATCTCGGCTCACTGAAGCCTCCATCTCCTGAGTTCAAGCGATTCTCGTGCCTCAGCCTCCTGAGTAACTGGGATTACAGGCGCGTGCCACCAGGCCCAGCTAGTTTTTGTATTTTTAGTAGAGACGGGGTTTCACCATGTTGGCCAGGCTGGTCTTGAACTCCTGACCTCAAGTGATCCACCTGCCTTGGCCTCCCAAAGTGCTGGGATTACAGGTGTGAGCCACCACACCTGGCTATAAGTGTTAATAAATCTTTTCTTTCTCACTTTATTTTTTTAATTATGATATGGAATAGTTGACATATTTTGGAGCTACACGTGCTATTTTGATACATGTATACAATGTGTCATGATCATATCAGGGTAATTGGGATATCTATAACTTCAAACATTTATCTATTGTTTGTGTTGTGATCTCACTAGATTTTTATACCAGTTGTGCTTTGGAGTTATTTGATTAACTTCACTCAAAAAATATATTTGGGACTTTTTTTGCATGTGTCAAACTTGTCAGCATCTTGAGACTAACTTGTACCTTACAGTTACTCAATCTTCTACCCAACAACCAAGCAGGTCCCACTTGTTCAAGTGTTCTTGAAGATATAAACAATGATTAATAAAAGCTGTTTATTTTTTTTTCATATAGGTCCATGCAAGGTTGGTTAAAGTTACTTCTTGAAACTATGTTTCATATTTTTCATTACTTTTGTGAAAGGAGTGTTTTTTCCATTATATTTTAAAGTAGTGTTTCTGGTATACAGTGGAAGTATCAAATTAACTCATATTCACAATTTTATGCTCATTCTTTGCAGATTGCTTATTAATTAAAGGAATTATTTATTTGATATCTTGGTAGTACTGCTTCTCTTTGAACAGAATTAAAAGTTAGTTGTTTCTAACCTTTTTTTTTCCCCTCCTCAATGATAGCTTTCTATTTGGCTGTTTCTTGTTTATTCTGAATTCAAGGCCAGTTTGAAGGTCTCATGGTTACATAAGCTAGTATTTTTGAGGTTTCTTTTGTCTTGAGTTTTTAAAGTAGTGATTTTCATACTTTGTTGCTTTGATTGGCAGGTGCGTGGATTGTACTCCGGGTGAAGGGAGTCAAACTGTTCCTGTGGCTGCCATCCTAAATCACCACACACTTGGTGACTTTAGCAATAGAAATAGTTTTACTCACAGTTTTGAAGGCTGGAACTCCAAAATCTGGCAGGGTCACACGCCCTGAGGGAGAGCCAGGGGAGAATGTGTTCCTTGTCTCTCCCAGCTTCTGGTGATGCCCTGGCATTCCTGGACGTGTGGTCATATCTCTCTAATCTTTCCCTCCCTCTTCACATCACGTTCCCCTCTTTTGTCTCGGACCAATCTTCCTCTGCCTCCCTCTTATAAGGACATTTATCATTGGACATAGGGCCCATCTGGATAATCTGGAATGATCTCTTCAGCCCCAAATCCTTAACTTACATCTATAGAGACCCTTTTTTCCAATAAGGTCACCTTCCTAGGTTCTGGGATTAGGACATATCTTATTGGAGACCACACCATACAACTTACTACAGAAGCCATCCTGCAGCTACCAGTGCATAGGATCCCTCTCTTGTGTCTCATCTTGATTTGGTACTGCTAGATGTTTTTTGGTATTTTTATATGGTGTATAAAATATTACATTTTGCACATGGATTTAGAGTTTGGTGAAAGGTATATTTTCCAAGTAATTTTCTTTGGAAATAACATGGCAAGAGACTGGCCATGTCATTTTTGCGTGTACTATAAACTAAGTGAAAAAACTGACATATCAGTCACAGTTTTCTCATGCAGAATTCATGGAAATCTAGTGGTGATGCGGTGAAAGTATAGCGACTATCTGCTCCAACTGCAGGTGCGTCGTTGCTCCTGGATATGTTCTCTCGGAAAAAACCACCCATCATTTTATTCCCATGTAATGCAGAATAGTGTTGTGCAAGTCATTCTCAATAAAGGATATGTGGGTTTTGATACCAGGAAATTGCCTTCAGGATCCTGAAAACAAGCACATTTAGTAATCTTGTAAAATTGCATTTTATAGAGCTTTGAAATTTTAAAAACTATGCTTGTATTTATTTTACTTTAGATATGTTGATAAGTAACCCTAGGACATCAGTTCCTCTCATTCAATTTTTATAGCTTGGCCATTGTGTTAAGTATGACTCCTGTGGGGGGAAAAATACAGCCACCTAAAAGTGTGTATCTCTGTTCACATCATCTTTAATATTTTTTATTTATAGTTTCACATGCAGTTATGAGAATTGTTACAGAGAAGTGCCTTGTATACTTTGTCCAATGTCCCCAAATGGTAATATTTTATAGAAGGATAACCAGGATATTAGCATTGATGTTAATCCACTGATCTTATTCAGATGTCCCCAGTTTTATTTGAATTTGTGCATATTAAGTTCTGTACAGTATCACCTGCATTGGTTCACGTATCTACTATCGGATTGAGATATGGAACGTTTCCAACACCAGGAGACTCTCTCATGTTGCCTTGTTATAATCACACACATGTTCCTCCAGCCCCTCTACTGGTCCCCAGATGCTGGAAGAACTGATCTATCCTCCATTTTTAAAATGTTATCACTTTAAAATGTTCTATAAATGGAATTTAAAACCCAAAACAGAATGAAACTTTTGGGATTGGCTTATTTTACTCAACATAATTTCCTAGAGATACATCCAAGTTGTTGCATGTATCAATAGTTTGTTCTTTTTATTATTGAGTAATATTCCATGGGGTGAATACCACAGTTTAACCATTCACTTATTGAAGAACATCTGGGCTGATTCCAGTTTGGGGATATTATAATTAAGCTGCTATGAATATTTGTGTACAGGTTTTTGTGTGAACCTAAGTTTTTTTGTTTTTTTTTTTTGAGATGAAGTTTCGCTGTGGTTGCCCAGGCTGGAATGCAATGGCATGATCTCGGCTCACTGCAACCTCCGCCTCCCAGGTTCAAGCAATTCTCCTGCCTCAGCCTCCCGAGTAGCTGGGACTACAGGCATGCACCACATGCCTGGCTAATTTTGTATTTTTAGTAGAGACGGGGTTTCTCCATTTTGAGGCTGGTCTCAAACTCCTAACCTCAGGTGATCCGCCCACCTCGGCCTCCCAAAGTGTGGGATTACAGGCGTGAGCCACCATGCCCGGCCCTAAGTTTTTATTTTGCTGGGATAAATGCCTAAGAGTGCAATTGCTGGGTATGGTAATTGCGTGTTTTGGATTTTAAGAAACTGCTAAACTGTTTTCCAGAGTGGCTGTACTATATCACATTCCCAGCAATGTACAAGTGATCCAATTTTTTCACATCCTCTCCACACTTGGTGCTGTCACCAAATAGGTATGACACTGACAGGTATGCAGTGATGTCTCATTGTGGTTTTAATTGGCGTTTCTCTGAGGAATAATGATGTTGAATGTCTTTTTGTGGTCCATTAGCCATCGGAATATCCTGTTCAATGAAATGTCTGTCTTTTGTTCATTTTTTACTTGGGCTGTTTGTTTTTTTACAGTTGAATTTTAAGACTTCATTGTATATTCTAGTCCTTTGTCAGATATGTGGTTTACAAATATTTTCTTTCATTCTGTAGCTTGTCTTTTCATCCTCATCACAGCTCTTTAGCAGAACAAAAAATTTTTAATTTTGATGATGTCCAGTTTATCAATATTTCCTTTTGGGAACTGTCCTTTTAGTGTCAGGTCTAAGAAATTTTTGCCTAGCTTGAGAGCTCAAAGATTTTCTCATTTTTTACCTTAAAAGTTTTATAATTTTATAATACTTAAGTGTCATACATTTTGAGTTAACTTTCATATAAGGCATGAGGTTTAGATCCAGGGTCATTTTTTTTTGCCTGTGATTGTCCAGGTGCTGTAGCACCATTTATCCAAAAGGCTATCCTTCTACTGAATTGCTGTTGCACCTTTATGAAAAAAGAGTTGGACATATATGATATAGGTAGAAGGCAGATGCCACCATGCCTGGCTCCCAGGCATATTTGCATAGGATTATTTCTGGGTTCCACTGATCTTTATATGTATCCCTTTGCCAATACTACATAGTCTTAATCATAGCTATAT
Source organism: Homo sapiens (assembly GCF_000001405.40). Taxonomy (NCBI): domain Eukaryota; kingdom Metazoa; phylum Chordata; class Mammalia; order Primates; family Hominidae; genus Homo; species Homo sapiens. Next base: position 2,023,359 of record NW_011332701.1, on the reverse strand, counting down.
AATAAGTCCTGAAATCCAGAAGACTGATTTCTCCCATTTTATTTTTTTCAAAATTGTTTTAGCTAATCTAATTTCTTTTCCTTTCCATATAAGCTTTAGAATAGTCTTGTCTATATCTACAAATATCTTGCAAGGATTTTTATTGGCGTTGTTCTTCTTTAAATGTTTGGTAGAATTCTCTAGTGAAACCATCTGGCCCTGGAAACTTATCTTTTGGGAGTTTTTAAATTAGATATTGGTTTTTTAAATTGGTAATAGGGCTATTCAGATTGCCTGTTTCATCCGTGTTGGCTATTTGTGGTTTTTGAGGTATTTGCCCATTTCTTCTGAGTTATCAAATTTCAGAGTATAAAATTGCCTATAGTATTTGGTTATTATACTAATAACGACTGTAGGGTCTGTAGTGATATCCCTTATTTTAGTCTTAATATTTTTTATGTTTCCTTGCTTTTTGTTTCTGTCAGTCTTGCTAGAGGTTTATCAATTTTATTGTTTTTTCCCTAAAGAGCTGGTCTTTTCTATAATTTATTTTATTTTTAAAATTTTTATTTTATATGTATTTTTTGAGGCAGAGTCTCACTCTGTTGCCCAGGCTGGAATGCAGTGGCACAGTCTTGGCTCACTGCAACCTCTGCCGCCTGGATTCAAGTGATTTTCCTGCCTCAGCCTCCCAAGTATCTGGAATTACGGGCACATGCCAGGATGCCCAGCTAATTTTTGTATTTTTAGTAGAGACAGCGTTTCACCATATTGGCCAGGCTGATCTCAAACTACTGGCCTCAAGTGATTCACCTACCTCGGCCTCCCAAAGTGCTAGGATTACAGGCGTGAGCCACTGTGCCCAGCCTATATTTTATTTTATTACTTATTTGTTTTTTCTCATAGAGACAGGGTTTTGCTCTGTTACCCCCCGGGCTGGTCTCTACCTCCTGGGCTCAAACAATCTGCCCACCTCAGCCTCCCAAAGTGCTGGGATTGCAGGTGTGAGCCACTGTGCCCAGCCTATTTCATTATTTATTTATTTATTGCTATATAACAAAAGTTGGTGGCTTAAAACAATAAACATTTGGCTGGGCGCGGTGGCTCATGCCTGTAATCCCAGCACTTTGGGAGGCCAAGGTGGGCGGATCACGAGGTCAGGAGTTCAAGACCAGCCTGGCCAACATGATGAAACCCTGTCTCTACTAAAAATACAAAAATTAGCTGGGCATGGTGGCGTGTGCCTGTAATCCCAGCTACTTGGGTGGCTGAGGCAGGAGAATTGCTTAAACCAGGACCTGGGAGGCGGAGCTTGCAGTGAGCCGAGATTGCGCCACTACACTCCAGCCTGGGCTACAGAGTGAGACTCCGTATCAAACAAAAACAAACAAAAATAAACATTTATTATTTCACAAAGTCTCTAAAATAATATTCCTCACAATAAATAGGACTCTAGAAGCAGCTTAGTTGAGGGGGTTCTGGTTCAGCACTTCTTGTGAAGTTGCAGTCAAGACGTCAGCGAGAACTACAGGCACCTATACTTAAGTGTCATACGTTTTTGAGTTAATTTTTGTATAAGGTGTGAGGTTTAGATCCAGGGTCCATCCAAGGCTAGAGGATCTGCTCTCAGGTTAACTCCAGCACATGGCTGCTGGCAGGAGGCCTCAGTTCTTCCCCACATAGACCACTCCAGGGTGCTGCTTGAATGCCCTCATGACAGAGCATCTGGCTTTCCCCAGAGCGAGTGATCCAAGAGAGAACAAGGAACCCACAGGGCCATGCATGACCAAATCTGCAGGACACGCCATCACTTCTGCCTTATTCTGTTTGTTAGAAGTGAGTCACTAATGGCCAGGCGTGGTGGTTCGCGTCTACAATCCCAGCACTTTGGAAGACCGAGGTAGGTGGATCACTTAAGCCCAGGAATTCAAGACCAGCCTGGACAATATGAGACCTTGTCTCTCTTTTTTTTTTTTTTGAGACGGAGTCCTCTCTGTTGCCCAGGCTGGAGTACAGTGGCACGATCTCAGCTCATTGCAACCTCCGAACCTCCGACTCCCGGGTTCAAGCAATTCTCCTGCCTCAGCCTCCTGAGTAGCTAGGATTACAGGCACATGCCACTATGCCCAGCTAATTTTTTTGTATTTTTAGTAGAGAGCATTTTGTCATATTGGTAAGGCTGGTATCAAATTGCTGACCTCAGGTGATCATCCCACCTCAGCCTCCCAAAATGTTGGGATTACAGGTATGAGTCACCATGCCTGGTCTTTTTTTTTTTTTTTTAAATAAAATTTGTTTTTAAAAAGAAGTGAGTCACTAAGCCCACATTAAAACAGTGGGGGGTGCGGGGTGAGTGGAATAAACTCCACTTGCTGAGTATCTAAGACTTTGTAAATATATGTTTTAAAACCAGCATACCATACATGTGGCTGTGTACAAACAATGTAGTAATACTATTAAAACAAACATACATGTAACTATAACACAAAATGAAATGTGGCAAATATAAGAAAGGTAGAAGTGCTGTATGTAGATTTCGTGAAGAAAATTATTTTTTAGCCAAGGGTCAAGCCTACTAGTTACTCAACAAAACCTACTCAAAACATTAATTTTAATGTAATTAAATTTAAAGTTTCATTTTGGTTCTACTCTTTTTTTCTCTTGTTTATAAGATATGTTTCAGAGATGTTACATTATCATTTAGAAGTCTTTACTGATGATATGTCAGCAAGTTATTATATATTCTATTTATCTTATGTGAAAAAGAGTATTTTATAAAAACGTAGCACCATCAGTTCTCCATATATTTAAAAAAAACCACAGAAAATAATATGTTGGGATAATAGTTTCTTTTTTTTTTTATTTTGAGATGGAGTCTCACTCTGTCGCCAGGCTGGAGTTCAGTGGTGTGATCTCGGCTCACTGCAACCTCCGCCTCCCTGGTTCAAATGATTCTCCTGCCTCAGCCTCCCAAGTAGCTGGGACTACAGGCACATGCCACCATGCCCAGCTAATTTTTGTATTTTTAGTAGAGATGGGGTTTCACCATGTTGGCCAGATGGTCTCAATCTCTTGACCTTGTGATCCGCTCGCCTTGGCTTCCCAAAGTGCTGGAATTACAGGCGTGAGCCACCATGCCCAGCCAATAGTTTCTGCATTATCTATACTGAAAGTTTTATTTTTAAATTTGTCTCTAGTCAACTTCCTCTGTTACTACTATAAAATGTATCAGGCTGTCTACATAGATAATATCTAGAAATAGAGTTTTCAGCATTTTAAGATATGCTTAATATAACTGATACTTAAAATATAAATGTTCATATGCACCAAACACCATAGCCTCAAAAATGCACAAAACAAAAATTGATAAAGCTGTAAAGAGACCTAGACAAGCCCACAATTATAGTTGAGGATCACAGCACCCTCTCAGCAACTGAGAAATACTAAATAGTAAATCAGCAAGGGGAAAGAAGATCTGAACAACACAATCTAAGAGGATCTGATTAACATCTGCAGAACAGTAACCCAACCCTCAGCAGAAACTTTTTTTTTTTCAAGCACTCATGGAACATTCACCAAGAAAGACCATATTTGATCATATCTTGGGTCATAAAACATGCCTCAGGAAATTTAAAATAACTGTAATCATGTGAGTATGTTCTCTGCCACAATGAAATCAAACTAGGAAACAGTAACAGAAACACAACAGGAAAAAGCTTTAAACGTGGAAATAAAACAACACTTCTAAATAATCAATGGGTCAAAGAGAAAGTTTTCTCAAAGAAAATGTAAAAATACACATAATTGGAAATAAAAACATATGTTGAAAACATATTCAAAATATGTGGGATGCAGCCATAGCAGTGAATCAGAGGGAAATGAATAGCACTAACCGCTTACTCTATTTTTTATTTATGTTATTTTTATTTTTATTTTTTTGAGACAGAGTCTAGCTCTGTCACCCAGGCTGGAGTGCAGTAGCGCGATCTCTGCTCACTGCAACCTCCGCCTCCCGGGTTCACACCATTCTCCTACCTCAGCCTCCCGAGCAGCTGGGACTACAGGCACGCACCACCTCGCCCGGCTAATTTTTTGTATTTTTAGTAGAGATGAGATTTCACCTTGTTAGCTAGGATGGTTTCAATCTCCTGATCTCGTGATCCGCCCACCTCAGCCTCGCAAAGTGCTGGGATTACAGGCGTGAGCCACTGGGCCCAGCCCAATTGCTTACTTTAAAAGTGTAGAGTGGCATCAAATCAGTAACCTAATTTACTACCTCAAGAACCTAGAAAAAGGAGAGCAAAATCAGCCAAAGCAAGCAAAAGAAGGGAATAATAAAGAGCAGAAATTAATAGAATTAAAAATAGGAAAACAAAAGAAAAAAGCAAAAAATCAAAAGGCTGGTTCTTGGCTGGGCATCATGCAAAACTCGTCTCTACAAAAAAATACAAAAATTAGCTGGGTGTGGTGGTGCGCACCTGTGGTCCCAGCTACTCTGGAAGCTGAGAGGAAAAGATTGCTTGAGCCCAGGAGTTTGAGGCTGCAGTGAGCCGTGATCATGCCACTGTACTCCAGCCTGGGTGACAGAGCAAGACCCCGTCTCAAAAAAATTAAATAAACAAGTAAACAAAAGTAAACTATGTATCGTTTTGTACTATGTTGCTTTGCATATAGTAAGTGTTCAATAAATATTTACTGATTTCTTCCAAACATTACTTGAATCAGGCATTGATATGTATTCAGACCATTTTCCTTGATCTCGGCCCTTGTTTTCTTTCTTTCTTTCTTTTTTTTCTTTGAGACGGAGTCCCGCTTTGTTGCCCAGGCTGGAGTGCAGTGGCACCATCTCGGCTCACTGCAAGCTCCACCTCCCAGGTTCACACCATTCTCCTGCCGCAGCCTCCGGAGTAGCTGGGACTACAGGCACCCGCCACCAGGCCCGGCTAACTTTTTTGTATTTTTAGTAGAGATGGGGTTGCACCATGTCAGCCAGGATGGTCTCGATCTCCTGACCTCGTGATCCGCCCGCCTCGGCCTCCCAAAGTGCTGGGATTACAGACGTGAGCCACCGCATCAGGCCCCTTGTTTTCTTTTGTAGGGCTGATATGTTGACCCCTGGCTCTTTAAGATTTCCACTGCTCCAATTTACCTGGACCTCCCTAACCTCTTCAATATGTCTAGAATGAGTGAATAAACTGATCATTTTGCTCTCTCTGCTTGTCATTTCCCCCTTTTATCCAGGTCTCCCTTCTCTTGTGTGTAACTCCCTGATATCAAATCAGCAAGTGAATAGAGAAGTAGTTATTAACCGAAAGCTTTCTAATGTGCCATGTCAGGCACTGGTGGAGAAGGCAATGAAAGGCGCAGCATAGGTGCAGGGCCTGAGCTGGGAAGGAGCATGGTGCCATCCTAGAACTGGGGGGACCCTCACTGGGGCTATCGCAGTGAATGGAAAGACATTGGACAAGCCTGGGAGGAAGGTCTGATCTGCAGGAGCTGTAGGCCATATTAAGGATGTGGGCTTCAGTTTTGCAGGATTATAAGCAGGAGAGGTTATGGTGATGGGTCTCTTAAAGATCAGTTGAGTGCAGTGTAGAGAATGCATTGGAGGGGTCAGGAGGCAAGAGAAGAAAGACGCAAAGATAGGAGTTAAGTGTGTGTGGTTAGGAGGTGTGAGTGCAGTGAGTTGGGGGAGGAGGCAGTTTGGGATGATGGAGAAGTCCCTTGTGTGCCCATGCATATGTGTAGCTGAGAGGGAATGGAGATAAGACTGGGAATTGAGAAGCTCATGGTAATCCATGTGAATGTTGACCTCCCCCTGGCCACTGGTGAGCCAGCACTCTCTGCTGCCTTGTAATAGAATAGTGAAAACTATGTTAGATTATTAGTACAACTTTTTAATTTAATTTTATTTATTTATTGAGATGGAGTCTCGCCCTGTCACCAGGCTGGAGTGCAGTGGCGCTATATCAGCTCACTATAAGCTCCGCCTCCCGGTTTCACGCCATTCTCCTGCCTCAGCCTCCCGACAGCTGGGGCTACAGGCGCCTGCCACCACGCCCGGCTAATTTTTGTTTTTTTTCAGTAGAGATGGGGTTTCACCATGTTGGCCAGATGGTCTCGATCTCTTGCCCTCGTGATCTGCCCGCCTCTGCCTCCCAAAGTGCTGGGATTACAGGTGTGATCCTCTGCGCCCAGCCAGTACAATTTATTTTGTAAATTGACATTTGTCTTCTTTATTTTGCTTGACTTTTTATGTGTGTCTTCTTGTCACTCCACCTATATTGTTATCTCCTCACAAACCTGCTGGAGTCCTGGGAGGTTTCGTATTTCCTTTTGTATCTCTGGGGCTTCCATTCCTCTGGATTTCCTGGGATGAATAGTCAGTTTAAGCTGGAAAATCCATCTTTGAATTAATCCCAGCATCTGTTTAGAGTTTAGGGAAGAGAGAGGAAGAGACATAGCCTGACCAATATTGTCTTTATCCTTTCTTATTTTTAGGGTCATTTTAGTGAGATTTAGGAGAGGATATAAATATTTGTGCAAATTCTCATCTTAAACTTAAGACCTTATTAAAACATTAAAAACTGCTTTAGCATACTTTGTTTGAGGGCTTGGGAGTATCCATTTTGGTCATTTTTCTGTTATCATCTTCTTAGCCTAACAATAGCATTTGACACAGGTCACGGTCAATCAGTTCCTTTTTCAAACATGTTCTGCAGTTGGCTTCCAAGATGCCATACTCTGTCTTACTGTCCACTCAAACTTAGTCACCATTGCCACTTCTCCCAAACCTCTTACCATTGGCATGCCCAAAGCCTGGTCTTGGATCTCTTCTTGGTATCTACACCCTGCTTTGTGAGCTAGCCCCTCCTCATGGCTTCAAATAGCATCTTAAATTGATGATTATTTGTACCTCCAACCTGAATATTTCTCCTTAAGTCCAGATTGATCTCACCAATTGCCTACTCAACATTTCTAGGTGGATATGTAATACATGACTCACATATAACGTGCCCCAAACTTGCTCCTGACATCAGCCTCCAAAACCTGCTTTTCCAGAAGTCTTTACCATCTTACTAGATGGCTGTGCTGTCCTTCTAGTTGCTCAGATAAAAAATCTTGACTCCCCGCTTTCTCCATACCATGCATCCAGTCTACCCTCGCATCTTGTCAGCTCTGCCTTCACCATGTGTCTGGAGTCCAGCAGCACATCCACTGATGCTGTCTGGTCCAGGCTGCTATGACCTCATCCCTGGGTCACTGCTGGTGCCACCTCACTGGCCTGTGTCCACCCTTGCTCTTGCCTTCCTTCTCTGCACAGCAGCAGCGTTTCTGTTAGAACAGCCACTGTGGGCCGGGTGCAGTGGCTCATGCCTGTAATCCCAGAACTTTGGGAGGCTGAGGAGGGTAGATCACTTGAGGTCAGGTGTTCGAGATCAGCCTGGCCAACATGATGAAACCCTGTCTCTACTAAAATACAAAAATCCGCCGGCGTGGTGATGCATGCCTGTAGTCCCAGCTACTCGGGAGGCTGAGGCAGGAGAAGCGCTTCAACCCGAGATGAGGAGGTTGCAGTGAGCCGCACACTGCAGCCTGGGAGACAGAGGGAGACTCCGTCTCAAGGCTCCAGCCTGGGCGACAGAGCAAGACTCTGTTTCAAAACAACACACAAAAAAACAGTCACTCTGGTGCTCTGCCCACCCTAGCCCAGCTCTGCTGCTTCTTTGCTCTCCTCCCCTTCAATTCTCACTCTGCTTCAGCCCACTGATCTCCAGCTGTCCTCAGATACATCAAGGCCTCTCCCACCTTGTGGTTACTGTCCCTTCTGCCTGGAAGCATTTTCCTGGATGTACATGTGACTCACTCCCTGGCCTCTTCCAGCCCACACACCCACACTCACACTGGGAGCACGCAGACCACACCCTTCCTGAATCCATAGATTGAGCCGTCCCCTGCCTTCCCCACAGATGCCCTATCCTCCTCCTTCACTTTCTTCACTTAGTTTTTCCTCTCTAGCACTTACTACCATTGAACATTTCACATATTTTTCTTATTTGTTTTATTTGTTGTCTGTGTTTTTCTAGTACAATGGAAGCTGTGGGGCAGGGGAAGAGGATTTTTTGTCTGTTCCTTACTGCTGAAAATTGAATTTGGTCTAGAAGATAACTTTCTTCATCTTAGGAATGGTTGCTTAACTCCTCCAACTTTGCATTGATAGAAAAATCAAAGGTAGGCTGGGCACGGTGGCTCACGCCTGTAATCCCAGCATTTTGGGAGGCTGAGGCTGGCGGATCACCTGAGGTTGGGAGTTCGAGACCAGCCTGACCAACATAGAGAAACCCCGTCTCTACTACAAATACAAAATTAGCCAGGTGTGGTGGTGGGCACCTGTAATCCCAGCTAACTCAGGAGGCTGAGTCAGGAAAATCGCTTGAACCCGGGAGGCGGATGTTGCAGTGAGCCGAGATTGCGCCATTGCACTCCAGCCTGGGCAACAAGAGCGAAACTCCGTCTCAAAAAAAGAAAAAAAAAAAGAAAAGAAAAAAGAAAAAAAACAGAAAGAAAAGTCAAAGATAGGAACAGCAATCAATAGCAAATAGCAGGACAAAATAAAAGGGACATAAAGAATCATTTGGTTACAAAATGAGCATTTTTACTCATATTTTTTAGTGGTTTTATTTACTTTCTCATACAGGAGTTCGTTTTAATCTTTATAGCAATGACTTTTTAAAAAAATCAGTGATTATCCCATTTTTATTGGTAAGGACACAGAAATAGGCATTTTGTCCACCTGTAGACACCATGTAGCTGGCAAAGCCAAGACCATTATGCAACTTTGCTTGCGTGAAAACAGGATAATTCAACATTTCAAAAGTGAAATTTCCTTCTTCTATGTGGAAAAGAAAGGGGTAACTGAAGGAAACTTACTATTGTTACCTGGGGGCAGCAGGGTTAAGGGAAAGCAAAATGGCTCTTCCTGATTTCTTCATTAGAGATGTGCACTTCTGATCATATATTGGCCTTCCTTTACAGCAGGTTCTTGAATAACATCATTTCATTCAATGTCATTTTCTTACAACATTGACTAGAAAGCAATTCCTGGCGCGGGGCCACTGTCTGTGTGGAGTTTGCATGGTCTCCCCATGTCTCTGTAGGTTTCTGCAGGTACTCTGGTTTCCTCCCACATTGCAAAGCCGTGCATGTGAGGTGAACCATGGTGTCTGCTTGGTCCCAGTGTGAGTGTGGGTGTGTGTGGGTGCACCTGCGGTGGGGATGGCATACTGTCCAGGGTTGGTTCCCTCCTTGCACCCTGAGCTGTTGGGACACGATCTGGCAGACTCAATTAATTATTCCTGATAATGGAAGAATTGAGTAAATAGCTATCTTACTTGTTCTTATTAATCTTACTTAAATGTATGTATAGCTCACATTTATTTCAATGCTTAATAGTTAGAAGCGTTTGGGGCTTTTATTTAGAAGTTTGGTGATGTTTTCATGGCCAGAAATATGCTCCAGGAACTTAACTCTTGTTTATATCAATGAACCTATGATACAACTGCTTTTGTTATACGTCGTTTCACTTAAAGTGGCAGTTTCTAAGACTCTATCAATGATGTTAAGTGAGGACTTACTGTATCTGGAAGCTATCATTTGCTCAAATTTTCATCGCTCTTTCAAAATAAAATAGCCTAAGTGGGTATCCCCGTCAGCGTTTACCAGCAGATCAAAAAATCTTACTGTACCCTACCACTTCTGGAAATGTTCCTACTTATGGGAATTCTTGATGGGGTTCTGGCTTTAAAAAGCCCCAGTTATGATGATGAACCAACTTTATTATGTATAGTACATACAAGATATTGGAAGACAGAGACCACAAACTCTAATTCGATGCTTCTCAATCACATGTAAGTTATGGTCAAGAAATATATAGGTTGTATTTTTTATGATAAATGTTACTAAAAATCAGGGAAGAAAGGAAGGAAAAAGGAGGGGAGGGAGGGAGGAGGAGGAAGGAAGGAAAAAAACAGGGGCTCCAATTTTGATCTTTTAAAAATCTTGAGAATTTATTAATCCTGCTATTCTGACTGGCAAGTTGAGAAACAGCATCAGGATTTTATAGCCTATACATGACAAGACATCACTAAATCAGACTAATTGAGGGCAGAGAAAGTTAGAATCATCACAAAGTAAAATTATAGCATATAAAGAAATGCAGCCTTTTCATATTTTTGCTTATACTGTATCTCCAATTAAATAGTAACTAAGTGTTGCAAAGTATAGGTCCTGAAGGGTGGGCCTCCTTTTAATGAGTAGTTAAGAGCCATTTTAATCAGCAGGTTGTTTGTAAACATATGAACAAGTATAAATTATTTTCAGTGGGTTAAATATTTTTGCTGAAATATTTTCCCCCTGAATTTCTGCTTGGTAAGCTTTTGGCCGTAGCCTAGCCCAACTAAACTGCAGCCTCGTCTAGGTTACATAAGGACACGGGGTTTCAGCTTGAACCCTAGCCTTTCACATTTGCTAAGGCCCAGACTTCCAGGCTGGTGGGGAGAATGTCAGGCTTGCTTCCCCTTGTTGTCAGCCTTATCCAGTCACATTCCACCTTCTTGTGAGTTCTTGTTGCTCATGGGAAATGCCAGTGTCCTATTTTTAGAAGAGCAGCCCTCAAACTGGTACCCTTTGAAATCTACTTCAAGGACTTTGAAATGCAGGAACTCTTATTCTCTGGTTCACAGTTTGCAATTTCAGATAGCCACACATCTACAGTGCTATCTCCTAGGAAAGCCTTCCCGAAGTCTCAGTTATGCTCCCCTTTTCTGCTTCTCTCTCCTACCTGTACCCTTAGCCCTTGCTCTCTTCTTTCTTATTTTGTGTCCTTCTCTGGACTGTAGGTTCTTTGAATACTGAGACCTTCCAGTTATTCTTTCTTCTATCCCAAACACCTGGCATAGTGAGTGGCATCCTATCTAAGCAAACCACTGGGACCCACTGGATACAGCAGCTGGTCTCTTTCCAGAAGCTGAAGCTGACAACTACCTAGACCCCCTTTGGCCACATAAAGATGGAGGCTGCCTGGCCTCAGGAGGCGTGTCCTGGGGCAGTGTTGTGGGCAGGATGGGCGGGGATGGGGTAGGGAGAATCCATGCCCAAGATTCAGCTCCTGGAGGAACAGGGTGCTGTCTGGAGCATTTCTCTCACGGGAAAGTCTGCCGAGCCTGTCTTCCGTCACCCTTTCTTATCGCCCCTTCGTCTATCCTCACCTACATTTCTTCCCTCTTGCCCAACCTGAGAAAGAGACGTTTAACTTAATAACATCTCTTCAGAGTGTTTAAAAATGATGGACAAACTTACATGTGAAACTATAAAACTTCTAGAAAATTCATAAGAGAGAGGACTTAGGACTGGGTGAAGACCTGTTAGACTTGATGCCAAAAACAATCCATAAGAGGAAAAACTGATCAATTAGAACACATCAGAATCAACCTTTGCTCTGGGAAAGAGTCTGCTGAAAGGATGAAAAAACAAACTAGATGAGAGAAAATACTGCATTCGCAAATCGCATATTCAACAAAGTCCTTGCACATAAATATATAAAGACCTCTCAAAACTCAATAGTTTAAAAAAATCTGATTAGAAACTGGACAAAAGACACACACACCTCATCAAGGGGACATGCAGGTGGCAAGTAAGCCCATGAAAAGCTGTTCAATGTCATTAGCTTTTGAAGAAATGCAAATTCTTAATAAAACCACAAGGTATCATTACACACAAATCAGAATGGCTAGAGTGAAAAAATAGTGAAAACATCATATGTTGGCAAGGATGCAAAGAAACTGGATCACTCCTACATTGGTGGTAGGAATATAAAATGAGACAGCCACACTGGAAAACAATTTGGTAGTTCCTTTCAAAACTAAAAATGAATTTACCATACAACTTATCATTTCAATTCTTAGGCATTTATTCCAGAGAAATGAAGAGTTATTTTCACATGGGGATTTGTACAGGAATGTTCATAACAGTTTCACGGTTTTCGTATAATATTTTTCTTGTTATTTTATTATTTATATTTTTAGAGACAAGTTCTCTCTCTGTCACCAAAGATGGAGTAAAGTGTCACAGTCATAGCTCACTGTAGCCTCTACCTCCTAGGCTCAATCCTCCCACCTCAGCCTCCTGAGTAGCTGGGACTACAGGTGCACACCACCACACCCTGCTAATTTTTAAACTGTTAAATGTAGAGATGAGGTCTCACTATGTTGCCCAGGCTAGTCTTGAATTCCTGGGCTCAAGTGATCCTCTTACCTTGGCATCTTAAAGTGTTGGGATTACAGGCATGAGCTACTGTACCCAGCCACTATTTTTATAATAGCAAGAAATTTGGAAACCACTCAAATGTCCTTCAATAGGTGAATTTAGGCCGGGTGCGGTGGCTCACACCTGTAATCCCAGCACTTTGGAAGGCTGAGGCGGGCAGATCACGAGGTCAGGAAATCAAGACCATCCTGGCTAACACAGGGAAACCTCGTCTCTAGTAAAAATACAAAAGATTAGCCGGGCATGGTGGTGGGCTCCTGTAGTCCCAGCTACTCGGGAGGCTGAGGCAGGAGAATGGCGTGAACCCGGGAGGCGGAGCTTGCAGTGAGCCGAGATGGCACCACTGCACTCCAGCCTGGGTGACAGAGCCAGACTCCGTCTCAAAAAAAAAAAAAAAAAAAAAAAAAGGTGAATTTTTACTGTGGATTACTATTCTGATAAAAAGGAAGGAACCATTGATACATGCAACAACTTGTATAAACCTCAAGGAAGTTACGGTGATGAACAAACATAATTCCAGCAGGTTACGTACTGTATGGTTCCATTTATGTAATGTTCATGAAGTAACATAATTATAGAGAGGGAGAACAGGTTAGTAGTTGCCAGGGGTTAGGGACTGGGGAGAGAGGATGGGTGTAGGCTGTAAGGAGTAACATGAGAGAGTCTTGTGGTGAAGGCATAGTTAAATCCCTCAGTGGTGGTGGTGGTTATGGTTATACAAGAAAGACTACATTGTGATAAAGTTGCAGAGAGCTGTGCACACTACACACACACACACACACACAGACACACAGAGTACATGTATAACAGGTGAAATCTGAATAACATGTTTGGAATGTACCAATGTCAATTTCTTGGTTTGAATATTGTTCTAGAGTTATGTAAGGTATTCTTCACATTGGAGGGGCTGGGTGTGGGTAGCTTGTACTACCCTGTACATTTCTTTGCAACTTCTTGTTTTATTTTCTTTTTTGAGACACAGTCTTACTCCATCACCCAGGCTGGAGTGCGGTGGTGCAATCTCAGCTCACTGCAACCTCTGCCTCCTGGGTTCAAGCAATTCTTATGCCTCAGCCTCCCAAGTAGCTGGAATTATAGATGTGCACCACCACACCTGGCTAATTTTTGTATTTTTAGTAGAGACAGGGTTTTGCCATATTGGCCAGACTAGTCTTGAACTCATGGCCTCCAGTGATCCACCTGCCTCAGCCTCCCAAAATGCTGGGATTACAGGCGTGAGCTACCACGCCTGGCCAACTTCTTGTTAATCTACGATTGTTTCAAAATAAAAGGTTTTATAGAACAGTGGATATTTTATATATGTGTAGCCTATATGATGAATTTATAGATGCTAACAACCTAATTAACAAAGGGATGGACATTTTTGGAGAGCTGGAAATGAATCCTCCTAAGTCTAAAATCCTATTCTTGCTAGGAAATAAAATTATAGGTATTCCACACTCAGATGCTTTTGAGAGGATATTTAGCTTGATGTCATCACATTGGATTGATACCAGGAATCAGTGTATTGTGCGCTTGAGAAGAGCAGAGGTGCAAGTCAAAAGAGATATGTCTTACCACTGCAGGCAGTTCAAAGAAGTGTTATTGGAAAAGGAAACAGAAAGAGTAAAGATATCCCACTGTGTCATGGGGCAGAAAGAAACAGGACATGATCTTTTGCTGTTGTTACTAAATATAGGTACTATCTTTTAAATTAGCCATGTTGTATTTATGTTTTCTTTGTAAAAGTCGTACATTTATATGTGTTAAGAATACACAACATATAAAGCCTACAAAATTTAAATAACAAATAGAGACTTTTTGTTTTTAATTTTTTTTGAGACGGAGTTTCTCTTTTGTTGCCTAGGCTGGAGTGCAAGGGCGCCATCTTGGCTCACCACAACCTCCGCCTCCCGGGTTCAAGTGATTCTCCTGCCTCAGCCTCCTGAGTAGCTAGGATTACAGGCACCCACTGCCACTCCCAGCTAATTTTGTATTTTTAGTAGAGATGGGGTTTCTCCATGTTGGTCAGGCTGGTCTTGAAGTCCCGACCTCAGGTGATCCACCCGCATCAGCCTACCAAAGTGCTAGGAAGACTTTTTAAAAAAATAGTTAAAATAAACTCCTGTATCAGAGAACAGAAAGAAACATTTAAAAGTATTGTTATATTTTTCTCACACATTGCTTAATTTGTTCTACTATTAATTACTATCATTAACTAGTTCTATTGTTGTTCTGTTTAAATAATAACATTTATGTTACAGAAAAGTAAATAATACGGAATAATATATTTCACCTCCACATCTTTTCTGTGTTAAAGCAGTAACACGTGTGTAATTACTTCTTTTATGTTTGTCTTAGTCCATTTGTGTTGCTATAGCAAAATATCATAGATTGGGTAATTCATGGACAGTATAAATTTATTTCTCACTGTTTTGGAAGCTGCAAGGTCCAAGGGGGCTGCGCCAGTGGGTTTGGTGTCTTTGAGGGCTGCTCTCTGCTTCCAAGTTGGCACTTTGTGGCTGTATCCTCTAGAGGGGAGGAAGACTGTTTTCTTACATGACAGAGGCAGAAAAATGATGGATGGGTAAAAAGGGGTGATCTCTCTCCCTCCAGCCCTTTTATCAGGTCAGTAATCTCATTCATGAGGGCTCTGTCTCCATGACTTAGTTGCCTCTGAAGGCCCCACTTCATAATACTATGACATTGGTGATTAAGTTTCAACTCATGAATTTGGGGGGATATTCAGACCATAGCAATGTTATGTTGTTATGGTTTTTGTCATTATCACTGTGTCCCAGGTTGACTCTTTAAAAGTTGATCATCCCGGCTGGGCGCAGTGGCTCAGGCCTGTAATCTCAGTACTTGGGAGGCTGAGGCAGGTGGTTCACGAGGTCAGGAGATGGAGACCATCCTGGCCAACACGGTGAAACCCCGTCTCTACTAAAATACAAAAAATTAGCCAGGCGTGGTGGCGGGTGCCTGTAGTCCCAGCTACTCGGGAGGCTGAGGCAGGTGAATGGCGTGAACCCGGGAGGCGGAGCTTGCAGTGAGCTGAGATTGTGCAACTGCACTCCAGCCTGGCGACAGAGCAAGACTCTGTCTCTCAAAAAAAAAAAAAAAGTTGATCATCCCACAGATAACGTAACAATAGTGTCAGCAAGAAGCAGCAGTAAGTCCAGTTGAAACTGGCTTCCTGATCCACCTCTGTATTTCCTTTGAGGTGAGGATAGTGAAGAGTGTACCAAGCTGCTCACACATTTACTTCCTCCTCCTGACACCACAGTGGTTGTGTTTTCTCCCTATTAGAGAGTGCTCTGGATTTAGTGCCACAAGTTAAATGTATTCTTGAATAATCATACCCAACAAAGACAGGAGACAAAGGGAGTATGAAGTTAAAGAAGAAAAAAACTGGAAAAATTTTAAAAGAAATTGTTTCTGGCATGTAGTAAGAGGTATCTATCTCCTCTCTCTCTCTCTGTCTCTCTCTGTCTCTCTCTCTCTCTCTTTCCCCGTCCATCTATTTACCTATTTGTTGAATAGTTAAAAAAAGAATGAATGAATATGTGACCGAAAAGTATGCTAAATGTTGCTAAGTTTTCCAGTCCAGCTAATTGTGGAGACTCTCTCAAAAGGATTTAGAGAATACAGATTTGAAATCTTTTGGGTGTTTATCACATTTCTTAGTTGACTTAAACTGATTCTACATGTTAGAGTATCATGTTTTGTGCTTTTTGTTTTTTTTTTTGCAGCTAGGGTCTCGCCCTGTGGCCTAGGCTGGAGTGCAGTGGCGCGATCATAGCTCACTGCAGCCTCAACCTCCTGGGGTCAGGTGATCCTCCCACCTCAGCCTCGCCAGTAGCTGGGACTACAGGCAATTTTGTGCTATTTTAGGCACCAGTTCCTTGCTGCATTCAGGATATCAGTGAAATGAATTTGGCTTTGTCAGAATGTTTCCAAACAATCCAGAGACAGGAAGCCCCACCCTTTGAAAACACACACTCTTGCAACCATATACTTAAGCTGAGCTGGGATTTTGTATGTTTTTAAATGTGCCCAGCTTTTATAAAACTTTTGATTTTCATATAATATGCACTCCGTTATGGAAATATTAATCACATTTAAAATTACACACATTTAAAATTAGAGCTTTTCATGGAAACAAAGTATTAATATATAGTTTTATAATAAGCACTGTAAGACCTACAGATAACCACATCTCACATTGGCCTCATAGTCAGGGATGAAAAAGATCTTCAGCTTTTAACCTAGATCACTGAAAGTTATAGCTATAAAGGATCTTGGAATTCATCCAGCCCACTTCTCCTGGCCCCCAACAAGCCCCTCTCATTACCCCTCCTCCATTCTGCAGATGAGGAAACTTCATTCCCAAAAGACCTTTTCCAGATTATTTCCATCAGGTTCTTTCTGATGCCTTCGCCATGTGTGTCCACACTTTGTTAAGAGAACATTATTTTATTATTAGGTAGAATGATAATGAATCTATTGGCTTTTCCTCAGCTCTTTGTGTTGCCTTTTCAGAAAGACAAAACAGGACAAAACAGGAGCAGAAGAACAGAAGTTCTCCCCAAAGCGCAGAATCCCTGTGGGGACCCTGGTTTCTGCCGGTTTTTGCTGCACTTGAAGCTCAGCTGCAAGTTTTAATTTGTCCCCTTCAAGTTTAGTTTCACAAATAATGAAGCTGCCACCAATTTTTCTTAGCTTTTACTGTCCATTCTTTCCGTTCACCATATTTAATTATCTTTTTGTGTCATTAACCTCATTGAATAATGTTAACTCCAAAGTCATGGTTCAAAAAGATACTTGAAACATTTACTGGATAGAAGTTTGCTACTGCAAAATAGTATAAAACATCTCAGGCCGGCTGTGCGGTGGCTCATGCCTGTAATCCCAGCACTCTGGGAGGCCAAGGCAGGTGGATTGCGAGGTCAGGAGTTCAAGAACAGCCTGGCCACGATGGTGAAACTCTGTCTCTACCAAAAACACAAAAATTAGCTGGGCGGGTGGTGCCCGCCTGTAATCCCAGCTACTCTGGAGGCTGAGGCAGAGAATTGCTTGAACCTGGGAGGTGGAGGATGCAGTGAGCCGAGATCTCGCCACTGCACTCCAGCCTGGCAACAGAGTGAGACTTTGTCTCAAAAAAAAAAAAAATCCCTATTTACTCACAAGATTCTTAAGCTTTAAAAAATATACTTACGGCCGGGCCCAGTGGCTCATGCCTGTAATCCCAGCACATTGGGAAGCCGAGGTGGGCCGATCACGAGGTCAGGAGATTGAGACCATCGTGGCTAACATGGTGAAACCCTGTCTCTACTAAAAATACAAAAAATTAGCCGGGCGTGGTGGCAGGCGCCTGTAGTCCCAGCTACTCAGGAGGCTGAGGCAGGAGAATGGCATGAACCCGGGAGGTGGAGCTTGCAGTGAGCCGAGATCGCGCCACTGCACTCCAGCCTGGGGACAGAGCAAGACTCCGTCTCAAAAAAAAAAAAAAAAAAAAAAAAAAAAAAAAAATATATATATATATATATATATATATATATATACTTACAAAAATTATATTGCATCTTTAAAAATATAAATGAGGAGGTTGGATAAATTAGCATGTAAATGTGGGTGGCGTTGTGTGAGTAGTCATTTTAATATACTGAGAATAGCTATATTCATCAAAGATTAAAGTATCAATTAATTTAAAAATACTTTCCAAGTAGGCCGGGTGTGGTGGTTCACACCTGTAATCCTAGCAATTTTGGGAGGTTAGAGCAGGCAGGTCACTTGAGGTCAGGAGTTCAAGATTAGCCTCCCAACATGGCCAAATCCCATCTCTACTAAAAATACAAACATTAGCAGGATGTGGTGGTGTGCACCTGTAATTCCAGCTACTCGGGAGGCTGAGACATGAGAATTGCTTGAACCCGGGAGGCAGAGGTTGCAGTGAGCTGAGACTATGCCACTGCACTCCAGCCTGGGTGACAGAGCGAGACTGTCTCAAAGAAAACAAAAAATTTTCCAATTAAATAGCTACTATTATGGAGAAATATTTAACTATCTTGAATTTTTCTTTTACAAGTATAGTATTTTGCTAATGATACTAAGATTAACTACACAATCCTTATACGTATATTATTACAAATTATGTGATTCTGCTAAATTGATCAGATTTACTTGAGCTTTTTAAGATGAAAATGTTTTGGTATTTTCTTTTAGTAAAAAATACCTCTACTAGAAGATCCACATGTACTTCTGTGGCTTCTATATAGAACTTTTTTTTTGTGGCACTCTAAATATTCCCTCATTAATCCTTATACCTGGATCCAACATTTGCAAGCAAAAACCTTTGGCAAGGAGGAAACATGATTTGTTCTCAGAGTACACAGAGTGGAATCTGCTTTGCAGGAAAGTGTGCCAGCCAAGTTGATGTGTGCTAGGGTGGCCCAGTGTGGCCCTTAGGGGAGGAAAAGCTAGGCGGCCTCTCACAGGGATGTGTGTTCTCTCCACACACTGGCCACTTGGGTTGCAGAATTGTGTCAGGGGAGAAAGGCCAGGCCATCTGCCAGCAATCTCAATGACTGTTTCCGTAGTGTCTGGTCATAGTTGACCAGCGGCAAAGCCAGACCTTTTTAGTCTTCCAAGGAAAAAAAGTTCTACATAGTTTATCTTCCCACATCTGCCTCTATCAGTGGAGTAACTACTTGGTTTGATAGTACTTCATATACACAAAAGGAAGTAGTCTACCTAAGCCTTCCATTGCCTTTAGACAGTTTCCATATATACCATTTTCTAGTGACATGGAATTCCCATTCAGACATCCTTATTGAGTACATGGCATGTCCCTCACAGTGCTAAGAAGCTAAGACAGTTTTCTGCATATGTGTATAGTACTTCTATAGGTTTATCCTTATGTATCAGTCAGTCATTGCCATGTAACAAACCACCTCAGTATTTAGCATATTAAAAAACAATCATGATTCTGTGCGTCGGCAAATCTGGCTCAGACAGCTAGACTTGCCTGGGCTGACTCTGCAGATGCAGTCAGTTTGTGGCTTGGCTGGGGCTGTGTGGTCTACAATTCCCTCACTCATATGTCTACAGGTTGGCAGACCCTCAGCCAGGGTCTCATTTCTTTTCCACATGACCTCTCCAGCAAGCTAGTCTGAACTTCTCCTGTGGTAGGCCCAGGGCTCTCAGCCGCCCCAATGCCCTAGTGCTTTTCAAGCCTCTGCTTGTGTCATGTTTACCCTTTAACTAAAGCAGTTCTCACTGCTGACCAGATTCAAGGGATGGAAGAAAAGACTCCATCTGTTGATGAGAAGAGCCACAGTGGCACATCCAAACAGGGACAGGAATAATGTATGGCAATTATTTACAGTCTACCTATTTTAGCTGACAGAAATATTTCAGTTTTTATGTTATTGTTGATTTGCGTGATAAAGAACTGTCAAATGTACACCAACATTTAAACATACTCCAAAGAAAGATGAATAATACAATAAACCCTCCATGTGCTCATCGCCTGATTCACCAATTTTGAATATTTTGCCGCATTTGCTGCCTCTATTTTTTATTTTTCTCTTTGCTGAAGTATTTAAAAGCAAATCCCAAACATGTCATTTCAACTGTAAATATTTCAACATGTATCTCCTAAAAAGGGGTCCCTTCCTTATGTAGTCATGATGCCATTGTCACATCTAGGTCCCATCTAACACTCAGTCCATAATCAAATTTCTCTAGTTGTCTTTAAAATGTCGTTTTACAGTGAGTAGATTTGAAAAGAAATCCACATAAAATCCACAGCAGTCCCATTTTCCTTTTCTTTTTTATTAACTTGTTTTTAAAATGGGGTCTCTTTTCCTATATAGGCCCTCCCACATCCGTCTGTAAAGCTTGCCTTTGGAGTCATTTAACTTGTACCTCCTTCCCTTGTATTTCTGTTTATGCACATTAGCCCTGTAGACTGGATTTCATTCAGGTTTCACTTTTTGGCAGGAATCCTTCATAGATACTACTGTGTGCTTCCAATTGCCTCACATGGGAGGCATAAATGTTTGCTTGTCTTGCCTTCAGTGATGCTAAGATTGATCATTTGATCCTTTGATGATCACTGCCTGAATCTATTATTTCATTAAGTAGTACAGGATGATGATTTTCTATAATTCCTTCCAGATTTATTAAGAAAAACTTTCCCTCAGCAATTAGAGTTATTTGGCTATCTGAAATAAAGTTCATACAAAATATATTCTCCTCTTTCTCCTCTTTTAATTGACAGCTTACAGAGTACGGACTTGGTTCCCAAGTTTTATCCAGGGGTGTTCAATAGGTTATTGTTTGTTTTGGGGGCTCTCTTGCTTTCCTGCTCTTTTTTGTTATTGTGAATTAATGGGTTTTAGATATTCAGGGTTTTTCAGTCAGGTGCATTCTTTTTCTTTTCTTCCTTTGTTTGTTTCTTTTCTTTTGAGGATCAAATTGTATCATCTTTGGCCAATAAGAGCTACTTGTTGTTGGCTTCTGTATCCTTTTGACTCATTATTCTTTGAGAACTTCCTTGCTTTCTGGCCCAAAATGTCCCAATATTATCTTGTATATTTCTTGCTCCAGACCTGTAATCAGCTGTTCCTAGTTGGAGATTACAATACGGACATTAGGAGTACTCCTTGCTATTGAATTTCCATTACTCCCAGTCCTTTTCAATGGCCAGAGCTAGGCATTATATTAAAAAAAAATTAATGCTGAGTTTTTCAACTTAAACTAGAATTGCAAAATCTTAACTTTTTTTATTTTATACTTGTTTCTCTTTTCTCTTAAACAGAAAATCTTGGTTTCTAACAACATTAACACACATTAATATATATTAGTGTAATAATATGTAATATTAGCATTATTATACACTAATATATAATAATGTTAATATTACTTTGAAATTCTTATATATTTATATGTAGCTTCAAAACTATTATATACATAGTATGGTAATGTTCATATAAATTGATGTGTGTTAATTGCTAATAGACGTAAAATGTACTAATATATATTACATCATATATTAGACAATACATTATATATAATTATTATACATTTATCATATAAATAATATTATTCTGACATGTGTAATTACATATTAGATGACATGCTAATGAATATGTAACAGTTTTAGTTGATGTACACATACACACATATAGAGCAGTTTCAGAGTAATAGTGTTATTACTAAAAGACTACTGAATTAAATTTAAGATTTTTTTACAGTGCCACTTTCATTAGAATATGCTAGTATCATTGGAAATAATTCTTTTATCTATTTAGTTAGGTCACTGATTTAATGTAAATTAATTTTCTTTCTTCAATTTGTTTTCAGCTTTTAGAGATGGCTTTTTTTTTAAATTTCATTGTATTTTTTTTTTAATGTAAGAATTTTTGTTTCCAGAGCCAAAGTGGTTTATAGGGCATATCTAGAAAAGTCTCATATCATTGCTGCCCTCTGTCTCCTCTAAAAGTAACCATTATTACTTGTTCTTAGTTTTCCTTCCAGTGTTTCTTTTTACAGATGTGTATTTATCGTCCTTTAAAACATTTTTAAAATAAAAAGTATGCTTACCTCTTTTTAAAATGCAGTGTTTTAGCAAGTTCTACTAATTTTTCTGTATTTTACATTTATTTGTTTTGAAAGACTTATTATAAAGGTTTTATAACACACACATTGTAAAAAAATGCAAACATTATACTCTGGGGGAGTCTTCTGCTGCTTTTAAGAAATCTTTTTTTTTTTTTTCTTTTTTTTAAGGCAATGAATTTGGCACTCCCTGCCATCTTGGGAGGACAGACTAATCTAAAGAGCTGTAAATTTCTTCTACTCTCCCCTTAGTGTTTGAGGCTCAGAAATGTCTCACAGCAGTTCTTTCATAAAGGTGAGCATGAGGAAAAAAGTTTCCTGAACTGAATCAGAAATGTGAAACTCCACGTGGACCCTCTATGTGACTTTGTATTTATGCTCTCTGCCTCCTCCAGGCACCCTCGCACACCTAAGCTTATGAAAGTCCAGAGGCTCGAAAGTAACATGTCCAAAATAGTTTTCACATTTGGAAAGTAGGAGGAATTGGCAAAATTGGAAGCATATAAGAGAAATTAAAGAGTTAAAACAGGCAGAACTTGATGCAATTTAATTATACTGTACCCACGTTAATCGTTTAGTTTTCAACAAATGTCCCATAGTTATGCAAGATATTAATATTAGGGGAAGTCAGCAGGAACTCTCTGTACTATCTTTGCAACTTTTCTGTAAAGCTAAACTTATTCTGAAACAAATTGTACTTAACACACACACATAGAGCCGGCCAAGAGCCAAGACTTAGAATTGGGGCCCGGCATGGTGGCTCATGCCTGTAATCTCAGCACTTAGGGAGGCCAAGGCGGTGGATCACTTAAGGTCAGGAGTTCGAGACCAGCCTGGCCAACATGGTGAAACCCCGTCTCTACTAAAAATACCAAACAAACAAACAAACAAAAAACCTAGCCAGGCATTGTGGTAGGCTTCTGTAATCCCAGCTACTGAGGAGGCTGAGGCAGGAGAATCTCTTGAACCCGTGAAGTGGAGGTTGCAGTGAGCAGAGATCAAGCCACTGGACTCCAGCCTGGGCAACAGAGCAAGACTCTACCTCAAAAAAAAAAAAAAAGACTCAATTCATTCAGTTCCAAAGAACACATTAACAAATTAAAAGAAATAACCTGAGAGAGCAAAATGGGTAAGTGATGTAATAGGCAAATGATATACCATTGTTGTCTACCAGATAGGTGAAACTATAAAAGATTAATATTATCAAGTGTTCATATGGGGGGAGAGGAGGAAACAAAATAAGCTGATCTGGTTTTCTTAGACGGCAATTTGGCAGTATCAGTGAAATTTTTTTTTAAGTAAGCATATTCTTTAATCCAGAAAATAATTCCTTTTTGGATGTCTCTCCTAGAGAAATACTTATACATGTATACAAAAAGATATATATATATTTTTTTGTTGTTGTTGTGACATTATAATAGAAATAATCTTAGTTTGATAAACTATAATGCACCCATATTATGGAATACTAAACAGCCATTTTAAAATGATGAAGCAGATTTTCATTATTTGATATAATCTCCAAGGTGAAATATTACATTAAAAAGTTATGGAATATAAATATTATCTATCATTAGTTTAAAACACACAAAACCATACATTCTTATATTCATATATTCTCTCTCTCCTCTGTCTCCACACATACATATCACGTAAATAAATATACAGAAAGTGATCTAGAAATACACTCTCTAGTTAGGCTTAGATCATGGTATTCCTGGGTAATTATAGGAATGGGAATGCAGTGGATGTTGTTCTGTTGGACTTTAAAAAATATATCAATTGCATGAATCTTTTACAGAAGGACTGTATGCCAGTATTACTTGTGAAATTAAAGTGGGGAGGGGGAAGAATGCCAAAAGACCTGGGCATGCATTCACAACAGAAAGACCTAGTTGTGGCAGACGACTCTTGAGAAGCTTGTCACAAACTGACAGAACAGTATCTGCAGGAAGAGGTGGACTCAGAGCTGCCTCTATAATCTAGGGGCCCTTTGTTTCAAAGGGAGGAAAAAAGTGTCATTAAAGGTACACCTAAAGCTTTTTCTTTTCTTCCAGGGTTTCCATCCTGACTTGTCATGTTTTTTATGCACTATTTCATGTTCAGAGTAAAGAACAATTAAAAATGTGAATTATCAGCATGAATTTTACTGTTTATATTGTGCAACACCAGTTTTAAATGCAAATTTCAGAATATTTAACTCATGTGGAGTCACTGAAATTACACAGTTTATATTCTGTGGCTTGTCCCTGGAGGATGCCTCAAGCCGGCTAGAAGAGACTGAACACAGCCAGACTCGGGAAGGCTGGAAGGAGGGAGAGGATCCCATCCCCAGGCAGGGAAACAGCCCAGAGAACACTCTGGCCCTGGGGCCCTAGAGGATTAGGGGTGGGTAATCAGAGCAAATACAGACGGTCAGAGGGCCCTGGGGTCCCACTAATGTGTGCTGGGCCTGATAGCTTGCTGTGATGACATTCATGCAAACCTCCTGACCTGAATGCCCTGCTGGGGACAGGGTTTGGGGACTTTGAGCCACGGGCCTATTGCTCCAACCCACAGCAGATGGTAACCACCAAGGATCCTTAAACCTCCATGACTGGATCTGGAATCCGGGCTGGGCCAAAGGCTCACCCTCACCAAGAGATTGCCTCCAGCCAGGCAGCCACCAGACAGAAAGTGATACTGCCCGTTTGGGGCTTTTGTGCACTCAAGATGCTGTGGGTATGCATACTTAAACCCCACACCTTGCTTGGATCCCTTTCAGCAGTGGCAGTGGAGCAGAGTGGGAGAGGACCAGCAGGGGTATCAAGAGCTGTGGGAGCGGGCAGCCCAGATACCCTCCTAGGAGGCGACAGGACCCTGTGAGAGCAGAGGCCCCAGTCCCCAGTGTGTGCCTCATTTTCCCATTGACCTTCACTTACAAAACACACATCCAAAACGAAAGTCCTTACAATTCAAGACAGCAACCACATTAAACCCCAACTGCAAGCCCTTCTGCCCTAGGGTCTTGTATACCTGCAGTAGTGCACACCTTGGTAGGTAGCCTGGGGAGCCCTGACTGTGTTTAAGATGGGAAACACTAGAAGACGCTTGAATTCTCAGAGGTAGAATTCATTAGCTAAGGACAGGATGAAGATGATACAGAAAGAGGACACAGCTGAGAGGGTCAGCCCCCCAAGATGGAATTCATAACCCTTGGGGGGAAGATGGAGAGGAAAAGCGGATGCCCAGGGTAGACTTGTCAGTGTTTTGGCAGGAAGGGAAGGGAGTTTCTATTCCTTAATGTCTGTTTTCTCTATGGATTATGAGATGAGATGTTTTGCCTGGGCTGGGGAGGGAGTCTTAAAGGAATCATAGGAAAGTGTAGATCAGAGTGGAGAAGCTGTGAAGAATGGAGGACAAACCGCTAAGGGATGAGCCAGAGGCCTGTATGCCAGCCTGCCTGGATTCCAGTCATGGATTTATGGAGCTTCCGACCTGCCTGGTTGTGCAATATTTGGGACCCTGAAAAAAGAAAACTCCACCTTAGCCCCAGTCAGAGGTAAGGGTAGCCCCATAGGAGGAATTCTTTCGAGGAATAACTTTCTGTATACGGAATTGAATTTAAAAAGACTTGTTTTTTAGTGTTTATGTCTTTTTAAAAAAAAAAAAATGAAATGGTGTTGGTAATAGCTTTCTTTTTGTATTTCTAAACTGTGGTAATATGTACATAATATAAAATTTGCCATTTTAATTATCTTTACATATACAGTTTATAATGTTTGTTTTAAAATGTTTTTACTTTATAAGATTAAAAAGTTGGTACTCCTATATTGCACCTCTAAGATCGTTTTAAAATTTTTACTGGTCTATGAAATTTAGAAACATTATGAGCCTTAAAAGAATCTTTCCCCCATTTAACATTGTTACATGACTTTATTGGCAGAGGAAAATTCTGTAACAATTTGTAGAATCTTTAATGGTATGGCATAGGAGTGGAATCAGGATTACTTTTGGTTGTTATAACATCTTGATAAAGTGCTTCTCCTTCTAATATTTTGTATATATTCTCTTCTCTGACATTATCGAGATTGTCTAATGCTTCACTACCGTAAATAAATACTTCCTCTTTGTCAAGCGTAAACTCACAGTTCATATAAAAATAACATAAATATGCTTTCCTAAGGATCTTTTTTGCAATTAAAACCATACATATACATATATACAAATTAGGTGTGGATATAGTTGTTCATTTGGTCAAGGCTGTTTTGTTAAGTAGTTCTATCTAAAATGTGTAAAGATTTTGCACACATAATGCTTTTTTCATTCTGAGCCGCAGACACCAAAAATCCCACAGGAAGTTGTCTTTTAAGTGTTGTGGTTTTTTAGTTTCCTGTTCAGTTGCAGAGATGATCAGAAATAAGATAAATCTGTACAATCGAAAGAGATTTGTGGTTAAACATTATAGTAACTCTAAATGAGAATCCTTAATTAACTTGTATTTCTTCCCATATTGATCTAGAGGAGCTATGATGACATGCGTGTGTAAGCATAAAAGTCAGAAAATACTTTTTTGGTGTTCCATGGATAAACTCTTTAATTGTTAAATGGGTGATTCTTTCAGATTATTCTTTATACTTTCCACTTGTTGTCAAAGCACCTACCTAAAAAATAAACTGCAGGAATAAAGCTTTGTTTTTAATTGTTGGCAACAGTTTTACCTTTATTTTACAGATGATAAAAGCCTTCTCTTGTTTATTTAAAGAACAGACTTTATGAAGTTTAATTTAGATATTAAAAATACCACTGAAAAATTTTAAAGTGATACTATTAGTCACTGAAATACTAAATATAATTTTTAAAGAATAATATTTTCAAGATGAAATATTTTTGTTTGATTTCATTTTTTAAACCATGGCAAAGATAAAACTGTTAAATATATAACTATTTTTAATTAGTGACAAATAGTTGCAATCTAGCATTTAAATTACACATTGGGCAACTTGTAAAAGTGACAAATAAGGAAAAGTGAAAAATGTCAGTGCATTTGTAGATAGTGTCTCTAGATTTAGGTGCTATTAAAGACACCACACCTAGTTCTAGGCAGCTTATGCAATTGCACATCTTCTTAAATGGTAAAGATAATGTGAAAGGTCTTTCATCACCACCTTTTAAAATTAAAAAATACTTCCCAAACCTTTTTAAATGGTGTTTGCATATGAAGAAATTTAATCACAATTTTTTTTTTTTAATGGGGTCTCACTGTTTCCCAGGCTGGTCTCAAACTCCTGGCCTCAAAGAATCCTCTGGTCTTGGCCTCCCAAAGTGCTGGGATGATGATGATGATGATGATGATGATGATGATGATGATTTGAGACGGAGTTTCGCTCTTGTTGCCCAGGCTGGAGTGCAATGGCATGATCTCAGCTCATTGCAACCTCCGCCTCTCGGGTTCAAGCGATTCTCCTGCCTCAGCCTCCTGAATAGCTGGCATTACTGGCGTCTGTCACCATGCCCGGCTACTTTCCTATTTTTAGTAGAGATGGGGTTTCACCATGTCGGCCAGGCTGGTTTCGAACTCCTGACCTCAAGTGATCTGCCTGCCTTGGCCTCTCAAGTGCTGGGATTACAGGCTTGAGCCACTGCGCACGGCCCCAAGTGCTGGGATTATAAACGTGAGCAACTACGCCTGGCCACCTTTTTTTTTTTTTTTTTTTTTTTTTTTTTTTTTTTTTTTTGAGACAGAGTCTTGCTGGTTGCCCAGGCTGGAGTACAGTGGCACGATCTGGACTCACTGCAACCTCCGCCTCCTGGGTTCAAGTGATTCTTCTGCCTCAGCCTCCCGAGTAGCTGGGACTACAGGCACGCGCCACACCAGGCTAATTTTTGTATTTTTAATAAAGACGGAGTTTCACCATATTGGCCAGGCTGGTCTCAAACTCCTGACCTCGTGATCCGCTCGCCTTGGCCTCCCAAAGTGCTGGGATTACAGGCGTGAGCCACCACGCCTGGCCCACAATTCTTAAAAGAATAAATAATACTTTGTCCAAAAGCAAAACAATTACAACATGACTTTAAAACAAAAATGACTTCAACCATTTTTATGAAGAACAAAAAGGAATAAGGGTTTGGTTTGCAGAAGGCTCTTTTCTGGTTCAGACAGCTTTGGGTTGCAAGATGTGTGGCACTTCGAAGCCTTAATTGATACTTATGTATCACCTACACATACTTCTTTGTTAAATTTGTTCTTTTCATACAGTTGAATTCTAAAGAGAAAACCATTGTCTAAAGCCTGATGTTTATGATTTCTTCCATTTCTTCTGTGCCGGTTGTGGCACTATACCAGATACTTTAAAGATGTTATCATTGATGTTACTAAGGATTTCTGGCATTTTTTGAAGACCTTTACATTTACAAGTGTAGATTAGTGAGTCTAGGATTGGTTTCTTACCATGTTCCTTGGTGTTTAGCAAAGCCGTCAACATTGTGGGAAGTTTGTGTAGTGGCTGATTAAACTGGACCATGGACTGCACGTGTTTACACCCTTTTCTGCCCAACTTTGAGTTGGAGGGACAGCATTGGAATGCAGGGCAGCTTGACCCGTTCGGTCAACAAGAATTTCAGCAATCTTGATGGCCAAAAATAAACTTTTCAAGATTCCTGTCTAGATGGGCGGGAAAGAGACTTTGGATATATCTTGAGGTCTAATGTGGGGTGTGGGCCGAGATGTCACAGGTCTCTAGGGTGTTTCTCAGGCTGCTGCCTCCGGGTGCCCATGACCTCATCACCAGTTTCAGCCTTGGCAGTCGGCGCCGGTGAACGAGAGCAACGCTTCTGACCCTGCCGGAGCTCCTCGGAGATGAAAGCCATGACGCGCCTTGCAGAAAATGCATTCCGCCTTCCGTGGGAACAACGCCGAGGCACGCGGTGACAGCCGTGACCATGCTGTTTGCCCAGTGAAGGAAACAACTGTCGGGTATCGGCTCTGCCGGCCTTTCCAGCCGCACTCATGCATGGGGCTCACCCCATGATGTGCGTGGCTTGTCGAGGAGCAAGTGGACAAGTCTCTTAAGGAAAGCTTTGGTGCACAGGCGCTTTCTCCTTGGGGGCGAATTCTGCCAGACCTTGGATAAAAACAAACAGGAAGACTCGCACGGCAGCGGAAACTGTCTTCCAAGTTACTTGGGTTACCCGGCTTTTCCTTCCGCGCTTGGGGTCGGGACCCCGGCCGCTCGTCCCGCCCCCTCCCCCGCCGCGGCCCCGCCCCCTCCCCGCCTCGCCTCGCCTCGCCTCGTCCAGCCCCGCCCCCGCCGGGCCGGGCATGCTCAGTGGGCCGGGCCGGCAGGTTTGCGTGGCCGCTGAGTTGCCGGCGCCGGCTGAGCCAGCGGACGCCGCGTTCCTTGGCGGCCGCCGGTTCCCGGGAAGTTACGTGGCGAAGCCGGCTTCCGAGGAGACGCCGGGAGGCCACGGGTGCTGCTGACGGGCGGGCGACCGGGCGAGGCCGACGTGGCCGGGCTGCGAAAGCTGCGGGAGGCCGAGTGGGTGGCCGCGCTCGGAGGGAGGTGCCGGTCGGGCGCGCCCCGTGGAGAAGACCCGGGCGGGGCGGGCGCTTCCCGGACTTTTGTCCGAGTTGAATTCCCTCCCCCTGGGCCGGGCCTTTCCGGCCGCCCCCGCCCGTGCCCCGCTCGCTCTCGGGAGATGTTTATTTGGGCTGTGGCGTGAGGAGCGGGCGGGCCAGCGCCGCGGAGTTTCGGGTCCGAGGAGCCTCGCGCGGCGCTGGAGAGAGACAAGATGTCCGCCAGAGCTGCGGCCGCCAAGGTGAGCGCCTCCGCGGCCGCCAGGGCCAGACCGGGCCGACCGTCGCCGCCCGCCCACCGGCATCTGGCCCGCGTCCCGCCCTCCCTCGCTGGCGGCTGTCTGGGCCCCGGGGCGGCGGGGTGGGCAGGGCTGGCGCGGGGCCGCGGGCCGCGGGCCGCGGGCCGCGGGGAGCCCCTCGGGCGGGGGCGGCGCGGGCCGCACTGGGGGCGGCCGGGGAGGGGGCTGCGGGCGCCCGGCCGCCGTACTGGGCAGGTGCATAGCTGCCGGCGCCTGTGCCTGGCTGCGGCTCGCTGAGGGCGGGGACACGCAACAGGTCCCTCGCGGAGAAACTCGGCTCCAGTGAGGGTTCGGGGGCTGGAAGCCGGCTCTCAGCGGGTCGGGGCTTGGGGTGCCACCTCCTGCTGGCCGGGAGCTGCTGTCTTTGGAGGAGTGGTTGGTCCCCGGCGAAACCCTGTAGTTTCGATCTGATGTCACTCCCTGCGGTATGCGCACGCCAGCGATAAGGCTTTGAGACTGCAAAACACTCCACTCAGCCTGTGAGGCGTAGTAGGTCGGGTTTTCTTTCATGCTGTATTACTTATTTAAGGTAACTTTGAAAATAACCTCTTTAACATTTAATAATTTAACTTGAATTAAACTTTCACAAGTAATACAAAGTATTCCTACGAATGGACAATAAGATGAGCACTTAAAAATTAGTAAAGGCCGGTGAGTTCAGCC
Source organism: Homo sapiens (assembly GCF_000001405.40). Lineage (NCBI taxonomy): Eukaryota > Metazoa > Chordata > Mammalia > Primates > Hominidae > Homo > Homo sapiens. The sequence goes on along the minus strand of NW_011332701.1, from coordinate 1,992,915 downwards.
GAAAAAAGTAACGTTTTTCCTGTTACTTTTCCTATGTGCTCTGAAATATTATTGCATTTTCCCATTGCTTTGAAACTAACTTGTGTATTACATTAAAAAGCCAAAGTTCCTGAAAAACAGCTAGGATGCTCCTCCCATTTTGTATATTAATTTTTTCATCATAAAATAGTACTTGTTATTTCAAACAAAGGAATACAGAAATGTGAGGAGTAAAAAATCTGCCCTTTAAAGAATATCAATTCATTACTTCAAATAGTATCGAGATACTTGGGCAGGTAGTGGTTTTCTGTGTGTATTTTTGTTTGAAATGCTTACCCGTAACATCTGGGAGCAGGAATACTATGCCTCTGAAACTTTTGAACTCTCACAGAAGCTTGTTTGCTGGCTGGGAGAAGCTAGCGGTTACACTTATTAATGAATAGATTGTTTTAAGGGATATAGTATTCTTCGTTTAAGAAAAATTTAACTTGCACCTTTTGACCTTACATTGAGGAAGAACAATCTAAAGGTAAAACTTGATCCAGAGATTTAGGATAAAAGGCAACATTTTGCTTTGGTTTTAAAATAAGCTCCCATTATTTGTCTTTTCTGGGGCTTTCTTTCCTAGGAGGAAAGGCTTTGTTTCCGTATTACACAGAATGTCACTTTGTTCCTGAAGTGTGATCTCTGGTACTTAATATGCAAGACAACACACTTTTTAAGAGGTTATTTCAAGTATGGAGAGAAATACGTTTTCAATGGATTGCCACAGTAAGGTAGGAGGAGTACTTCTCCTGAATTATAGTATTGAGATTTGTATGGCATATTGAAAAGCATCACTCGTTAAATATTACGTTGTAGGGACTTTTTTGCATTGTAAACATTTGCGAGTAAAGGGCAAGTTGAAAGCTTTTTTTTAAGATGCTGTATTATGGAGCCACTTCAGAATTTTATATAGAGCAAAACAGGCCATAAATGAATAAGTGAAATGAAATAATATTCAGTGACCTGTTTCCGTAAGTCACAATTAATTTTTGAAGGTGATTAAAATGCTTACTAAGAGCCAGGCTGGACTCAGTGCTTTACATATGATGCGTTTGTTTTCCCCACCCTCCTTTCAGTTTGGAAAAAAAAAAAAAAAAAGGCAACATTAATTTGGAAGCTCGCTGTTACTGTTTTAGCATGATAGTTTGGGAAACTCTTGTCTAATAAGCCAGTGCTTTTGATTCGGTTTTCTTTATAATGGTTGAATAGTTTGTCATCCTATGAATATGCTGCTGTTTAGATTATCTTTGCTTTCTTGATAGACATTTGTTTCCAGGATTTTGTTCTTGGAATAGTAGCCTTTTTATATCTGTACACATATATTACTGTATATCAGATTCTTAAAAATGGAATTACCGAGGCAAAGGCTATGTGCAGTTTAAATTCTGATATATACTACTAAATGTTTCTCTAAAAAGACTACCTAGAAATAAATATAACAAATATTGGTGAGCTACTGGAATCTTAATGAAGGACATAAAGTGAGATCTGAATAAACGAGATGAAACAATGTATTTTCTGGATGGAGACAGTCACTGTTGTAGAATTTACTAATTTTCCCCAAGTCAGTGTCTTCTAGTGTTGTATTGTAGAAAACTTGACATATTGATAAGAAAACCTACATGATAAAATGATAGCGACAAAATTTTGGAAAAAGAAGGCCGTATCAGGAAACTTGTTAGAAATTCACAGTCATTTAAAGCAGCCCGTCAGTTCAGGAACCAGGGAGGTCCAGAAACATCTGTGCATTTATGGGCTTTTAGTAATTATGATCATCAGTATTATTGCATGTCAGGTATTGTTCTAAGTGCTCAATTTATTTAATTCTCACAGTAACCCTATGAAGTGAACTATTATCTCTACTTTTTGGTGAAGAAATTGAAACAGAGATACGATAACTTTTAAGTTCATTTAGCCAGCAAGGTGGAAAACTACGAATATGTGGTAAAAAATAATATTGTAGACTATTGGAGAAAGTGGCTTGTTCAATGTATGGTGCTAGGACTATTGGTTATCCATTTTTTAAAAATGTTTTCTGCCTCATAGGCTAAAAAAAATCAAAGGAAATCTAAATGACAAAGAGCAATAAAAATTCTAAAATAGAAGAAAATGTAGAATACTACTTAAAAATATGTATGTACCTAGATTGAAAAGAATCCTCCGTGCATGATACTAAAGAAGTAATAAAGGCGGGTGGGTCACTTGAGGTCAGGAGTTCGAGGCCAGCCTGGCCAACATGGTGAAACCCCGTCTCTACTAAAAATACAAAAATTAGCCGGGCATGGTGGCGCGTGCCTATAATCCCAGCTACTTGGGAAGCTAAGGAAGGAGAATTGCTTGAACCTGGAAGGCGGAGGTTGCATTGAGCTGAGATCGGGGCTACTGCACTACAGCCTGGGCGACAAAGTGAGCTTCCGTCTCAAAAACAAAAAGTAATGAAGGAAAAAACGTGGCCGGGCGCGGTGTAATCCCAGCACTTTGTGAGGCCAGGAGGGGCGGATCACGACGTCAGGAGTTCAAGACCAGCCTGACCAACATGGTGAAACCCCGTCTCTACTAAAAATACAAAAAAAAAAAAAAAAATAGCCGGGCCTGGTGGCGAGCACCTGTAATCCCCCCTAATGGGAAGGCTGAGGCAGGAGAAACGCTTGAACCCGGGAGTCAGAGGTTGCATTGAGCCGAGATCGCACCACTGCACTCCATCCTGGGCGACAGAGCGAGACGCTGTCTCAAATAAATAAATAAAGGAAAAAAACGTTTTTTATATGTGTGATAAACGTCTGCGTTCGCAGTCAGAATTTTGTTTACTGGTGTATTTGATTTAAGATTATTAGAAAGTTGAAAAACAAGAATTAGGGTGGTTCTCTGCGTCACCAAAGAATTGTTTAAATGTGTAAGAAAGTGGTATGAATCATTGTTAAGAAACGATTTCATTGGTTGAATCACAGAAAAGTGGCTGAAGGAAGTTTCAGTGGCTTCTGTGTTTTCAAGCTGTTTTCCTTTGGAGGAAGCAATAAAATTTAATTTAAGATTGTGCTATTGTATATGCTTATTAGATTTTGCTGAATACTTAAATGTTTTTGTTAAGTCTCGGGAATAGTAGTATTGCCCGCTGTGGCTATCTGAAATTATAATGTAAGTATGAAAATGATTTATGTCATTTTTTACTGTTACACTGATTTACATGATACCCAGGAATTGATTTATTGTATCAAGTGGAGCACAGTGGGCTTTTTTTTTTTTAATTAAGTTCTGGGATCCATGTGCAGAATGTGCACATTTGTTACATAGGTATACGTGTGCCATGGTGGTTTGCTGCACCTATGAACCCATCATCTAAGTTTTAAGCCCCACATGCATTAGGTATTTTTCCTAAATGCTTTCCCTCCCTTTCCCCCCACCACCAACCCGGGTAACAGGCCCCAGGTCCTGGTGTGTGATGTTCCCCTCCCTGTGTCCATGTGTTCTCATTGTTCAACTCCCACTTATGAGTGAGAACATGTGGTGTTTGGTTTTCTGTTCTGGTGTTAGTTTGCTGAGGATGATAGCTTCCAGCTTCGTCCGTGTCCCTGCAAAGGACATGAACTCATTCTTTTTTATGGCTGCATAGTATACCATGGTGTATATATGTACCACATTTTCTTTATCCAATCTGTCATTGGTGGGCATTTGGGTTGGTTCCATGTCTTTGCTATTGTAAATAGTGCTGCAGTAAACATATGTGTGCATGTGTCTTTATAGGAGAATGATTTATATTCCTTTGAGTATATACCCAGTAATGGGATTACTGGGTCAAATGGTATTTCTGGTTCTAGGTCCTTGAGGAATTGCCATACTATCTTCCACAATGGTTGAACTAATTTACATTCCCACCAACAGTGTAAAAGCGTTCCTATTTCTCCACAGCCTCGGCAGCATCTGTTGTTTCCTGACTTTCTAATAATCACCATTCTGACGGGTGTAAGATGGTATCTCATTGTGGTTTTGATTTGCATTTCTCTAATGATCGGTGATGATGAGCATTTTTTCATATGTTTGTTGGCCGCATAAATACCTCCTTTTTTTTGGCAGCATAAATGTCTTCTTTTGAGAAGTGTCTGTTCATATTCTTTGCCCAGTTTTTGATACGGATATTTGTTTTCTTGTAAATTAGTTTCACTTCCATGTGGATTCTGGATATTAGACCTTTGTCAGATCAGTAGATGGCAAAAGTTTTTCTCCCATTCTGTAGGTTGCCTGTTCACTCTGATAGTTTCTTTTGCTGTGCAGAAGCTCTTTAGTTTAATTAGATCCCATTTGTCAATTTTAGCTTTTGTTGCAATTGCTTTTGGTGTTTTCATCATGAAGTCTTTGCCCATGCCTATGTCCTGAATGGTATTGCCTAGGTTTTCTTTTAGGGTTTTTATGGTTTTGGGTTTTACATTGAAGTCTTTAATCCATCTTGAGTTAATTTGTGTATACAGTGGGCTTTTCTTGATATCTTAACGTTTTTGAAACCTTAAGAGCTGCAGAAAATGGCCAAGCTAATGAACAAAAATTAATGACAAGAGTCAGTCATTACATATAGGGATTGTTTCTTGAGTGAGTGATGCAGTGTTTTAATTATGATAGTTACTGATCAATGCATACTTGCTTCATACTGTTTTAAAAGTGAAAAACTCACTGTAGTTTGTGAGAAGTCACTGAAGTTTGGCTGCCAACTTTTAATGATCCTCACTGTAGCAATAATTTTTGTGTGTGTTTGGCATTTTAGACCATCATGGTTAAAGCTTTAATTTATATAGTTGGCTGATAATCCTAACTACATTTTACAACTCTTACATTTGTTTCAGGACAGCTTCATAAGATAGTTATGTTTCAAATTGTGGTGTTTTTCCCCCCCAGGTTATATATTGGCACAAATTACATTATATTATTAGGAAAGACACCAATTTGCCAGACTCAAGCATGTAATCCCTGCACTTTGGGAGGCTGAGGCGGGCATATCACCTGAGGGCGGGACTTCAAGACCAGCACAACCAACACGGCCGAAACCCCGTCTCTACTAAAAATACAAAAATTAGCCGGGTGTGGTAGCACATGCCTAAAATCCCAGCTACTTGGGAGGCTGAGGCAGGAGAATCATTTGAACCCAGGAAGCAGAGTTTGCAGTTGAGCCAAGGTTGCAGTGAGTCGAGATAGCACCACTGCACTCCTGCCTGGGCAACAGAGTGAGAGTCTGTCTCAAAAAAAAAAAAGGAAAGACACCAATAAATAATGAGGTGGAAACCAATCTGTGGCTTCGAGGGCTGTAACGCAGTATATGTAGTACTGCTTCCCGTTTGATTTGAAGGAAAAAAAGTACAGTAGTTCCACTCCCTTTTTCCCCTCCAATCCTGGAAACAAGGTCTGGCTCTGACTTTTACTTGCTCTTTAATCTCTTTTCTGTTTAGAGACCAAATGTAAACTCTGTACAGTTCTAAGAATAAAACTGTGTATAAATATGATAGATCACCATGCTGCTAAGGAAAATGTCTTTAAAAATAATAGTTTTGGTGGAAAATTTGAAGACGTAATCCTGTTACTTGACATACCCCTGATATGATAAAAATTCACCTTACTGAAAGACCATGAGTCCAGCTGTAAATTCATGTGTAGTGCCACCCATCTGTGACTGCTCAGTCATTGCTCATTTCAGGCCTGCCTGAAAGCATTCACGTGCTCAGCATTGTGTATGACTGAGCATTATAGTAGCTGAAGGCAAGCTAGTGGAATGAGCCAGTCATTTCTAATTAGCAAAGTTTTGATATGTTAAATAAAAAGATAGTTTATGTCTAGAATGATCCTCCTGGAATATTTGACTGGAACTTGCTTTGCACCTCTGAATTTTGAAAGCAAATCTTGAAAAACCTTTTTACTTTAACAACTTTTAGTCTTGTAGAAAGAAATAGACATTAGGATAGTTTACAGATTTTAAAGTTAATCCTATAAAATTGGTGTGTTGCAGTATTTCTTGCATAAGCCAGCAATAAAAATAAGACTTTTGCTCTCTCTGACCTAGAGTGCATCTTTATTTATTTATTGCAGAGAAGAGTGGCTTCAGGTTGCTCCTTTATGGGCTAGCCAGGTGCTTTATTTCCATTCCTCTTAAACAGATAAATTCTTAATAATGAGCAGTATGTGGGGAATACGTGGGTAGGGAGTTTTATCTTATATCCTAAGCATGGATGAAAATAAATGGACTCTGAATGATTGCCTTTACCACAAGAACACAGCTTTAGATCATGAGAACACCAATGTTACCAAACTTTGTACTGTAAAACACCATTTGAAATGTGATAACAAAACCCTGTCATATATGTAGTGCTCAATACTGAATCTCAGGTGGCCCTCACTTTGGGATAGATCAAGAGATAAGGTTTTATTAGTTTGTGTTGCGGATATATTTCAGTTGATATACTGAAAATACTGGGAAGTGAGTTAACTGGTGAATGATCTCAATTCTAGTTTATCATGTCCGGAAAGGAGGTAAAACAGAAGCTGATATTACTTTCTGTGGATTCTAATTAGGAACATAAGATTAGCGTATACCTGGTTTAATTAATTTTTTTTGACTTACCGAAATATTTTTTCCTTTTTAAAAAAATGTAAATTCCCAAAGACTGAAAAGTTCATTTTTCTTCTTGGTTATCTTAGGAATTTTCACGCTTTTGGAATTGTCATTATCTTGGAGATTGTACAACAGTTTCTGGTAACTGAATATCACCAGTTAAACTTAATATAAGATTAGCTCACTTAATTTAGTATGTAATTTTAAAATTCAGGAGGATACCAGTAATGACTAATTCTTTTTGTTAGCTTAACACATATTAAATGAGTACATTTTGTTTGGGATCCCGATCCTAGAAATTTACAGTTTTCAACTGCTATACGCTGTAATGATCACTTTGTGAATTGTGTAACTCATTGTTGAAGAAACAAAGGATTTGCATTGTTTACTCTTAAAAATACGAGCAAACTTATGGTCATCCTGTAATAACAGAGCATTCTTGTGTGCTTTCTTCGTTGGAGGAGGTGACAAAGTCATTTTCTAAACCTGGGCTTGCTGTTTAGCAGAGTTTCTGTATTTTTCCTTGTTAATGTTTTTAAATGTTTGAATTGAATCTGGATACATTGATGTAAGTGTTTTCTGCATATGTTTGGTATCAATATCTCAATAGGAGGGAGACATTAAGAATTATAAAGTAATTGGCTTATATGCTTAACAGCTCCTTGAATATACTGACAAGGCAAATGAACACTATACTAGCTGTTACTGTTACATTTAGGGTTCAAGAAGCTGTGAAATATGTAACAATTTGGATTCCTAAAGCGGAATTTTACATTCAGCAGATATTTGTTGGTTACCTCGTGTGTACCAATCACTGTTGTAGGTGCTGGAGATGCAGCAGTGAACACATCTCTGTACTGATAGGGCATTTTAATGGTGCGGGTAGAGAGCAGCAAATAAAATTCTGTCCATAATGATAAGTGCTAGAATCCCTAACATGCCTTTTCTGGGTCATATCCTCCCTTCTTCAAAGATTGCATGTATCTTGTCTTCTAGGTTTCTCATTTTCTAGTTTTTCTTTATAGTTACCACCTAATTATGCATTCTGAAAGCACTAGTTTTGACTCTCTGAACTTTGCGCATACAGAATCTTCTAGTGTGAATTCTGTTGTATATGGCTTCTTTTGCTCAGCATTATGTTTGTAAGATTATGTTGTGGAGAACTGTAGCTCATTAGTTTTCATTCAGTTCTTGTACTTCATGGTATTCCATTGTATGAGGACTTTATTGGTTTCGGGAGAAAATAGTTTCAGTTAGACTTCTGTGGCTTTTTGGAGAAAAATATTGTATATGTCTGTCTGAGGGGCAAGAATTAGATATGCATTATGAGGCAGTCATTGGAGTACCAACAGCTGAGCAAAAGGTAGTAAGCTTCTTTTGGTGTTCCTATGATTATCTTGAAAAATCAAGTTGGTCTTAGTTTGGAGGATATTTTATGACTAAGATGTTTGTCATACTAAAGTATGTTTTAGTAGTAAGTATTGAAGTATGTTTTAGTAGTAAGATATCCACTTACCTGACTGATCAGACCACCAAAAGCCACAATCAGGGGAAATACATGAATCTGGCAAAAATGAGTCTGCCTTTCAAAATATAATTGTGGAAGTTTTTCCTGGTAATGTCATATAAAGGTACTAAGGAAGGTTTATTTACTGATTTTTTTTTTCTAACAGTGGCAGTTATTGGAGTATTAATACTTACTGGAGTGTTAATACAGAAGTACACTATTTTGATGCTGTATCACCTATAAAAATCAAGTCAGTAGCCATGGCAAGTAGGCTTACATTTTAGTTATAAGTGTGAGAAATATGTGTCAAAACAAACAGTAGCCCCTTATATTGCATGCTGACTCTGTGACAGATACTGAGCTAAGTGTTTTATGTGCATTATCCCATTTAATCTTCACAATTCTGTTAGATACTACGATTATCTCTGTTTTTACAGGTGAAGGATCTGAGGTTAAATTTACTTGCCATAGGTAATCATACATCTACTTACATGTTCTATAAGTCATACATTCACATCCTTTTATGTTCGTGTGTTGTAAGAGAGCACCAGGGAGAAGAGTATGGGATGGTGTTAGGTAAGTCTTAGACCAGAAAAGCAGCATGAATCATGAAAGCCAGAAGAGAGGGCACTGCTCCATCAGAGCACAAGCCAGTTTGTCTAAAGGAAGCAGCTCTTGCTCAGCCCCAGCTGATTGTTTTCTTGGAAGAAGACAGGCCAGATCTCCCAGTTTTTCAAGAGGTTGCAAATCCGGATTTTCATGTAAGTTACCCTGACTTAAGTCTTGCTAGTTGACTTAGTTTTTTATATCTTTTTATTGTGAAATATATTGCCATGTGTACAAAAGTACATAAAGCAAATGTACATTAATGGATTATTATAAAGTGAACACCCGTGTAAACACCATTCACCTGTCAGCAGGCCAGATCCTGCACAGAGAGGTCAAGTAAAATAAGGACTGAAAAGATTATCACCGAGCAACTCTTAAGTTTTACTTATATGTGAGTTTAGCCTCTGGAATCTGAATCCTGAGTCTGCCACTAAATGGCTGTTTTCTCATCTGTACACAAAATGCAAATGTAAAAATGCAAACAAGACCCATCTCAGAGTGATTGTGGGCTCAGCACATACTAAGCTATTATGTTAGCTGTGTCTTCTAAAAACATTTTAAGTGAAGCCTATTTTAATATCAGAGAGGAGGCATATAGGAATTTTATTTATTTACTTGTTTATTTATGGACAAAGGTTGGCCTGTAGATTATTTAAGACATTCATTCATTCATTCATTCATTCATTCATTCATTTTGGACAGAGATCAGCCTGTAGGTTAGTAGTTTTCAGCCCAGCAAGATGTTTTGTGGTTTCAGAAGGAGGATTCATTTATTTATTTCTGGACAAAGATCAATCAGCCTGTAGGTTAGTAGTTTCAGCCCAGCAAGATGTTTTATGGTTTCAGAGGAAGGTTCCTTGGGTTCCTGAGATACTTTTGAAAAAATTATTACAATGGCATTAGATAAGAGATACAGTCTTTAGTCTGATGGATTAGGCAATAGAGTTGAAAGACTATTCCAAATCCAGGGTACCTGGCTCAATTTGGATGTCTACCTAGTATGGTGAATGGTTGATTAGCAAGTTCTATTCAGCTTTGATTTGCTGAGCACCTCAGGTCTTTCTACTTGTTTTATCCGTACTTTCAACCATTTACATTCTCCCTCCCACCACCCCCCCACCCCCACCCAAGTAATCCTCCCTCTGGATTCCTGTAATAGCCTCCTAAGTATCATACCCCCCTCTTCCCCTTACAATCTGTTTTTCTGAAATAATCTTTTCAAAATCCAGGTTTGATTAGTTTCTCTCCGCTCTCCCCCGCCCCGCTACACACACATGCGAACACTCATCCTAAAATTCCTAGGCTGCTTAACTACCTTTAGAGTAAAAGATCAAAATCCTTAATATGGTCAGTAAGCTCCTAGTGGATTATTTGGCCCCTGCCTACCCCTCTAGCCACATCGTATCTTTTTCCTCCTTGTTTCTTGTTCTCAAACTGTGCTTTCCTCTTTTTGGTTCCTAGCAAGTGTACTTCCTGTCAACTTTCTCTTTGAGTTCCTCATGGCACTGTTTTTCCTTCTTTCATAGTACTTATTTAACTTTGTGACTATATATTTAGCCATGGAGTTTTTCGATCATTTGGTTCTCCTGCTAGACTGTAAGCTCCTTGAGAACAAAGGTCATACTAGTTGTGTCCAGTTATTCGTGTAGTTTAACACAGTGTCTAGTACATAGGAAACTCTCAAAACATTATTTGAATGAATGAGAGATGCACTTTCCTACACTAGGCTCTTGCACGTGCTGTTTTTTCTACCCGGAAACCTTGCCACCTCCATCTTTCATGCACCTCATAGCTGTCTCTTCTCCTCAAGGACTTTGCCCAGAGCCCAGAAACTAGGTCAAAACTCTGTGCTTTAAACTCTGTGTACCCCTTTATAGCACTTATGATAACCTGTACTTAGTTCTCTGCTATTATTTGATTAGTATCTGTTACCCCTTCTAGACAAGAGTTGCCTTTTCAATGCTGTTAACTCACTTACTGGTAATGTTAGACCACCTTAAATTCAGCTTAGCAGCAGAAGGAAGGTACTAATCCATCTCCAGGACTAGTTGCATTTTTCTTACTATTCTGAAAGGGGAGGGGAAGCAGTTGCTGGAATAGCCAGCTCATGGAAATACTACTTAATATCCTGGCATCATGGTAGCTGCATTCTTGGTTTGGGTCTTTCCTAAATCAGTAATTAATTTCTAGTCCCCTCAAGTTACCTTCTTTTAAGTGGAAAATTTTCAAACCTATAGAAAAGTGGATGTGGGGAATATAATGAATTCCCACATTACTGTCACCCAGTATGGTTAACAACTTACAGCCAGTCTCATTTCATCTATACTTCATTCATTGTGTCTTCTCTTCCCCATTATTTTGAAGCAAATGCCAGATATCTTTTCATCTGTTAGTACATAGTGAACATCCCAAATCTGAAATGCTTCAAAATCCAGTACTTTTTGAGCACTGACATAATGCTCAAAGAAAATTCTCTTTGGAGCATTTCAGATTTCAGATTTTTGGATTTTGGATGGTTCACCCTGAAATCGGAAACACGTGGTTTGAAGCATTTCAGAGAAGAGATAGAATGGAATACTCAACATGTGTCTGAATATATATCTCTAAAAGATGTCTTTTTTAAAAGTACTATAACTACATTATCATTAGCACACTTTTAAAATAAACTCCAAATCAAGTACTTAAGTGTTTGGTTTTTTTTTTTTAAGACGGAGTTTCGCTCCTGGTTGCCCAGGCTGGAGTGCAATGGCATGACCTTGGCTCACTGTAACGTCTGCCTCCCTGGTTCAAGGGATTCTCCTGCCTCAGCCTCCTGAGTAGCTGGGATTGCAGGCATCTGCCACCATGCCTGGCTAATTTTTTGTATTTTTAGTAGAGACGGGGTTTCACCGTGTTGGCCAGCCTGGTCTCGAACTCCTGACTTCAGGCGATCCACCCCCGTTGGCCTCCCAAGTGCTGAGATTACAGGTATGAGCCACCGCGCCCAGCCATGTTTAGTGTTTTCTAATTGTGTTAAATGTCAACTTTCCTTGATGAGGTCCTCTTACTGTGATTGTTTAACATTTCTCTTAGGCATATGAGGTCCCCCATTTCTGTCTCTCTCTTTCCCCTCTTCCCTTGCAGCTTTATTGGTTGAGAAACAGGATTATTTGTAGAAATTTTAACAGTATGAATTTTGGTATTTGCTTCCTTGTGGTGATTACAATGGTGGTTGGCCCACTGTATTTCCTGTAAATTGGTTAACTGTAGCTAGAGCAATTCTGTCTAATGTAGTAGCCACACCAAAACTTTAAGGTAAAATTAATTTTCATGTTTTATTTAACACACATATCCAAAATATTACCATTTTAGCATGCAATGATATAAAATTATAGGTGAGATATTTTAAATTATTTTCCATATTCAGTCTCTGAATACTGTTGCATGTATATTTTACATATCATGTATATTTTGCACATAGCATATCATAATACATATCACATATTTCGTATCATATATATATTTTACATATACCATGTCTCAGTTTGGACTACCCACATTTTAAGTGCTGAGTAGCCCCATGTGGCTGGTGGCTACTGTACTGGATAGCACAGATCTAGAGCCTTGATCAGATTCAGATTTGATTTTTTTGTTTGTTTTTACAGTTCTACTTCATAAGTGGCATTCGGTCCCAGGGTTTTTTCTGTTGTTTTTGGATGATGTCTGCAGCCATTGATGATCAGTGTGTAGATCCCTTAATTCACTAGGTGTTACAAAATGATGATATTCAATTTTTATTATTCCTTTTTCATTGGTTAGCTGGAGTGCTTCTAAAAAAAGAAACTCTCCTTCATCTACTATTTTGATCGCCCACTGGTACTGTTTGTATAGGAAAGACAGAGTAAATATCTTATTCTTTCCCTATACGTACCAGTTTCTCAAAATAATGAGTTCTGCCAGCACTTATCATTTTTTAAAATCACTGTGGGCATATGGATGGATGGAAGCATATTTGATTTATTTTAATCCATTGCAGTCAAATTACTTACAGTTCTGTCAGGTTACTTTATTTTGAATTTTTAAATAACATAATACATTAGGCAAATCATAGGTGTACACAGATTGATATATTTTCAAAGTGAATATGCCTATTTGCCCACAACTCAGATCAAGGAAGAACATTTACTTTACGTCCCGAAGCTCCCCCACCTCCATCCCTTCGAGTTACTTCATACACAAAGGTAACCCTGTCCCAACTTCTAACAGTGTAGATCACTTTTCCCTGTTTCTTGTTTATGTTTTTGTTTTAAGACAGTCTCACTGTGTCACCCAGGCTGGAGTGCAGTGGTGCAATCTCGGCTCACTGCAAACTCCACCTCCTGGGTTCAAGTGATTCTCGTGCCTCAGCCTCCCAAGTAGCTGGGATTACAGGCATGTGCCCCCATGCCTGGCTAATTTTTGTATTTTTAGTAGAGACGGGGTTTCACCAGGTTGGCCAGGCTGATCTTGAACATCTGGCCTCAAATGATCTGCCTGCCTCAGCCTCCAAAAGTGCTGGGATTACAGGTGTGAGCCACCATGCCTGGCCACTTTTGCCCATTTTTTGTTTCGTAATTCAGATGTGATGTTTACCAGTTTTCAAGGATTATGAAATTCATGTGTTCATTGTAGGATGTATAAAAACTTAAAATATACAACTCTGAAACCAAGTTTTTTTTCTGAGTACGTAAATATTTTTTCCAAAATTGGTATCTTTCTGCATTTTTCTATACCATTATAACTTTTTTAAACTTTTTATTTTAAAATATTAGATTTATAGAAAAGTTAAACTCTTCTTTAGTGTGGTTACATTCTCCATCTGTAATATAGTTATGTTCATTTGTTACTGTTTTTATTCTGTTTTTGATTTCCTCCCCTCCCCTCATGTCTTTTTGGTTTTAATAGTTTAATTTTTTGATCTGTGAAGGGTAATGTCATGAAACAATACTGTGGTCTAAGAAAGAGAGTTATGCAAAAAGATATACTCAGAGGACTGTCACTCTCTCTTCATCTCTGCTATGCCATTCCCTTCCTCCTCCTGTCTACCTGAATAAATTGTGAGAGATCTTTGTATCTATCTTCAACCTTTAGAAGATGCTATACCTAAAAATAGTTTTATTTTTGATAACTTGAAAGCACTCTAGATTTTAAGTTTCCAAGAATATTTGTAACTGTCCCTACTGAGATTTTCTCAATATTTAATGTACACATAATGGTAACTTTTAAGCTGATGTTCTTTCACTCTTACTTTATAGCTAATGTAGCAGCTTATCTGTGAACTTAATGTTTTTAGCAGACCTTCAGCTTTGATCAACCAGAAAATTACAGGTTCACTGTGTCTGTCTTTCCGACTAATATTTCCTAATCATATCCATCTCATCATTTGTTTCCTAAACTGTTAACCAAGGGATGGACACAGTGATACATTTGTAAATTTAACCAGTGTTGAATACAGTGGGGTGTTGGATGCTAAATTTACTAAATTTCTATTGAGACTTTTATCCTATGGTTGCTGCCTTCTTATTTTGATCATTATTTTAATTCTTATGTTTCCTGAATTTTTATCTTCTATTCATGAAGTTTGTTGAATCCCTGAATATCGTTAGGACCCTTCTTCATTTTATTTTAGAGTGATCTTTTTTACTACCTCCTGGACATTTCTATTTTGGGAATTTAAATGACGGCCCATCAGATCAGTCCAAATATACATATTTTGCCTTACCTTTTAACATGTAGCACTATTCCCTTTGTACTTCATTTGTGTTGCAGTGATCACAATTTGAAATTATGTAATTGAAACTTCATTGAAGGGCAGGGGTCATCTGTTTTATTCACTGAAACCTACCTTGTCCTTCTCCTTAAGTTCCTGGCTCAACCTCATCTCCATAGATGATCTTGCTTTCAATTTGGATGGAAAAAAGCCAAAAAGACCAAAACAGAAACACTTTGGAGTTCAGAAGGAATGAGAAGCCGTTCAGTGTAGCAGCTTTGCTCACAGAAGGAACTTGGAGGGTTCACAGAGTGTTCTTAATACCTTTACTATTGGTTTTCCTAATGGGGAACTGCATGTCATCAAGAAAGGGTGTTCCTTGAAGATTTGTGGAAATTTTATTATTTTATGATGTCAGATAAATGAGGTGTATTGATCTAAAAAATTGAGGGATCTTAAGCTTTGGTGTATTCTCTGGACAGTAAGTAGTGTTTTGTATTAGCTCCATTGGTTTTCATGTATCCTCATTGTCTGCTTCTTCTCAAATTCCTTTGGTTGTCCACAGGGTTATCTTAGTCCTTGGGTAATTACATCTTTTCCTTTTGACTTCAGCACTGCTACTTGGTTGACTACTCAAGAGCCATTTTGAACTCCACCCACACTTCTCACTAACTTTCTAACTGGTTTCCCTTTCTCAAATCATTTTCCCATTACAGCCTTCAGGATGAATTCTTATATCATTTGATCGTCGAAAATTCTTTAGTGTCTTCCATTTGAGTTTAAAGTCCTTGGCATTATATTATAAAGCCTGTTGTGATCTGGTACCCTTGCACCTTCTCTCCTTTTACTCTCTCCTTGTTCCATAAATTGTACAACTTAGTCATATCAAAGCCAGCGTCATGTGTAGCATCACACAATCTTGCTGACATGCTGTTTCTTCTGAAACATCTTTCTCCACTTTTTTCCTGGACATCCTTCAAGCTTGATGAACTCAAAACGTTGCTGTCTCAGGGAACAGATCTCTGATCTTCACAGCAGACACAGTCCTTTTGCATCTTCCATAACAGCTCTTATCTATGTGGTGCAAAAGTTATTTATTTTGGTGCAAAAAGCTCATATCTTTTGATGCCATTTTAATGGCAAAAGCTGCAGTTATTTTTGCACCAACCTAAATACCATTTAGTGTTCTCAGCTGCTTCTTTGAGCCCCTAGGGAGGGAGAGGGACCTTTTTTTGGCCTCCCCAACACTTACCATGTCTGATACATGTTTGTTGAATGAATGAATGAATGAATGATACATGGATTGGTTTTGAAATTACAGCCATAAGGTTAGTAAAATTTAACTGGCTGTGTATTTAGATAATGTTAAGGAGTTCTTCATTTGGAGTATACTTTATATCTTCTCTTTTGGATTTGTTCTTCTCCCAGTTATAGGCTCATCCTGTCTTTTCAGTTATTGTGCCCTCCTATCTTTCCCCATTCAGTAATCAGTCCTGAAGGACAGTGAAACTGCCTAGAACTGGGATCTGAAGTTTTGGCAGGAAGCCCTTCAGAGTTGGTGATCTGAGTAGTGTCTTTGCCAGCTGGAGCTTAGAACAAAGAAACTAAACAAACTCTTGGCAGATTGTGAAATACAGCTTTTTGCTTCTTCAGAAATTGTGATTCTAGTCAGTTGATGCTGACTTAGAAATGTGCGCAGAACTCAGAATCCAGCAACCATGAATTGCAGTCACTTTTGATGCCTGCAGTGCTTCACTAATTATTGAATTTGTAGCCTGTTCATTGGAATTATAGTCTGATAGAATTTTGGAGCTAGAAAAGTCTTTTCATTTGAGATAATTTCACCCATTTCCCTAATTGTGTAGGTGAGGAAAATTAAGATCACGTTTCTAGTTGATGATACCTTTCGGCTCTGGTCTCCTTATGCCTGGTCTAGTTCATTTCCTGTTCACCAGCATCTGTCTGAGTTACTAGGGAATGGTAGTGCTAGAATCATGCTTAGAGGAGTAATACATTTTCCCCTTGGTCTCCTACAAGCCTAAATGTCTTGAACCTGAGACTGGTAATTTACCAGAAGCTTTTTGTGCAAGTTATGCAGTTATCCCTTGTGCATGTTTGAAATGAGAAAATGACAAGCAAGTTTACAATAAGGATATTAAGTTTTAAAAATAATTTGATAAGTAATAGATGAATGTAATTAAAAGTACAAAGGGCTCCCAGTGAAAAGTGAGACTCCTCCTACCTGGTTTTCCTTTCTCCACTCCAGAAGCCATGCGTTTCTTAGGTATTCTTCCAAAGGAACCTCCACACCCCTTGCTTTTCTAATGCATCAAAATTCTCAGTCATTAGTGAACATTTTTTCTTTATGGAATGCTCATTAAAATAGTGGTTAATAAATTTACTGGTACTAAAAATGTCTCATATCAATTTTAGCTTTGATTTCTGAGTGATTTACTAGAAGGATTTCTTAGTTTTTCCTCAGCATTTTATTATGATCACTTTCAAACACGTAACAAGATTGAAAGCAGTCTGCCATGGTTACCTGAATCCCAACCACTAAGATTCTACCATTATCATTTTACTGTATTTGCATTATTACATATTTACGTGTTTGTTCATCCTTCCATTCCTCATTCAGAACTCCTCATCAGTACTGCCTGGTTATATAAACAACCATGGATAGAATTTGCTACTTTTGCCACAGAAGCAAATGAAAGGCTAGAGAATGGAGAGAGATGACATGGTCCATCATTTAAACTAGGAATATATTTTTCTGTTTTTTGTTTTTTTTTTTTAAAGATAAGGAGTGGTAAAACATAGTAACTCACTTATATTATGGATTAAGTTGGTTTAGTGGCTGGTCAAGAGCCTAACCACTTCTTTTGATGTTTCATTCTCAATTACTTTCTTCTACATAGGTCTTCCTTCAGATAAATCAAGCTATAATTGATGTTTAACAGAGAAGTTTTTTGAGATGTGGACTTTTCCAGTCCTCCAAAGAAAAACTATATTGATTTTGATGTGGAATGGTGAGAGCAATTATGTTTTAGTATTTTAGTCTTCTCCCTTGTACAAAGCAAGTTTCTCTTATTGCACTCCTCCTGGAGACTGTACATTAAGACCTTAATGTATAGATTGCTTACTAACAGGAGAATAAACATTTTTTATAATTAACAATAAGAACATTAATCCTCTTAAGCATTATTTGATTTTCCTAAAAGCCAAGTGGAAAAACAGATACAGATGCTTCTCAGCTCACTTAGAACAATGTCCTGATTAAACTCATCGTAAGTTGAAAATACTTTACGTCAAAAATGCATTTAATACACCCAACCTACCCAGTATCATAAGCTTAGCCCAGCCTACCTTAACCATGCTCAGAACACTTACATTAGTATATAGTTGGGCAAAATTATCTAACACAAAAGCTTACTTCACAATAAAGTGTTGAATATCTCATATAATTTCTTGAATACTGTAGTGGAAATGAAAAACAATGGTTGTATGGGTACCATCGTAAAGTCAGAAAATCAAGTTGACCCATCCTAAGTCAGGGACTGTCTGTATTCGAAATGTCAAATAGGAATGAGATTTTGTGAATATAGTTTAAAATACATTGCCAGTTTGTTCTGATGGGGAATGGAGAAAGGAAAGCAGGAAGATAAAACACCTGATAGAAAAATGTCACCCACAGTCCCTTTACTTTGAAGGTGATAAACAATGTTAACATTTTGTTTATCCTTTGAGCCTTTATTCCCTACTAATGTTTAAACAAAATTAGGATAACCATGTACACGCTGTTTTACAACCTGCTCCCCCCTTAATGTTAAATAAATTTTCCCATTTGATTAACATCTTCTTACAAAATGGAAAACTGTGTTCATTAAGACCTTAGAGAGGATGATGAACTGTTTCATACCATAGAGTATGTTATCAAAGAGAGTTAAGTGCATGTTATCACATCACTTGCCATTTGGACTGATAGGAAAAAGATTAAAAAGGCAGTAAAACAATGTCACTGGTTAATGAAATAGATCAAGAAAAGATGAACTGAGAGCTATGCAAGCAGTTCTCATTCTTAATATCAGCTGAGATTGGACAAACTGGCAACTCTTGCAGATACTTTTATCATGTGTATGTTAGTGGGACTGTTGATGTTTAGCTGATTTACTCATACTATTGTTGCTTCTCATTGATGGAAGAATTTTTTTTTTTAGTGCATTATCCCGGTCAATGTTTGTTTAAAAAAAAAAAAACAGCTTTGTTTCCAGTGGAGGTCTCATTAAAGGGAGGTTTTGGTGCACTTCATTGGAAGATTGAAACAAATGCTGGTGAGGTTGGCAGTTCTTATCTATGGGAGTGAACAGAGAGATCCTTTCTCTCTCCTCTCTTATTCATCTGGCAGGATAATCTAGTTGCTTTGAATTTAGGGAAGCAGGCTTTCTTTATAGGGACTTACTTTCTAAAATGGCATTAATCTTCAATTAAAGTCGCTGTGGGAAAGGAGAGAATGGGCCCATGGCACCTTGGTAGGCATATTCTCATGATGCTAATGACAGCAGTAAGAGAAAACAGACCTCACTTATGAAATAGGCATTTATAGTAATGGGTGACTAGTGATCTGAGAGTGTCATGCTTAGCCTTCTCCCTTTTTACTTTACCTTTTGATAACTCTGAAGAATCTTTTTTAAATTTACTTGTAAATACATTTTAGGAGTCCCAGTTTCATAAAATGGTAACATTAAGAGAGACTGAAATATTTTAAGTCTCCAAGAGCAATTAACCCCATTTAAAAGAAATTTATTTTGAATTCCTTACTGCTAATTCCTTAGATCAACCTTGTCCAACCCGTGGTTCACAGGTCGCATGCGGCCCAACACAAATTCGTAAATTTTCTTACAACATTATGAGATTTTTTTTTTTGTAATTTTTTTTTTAAGCTCATCAGCTTTCATTAGTGTTAGTGTATTTTATGTGTGGCCCAAGACAATTCTTCTTCTTTCAAGTGTGGCCCAGAGAAGCCAAAAGATTGGACACCCCTGCCTTAGATAATAATTTATTTTCGGCCGGGCGCGGTGGCTCACGCCTGTAATCCCAGCACTTTGGGAGGCCGAGGTGGGCGGATCACGAGGTCAGGAGATCGAGACCATCCCGGCTAAAACGGTGAAACCCCGTCTGTACTAAAAATACAAAAAATTAGCCGGGCGTAGTGGCGGGCGCCTGTAGTCCCAGCTACTTGGGAGGCTGAGGCAGGAGAATGGCGTGAACCCGGGAGGCGGAGCTTGCAGTGAGCCGAGATCCCGCCACTGCACTCCAGCCTGGGCGACAGAGCAAGACTCCGTCTCAAAAAAAAAAAAAAATAATAATTTATTTTCCTCTCTATTGAGAGGCTCATGACAGGAGGTAAAACTGAAGTACGCTATAATTTGGGCAGGACCTGTATTGGAGCTCTTACTGCTTTTATTTTATGATGATTCTTGGGGGAGTTTGGGAGATTGTTCTTTTTTGTTTTTGTTTCTTGTGTGTATCTACGTGTGTGATACATATACTAGAAAAGCTGTTCTTTTTCTTTTGGTTATAAATGAAGCTTGAGAAGTAATTCTGTAGCAAAACTGAAACTAGGTAGAGTAGTCATGTTTGTGACGTTAAAGCAGCCATTTGCCAAACCTATTAATGGTTTTATCTGTTTTCCTGTGACATGTATATTTATAATTACTGTGTTCAGAGGCATTTAACTTTCCCTTCGTTTGTAAAACATAAGAGATGCTTTTAAATGTTTACGTGCCATTAGATATTTTAAGATAATACCGCTCCAACTTTTATTCTTTTCTAAGTATAAAGTTGCAGAATTAGCTTGAATACTGATTTCAGCTTGCATGAAATGAATATAGAGCAGCTGTCCAAATTAAGTTAAAAACAAAGGAAGTTCCTGTGTGTCGTTTCCTGTCTCTTAAAAGCAAACAAAAAACTTTCCATAATTATTAAGGTCCTTTCAGAGTGTCTCTAATATTAACTGTGAATTTTGGTATTTCAGTGTGCTGAATTGTTGGATGTTCTTGCTCACCTTATTAAGGACATTTTCTTAAAAGGTAAATGATTTGTTTTTCTTTTCCTTTATCAGAGCACAGCAATGGAGGAAACAGCTATATGGGAACAACATACAGTGACGCTTCACAGGGTAAGTTTGTGTTGCAGTAAGTAATCTGTGTATAACTCAGGATACTGGCAGCTTTGAAAACAATAGAGGAAAGCCAGATGTCAGGAAGCCAGAGGGAGGAGGAAACTTTTTCTATATTCTTTTGTTTAAAATTAGAGTTACAATAATTTTTTATTAAGGTCAAAAGTGAGCATGATTACTTTTTCATATATCCTTTTGAGTATTTGCTGTTTTTATTCCTGACTTAAAAAGTGATTTGCTTTTAAAATTTTGAGTGATCAGATAAAAGACTCTGTACATTAGTATAAATTATTATAAACTGCTTCAACCTTTCTGAGTATATATGCATCCATTGTGGGAGTGAAGTTTGAAATTAAACCAGGTTGTATGCATAATAAAATCCTAAAAGATACTTAATTGATTTCAAACATGTTGACCCAAGCTGTTGCTTAAACAATTGCAGATGCGAGAAGAGAGATGAGTAGTAGTAAGAGATGAGTTCTTACTTGGTGGGACTAAGAACTTTGTCCGAAGTGAGACTGCTATCAATTTGAATTCTGGTTCTGCCTTTCTCTTGCTTTAGAAATGGGGAAGTGATTCAGTCACCTTCGAAAACCTTGGTTTTCACAAGTTTAAAATGGAACAAGTTGACACCAGTTCATGCTTTACCAATTTGTAAAGTTAAGTGTCTCTCAAAATTCTCTTTCCTCTCTTTCAAGAGAGCTGAATCTACTGATTACTCCCTTTCTTAGAGAATGTATGGAAAGAGAGAATATTTAAATACTGGCCTTGCACTTTACACTTACTATTTCTACCAGCTATATCCATTATTAGGAAGATGGAAAGGGGAAAGAATCATGTTGCTGGACTCTGCCCCTGATTATCTCACGAATGTTTGGATCTGCACATAGTAGATAATGGGTAAATTAATTATTAAAAAATAGTTGTTTTTGGCTGGGTGTGGTGGCTCACGCCTGTAATCCCAGCACTTTGGGAGGCTGAGGCAGGCAGATCACGAGGTCAGGAGATTGAGACCATCCTGGATAACATGGTGAAACCCTGTCTGTACTAAAAATACAAAAAAATTAGCCAGGCGTGGTGGCGGGTGCCTGTAGTCCCAGCTACTCGGGAGGCTGAGGCGGGAGAATGGCGTGAACCCAGGAGGCAGAGCTTGCAGTGAGCCGAGATCATGCCACTGCACTCCAGCCTGGGTGACAGAGGCGAGACTCCCTCTCAAAAAAAAAAAAAAATTTTTTTTTCTGATAAGATATAGTCAACTTTTTAATGTTTCATTATTAAATGGTGAAGGAAATCATTATCTAATACTAACCTTAACTTTCATAAACCTGCAACATGGCCTTCCTTTGTTTGAAATGTATTGATAGGTAGCATATTTAAATCAGATACATATGATTAAACATATAAAATAACTTCTTACCTTATGACTAGTGGCGATGTCAATGATTTGGTATTTTTTTTATCATATTACATTTATTTTTATTAAGACTTTTATTGTTTTTATTGGTATAATTTACATACAGTGAAATTGACCCTTACAGTTCTGAGTTTTGACAAGCATATACAGTCATGTAACCACCACAATTAAAATACAAGACAACTTCAATACAAAAACTTTCTCTTAACACCTATTTTTAATCATCCCGGTCCCCTCACGTCCACTTAACCAATGATATGGTTTCTTTTTGTACATTCTTGCCTTTTCTAGAATGTCATGTAAATGGACTCATACAACATGTAGCCTTTTGAGGCTGACTTCTTACACTTAGCCTAATGCATTTGGGATTTCTCCATGATGTTACTCTATCAGTAGTTTCTCTTATTGCATAGTAGCATTTCATTGTATGAATGTATAATTGTGTGTTCGTTCTCCAGTTGTGGTATATTTGTGTTTTGCAGTTTCCATTGATTATGAACAAACCTCTAGTGTACAGGTTTTTGTATGAACATAACTTTTTATTTCTTTTGGGTAAATACTTAGGAAAAGACTTGCTGTGGGTCCCATGGTAATTATTTAAGTTTTAAAGAAATGGTCAAATTCTCTGTACCATCTAACACCACCACTGGCAGTGTATAAGAGCTCCCGTTGTTGCGTATCCTCATCAGCACTTGATATGGGTTGAGCATCCCAGATCTGAAATCTAAAATGCAAAATTCAAAACTTTTCGAGTGATGACGTCATGTTTAAAGGAAATGCTCATTGGAACATTCTGAATTTTGGATTTTCAGATTATGGGTGCCGAACTGGTAAGTATAACGCAAATATTCCCAAATCCAAAACATTTGAAATCTGAAACATTTCTGGTCCCAAGCATTTCAGGTAAAGGATACTCAATCCGTATTGTCAGATTTAGAAAGAAAAGAAAAAAAAAAAAACGCTGGGCACAGTGGCTCACACCTGTAATCCCAGCACTTTGGGAGGGAGAGGCTGGTGGATTACCCGAGGCCAGGAGTTTGAGACCAGCCTGGCCAACGTGGTGAAACCCCGTCTACTAAAAATACAAAAATTAGCTGGACGTGGTGGCAGGCGCCTGTAGTCCCAGCTACTTGGAGGCTGAGGCAGGAGAATCACTTGAACCCAGTAGATGGAGGTTGCAATGAGCCGAGATCACGCCATTGCATTCCATCCTGGGCAACAGAGCAAGACCAATTGCCATTCAGTGGGTATCTAGCGGTATCACACGTGGTTTTAGTTTGCTTATCTCTGAAGATTAATGATCTCTTGATGTGCTCATTTGTTGTCCATATATCTTTGGTAAAATGTATTCAAACCTTTTGCCCATTTTTAATTGGGTTTTTCTTATTATTGAGATTTTATAAAATTGCGGCAAAATACAACATAGACTTCACGTATTCAAGACTGTTGCCCATTTTTAAGCTCTATGTTGCTTGTTTTTTAGTTGTTGAGTTGCAGTAGTCTTTATATATTTTGGATATTAACCAGTTGTTAAATATATGATTTGCAAATATTTTTTTCCTTTCCATGGATTGCCTTTTTACTCTGTGATTATTCTTTTTGGTACACAGAAGTTACTGAGTTTTGAGATTTTTTTTTTTTTTTTTTAACGTATTCAGGATACAGATTCTTTATCAGGTATTATTTTGTAAGTATTTTTTTCCCATTCTGTGATTTGCCTTTTCTTTCTCTTAATGACAGTGTCTTTTGCAGTACATGCTTTAAGTTTTGATAAAGCTCTGGCCAGGTGTAGTGGCTCAAGCCTGTAAACCCAACACTTTGGTAGGCCAAGGCAGACAAATTACTTGAGGCCAGGAATTTGAGACCAGCCTGGCCAACATGGTGAAAGCCTGTCTCTACTAAAAATACAAAAATTAGCTGGGAGTGTTGGCATGTGCCTGTAGTCCCAGCTACTCGGGAGGCTGAGGCAGGAGAATCGCTTGAGCCCAGGAGGCAGAGGTTGCAATGACCCTGACATCGTGCCACTGCACTCCAGCATGGGAGACAGAGTAAGACTCTGTCTCAAAAGGAAAGAAAGAAAAATTTTTGATAAAGTCCAGTTTGTTAATTTTTGCCTTTATCAATCATGTTTTTGGTTTTGTATCTCAGAAATCTTTGCCAAACCCAAAATCAAGAATAATTTTTCCTCTGTTTTCCTTTAAAAGTTTTATTTCAGTTAAATTCTGTTTGTGCCATGAGATACGGGCAGAGAGATTTTTTTTTTTCATACAGATGTCCAGTGTTTATTTTGAAGAAGCATTTTGTTTGAAAGATTATACTTTGTCCGTTTAATTGCCTTTCTCGCTTTGTCAAAAATCAATTGACCATATATTTCTGGACTCCCTTGTCTGGTCTGTTGATCTGTGTGTCTGCCTTTTTACCAGTTACTTATGCATCGATTACTGTAGCTTTATATTAAACGTGGAAATCAGGTAGGGCAAATCCTCCAAATACTTTTTAAAATTATTTTGGCTATTCTAGCTCCTTTGCCTTTCTGTATAAATTTTAGAATAATTTTGTCAACTTTTATCTTCCTTCCCTCAAAGAAAATAAAACTGCTGGGATTTTATTGGGATTGCATTTGAATCTACAAATCATTGGGGATAATTAACATTTTAACAATATTGAATATTCCAAACTATGAATATAATGTTATCTCCTCATTGTTTTATTTCTTTAATGTATTGTAGTTTTTGGCAAATAGATCCTGCACACATTTTTGTTAGGTTTATAGTTAAATATCTCATGTTTCTTGGTGCTATTGTAAATAGTTTTTTTTTTTTATTTCAATATTTGATTGTTCCTTGTTACTGTGTAGAAATGCAGGTTTTTTTTTGTTTTTTTTTTTATAGCAACCTTGCAGTCTTAAAATTACTAGTTGTAGGAACTTTCTTGTTTAGATTCCTGGGTGTTTTCCTATGTGTAGGCAGTCATGTCATCTGTGTATAGAGGCAGTTTTTTTCCCTCCTTTTGAATGCTCTTTATTTCTTTTTCTTGCCTTATTGCACTAGTTTGGACTTTCAGGATGTTGTTAATTAGGAATGGTGAGCAGGCATACTTACCTTACTCTTAATACTGGGTAAAAGCTGTCTTTCACCAGTAAGTGGTTTTTTTTTTGGTTGATGCCTTTTATCAGGTTAAGGAAGTTCCCTTGTATTTCTATTTTGCCATTTGTTAGATTGAGGAAGTTCCCTTTTATCTTAGTTTACTGAGAGGTGGTTGTTTTTAATCATGAATGAAAGTTGAATTTTTGTCAGTGCTTTTTTTTGTGTGTGTATGACTGGGATTATATGGGTTTTCTTCTTAATCTGTTGATATGGTGGATTTCTTGTTGTTTGTTGAACAGCCTTGCATTCCTCAGATAAATTCTACTTGATTGTTTACATGTTATCCATTCCAGATGTTGCTGGATTGATTTGCTGATGTTTTGTGAAGATTCTTGTTTTATTGGTCAGTACTTTTTTTTAACATTGTTTATATCTGGTTTTGGTATCATGGAAAAGCTGTACCTCAAAACAAGGAGTTGGGACGTGTTCCTTCCTTTTGTGGTTTCTGGTAGAGTTCATGTACAATTGATTTTATTTTTTTCTTAAATATTTGTTAGAATTCACTAGTAGAGTTACCTGGTGCTAGAGTTTTCTTTGTGGGAAGGGTTTTCATTACAAATTCAGTTTCTTTAATTTTATATAGGAATATTCAGGTTATGTATTTTTTCCTTGTTACAGTTTGTTTTGTTTTGTTTTGTTTTTTGGTAGTCTTTTTTTTTTTTTTTGAGACAGAGTCTTGCTGTATCACCCAAGCTGGAGTGCAGTGGTACCATCATGGCTCACTGCAACCTCTGCGGTTGAAGCGATTCTCCTGCCTCAGCCTCTCGAGTAGCTGGGACTGTAAGCATGCACCACCAGCCTGGCTAGTTTTTGTGTTTTTAGTAGAGCCGGTGTTTCACCAGGTTGGCTGGGCTGGTCTTGAACTCCTGACCTCAGGCAATCCTCCCACCTCAGCCTCCCAAAGTGCTGGGATTACAGGCGTGAGCCACCATGCCTGACTGGTAGTTTGTGTCTTTCAAAATATTTGTCTTTATCATGTAAGTTGTTAAAATTATGAGTATAACATTGTTCATAATATTCCCTTATTTTTAATTTTGGATGGTTCTATAATGCTGTTTTGTTTTGTTTCATTATTTATATTGGTAATTTGTGTCTTATTTCTTGGTCAGTCTGGCTAGAGGTTTGACAATTTTATTGATCTTTTCAAAATACCTACTTTTGTTTTCAGTGACATTCTTTATTCTGTTTTCTGTTTCATTGATTTCTGCTCTTATTTTAATATTTTCATCCTTTTGTTTACCTTGAGTTTAAGCTCTTTTGATAGTTTTTTTTACTGGAAGCGAGATTATTCATTAGAGACCACAGATGCAATTTGCTATTACCACATTACATCTTTTCCTTACTACCTTTTCAGTTTTTTCAATAAGCAAAATAACATAAGACACCTTTAAATTAGCTAAAGTATGTTTCCCTTTGTATGCTCTTGCTTGGTTTTGTTAGGAATTCATGTGTAGGAAAATACTAAATGTATTTGCCACAGACCTGTGTCTCATTAGCTCAGGGAAAGTGGGAAAGATCCTCAATATTAAGAAAACAGAATCTGATTTTTCTGACCTTGTTAGAAGTGTCATACCAATTCATTGTGGTAAGTAATGGCTCAGGCAAGTCTGTTATGATAATGCCGTTTTAGATGATTAATGTAGGTTCCATTTTGTACCTGGCTTCTTTCTGTGCCTCAGTTATTTTTTTGCCATGAGAGGGCAGCCCAGAAAATGTCATCAGAAGATACATTGAGATAAGAGAGGTATATAACTCACAATTCTTCAGTTGTTGAATATGCTAACTGTTGTACTAGGAAAACAGCTGGGTTTCCTCTGAGCCTCATCACAGAGAGACTATGACAAAATCAAAGTCCTCACCAGCCATCCCTCCAGGAATGGTTTTTTGGTTGTTTTTTGTTTGTTTTTGGTTTTTTGAATTAAAAAAGAAATATTTTCAGAGCAAGCAGTAATAAAAGAAAAGAAAAAAAGAAAATCATCAAAGAAAAGCCCAGGACCTGATGGCTTCACTGCTGAACTCTACCAAACATTTAAAGAAGAATTATATCACAAAAGCTAAGAAGAGAATACTTCCAAATTCATTCCAAAGGGCCAGTATTTCCCTGGTACCAAAACCAGACAAAGACGCAACAAAAAAAGAAAACTACAGGCCAGTATCTTTGAACAGAGATGCAAAATCCTTAAACCAAATTCAACTACATATTTAAAAGATCATTCATTGTAATCAAGTGGGATTCATCCCAGGGATGCAAGGATGGTTCAACATACTCTGATATGGTTTGTGTTTGTGTCCCTGCCCAAATCTTACATTTAATTGTAATCCCCAGTGTTGGAGGAGGGGCCTGGTGGAACGTGATTGGATCATAGGAGTGGAGTTCTCATGAATGGTTTAGCCCCATCTCCCCTTGCTACTATATAGTTAGTGAGTTCTCATGAGATCTGATTGTTTAAACCTCCCTGCTCTCTGTCTCTCTCCTACTCTGGCCATGTGTGTTCCCCTGTTGCCTTCTGCCCTGATTATGCATTTCCTGAGGCCTCACCAGAAGCCAAGCAGATGCTGTCATGCTTGCTGTACAGCCTGCAGAATAGTGAGCCAATGAACTCTTTTTTTATATAAATTGCCCAGTCTCAGGTATTTCTTTATAGCAATGTGAGAACCACCTAATACATATTCAGATCTGTAAATGCGATACATCACATCAAAAGAATGAAGGACATAACCATATGTCCATTTCTATAGATGCCAAAAAAGTATTCAGTAAAATTCAGCATCCCTTCATGATAAAAACTCAACTGGATGTAGAAGGAACATGCCTCAACACAATAAAAGCCACAGACAGATAAACCCACAGCTAGTATCATGAGGGGGGAATCTAAAAGCCTTTCCTGTAAGATCTGGAAGAAGGCAAGGAAGCCCACTTTCACCACCTTTCTTCAACGTGGTACTGGAAGTCCTAGCCAGAGCAATTAAACAGGAGAAGAAAAGAAAAGGCATCCAAATTGGAAGGAAAAATTTAGATTACCCTTGTTTGCAGACAATAGTATCTTAAATTTAGAAAAACCTAAGGACTCTACCAGAAAACTGTTAGAACTGAGGTTTAGTAAAATTGCAGGATGCAAAGTCAGCATATAAAAATCAGCAGCATTTCTGTATGCCAAGAGCAAACAATCTAGAAAATAAACCAAGAAAATAATCTTATTTCCAATAGCTACAAATAAAATAAAATAAAATACCTAGGAATAAACTTAACCAAAGAAGTGAAAGATTTCTACAATGAAAACTATAAAACACTGATGAAAGATATTGAAGACGGCACCAAAAAGTGGAAAGATACTCCATGGTCATGGATTCAGTATTGTTGGAATCAGTGTTGTTAAAATGTCCACACTACCCAAAGGAATTTACAGATTCATTGCAACCCTTGTCAAAACACCAATGACATTCTTCACAGAATTATGTTTTAGGGTTGGAAAAACAATCCTAAAATTTTTGTGGAACCACAAAGACCCAGAGTAGGCAAAGCAATCCTGGGCAAAAAGAACAAAACTGAAGGAATCACATTACATACATTATGTGACTTCAAATTATACTCCAGAGCTATAGCATGGTGCTGGCATAAAAACAGACACAGACCAGTGGAACAGAATAGAGAGCCCAGAAAAAAATCCACACATTTACCTCCAACTCATTTTCAACAAAGCCACTAAGAACATTGGGGAAAGGACAGTCTGCAATAAATGGTGCTGGGAAGACTGGACATCCACATGCAGAAGAATGAAACTGGACCCCTATTTCTTGCCGTATACTAAAACAAATCAAAATGGATTAAGCACCTGAAGTTATGAGACTACTAGAAGAAAACATTGGGAAACACTAAAGGTCATTGGTCTGGGCTAAGGTTTCTTGAGTGTGACCTCCAAAGAACAGGCAACCACAACAAAATGGACAGTGGGATCACATCAAGCTCAAAGCTGCTGCACAACAAACAGTCAACAAAATGAAGAAACAACCCACAGAATGAAGAAAATATTTGCAGACTACCCAACTGATGAGATAATAACCAGAATATGTAAGGAGCTGAAACAACTCGATAGGAAAAAGAAATCCAATTTAAAAATGGGCAAAAGATCTGAAGCACAAGAGCTGAATAGATGTTTCTCAGGAAGACATATGGGTAAATGGTCAACAGGTATATGAAAAAATGGTCAACATCACTAATCAGATAAATACTAATCGAAAGTATAATGAAATATTTCATCCCAGTTAAAATGGCTTTTATCAAAAAGACAGGCAATAACAAATGCTAGTGAGCAGGCAGAAAAAAGAGAACTCTTATACGTTGTTGATAGGAATGTAAACCAGTACAGTCACTATGAAGAATAGCATGGAGGCCGGGCATGGTGGCTCACGCCTGTAATCCCAGCACTTTGGGAGGCCGAGGTGGGTGGGTCATGAAGTCAGGACATCGAGACCATCCTGGCTAACACGGTGAAACCAGCCGAGCGTGGTGGTGGGCGCCTGTAGTCCCAGCTACTCGCGAGGCTGAGGCAGGAGAATGGCGTGAACCTGGGGGGTGGAGCTTGGAGTGAGCCTAGATTGCTGCACTGCACTCCAACCTGGGCAACAGTGCCAGACTCTGTCTCAAAAAAAAAAAAAAAAAAAAAAAAGAATATTATGGAGGCTCCTCAAAAACTGAAAATAGAGCAACCATATGATCCAGCATTTCCACTGCTGAGTATATATCCCAAAGAAAGGCCTGGGTGCGGTGGCTCATGCCTGTAATCCCAGCACTTTGGGAGGGCAAGGTGAGCGGATCACCTGAGGTCAGGAATTCAAGATCAGCCTGACCAAAATGGAGAAACCCCGTCTCTACTAAAATACAAAAAAT
This sequence comes from Homo sapiens, assembly GCF_000001405.40. NCBI lineage: Eukaryota > Metazoa > Chordata > Mammalia > Primates > Hominidae > Homo > Homo sapiens. The sequence goes on along the minus strand of NW_011332701.1, from coordinate 1,962,832 downwards.
TAGCCAAATGTGGTGGTGTGCACCTGTAGTCCCAGATACTCAGGAGGCTGAGGCAGGGGAATTGCTTCAACCCGGGAGGCAGAGATTGCAGTGAGCCGAAATCGCGCCATTGCACTCCAGCCTGGTGACAGAGTGAGACTCCGTCCAAAAAAAAAGGAAACGAGTATATCAAAGGGATAACTGCACTCCCATGTTTATTGCAGCATTATTCGTGATAGCCAAGTTATAGTATCAACATAAGTGTACATCAGTTGATGAAGGGATAAAGAAAATGTAAATATGTTCCATGGAATATTAGTCAACCATAAAAAATAATGAAATCCTGTCATTTGCAACAACATAAATGAGACTGGAGGACATTACGTTAAATGAAATAAGCCAGGCACAGAAAGACGAATACCACATTTTCTCACTCGTGGGAACTAAAAAAAAAAAAAAAAAGAAAAATGAACTCACGGAGACAGAGAGTAGAATGATGGTTACCAGAGACCGGGAAGGGTGGTAGGGAAGTAGGGATGGAAGACTTGGTTAATGGGTGCAAAAATATGGTTAGAAGGAGTAAGATACAGTGTTTAGTAGCACAATAGGGCAACTATCGTTAATTTATTGTGTATTTCACAGTAACTAGAAGAGTGGAATTGAAATGTTCGTAACAGCAAAGAAATGATAAATACTTGAGGTTATGAATATCCCAGTTACCCTGATTTAATCGTTACACATTATACTTGTATCAAAATGTATTGATGTGGATCCCATAAATATATACAACTACTGTTTACTATAATAATTAAAAATAAAAACATTTTTAAAATCTTTGGACAATGAAAAAGTCTTGCCAGTGGGAGCTGAGTTATGCCAAAGCATAACTTAATTGACTTCATTCTCTGAGGCTACAGAATGGTACTTTCAACTGTCTTAGTTGTTTGGTGTTCTAAGATGATGCCGAATAAAATTTAGACTATCTAGAGCAGGATCAGCAAAGTATTTATATAAAGAGCCAGATAGTAAATAAGTATTTTAGGCTTTGCAGACCATAAATCTCTGTCAAAACTACTCAACCCTGCAGCCGTATTGTAGAAGCAACCATAGACAACAGGCAAACGAATGTGGCTGTATTCCAACTGTGGGCCATAGTGTGCTGACTGCTGATTAGAGCAGTGGCTCTCCAGGTTTTATTGTAAAGAGGGATCAACTGCACAGTCCCTGCCCATCAGAGATTCTTACTCAGTTTGTCTGGGCTGGGATCCCTAACACGTATTTTAAATAGGCTTCAGTTTGAAATGGAGGGCTATGGCCTCTGGCATCCCACTTTTAAGAAACACAGAGGAATCAGAAAGCTTGTTCTCTCTGAGGTGAGCAAGTGGGCTTTTGGCAGTGGTAGTAAGTGAAGGGGATAATTTGAAACTGTATTCTTTTGGCAATAACCTGGAGTATAGATACTCTGTATTGCCAAATAAAGACAAATCCATATTCTTTGACATCTGACAGTCAATTTTATGAAAGTTGGAGGTAATGTTATAAAAAAGCCATTTAATTGATGAGAACCTAACATTTTCTGCTATTTACTGTCTAGAATAATATATGCTTCATTCTTTCATTTGTATTTCCAGAAGATATTTTCTTCATCTTATATTTCTAGAAACCATTGAAACCCTATTCATTCTTAAAGACTAAGTAATTTTTTAGTGTTCTACTGTATGCCAAGCACTGTTGTACTCTTGTGGGCCCTGGAATTATATCAGAAAAAAACAGGCAGAATTTGCCTCCTCATGGATTCTGATCTCTCTACTGGTCCTCAGTGACAGTTGAATATGTACATCAGATAGTTGTTTACCCCATCTCCTACTACATTATAACTTTCACAAGGGTTGGAAATCTTAAGTCCGTTTTCTATCTCCTTAGTGCTTGGTACCTAGTTCTGCCCCAAAAAACTTAATTCCCTAGGACACTAACCATGTCGAATAAAGTCACTCTTGGGAGGTCTACAACAGCACCGCCCAGTAGCAGTATAATATAAACCACATATGTAAATTTAAATTTTTTAGTCTTCTTATTAAAAACTGTAAAAAAAAAGAAAAACAGGTGAAACTAACTTTATAATAGGTCTTATTTAGTATGCACAAAATATATTTCAACATGTGATAAGTTTAAAAATTGATGAGTTGATCTTACAAAATTGTTCACTTTTCAATGTCAGCACCTTTCAGGTAACACTAGCCATTTTTGAAGTGCTTAATAGTCACAAGTCTGATGCTTATCGTATTAGTGTAGGTGTGTAGCTTCAGATGGTAACCACATGTGTTCACCTCTCCTGCTGCTGTAACACACCCACACCTTTTTAGTTTTCAGATACTCGCCCTTAGAAAATGCATACATTTTTCTAATTCTTTGGGAAATGAAGTGAATTCCTCAGGAATGAGTTGCTCGTCGTTACTCTGCTTTTTCATTTTCTAAAATAGAATTATGTAAAAGATTAAATATTTGTATACTAAAGTATTAAAAGATGAGTATAGAAAGCAAGGAAACTAGTCAGGTAATTTTAAGGGTGAGCCAGTGAGTGTTTAAACTAGGGAGGTGATTGCATAAGAGGTAAACTTGGGATGGGGTGCCAAGGCAATGCACTGGAGGGAAGAACAGTCATTAACAGACCCAGGACAGCTGGTTAACCACATGCAAAATAATGAATTTGGACCCCTACCTCACAAGATTTACAAAAATTAAGTTTAAATGAACCATAGGTGTAAGTATAAGAGCTTAAACTCTAAACCTCTTTGAAGAAAACACAGGGATAATTATTCGTGACCTGGGTTAGGCAATGGTTTATTGGATATGATGTCAAAAGTATAAGCAACAAAAGGGAAAACAGATACATTGGACCCCATCAAAATTAGAAACTTTTGTGCTTCAAAGGACACCATCAAGAAAGTGAGAAGATATTCCACAGAATGGGAAAAGATACTTGCAAATCATACATCTGATAAGGGATTTGTTTCTAGAATATATAAAGAACTTTTATAACTGAACAATAAAAAGACAAATCAGTTGAAAAATAGCAAATGATTTGAATAGATACTTCCTCAAAGAAGATGTATGAATGTGCAATAAATGCATGAAAAGATGTTCAGTATCATTAGCCTTCAAGGAAATGTATATCAAAAAGTATAGTGAAATACCCCTTCACACCCACTAGGATGGCTGTACTCAGAAAGACAATAAAGGTTGGCAAGGATGTGGAGAAATTAAAACCTTTGTACATTGCTGATAGGACTGTAAAATGGTGCAGCTGCTGTAGAAAACAGTTTGAGAATTCCTCATAGAATTATTATGGGACATAGCAATTCCTCTCATAGGTATACACCCAAGAGAAATGAAAGCAAATGTCTACATAATAAGTTACACATGAGTGTTAATGGCACCATTATTCATAATAGATCTGGCTATATTAGCTGATGAATAATGAATAAACATGATATATACATAGAATGGAATATTATTTAGCAATAAAAAGAAATGAAGTACTGATACATGCCACAACATTGATGAACCTTGAAAACATTATGCTAACTGAAAGATGCCAGTCATAAAAGAACATATATTATGTGATTCCATTTATAAGAAGTATTCAGAATAGGTGAATAGAGAGTTATATTAGTGGTTGATGAGGCTAGGGGATTGAGAGATGATGGCTAAAGAATGCGGAGTTTCTTTTTAGGGTGGTGAAAATGTTATAAAATTTTGATGGGGTCCAATGTATGTGTTTTCTCTTTTGTTGCTTATACTTTTGACATCATATTCAGTAAGCTGTTGCCTAACTCAGGTCATGAAGATTTATTCCTGTGTTTTCTTCAAAGAGGTTTAGAGTTTAAGCTCTTATACTTAGACCTATGGTTCTTTAAACTTAATTTTTGTAGATGTTGTGAGGTAGGGGTCCAAATTCATTATTTTGCATGTGGTTAACCAGCTGTCCTGGCACCATCTGTAACCAGTGATGGTTACAACTGTGTACATACTAAAAACCATTGAATCATACACTTTAAAGAGTGAATTTATGATATATGAATTATATATCAGTAAAGTGATAAAAGGAATTTTATCGGTCAAGCAGCTCCAAACTGCTGTCTGATAAAGTATTTAAGCTGAAGCAAACATGTAATCTAAGATACACTCCCTTTATCTGGTAGAAGGCTATTGTTTGTACTTAGTACATTATAAGTTTTTCAGACCCTTCATTATATTTGTCTGTGAAGTAGGTGTTAACCATGTGAAGTAAGGTAAGTCTCAGAAAGGTCTAGTAAAATGCCCCTTAAGAGCGAGAACTTGAACCCAGGTTTGGACTCAGCATACAGTGCTCTTTCCATTTATATGTCACGTTTAATTTACAGTTTTTAAATGTGGCTGGCACAGTGGCTCACACCTGTAATTCCAGTACTTTGGGAGGCCAAGGCAGGAGCATCACTCTAGGCCAGGAGTTCAAGACCAGTGGAGGCAACATAGTGAGACCCTATCTCTACACACCCCCAAAAAATTTAGCCAGGCATGGTCGTGTCCACCTGTAGTCCCAGTTACTTCAGGAGGCTGAGGCGATAGGATCACTTGAACCCAGGAGTTTGAGGTTACAGTCAGCTGTGATTGCACCACTGCACTCCATTCTGGGCAACAGAGTGAGACCCTGTCTCTAAAAAACAAAAAGTTTATGGAACATAATTTCTGAAATTAAGAACTCATGTAATTCACATAAACTAAACAAAGGTCTCTCTATACATGCAATAAAGTAAATAAAATAAAGGGTAGGTAATTTGGCAATAGAGGAGCCAATGTTTGTTTAGAACATTGGTGGTGAGGCTAATTTTATAGAGAAAATGACAGTCTTAAAGAAGGGGACTTGGAGGTATTCTGTAAGAAGCTGGAAATAAGAAAATGGAACAGGAATGAGAAATGAAAACTATGATTTGGGTATCAGAACTAAAAGAATGAGAGTAAGAATAAACAGGAAGACACACACAATTTGACTAGCCAAGGGACATAACTGTTAAAAAACCGAATCAATCTGACAGTCATAGAAGATTGAACAGCATTTTGAGAACTACCAAGTTGGTAGAAAATCTGCAGTGCTTGGATCTTGTGACTTCTAATCTGTTTGGGCTTACCACTAACTAATTTTGAAAAGGCCTTTAAATCTCTTGGGATCCCCATGGAATCAAAGTATATTAAAGTTGATAACATTAAAATCTCTCTTATTCAGATGAGGGAACTCAAATCTGTGGAGGTCTTCCATAAGGTCATGATTGGCAAGTAGTATAGAGACACACAGGACCCAGGCCTGCTGACTTCAGCTGTAAGAAGGGAGCTGGAACAGACAATTGCTGAGGCTCCATCTGGTTTTCAAATTCTGTGATCTCAGTGGCCACTGTGAAAACAAATGGCTAGAACAGGTTCCATTGAATGTTCATTGAAATTCCATTGAAAGGTTAATAGGAAGAATAAGAGGAGAAAAGTAAGACTAGAATTAGTGAGGAAAGTTATAATTAGCGGATTGTACAAGCCTAATATGGAAAAATGGAAGAATAAAATAAAAGGCAACAAGTGGAATCCTTAAGTAGGTAATTGGGCATATTCAATAGGAACAGAGAGGAATCTTTGGAGAATAAATTAAGCAGTTATTTCTGAAACAGGAGCAACTTTCAGGAATTTTTTTTTAAGGAACCAAGAAATACTTTAACCAGTGGGTGGGCAGACCTTTTGTGTGAAAGGCCAGATTGTAAATAGCTTGACTTTGTGCACCACAAGGTCCCTGTTGGAACTGTTCAGTGCAAAAGCAGTCATAATTATATGTAAAGGAATGGGCATGGCTAGTGTCCAGTAAAACAGGACACATAACTGAAAAAATTCCAGGACCCTGTTTCCAAGTTCTAACATAAATTCAGTTGTCTAGCCAGGCGTAGACATATAAACACAGAAGTTATTGCTGCTCATGGTTGCTTAAGGTTTCAAAAGTTTGAAATACGGCAAGTCTTTGATGCTCTTTCTTCCATCCCCAGAAGCTAAAAGTTATCCTGTACATTTTCTCATGTAAACATACTTTTAAAAATCAACTGTCTTGGCAGAACTATACAATTTTTACGTTGAAGATAGATGAGAAAAAAATGGCACATTTTCCATTTCTTTTGAAAACCCCTTGGGAAGGTACCATGATAGTCTCTTAGTAAGTCTAATACAGAGAGCATATTATTGCCTCAGAGTAATCTACCTCTGTCAACTTTGATTACTGGAAACAGTAAAAATTTTTTTTTGCGCATGCTATCATTTATTTCTCTGTTTTAAAATGGTTTTTACCATATCTAGATCATATAGCTGTTACATCATTTAACCCTTTAATCCTCGTTTAATCTTGGTGTTATAAATAAGTACAGTATATATGTGATGCTTATCACCAGTCCTATCCATGTATCTCGTCATTTTGATTGTCAGAATATTATTAGATTCCTTAGGATGAGATCATAAAGACAATATTTCCTGTGTTCTTGCATGTTGACTGGTTTATTTGTGTTTTTTGTACTTGAAGGTCAGTTGTGTTGAATATAAAATCCTTGACTCGGCTGGGTACGGTGACTCATGCCTGTAATCCCAACACTTTGGAAGCCGGGGATGGATCACCTGAGGTCAGGAGTTCGAGACAAGCCTGGCCAACACGGCGAAACCCCATCTCTACTAAAAATACAAAAAAAAATTAGCCAGGCTTGGTGGTGGGCACCTGTAATCCCAGCTACTTGGGAGGCTGAGGCAGGAGAATCACTTGAACCCGGGAGGCAGAGGTTGCAGTGAGCCGAGATCAAGCCATTGCATTCCAGCCTGGAGGAGAAGAGCGAAACTCTGTCTCAAAAGAAAAAAAAAATCCTTGAGTTGCTATTTCTTTTTTCTTAAAATTTAGTCATTTAAATATATTTTTGGTATTAGTCCTCCTGAGTTGATATTCTCAGATAACTCACATATTTACAGTGATGTAAACTCTTTCAGTACCTAGTTTCAATTTTTTCAAAAATAGTATCAGCGAAGTTTTTTTTGTTTTTTAAACTAATTTTTCTCTTCCCTTCTTTTGATTTGCTTCTTTAGGGACTCCTACTGTTCATATATATCATGCTGCTTTTGCTTGTCTTTAGTGTTTGTAATGTTCCTCAAATCCTTTTTATAAAATCTCTGGCGTTCTTTTTTTTAAAAATGTTATTTGTTTATTTAAAAACTTTCATTTTAGGTTCAGGGTACATGTGTAGATTTGTTATGTAGGTAAACTTGTGTCACAGGGGTTTGTTGTACAGATTATTTTGTCACCTAGTACTAAGCCTAGTACCGAATAGTTACTTTCTCTGCTCCTCTCCCACCTCCTACCCTCCACCCTCCGGTAGTCCCCAGTGTGTTGCCTCTGTGTCCATGTGTTCTCATAATTTAGCTCCCGCTTATAAGTGAGAACATGCAGTGTTTGGTTTTCTGTTCCTGTGTTAGTTTGCTAAGGATGATGGCCTCCCATTCCACCCGTGTTCTTGCAAAGGACATGATCTTATTCTTTTTTATGGCTGCATAGTTATACTACATTTACTTCATCTAGTCTTTCGTTGATGGGCATTTAGGTTGATTCCACATTTTAGCTATTGCGAATAGTGCTGCAGTGAACATATACGTGCATGTGTCTTTATGATAGAATGATTTATATTCCTTTGGGTATATACCCAGTAATGGGATTGCTGGCTCGAATGGTAGTTTTCTTTTTAGCTCTGAGGAACTGCCATACTGCCTTCCCCAACGTGTATAAGCAGTCCCTTTTCCCTGTAGCCTTGCCAGCATCTGTTATTTTTTTTTGACTTTTTTAAATATTAGCCATTCTGACAGGTGTGAGATGATATCTTTGTGTTTTTGTTTGTTTCTTTGAGATGGAGTTTTGCTCTTTTTGCCCAGGCTGGAGTGCAGTGGCACAATCTTGGCTCACTGCAACCTCTGCCTCCCGGGTTCAAACGATTCTCCTGCCTCAGCCTCCTGAATAGCTGGGATTACAGGCATGCACCACCACGCCTGGCTAATTTTTGTACTTTTAGTAGAGATGGGGCTTCCCCATGTTAGTCAGGCTGGCCTCGAACTTCTGACCTCAGGTAATCCACCAGCCTCAGCCTCCCAAAGTGCTGGTATTACAGGAGTGAGCCACCACACCCGGCCGCTCATTGTGGTTTCAGTTTGCATTTCTCTGATGATTACTGATGTTGAGCATTTTTTCATATGATTATTGGCAACGTGTTTTTTTTTTTTTTTTTTGAAAAGTGTCTGTTCTTGTCCTTTGCCCACTTTCTAATGGGGTTGTTTTTTTTCTTGTAAAATTGTGTATAGATGATGGATATTAGACCTTTGTCAGATGCATAGTTTGCAGATGTTTTCTCATATTCTGTAGGTTGTCTGTTTACTCTTTTGATGGTTTCTTTTGCTGTGCAGAAGCTCTTTAGTTTAATTAGATTCCATTTGTCAATTTTTGCTTTTGTTGCAGTTGCTTTTGGCATCTTTGTCATGCAATCTTTGCCAGTTCCTATGTCCAGAATGGTATTGCCTGAGTTGTCTTCCAGGGTTTTTATAGTTTTGGGTTTTACATTGATGTCTTTCATCCATTTTGAGTTGATTTCTATGTATGGTATAAGGAAGGGTTCCAGTTTCAATCTTCTGCATATGGCTAGCCAGTTATCCCAGCACCATTTATTGAATAAGGAATCCTTTCCCCATTGCTTGTTTTTGTCAGCTTTGTCGAAGATCAGATGGTCGTATGTGTGGCCTTATTTCTGGGCTCCCTGTTACGTTCCATTGGTCTGTGTGTCTGTCTTTGTTACAGTACCATGCTGTTTGGTTACTGTAGCCCTGTAGTTTAGTTTGAAGCTGGGTAACCTAATGCCTCCAGCTTTGTTCTTTTTGCTTAGGATTGTCTTGGCTTTTTGAGCTCTTTTTTGGTTCCATATGAATTGCATTCCTGATTTGGCTCTTGGCTGTTGTTGGTTTATAAGAATGCTAGTGGTTTTTGTATATTGATTTTGTATCCTGAAACTCTGCTGAAGTTATTTTATCAGCTTAAGGAGCTTTTGCACTGAGACCATGAGGTTTTCTAGATACAGAATCATGTCATCTGCAAACAGGGTAGTTTAACTTTCTCTCTTCCTATTCGGATGCCCTTTATTTCTTTCTCTTACCTAATTGCTCTGGCCAGGACTTCCAGTACTGTGTTGAATAGGAGTGATGAGAGAGGGCATCCTTGTCTTGTGCTGGTTCTCAAGGAGAATGCTTCCAGCTTTTGCCCATTCAGTATGATGTTGGCTGTAGGTTTGTCATATACAGCTCTTACTATTTTGAGGTGTGTTCCTTCAATTTCAATGCCTAGTTTATTGAGAGTTCTTAAGATGAAGGGAGTTGAAGTTTATTGAAAGCCATTTCTGCATCTATTAAGATAATCACGTGGTTTTTGTCTTTAGTTCTGTTTATGTAATGAATCACATTTAATGATTTGCATATGTTGAACCAACCTTGCATCCCAGGGATAAAGCCTACTTGATTGTGGTGGATTAGCTTTTTAATATGCTGCTGGATTCAGCTTGCTAGTATTTTGTTGAGGATTTTTGCATCAATGTGTATCAAAGATAATTTGCCTGAAGTTTTGTTTTTTGTGTCTTTGCCAGGTTTTGGTATCAGGATGATGCTGACCTCATAGAATGAGTTGGGGTATTGTTCCTCCTCTTCAGTTTTTGGGAATAGTTTCAGTAGAAATTGTTCCAGCTCTTGTTTGTACATGTAGAGCAGCTATTAATTCATTTGGTCCTGGGGTTTTTTTTAGTTGGTAGGCTATTTACTACTGATTCACTTTCGGCGTTTGTTACTGGTATGTTCAGAGATTCAGTTTCTCCTGGTTCAGTCTTGGGAGGGTGGGTTTGTCCAGGAATTTATCAGTTTCTTCTAGATTTTCTAGTTTGTGTGCATGGCTGTGTTCATAGTATTCTCTGATGGTTACTTGTATTCCTGTGGGGTCAGTGGTATCCCCTTTGTCCTAATTGTGTTTATTTGGATCTTCTCTCTTCTTTGTCTAGCTAATAGTTTATCTTACTGATTTTTTTTCAAAAATACAATTCCTGAATTCGTTGGTCTTTTGAATGGTGTTTCGTGCCTAGCTCCTTCAGTTCAGCTCTTTTTGTTATTTTTTGTCTTCTGCTAGCTCTGGAGTTGGTTTGCTCTTGTTCCTATAGTTCTTTTTGTTGTGATGTTAGGTTGTTAATGTATGTAATGTTGTTAATGTCGTATGTATTGTTGATTTAATGTTAGGATGTTAGGTTGATTTCTTTTTTACTTTTTCTCTTAAGATGTTTTTTGGTCTTATATTCCTATCTAAAATGACCTTTTAAAATTTCAGATTTGGTCTCGAATTCTTCCTCTTCATTTCTACATTTTTTCTAATTCTTTCATGTCTTGTATCTTCTTGTGCTAATAACAGTTTTAATCCTCTCCCTCTTTTAAGCCTTCTTTCAGGCATACTTTTATTGTCTGCAGAGATGTTATTCTGCTACTCAGTATCCATTATATAGTAACTTTATGTAGAGCGGAGGTCTCCATCCCCCAGGCCACAGAGATGTACGGATCTTTGGCCTGTTAGGAACTGAGCCACACAGCAGGAGGTGAGTGGCGGGCAAGTGAGCAAAGCTTCACCTGTATGTGCAGCCACCCCCCATTGCTCTCATTACTGCCTGAGCGCTGCCTCCTGTGGCGGCATCACATTCTCACAGGAGTGTGAACCCTGTTGTGAGCCATGCATGCAAGGGATCTAGGTTGCACACTCCTTATGAGAATCTAATGCCTGATGATCTGTCACTGTCTCCCATCACCCCCAGATGGGACCATCTAGTTGCAGGAAAACTAGCTCAGGGCTCCCACTGATTCTACAATATGGTGAGTTTTGTGATTATTTCATCATATATTACAGTGTAATCATAATAGAAATAAAGTACACAATAAATGTAATGTACTTGGATTGTCCCGAAACCATCCCCTCCACCTGCCGGTCTGTGGAAAAATTGTCTTCAAAGAAACCAATCCCTGGTGCCAAAGAGGTTGAGGACTGCTGGTATAGAGGGTTTGATTCTGATCGTTTTTTCTCATTTTTGCCTGTAATTTGTGGTGGTTTTTTTTTTTTTCCTTCGGGAGGTGGCGGGGAGGATTTTGTTTGTTTGTTTGTTTGTTTGTTTTAGAATATGGCTTCGTTCACATGCTAAGGAAGTCTCCATAGCTGGTTGTTTATCCCCTCCTCGTTGCATTTTGCACTTCAAGGGGGATACATTGACCCCCTAGTTTTGTTGTAAATGTTGCACTTGGATTCTTGGTTTGTTATGTAGTCGACTGCCTGTTTTTATTCAGGAAGATTCATTCATGCCTACTCTCATTGCTGCTAATTTTTCCAGAATTCTGTTTTTAGTGCTCTAATTAGGGCTAGTTTAAAAAAAGAGTCTCTATAAAGGGAAATAGAATTAAAGTTAAATTGAATAATCAATCAAATACTTGTTGAGGTTCACTAACTTCGTGAACCACTTTGTGTCAGGCTTCTGCAGGGTTGCATTGAGTTGAAAGATGTATACGAATATATTGAACTAGCAAGCCAGTCACTGCGATGACTTGTTTTGGCAAAGAGAAAAGATTTTACTCACAAGACTGCCAAATGAGGAGATGGGAGAACAAATCTCAAACCCACCTCTCCAAAGATGGGATTTTAAGGATGTTTTTGGAATAGAGTACCAAGGTTCTCCAAGGTGTGGGGGAGAAAGATTGGGGGTAAGGAAAAGTGAGTTAGTTAGGATCTGCATACATGTAGTCAAGTTACACAGCTCTTCATAGAATGCATGTTTGAAAAATGGCAGTATCACCATGATCTGAGGAAGGAGGTTTTGGCCCTCTGACATCAAACAGTCACCTCTCTTTGGGCATTCATGCAGGCCCAGTTGAAGGGTCGGTGGTCTTAATCAGCTTGAAGTGGACAAGAGCTGCCAACTGGTTCCTGGAAATAACTTTAAGCAACCGTTACTGTAGTGACCCACATTCGGAAGTTATCTGTAAGGAAGTTCGTGGGAGATTTGCTATGTGACTTGCTAGTGGGGAGTTTAAAATAGATCAACTAGAAGTAAGCGATGAAAAAGACAGGTTAAGTTTGGCGGGCTTAATCAGGTTAGCCTTCGATTTTAAATATGTGACTTCCTCCCAAATAGGGCCTTGCTAACCGAGGATACTTGTGCTGTGTGTTAAGTAGCACAAGTGTGTACATGTGCCCCAGCACATGTACAGGATGGACCACTTCTGTGAAAGCCAAGGGTAGTTTTATGAATGAGGTGACATGGAACCTGGGTTTTGAAAGATGAGCTGAAGCTTGCAAGATTGATAAGGTAGTAAGGAAATCCTAGGGAGAGAGGAGATGTTAAGCCATAGTTTGATATTGCATGATCTCCCTAAGCAGGAATCAGTATTTAGGTGGGTTTAGAGCAAAGACTGGGGTGCTGGGAAGCAAGTTTGGAGTTGTATTCAAAGGCACTGCATGCTAAGGAATTTGGACTTGGGGCAAGGATCTATTGGATTAGGGTCTTTGTGTTAGAGGGACAGCACTGCCAACACTTGTAGTGCAGTGGAGGTGAGAAATCTGTTGAAAGGGCCAAATAAGACAATTATGAAGGTAGAGGGAAGGGAAAGTGGGGAAAAGTTGAACCTTTTGAAATTTTTAATGAACTGATCTTATATTCAGAAAACATTGAAAGCTGCAGCTCTCGTTCCTGGCTGCTCATTAGAATCACCTGGGGGCTATTTTTTTTTTTTTAAGTCCACCAACTCCTCTTCTCCATTTTTACTTAATTGGTATAGATTGAGGATCATGCATCAGCAAGCAGTTTTGAAATTGTTCCCAAGTGATTCTTACCTGCAGCCTGGGTAAGAAGTCGCAGGGCTCCTGGATAGTCATTAAGTGAACTGTGGTAAGCACTGATGTAGCAGGATTACCTGCCCTACTAGGTGCCGGAACTGCATTTACTTGCTCACAAGTAATTTTTTTAAATGTATGCTCGCATCCCTGCCTTGCTTATTGAAAGTTCCTAATGTTTTTGGTTTTTTTTAATCTTTTTATGTTTTTAACTTTTAAATAAAAGAGGAAAATAAAAGAACTACCAAACAAGATGTAAGTTCATACTGTAAAATTACATAGAGTAATTTTTCAAATTACTAAATTACAAAGATTAGCCCCAACTTCTTTGAAGGAGAAAAAAAGGGAAAGGATAATCGTTTACTAAGGCTGGGGTGTTTAGGTGTTTTCCCAGCATTTTGCAATTACAAACAGTCTGCAATGAATAACCTTGTGCGTTTGTTACTTTTGTATTGTGAGAGAGGTATGTGTATCTTTAGGGTACTTTCTAGAAGTTAGTTTGCTCTGTCAAAAGATAGTACATTTGTAGTTTTGTTAGGTTACTGCCAAATTCCTCTCCTGAAAGTTGTAGCAATTTGTGTGCCCATCAGTAGTAGACTGTTTGCTATAGCCTCCCTTTTCTGAAATATGTTATACTTTAATGTTTCTGTTCTTGGTGTTCTTTGGTTTTAATTTGCATTTATCTGTGGGTTTTAACATCTCATGTATCTTTTGTAAATTGTTTCATTGTTTTATTTATTTATTTATTTTTCTCCCTTCATGTTTAAGTAGTTCTTAATATCGACATTTTCAAAGTATGGTCTGTGGACTCCTAAAGGTCCCTGAAACCTTTTTAGGTTCAAGGGCAAAACTCTTTTTATTCAATATGAAGGTATTTCTTATCTTCTTCGCTGTGTAATTATTTGACTGAAGGTTCAGAAACAATGGCGGTTAAAACTGTGGGCTTTGTAGCCCAAATCAAGGCAGGGGCACCAAACCGTATAATAGTCATTGTCACACACTCGTAGATTAAAAGAACAATTTCAGTTTTATTTAAGAATGACTTGAAACAGTAAGAACTGTGTCTTGTTACTTTCCAACCCTTGAATACACACGTTTTCAGTAGTCTAGGTATGCAAACAGGAAGTGTGCCTAAAGTACTTCTGCCTTGTACTAAAGTACTTGTGTGATTATTTGAATTGCAGCCGTGTATTGAGTGGGGGGGGTGGAAGGCAGGCATCACTTTTACTTGAACAATTGTTTACTTGAAGGAATGTATGGTTATCCAAACTTGAATATTTGACAAACATATTTCTCCAAAATGAATGAGTACCTTGCTTCAAGGAGAACAATTCTTGATAGTATTTGTTGCTAACAATGAAAACTGATTTTTAAAACAAAATTTAAAATTTGAGAAATTTTTATCTGCCACCATAAGCTCAGTAGCTTTTCAGTACTTAAAGACTCTTTTGATAACCTTGATAGTGATATTAACACATGATTTTAAAATACACTGTGTGGTGAAATGTGGCATCATTTGGAAGATTTACCTAACTCAGGGAACCAGTATTTTCCGAAAGACTAAGGCATGCTATAGTAAAATTATACATGGATAAAATACTCATTCAGAGTGTAAAATAGGCCAATAGATAATTCATGCAACAGTACAGACAGTTGAATGATATGGTTTCAAACTGTACATTGTTACTCTCCTTTAGGAAACTATCATTTATTAAGTTTTTGGCATAAAGTCAAACATGAATTTTCGTAATTACCTAAAAAGTCTACTAAAATAACTCTTCTTTTTCAATGACTGTATCTGTGTATGAAAAGCTGGATTTTCTTTGTGTACTTTAACAAAAAGCAACATACTTACAGGGTTTGTTACAGTGCCTTTTCACAAACTTTGTTTTCTCTTCAGCGGTGAAAGTCAAATTTTGTCAAAGGCTTTTTCAGGATCTTGGAGATAATCATATAATTTTTTTCTCTAGATTTATTAATAGGATATATTATGCCAGTGGATTTCCTACTAATCCTGCATTCCTGGAATTAATCCCTTTTTCATGGAGTATTTATGTAGTGTTGGCCTTTGTTTGCTTATTTTTATTTTGTATTTTGCACTGATACAAATAAATTATGTTGAGCTGTAATATTGGGGGGTTAGTCATTATCATGGACAGTCATCAGCTTTCAGTGTCAGTATTATACTTGCTTCATAAAAAGAATTTAGAAGCTTTCCTTGATATCAGTGTTCTGAAACAATATATTGTACTGAGGCTGTCTGGATATTGCATGTTTTGGCACAATTTCTCTGGGAAATCATTTGCGCCTGGTGCCTTTTTGTGGGATAATTCCCTCATAAATTTTGCTGCTTTTTTCTCCAGAAATTGGGCCGTTTAAGCCTTTTATTTATAATAGGGTCAATTTTGGCCATCTATATTTCCTCAGGAATTATGTTTCCTTTAGGTTTTCAAATTTATTTGAATTTGTTCTGTAGTGTCTTATGTTTTCTAATGCTGTTCTAATAGTCATTTGTCTCTAATTGTTTATTTTTGAAGTTTTAGTCCTGCTTTTAATTTGAAATTTGGATATTGTCTTTGAATTATGATGAGTGTATGGTTTTGTGTACAGTAGTCCCCTCTGAGCCATGGGGTGTATGTTCCCCCAGTGGATGCCTGAATTCTTGGATAGTATCAAACCCAGTTTTGCTGTTAATTGGAGCACATTTCTGTGCCTGTCTTCCACTCACAAGTTTAATGCCTTTTCCATCTTAAATAAGCACTTACCATGCACTGTGGCGAAACCCTTGCAATTTTAGGTGTGACAGCAAAACCAGCACAAATTTTGTTTTCCTTCACAATTTCACTAATAGAAGATTCCTTCTCCCTGTAGATCTTAGTAACCTCAGCATATTTTTTTTTTTTTTCTGTATTAAATGGAGGACTTTCGCCTTCTCTCTTGAAGGAAACACTACAGATTTTCTTTGGTATACCGAATTGCCAGCATCACTACTACTGTACTTTGGGGTCATGATTAAGTAAAATAAGGGTGACTTGAACACAAGCATTGTGTTACCTCTCCACAGTTGATCTCATAACTGACAGCTACTGAGTAACTAATGGGTGGGGAGCCCCTATGGCGTGGAGACACTGGACAAAGGGATGATTCACATCTTAGATGGGACGTAGCAGGATGGCAAAATATTTCATCACACTGCTCATAACGGTGTGCAATTTAAGTCTTACCAATTGTTTATTTCTGAAGTTTTCCGTTTAAAATTTTCACACTGCAGTTGACCTGAAGTAACTGAAAGCAAAGAACATGAAACCGAGGATAAGGGAGAACCACTGTAGTTGGTCTATTTTTGTTCTATTAAATTTTGGGAGAATATATAGAGAAACAGATTCAGATGGTTGCCATTATCTTCAGTTACTCAGAAATTTCCCTGTTTTATTATTTTCTTTTTTCATATTAACTTTTTTGTGTTCGCTTTATTGCCATATAATTCACATGCCAAACAATTAAAGTATGCAGTTCATTGGTTTTTAGCGTGTTCCGAGTTGTGTGACCATCACCAGAGTCCATTTTAAAACATTTTCATTACTGGGGAAAAAAAAAACACCTCCCATTGAATTATCACCCCCTCCAATCCCTGTAGCCCTAGACAACCACCATTCAGGTTTTTGTCTTTATAGATTTGCCTTTCTGAGCATTTTATATAAACGGAATAATAGAATCTATTAACCTTTGTGACTGGTTTCTTCACCTTAGCATGATGTTTTCAAGGTTGATTCATGTTATACTATGTATGAGTACTTCATTCCTTTTTACACACAATGTTTCATTGTATGGATATATATCACGTTTTATCCATTCATCAGTTGATGGACACTTGGAATAGTTGGTATTTATTCATTTTTAAGAAGATTTTTTTTTTTCTTTTGCTACTTCTATAGGCTTTGGGATGGGAGGAAAGGTGATGTATGCACTATTCATGGTGAAAATAGTCTCCTCTGTTGCGGACTGGAAAGCTGAGGGAGGAAGTTGTTACCTTTGTCCTCAGGCAGTTTGAATTGTACAGTTTTATACAAAAACATACATTTCTGGCTTAATGATTCTGTAGCCTTAAGAAAATGTATATTGTCTCTTTAAACTACTCTTAAGTACTTCATATCCTTTCTAGGGAATAGTGATTTCTTTGAGATTAGGTAATTTTTTAACAACCTGGAAAATATTTTGAATTTTTTCTATACCGGCCTGTCCTGAGTCATTGTGGTAAAGATTCTTGGCTCTTTCAGAAGTGCGTAGCTTATTATAATTTAGTTTTTTAAAAAGGTAATTTTACAATGTTAGTTCAATATGGCTAATGTACACCTTCTATTGTATAGTGTGCACAAGGCATTATATTCTACAGAGATTTTTAGGAGTTGGCAGAAGTTGTTGAAAGAAGTTGAAATAACTAATACTTGATTTTCAAAGCAATTGATATTTATGTAAAATGACAAAGGGTGTGTATGCTGGATAAGTCTGTCATCTTCTAAATCAGTTGCCAGGATGGCTGATGATCACACTGGGCTCTGCCAGTCTCCTCAGGACCTCTTCTGATCAAAAATAAAGTCAGGATCTCAGTGTTAATAATTTTTAATTGTCTTTTGGTTTTTAAAGAACATGTATATAGTTGGCGATTTTTAATATTCTGTTATGTCCAGTAGTTATTAGAGCATGCATTCTTGTACAAGGATAATTCTAATAGGTAACCATGCAGGTGAGTGTTTATGGATCACAGATATATTAAGATTGTAATTTTTATATTTTGGCTTCTCTAGATTGTAGAGTATGATATAACAATTATTTTTGTCCTTAATAGCAATATTTTACTGTAATTTTTACTTTAGGCTCCTGGATTTGGATTTGGAATTGCAATATCTGGTGGACGAGATAATCCTCATTTTCAGAGTGGGGAAACGTCAATAGTGATTTCAGATGTGCTGAAAGGAGGACCAGCTGAAGGACAGCTACAGTAAGAGTGCTGCTTATCGTGGGCACTGTGCAACAAGCAGTGTTCCTCTCCTCAGGCACTGGCGTACTGTCTTACACTGTCTTAGTGATTTTGTCATATTCACACTCCACCTGTGCCATGCTTCATATATTTTTCCTTAAATTAACATATATTAAGAGGGAAACTGGCTAGGTGTGGTGGCTCACTCCTGTAATCCTAGCACTTTGGGAGGCTGAGGCAGGGGGATCACTTGAGACCAGGAGTTTGAGACCAGCCTGGGCAATGCAGTGAGATCCCCATCTCTACAAAAGAAGTTTAAAAATCAGCTGGGCATGGTGGCTTGTGCCTGCAGTCCCAGCTACTTGGGAGGCTGAGGCAGGAGAATCCCTTGAACTTAAGAATCTGAGGCTGCAATGAGCCATGATTGCACCACTGTACTCCAGCCCAAGTGACAGAGCGAGACCCTGTCTCCAAAGAAAATAAAGGAAGCTTTATCCCTATGAAAATTGGAAAGCTAGTATCACTCACTTTAAATAGAATGTGTAACTGTAAAAATAGTGAAAAAGAAAATGTATAACTCCTTTTGGGTAGAATCTAGCCTTCAGAAGCCTCCTCCCCAAGTCTTGCCACCCTTTTTATTCCCTATGAAGATTAGTAAGATAAAGAGAAACACAAAATACACTAGCAAAATAGTGGCACTATAATTAGAAGAATTAAAAGAGAATTAAAAGATGAAAAACTTAAAAGGGAGTAAGTTTTCCAGCTGTATGACTTAGTATCATTTAATGCCCTGTAACTGTACTACCAAGAATCATTTCGTGTATGTGATATCTGTTCAGTCTTTTGGGGAAATACTTTGTTAATGACTTAAAAAAATTAAGGACCTGTGGTTAGTTACTTGTTAAACATTCTGCAGAGAAATCTGAAAGTAAGTCAGTTGACATTATTTTATCATTGATCTAAAGAGAAATTAATTAATTGGCTCATAATTAGATTACATTTTAGAAGTACCTATCTTGGAAATATCATCATAAACTTACCAGAATGTTTTTCTCTAACATATTATTTTGTGCCCTTTTCCCCTTAGGGAAAATGACCGAGTTGCAATGGTTAACGGAGTTTCAATGGATAATGTTGAACATGCTTTTGCTGTTCAGCAACTAAGGAAAAGTGGGAAAAATGCAAAAATTGTAAGTATCTTTTCTCTGTAATTTAGTAAAGGTACCCCAACTTTATTGTTGATACATTTCTGGTATTTGAATTTATCCTTCCCATTTAAGGAAAACTGAAACAATAGTTCCAAAGTTATTTGTTTACACTTGAGTGTTTCTTCTAACACTGGTGTGGTATGTCACTGGTACGTGTATTTTCTCAGTTTAGATACCAGGATTTTTTTCAATTGAAAAAGGAAAGGGGACAGTTAAATAGTTACCTTTTTTTTTTTTTTTTGAGACGGAGTCTCGCTCTGTCGCCCAAGCTGGAGTGCAGTGGTACGGTCTCGGCTCTCTGCAAACTCCGCCTCCTAGGTTCACACCATTCTCCTGCCTCAGCCTCCTGAGTAGCTGGGACTACAGGCGCTTGACACCACGCCCGGCTAATTATTTGTATTTTTAGTAGAGACAGGGTTTCACCGTGTTAGCCAGGATGGTCTCGATCTCCTGACCTCGTGATCTGCCTGCCTCGGCCTCCCAAAGTGCTGGGATTACAAGCATGAGCCACCACGCCCGGCCAAATAGTTACCTCTTTTTGGCTTAATGTTTCCTCCTCTTTTCCTCCTCTACAGTCACATGCTACATGACAATGTTTTGGTCAACAACAGACCACATATCTGACAGTGGTTCCATAAGATTATAGTACTGTATTTACCTTTACCGTGTTTAGATACACACATAGTTACCATTGTGTTACAGTCGCTTACAGTATTCAGTTCACTAACATGCTGTACAGGCTTGTAACGGAGGAGCAATAGGCTATGCCAAGTAGCCTAGATGTGTAGTAGGCTATACCATCTGGGTTTGGGAAGATAACGTTCTGTGATGTTCACACAAAGACAGAATTGCCTGATAATTCACTTCTCATAATAGATATATTATGTTACTGTTCTGGATACTGTAGGCAGCTGTAAAACAATGGTAAGTATGTGTATGTCTAAACATGGAAAAAGTACAGTAAAAATATATAGTGGATAAAAAAATTATATGCCTGTTTAGTGCACTTACTATGAATGGAGCTTGCAGGACTGGAAGTTGCTCTGAGTGAGTCAGCGAGTGAGTGGTGAGTGAATGTGACATCTTAGGACATTACTGTACACTACTGTAGACTTTGTAAACACTGTACATTTAGGCTGCACTAAATTTTTAACGTTTTAATATTTTTAATGTATTTAATATTTTATAAATTTATAAAATTTATTTAAGTCTTCTTTCTTCAATAATAAACCTTAGCTTACTGAAACTTTTTTAACCTATAAACTTTCTAACTTTTTGACTCTCGTAATAACAAACACGTTGTACAGCTGTACAAAAATATTTAAAATTTTTTGGGTTCTTTTTGGTTTTTTTCTTTTTTTTTTGAGACAGAGTCTCACTCTGTCACCCAGGCTGGAGTGCAGTGGCGCGATCTTGGCTCACTGCAAGCTCAGCGTCCCGAGTAGCTGGGACTACAGGCACCCGCCACCAGAGCTAATTTTTTTGTATTTTTAGTGGAGACAGGGTTTCACCATGTTAGCCAGGATGGTGTCGATCTCCTGATGGAGGCTGTCTCGTGATCCGCCCCGCCTCGGCCTCCCAAAGTGCTTGGATTACAGGCTGTGTTTTTTTAAGACACGGTTTCGCTCTGTCACCCAGGCTAGAGTGCAGTAGCGTGATCTTGGCTCACCGCAACCTCCGCCTCCCTGGTCCAGGTGATTCTCGTGCTTCAGCCTTGGGATTACAGGCGACCGCTACCAAGCCCGTATTTTGTATTTTTAGTAGAGATGGGGTTTTGCCATGTTAGCCAGGCTGGTATTGAACTCCGGGCCTCAAGTGATCTGCCTGCCTCCGCCTCCCAAAGTTCTGGGATTACAGGTAGGAGGCACTGCACCTAGCCTAAAATTTTTTATTTTTCACTTTTTAAACTTTTTTAGTAAAAACTAAGACACAAGCACACACATTAGCCTAGGGCTACCCAGGATCAGGGTCATCAGTGTCACTGTCTTCCACCTCCACAGTTTGTCCTAGTGGGAGGTCTTCAGGGGCAGTAACACGCATGGAGCCATCATCTCCTGTGACAATAATGCCTTCTTGTGGAACACCTCCTGAAGGACCTACCTGAGGCTGTTTTCTCAGTTAACATGTAGAAAAAAAAATAAGTAGAGGGAGTACACTCTGCAGTAATGATAAAAAGTTTAGCATAGTAAATACATAAACCAGTAACATAGTCATTATCAAGTATTATATTCTGTACATATTGTATCTGCTACACTTCTATTCCACTGGCAGCATAGTAGCTTTGTTTACACCAGCATCACCACCAACATAAGTACTGCAGTGCACCCACGACATTATGACCCTGTGGCGTCCCTAGGTGATAGGAGATTTTCAGCTCCATTGTGATATTATGGGGCCCCTGCAGTACGTGCTGTCCGTTGTTTTACATGGTGCATGACTGTGTAGGTATCCACATGGCCATGCAGCATTTCACTATGCATATATATTTATCCAACCCACTCATTCACAGGCATTTCAGTGTCCAGTCCGCAAGTATTTTTTTAAAATTCAGCTGCAAAAATCATCATATTACTACCTACTTGTTTAGTTAATGTTTAGAATAATTTTCTAGGAGTGGCTTTTCAGAGTCAAAGGGCCTGAATGACTTTTGATGTATGTATTGCCAGTTTGTCCTTCAGAAAATCAATAGGCTATTGAGAGTTCAGTTTTCAACAGGTCTTAAATCTTTGCCAAACTGATAAACTAAACAAGTGTTTCAAATGAAACATTTTAAATCACAAGTGGATTTGATCCTCTCATGGTGTATTTACTACCCATTTGTTTTTTCATTTACCTGTTCATGTCCTTTGCATTTATATGGTGGTGATGGTCATACTAGAGTGTTTTCTGTAGTCAGATTATTAGCCTTTTGTCATACATACCTCATGTGTTGTTATCCTCTTTGCTTTTGTGAATGCTTGTAAGTTGTTTGTGTTTGTTGTTTTGTATCATTTTATTACAACATTGAAATGTTTTCATTTTTATTTTGTCATGTCTGTCAGACTTTCATTTTATTGGTTCTGCCTTGGTGTCATGCTTCCAAAAGCCTTTTAATTGCAAAAGCCTCTCTGTTGTATTTTTTTCTAGTACTTACATGGCATCATTTTGTTTTATTTTACCTTTGAGACTTAGTTAAGCTAAACTATTTTGAAGTAGGCATTTTTTTTCCTAAATATTTTGATTCCAAATTTTTCATAGTGTTAAAATCGAGCATAGTTGTCACACCTACTAATTATTATTCATGTTTATAACTGTTGATTCATAAGTAGAGAATCACAATAGGACTGGTTACCTTTCAATAAGTTAAGCACCTACTAGATGCAAGCATTGCATTATATGTACAGTTAAATGCATGGTAAGGAACTTCTCAAAAAACTCAAATCTTAGTGGGCTGGATAGGTATACATACTGATAACCATATAATGCACGTCATCTCAGGTTGATAGGTCAGGTACAGTAGGATCCCAAAGAGGTGGCGCACTCTTACAGGAATGATAGGGAAAGCCTTGAGTGCTCATCTGCTCAACTTTGTTTTTGTTTATTACTAGGGAGGAACTGAAGATTAAAATACTAATACCAGGTATTGCTTCCAATATAATATGTTGGAAATTAAATAGAAGTGAGATGTAAAAGCAGGCAGCTAGCATTAGGAATGCTTTACAGAAAATATTACCCTATAAGGACTTCAGCTGTGGGTTGCTCCAATAGGAGAAGGGCAGCCTTTCTCTTTCAGTTCATAACAGGGCATTGGCTGTCCTCCTTTTCACATGCTGGCCTCTGCTGTTTCTCATCCTTGAGCTTCAGCGTTGTTTCCTCAGAATGGCCCTCTGCTCAGGCCCTCATCCTGATCCTGAACCAGTATCTGATAATAATAGTAGTAGTCATAGGAAGCAGTGGTATTAAGTGTAGAGCAGCCCTTTGAAGAAGTTTAGGCACATAGAGAAGAGAGAAAAGATGATAACATGCAGGTGAATAGCAAGACAGAGAAATAGAAGATTAATTGGGGGAGCTTAGTAGGTAGAGGACAGATTTTAGGTAAATAAAGAGATTGAAGTTTCAGGTAACCTGGAGTATGGTAATTGATGAAGAAAAAAGTCTTAGAGGTAGGTAGGGATGAGAATGAGAGCTCAAATACAAGGGTTTTGTTCATCCAGGGAGAAGATTGCCTTGGTCTTTGAGACCAGAAGGAAAGAGGACCAAATAAATGAGACACTGAAAAAATTTAGGAGGGGAAATACTGAAAAAATTTAGGAGGGGAGGGGGAGTAAAATGGCACTGATCTTAAAGCAGGCTGAGTGGCTGGGATCTTGAAGAATGGTTGTAGAATACCTACATTAGCGAATTCCACAGAGAGGCAACAATATGTAGATGAAAGGATTGCTGAACAAGAGCAAGACTTCTGTAAAATGAATTTACAGAGGGCCTCATCAGCAAAGTGTGGAAGTGAAGGTAATAATAGGACTGGAGTTTGTCAGGGCAGATGATTGAGGGGTCAAGAAAAAGTCATTTAAATATGGCAACAGGATGTCTCATGCAAACTTAGGGGGAATGCGAGTGAAACCAGGATGGAACTGATGAACTAAGATGAAGGAATTGGAAATAAGATAGTGAAAAGTTTCAGTAGCTCAAGGTGTCCGACATAGAAGACAAGGAGTGATACACAAGGAGATCCTGTAGAACTACAGTGAGGTCAAGTGTATACTATTGTGAGAAGGCAAAGTGTAGTCCACAGATTACAGGGCCATTCAGTCAGCAGGTGTAATACATGTAGATCGTCAGCTTGCAGAGAATGAAGGAAATAAGTGGACAGGCAATACAGAGCCAGTTACCAGAATCATTGAGAAAAGAACGCCAGAGGGAAGAATTTGCACCTAGACTGGGAGTACAAATTGAAGAGATCCAGAGACTGAAAGCAGTTTGTGTTGGTGAAGTACGGCTGAGTTAATTAGCTCCAACATATTATTGAATGTTAGTGCGGCTATAGAATAAATTATCTCTTAGAGGTCTGGGGCAATTGTGGGCTTTGATATTGATGCATTCTAAAATTTTTAAGGAAGCAAGTTGGGCATGGAAGTTTGCTGTGGTTTTGGTAGCACCTAGAGTATATTTGATGGCATTAGAGTACAGTGCTGTCCTTTTTATTCAAACCACCAACAGTTGTTAGTTTCCCTGTAAGCTTGTGATTATTACACCAGGAAGATCTTTCTGTGTGAAGTAAATAAAGAGGTTTTTAGGCCCACTCGTTCTTATTTGTGCTTAACCAGATCTGTTTATCAGGAGAACAGAAAACACAGCCTTTATGGAAATGTATTCCTTAGAAATTTGTTGTAGTTGTTTGTGTATTGTTTCTTGCTGGTTCATAGTTAATATGGGATGAGAAGTGTAATATTCCTTTCTCTTTGGAACTGAACGTACATATATGAAAATCAGTCAACTTATTTTTTAACCTTTTTAACTTGCAGACAATTAGAAGGAAGAAGAAAGTTCAAATACCAGTAAGTCGTCCTGATCCTGAACCAGTATCTGATAATGAAGAAGATAGTTATGATGAGGAAATACATGATCCAAGAAGTGGCCGGAGTGGTGTGGTTAACAGAAGGAGTGAGAAGATTTGGCCGAGGGATAGAAGTGCAAGTAGAGAGAGGAGCTTGTCCCCGCGGTCAGACAGGCGGTCAGTGGCTTCCAGCCAGCCTGCTAAACCTACTAAAGTCACACTGGTGAAATCCCGGAAAAATGAAGGTATTCTCTGCCAACTCTTGCTGTTTTTTTCACATGAAAATTTAAAACTAATTTTAATGAGAAGTACAGTTGCTGTCTCTTCATGTCTTTGCTTTGTTGTCTTTGTGTTTGTGTTCTATCACTGTAAGTCAAATCCTGTTATGGCAGGCTTCAGGGACTGTTCATTTTTTCTGTTGGAACAGATAACACTTCAAGTGAATTGTCCAGGGCTTGGCTTTTGGATTTGTTGTGATGAGAATAGCCAGGTACAAATTATGCTAACAAGAAATGTCACACCATCACCAAATGGAAATTCAGTGTTTTTCTTAACTGTTAGTAGTGTAATCATGGAGAGAAATCTTGGGAGTGTTGTTGTTGTTGTTGTTTTTGTTGTTGTTACAAGGTCTGGCTCTGTCACCCAGGCTGGAGTGCAGTGGCACAATCTCAGCTCCCTGCAACCTCTGCTTCCCAGGCTCAAGCAGTCCTCCCACTTCAGCCTCCCTGGTAGCTGGAAGTACAAGTACATGCCACCATGTCCAGCTAATTTTTTTATTTTGGGTAGAGACAGGGTTTTTGCCGTGTTGCCCAAGCTGTTCTCAAATTGGTAAGCTCAGGCAATTCACCTGCCTCGGCCTCCCACAGTGCTGGGATTATAGGCGGGAAGCCACTGTGCCCTGCTGGGACTTCTTCCCCCTCACTCCAGACTGTTTTTTTTAAATGGAGGAATTTAAGGAAAGGAACCCCTTATAGAGCATTTCTCCATAATGCAGTACTTCTTTGAAGTTTTTGAAACTGAAACTCAGCTGCTTTCCCTCATGCCTCATTAAATTTGATAAAAAATGGATCTGACTGTGGCTTGCTCCTCCTGTGGGCATGCATGACTGATCATTTTGATATAAAGGGTGTTACAGTTGGAATATTATCAAGACTTACTTTGATCTGCTTTACCACTTGGCATATCTCCTAGGTGGTATTCCATACCCCCATTCAGTGAAGTCTCAGTGAAGTTGTCAACATTTGCTGTTTTTACTTCACTACTTACCCCTCAATCCTCTCTGGTCTGGTATCTTTTCCGCTCTGCCCCCAAAAATGTTCACACTAAATCTAGTGGAAGTTTTTCAGTCTCTAGCTTGCTTGCCTTTTCAGTATCATTTCACATGGTTAACCACTCCTTATTTTCAAAAATAATGTCTTCTTTGGTAGTACTGTATCTTTCTGTTTTTTTCCCCCACCTTTCTGTATCTTTTGCAAGCTCATTCTCCTCACCCTGCCCTTTATAACGTTCTGTCAGTTTCTCTCCTAGAATCTTTTTTTCCACTTAAGGTAACTTTTTTTTTCTTTTCCTCAGGTTGAATAACAATTAATTTAGGCAATCTCATCTGCTCCCCTGCTTCCAGTCACTGCTGATGATGGCAGAACCTCTTTCTCCAGCCCAAATCTTTACACTCTTGTGTTCCAACTGTTAGGCATATTCACTTAGATGTTCCTGTAGGTCCCTGAAACACAGCACATCTCAAATGAAACTCATCTCCCTCTTAAAATTTTTCTTTGTATTTCTCATGAAGTATTCAGTTGAATGTGTTTCTATTGATCCAGTTTCTCAGGCCATTCCCAGATGACATGGTAGTTACCCTTGCCTTCTCTTTTTTTCCCATGCATGATGAATGTCCTCACTCCTGAATACCACTCTTATCCATCCCACTCTTTCTCCACTGCCTCCACCCTTTTCCAAGCCACTGTCATCTCTTACATAGACTCATTTGGTCTCATAGGTTGTCTCTTGGATCCCTTTAAGTTGATTCTGCAGATTTCTTCATAGATCCTCTGTGACACTTCTGTCTTACTCTTTTGCCCCTTTCTTTATTAGTTCTCAGTCTCAGCTACACTAGACTTATGACTTCATTAGGTCCACCAGGTTTTTTTCTTCATTACTTTGATGCATTTGTTTTGAACTTTTCAGCCGTCACTCACCCCATGCATCCCCTCCCCCACAAACATACCCTTCAGGTTTAGGTCTTTCTTAGGTAAAGTTTTAACTTTAGTATATCTTCCTCAGGGCGGCCTTCTCCTTCCCCCTAGTAAGTGAAGAACCCTTGTGTTTCTGCCCTCTGAACTCACCGCATTTGGGATTACCATGCTAACATCCTTTTTTTCACTGACTGCAAATTGCCAGAGTGCAGGAACTATCTCATTTGCTGCTTTCTCCCTAATGCCTGGTACCTAGTTCATATATACCCCAAGAAATATTTAGAATGAACGAACAAACTAATATACAAGAAATATTTTGGGGTCATCTGTGTAATGGTCATTTATAAGTGTTTAATCTTGAAGAACAGTCTTTTAACCAATACCCTATCCTTCTGTGATGTAATGACCATATGGATGACTGCCTCATTCCTTGCCCAGATATCCTAAAAGGCCGTTTTCTTCACCCTGATTCTATTTCTGGCTGTGAGTACTCTTTGTATATTTGTCTTAAGTTAAACTGTAATTCTGATGTAATTTTTTTTTTTTTTTTTTTGAGACGGAGTCTCACTCTCTCTCTCAGGCTTGGAGTGCAGTGGCACAATCTCAGTTCACTGCAACCTCTGCCTCCCAGGTTCAAGCAGTTCTCCTCCCTCAGCCTCCCAAGTAGCTGGGATTATAGGTGTGCACCACCATGCCCAGCTAATTTTTTGTATTTTTAATAGAGACGGTTTTACCATGCTAGCCAGGCTGGTCTCGAACTCCTGACCTTGTGATCCGCCCGCCTTGGCCTCCCAAAGTGCTGGAATTACAGGCATGAGCCACCATGCCCAGCCTACTCTTATGTAATTTTTAAACACTTAGGTAATAGGTCTGTTAATTTATCCCATGTTAAAACAGTTTTCTGTTTTCCATCTTGGTTTTTGATTTTGTTTTTAATGCAGTAAGACTCTCCTCACAGAACCAGGGGCAATCCTTTTACTATTGACATTATATTGATAGTTGTAGTCATTGTTCTTATTTTTCTTAAAATATGTTTTTCTGCAGCTGTTGCAGGAACCTGGGCAGTTCTCTGGACTCTGCTAGTAATTTCCTCAACTTCCAACATTCCTTACCCACAGACGGAGTGATGTTCTCACTCTTGGATACTTTGTTGGTTGTTTAAAGGAAAGGATTGGCATTATAACTCCTGCCCACATCTGCCTGGCTGGTTGTAAGCCTTTGCACTCATGCTTAGTACATGCTAGTACTCTGAGTATGTCTATCCAGTGTCATGGGGTGTATAGGATCAGAAATATTTTTGGTCTAGGAGCTGGGAAAAATAGAAGTAGTATATGCATGATAATAGTCATCAATAAAATGGTCAATCTTTTCAAAGTTTTTCAAACCTCAAGCAGTTTACTCTTTAGAATTATATCTCTAGCCAGGCATAGTGTGACACATGTCTGTTAGTCCCAGCTACTCTGGAGCCTGAGGCAGGAGGGTTTTTTGGCCCCAGGAATTCAAGTCCAGCCTGGGCAACATAGTGAGACCCTGTCTCTTAAAGAAAATTGTATTCCTTAATCATTCTGAAGAGCTAGTGTATCAATGCTTGGTCAAAAAGAAATGGTGTCCTCTTGGGGATTTTCTCCTTTTCAGTAATATGGGAACACGGTCTATCAGTCCTTCGTTTGAACCATACACTTTCCCTTGGCTTTCACGGAGACATTGCAGACTTGCTAATTAGAGGGAATGTCTTATTTGCAGGATGGCCAAGAAATATTTCTTGTTATTGATTGTACTTGAAAACTCTATGCAGTAGTTAATTAGTTTAGTTGTATACTTGTAAAATCTATTTAGGTGTCTTAGGATGTTATACTAAAAACACTTACTTACATTATTTCAGAATATGGTCTTCGATTGGCAAGCCATATATTTGTTAAGGAAATTTCACAAGATAGTTTGGCAGCAAGAGATGGCAATATTCAAGAAGGTGATGTTGTATTGAAGGTATAATCATATTCTTACTTTTTAATGAACTGAAATAGAAAACAAGTTCTAGAGTTACCATGTAGTCTGTGCTCTTGTTTGAAGCAGTTTTGCCAAAGAGAATTAAAAATCAGTGTTTGGGGGAGAGGGATATAAATTCCCTTTATGCATTATTACATGTCGACACCAATGCTTTAGGTATCACAGGGTCATCCTGAGATAATTATTCACAGGCCGGTACTACTTTGTAGATAGATATGTCTGTTCTTACACATTAAAAAGTTCTGATAATTGCTTCCAGATACTATTGAAATGCTTATTTATTCGTTTGTTTATAAGTAATAGAAAGTGACAGCCTCAAAGAAGGAGTTAGGGGATGCTACTATGGGTTTTTCTGACAGCAACAGTACAGTAAAGATTTTATCATCTCAAGAAGGTGGAATACTTTGACAGTTTGGAAAAGTGTAGAGAGAATATTTTGGTTTTCATAGCAAGGAGTGGTTTGGATATTTCTGTTTATAACAAACTAAGTTAACATTTGTATTTTATTATTTACTTTCAAGCTGTAATTTATTTTCTGTTGCAGATAAATGGTACTGTGACAGAAAATATGTCATTGACAGATGCAAAGACATTGATAGAAAGGTCTAAAGGCAAATTAAAAATGGTAGTTCAAAGAGATGAACGGGCTACGCTATTGAATGTCCCTGATCTTTCTGACAGCATCCACTCTGCTAATGCCTCTGAGAGAGACGGTGAGTGTGATTCTGTTTGAACGTTCCCTCTAAGTGACCTATTTTCTTAAAATACTAGGGAGATTGAACATCTTTGAATGAAATGATAATTTTCTACCAGCCAAACACCTTCAAAATCTATAAGTTTTATATACATTTTTTCCTGTAGACAACTCACCACTATTGATATGATTGCTGGCAGGTGAAATTAATGCATAAATCTTCCATTTTATATATAATTTTACTTACTAGCTTATCTTCATTATTACTGGAGTACCTTATACTTGACTGTAATTATTTTTGTGGGAAAATAAGTAGCACCCTTTTATTAACAGACATTTCAGAAATTCAGTCACTGGCATCAGATCATTCTGGTCGATCACACGATAGGCCTCCCCGCCGCAGCCGGTCACGATCTCCTGACCAGCGGTCAGAGCCTTCTGATCATTCCAGGCACTCGCCGCAGCAGCCAAGCAATGGCAGGTAAGACACCCTATTTTTTTAAAAAATACAGGGGTTTTGTTTGCTTGATACCAGTATCTGAAATTGCTTACAAATAAAATTAAAAGATGTATTTCTTTTGATTATTCAAGATTAGATCTGTTTTTCTCAACTTAGACATTTTTTAAATCTAAAATAACCGCAAACTTTCCCTTAAAGGGCCAGATAGTAAACATATTTCAATCATGCAGGCCATATAGTTCTTTTCACTGCTCAACTGCAAAAGCAACCATAGACAATGTGTAAATGAATGGGCATGACTATGTTCCCATAAAACTTTATTTACAAAAGCGGTTGATCCGCAGCTGCAGTTTGTCATACTATTGCATTAGAAGATGCTAGCAAGCTTCAGAAATCTACTGCTTGGGAAAGTTAACTACAGAAGTCCTTTAATAAACACATTAACCTGGACTTTGTTTTCTCTTTTAAAAATACACTAGTGTTGGCCGGGCGCGGTGGCTCACACCTGTAATCCCAGCACTTTGGGAGGCCGAGGCAGGCGGATCACTTGAGGCCAGGAGATCAAGACCAGCCTGGCCGACATGGTGAAACTCTGTCTCTACTAAAAATACAAAAATTAGCCAGGTAGTGTTGGCACATGCTTGTAATCCCAGCTACTCGGGAGGCTGAGACATGAGAATTGCTTGAACCTGGGAAGCGGAGGTTGCAGTGAGCCGAGATCGCACCACTGCACTCCAGCCTTGGTGACAGAGCGGAACTCTTTCTCAAAAACAAAACAAAACACTAGTATTTATGCCAAAGGTTCTGGTATACTGGTAGTATATGACCTACCTGAGTTTATCTTTCTTTAGAGTCACACGTACATTTGAGAATCTGAAGAAAATTATGATCCTTCTCTCCAGAAAAATGTGCATGTGCACATACACGCAGCAATTGCATACAATTTCTGGAGACTCCCAAGGCTCTATAGGCCACCACCTGACCCATGGTTAACTGCAGTCCACATGAAGATCACTTGAAACATGAGTCCAGGGCTGAAGAGACAGTTTAGAAGAAAAGGGAACCCTTATACGTTGTTGATGAGAATGTAATTGATACGGCCATTCTGGAAAACAGTATGGAGGTTCCTCAAAAAATTAAAACCAGAACGAACTAGCACATGATCCAGCAATTCCACTTCTGGGTACATATCCAAAGGAAATGAAATCACTGTCTCGAAGAGATATCTGCACTCTCATGTTTGTTGCAGCATTATTCACAATAGCCAAGGTATGGAGTCAACCTGAATGTCGAACACATGAATGGATAAAGAAAATGTTCACACACACAATGAAATGTGATTTAGCCTTTAAAAAGAAGGAAATCCTGCCATTTGGAACAACATGGATGAACCTGGAGGGCATTGTGCTAAGTGAAATAAACCAGACACAGAAAGACAAACACTGCATGACCTCACTTACTGTGGAACCTAAGCAAGTTGAACTCATAGAAACAGACAGTAGAATGGTGGTTACCAGGGGTTAGGGGTGGGGAGGAATGGGGAGATGTTTGTTAAAGGGTACACAGTTTCAATTATAAGATGAGTAAGTTCTGGAGACCTAATTTACAGTGTAGTGACAAGAGTTAATAACGTATACTTGAAATTTGCTAAGAGAGTAGATCTTAAGGCATTCTTTTGACACACACTAAGAAAAGTAACTATGAGGTATGGATATGTTAATTAACTTGGTCTCGGTCATCATTTGAATATGTATATCAAAACATCACTGTTGTACACCTTTAATAGATACAATGTTTATTTGTCAATTGGACCTCAGTAAAGCTGGAAAGAAAAAGTAAATTTGGGTCTAGATCTGAAGAGATGATTTAGGATTAGAGATGTTGAATTGAGACTTAACTTGCATAGAGGTGTTAGCTGAAGCCATAGAAGTCACTAAAATTGCTAAGAGAAACAGTTTGGAAAGAAGGCAGAGAACTGGATAACAGGGAGCACGTTCTTTTAGGAAGGTGAAGAGGCGAGGGAGAAGTAAGAAAAGGGAGGCGTACCTAGCCAGGAGAGAGCTTTTTTAAAGTTTGTAAAAAACCGCAGTGACAGTGGTAGTTAAAACTGTAAAGTGTTTCGCATTCTACTAAAATGGGAACTAGTAAGAGAAGAGGATAACTTGTAAGAGCTATGAATGTGGTTGCTAATTCGTATCTACTGTAGTTTTTATGTATTTGTGAAGCTGATTATTTCTAAATTTCAAACCTAGATTTATAAATTATGAGAACCCTGGTGTTTATTTTAAGGATGTAATGATTTTTTAAAGGAATATTATGGCATGTTACGTGTAAAGTTGGCTTATCTTATAACTGATGATGATTTTTAATTGCTGCAGTTAATATATTCTAAAAATCTTCCTGGCACAGCATAGATTGTTATCAGGAAAAGGATTACTGCCGCAACACATACACACACACAGTGATATAGCACCTTTGATGATTCACGGGAGCAGCTGTAATTTTAACATCTATTTCTCAGCTAGAAACCATGCTTAAGTAATTTGGACATGATTTCCCCTTTTAAATAACGCAATCTGAATCAAAATCTCAAATGTTGGGCCATTAGTTTAGATTGTAAAAAATTTTCAATCTTAGAAAATTCTTTTTGATGTCCACTTTCTTCATTTAGAGTTCCTCAGCACTTAGAATCTGTAACCTTAACTTAAAAGTGGAGGGTTTTTCCCCCCTAAAATTACTATTTTTGTGTTATATTGTGATTTTTTTTTCTCCTAGGTATCTTAAGTATTTTCATGGGTAGCACCAGTAATATGGGAGCTTTTAAAAATACAAACTTCTGGGGCTTGCTTTCAGTTGATCTGAGACGGAAGCAGGCAATACATTTGACCCTCGAACAACCTGGGGTTTAGGGGGGACCAAAACCTCCCTCTCACCCCCGACACACAGTCAAAAATCCACCTGTGATTTTTAACTTCCCAAAAACTTAACTATTAATAGCCTACTGTTGAGTGGAAGCTTACTGATAACATAAACAGTACAAAGTTTGTAGGTTAGATGTATTATATTCAGTATTCTTAAAGTAAGCTAAAGAAAAGAAAGTGTTAATAAGAAAATCATAAGAGAAAATA
Organism: Homo sapiens; assembly: GCF_000001405.40. NCBI lineage: Eukaryota > Metazoa > Chordata > Mammalia > Primates > Hominidae > Homo > Homo sapiens. The sequence continues at coordinate 1,929,674 of NW_011332701.1, read as the reverse complement.
CGTTTACTGTTCATTAGGTGAAAGTGGATCATCATAAAGGTCTTCATCCTCGTTTTCCTTCACTGCTCATTTCCTTCATCCTTGTTTTCACATTTAGTCGTCTGAGGAATAGGAGAGGTTGGTCTTTCTGTATCATGGGTGGCAGAGGTGGAAGAAAATTCGAGTGTAAGTGGACCCACACAGTTAAATCTCATGCTCTTCAAGGGTCAACTGTATTTTTTTGTTTTTAAGCTCCTGGCATCTTTCTCTTATGTGCACTGCTAGATGTGGGAACTAATGGTTAGAAAGTATAGTGTATAAAAGAAAAGGTAACTTCAACTACAGAAGGAAAAATCTCTTCAGGTTCTTTTCATATTTTTTGTGGTGAGAATTTAATTCCTGAAAATTTAGTAATCTGCCTACAGACAAGATATAAATAGTACCAGTTGCTTAAAGGTTTCATTTCCACCCCAAAGTTGAATCTTCAAATCCTGTAACTGTGGAGTTTTAATTTAGAGCATTCCCTGCATTTTGAGAAACAACTTAGATACATTATAAGAGTAAAATGCTAGTGTAAAAAAACACTAAAGGACTTCCATATATAGTCTTTTGTTTTTTTTATTTAATTTTGGCTGTATAAGTGTCTTTTTGTTTTACAAATTGTATGTAAATTATCTTTAAAGAAGTGATAAAAAAATGACCTGGTCTCTGTGAGAAAGGTTTCACTTGAGTGTAAAAGGAAGTCTGTCTTGGCAAACATCAGCCCTGCCCTGTTCTCTTCCTAGATTTCTGAATACTTTTGTATATTTTTAGGATGTGCGATTATCTGCTGAGAATAATAACCTCTTCATCTTCATTTTGTGAGAAGTGATAGAATATAGTGAATTCTTAGGGCTTTGGAGCCGGACTTCCTGGGTTCATGTCCCAGCCTGCCTTTGGTTACTTGCATAACCTTGAAACCTCTGTGTTTCAGCATCCCCATATGCAGTGAAGCAGGCAGGTCATACGTTACAGAATGGTGAGAAATTAGTTATTACAATACCTGGCACATGTGTTCGCTACTGTAATTATTATGGTGATTCATAGTAGTAATAATAGTATCATAAGTTAGAATTTCCAAATGTGCTTTCTTATCTGCTTGTATTTAACCATTTTCTGAGATTTCCTCATTCTATATAGTTAAGCAAACTAAAATTGAGAGGTTGCAATAAAGTCCAGGGTTATGTTGTTGACCTGGGATTGGGGCCAGGATTAAAACTGTTGGCTCTTTGACCCAAATCTTTGACCTTACTGGTGTAGAGAAAGAAATTTCATAGCTTAATTACTACTTAATCTTCAGGAAACTAAAATCTACCAGCGTTCCATTGTTGTCATGACCTACTTATGTTCCTCTGTGTGATATTCTTTTCTTAGAGAGCAAACATATGGAGAGAATTCTGAGAAAAACACACAAGCTTGTTCTTCATTATAATTAGATGAACAAAGTATCCTCACTGTTGTCTAGAACTGGAGTTGGCAGACTGCACTGTGTGGGCTAAATCCAGCCTCCTCCTTTTGTAAAGTTTTATTGGAAACCCATTCCACAATGGCATAATCAAGAAGTTATAAGAGAGACTATATGGCCAAGGGAGTCAATTACAGAAAAAGTTTCCAAATGCTTTGTCTGGAATGTTAAAATAGTTTTGTTTTTAAATTCAAAAAATACATATACATAGGGAAAATAATTACAGTGGTTTTCTTATAACTTGATGCTTGTTGCTGGGCTTGTTTGCTTTGTTTTGTATTTCACTTAGTATTGTTGCAGAGCCCAGTCTGGGCCAAGACTTGGGCTGTAGGAGCTGGGAATACTGAGAGAGCCCACAGTTGATGGTGACACTTTGCTTCTTGGTGATTACTGAGTGGGTATCATTGAAAAGAGATTTCACTGATCTTCCTGTAGTCCCTGCATAAGTAGAGAGTATTTGATTTGCAGGGTATGATCTAGGCCTCTGCTTGGTTAGATTGTATTCTTCCTCATATTTACAGCTATTTTAACAGACCCATTTTATGTTTCCCTCTAACATTGTATGTTAGAGGGAACAACAGGTGTTTACCTTTTTTATTCTATAAATTTTTATAAAAGTGAGCATGATTAGTCATAAGCAGGTACAATATTGAAAAAATTCTATTACAGTAAAAGTTCAGACTAACAGGATGAAATTGAAATGTGGGAAATTTGGATTGTCAAGATTTACATTTGGCATTCTACCCATTTACATTTGTTACACTCATTCCCTGAAACCAACAGAGTTCATCTAAGGCCTAAACTGTTTTCTAAAGTGTTTGGGGAATGTGTTTTCACAAATAGAAAAACAGTCCAGTTTATATTTAGCAAATCCATTTTACGAAAATGGTTAGTTCTGAGAAACTTAAAAGCAGTGTTTTCAGAAGATTGAAACTTTGTAACAGTTATTTAATCTCTTCATTCATTGTTCCTCCTGAGAAATGCCTCTACTGAATTCTAAAGTAAAAGGTGTGTCAGCATTGATACAGCTTATGATACAGCAAATACATGACAGTAAAATTGAATTTTCTGAATCAGAAATTTTTAGCCTAAATTCACGTTTGGCCAAGTTAAGATCATATATTTGGGATCAAAACCTCTTATCTATACAATCCACTCCATATTAGGAGTTTTCCAAGAGTGCTGAGTAAGTCCAAATAAACATGCAGGTAGAGCATATAATGTGCAGTCACGTGTCACTTGATGGGGATACCTTCTGAGAAATGCATCCTTGTGTGAACATCATAGAGTGTACTTACACAAACCTAGGTGGTAGAGCCTGCCACACACCCAGGCTATATGGTGTAGCCTATTGCTCCTAGGCTACAAACCTGTACAGCAGGTTACTGTACCAAATACTGTAGGCAGTTGAAACAGCAGTTAGCATTTGTGTATCTTAAACGTAGGAAAGGACAGTACAACTACAGTATTTTAATCTTCAGGGACCACTATTGTCTGTGGGGTCCATTGTTGATTAAAATATCCTTATGTGGTCTTAGCTTTTAAATTAAAGATCTAGTTTTTTATTTACACACCTTTTCCTCTACCTTCCATAATTGTTTTCGTCAGCATTTGAGAACTATAAATATTATTTCATCTTACTGTATATAGTTTCTGTCACATATTGCTTAATTTTCTCTGAAACTTACATACAGGTTGAGCGTAGGTAATCTGAAAGTGCAAAATCCAAAATGCTCCAAAATCCAAAACTTGAGTGCCAACATGACGCTCAAGGGAAATGCATTTCAGACTTTGCATTTTCAGATTAGGGCTGCTCAATGGGTAACCAGTATGATGCACATATTCCAAAATCCGAAATCCAAAACAGTTCTGGTCCCAAGCATTTTAGGCAAGGGATGCTTAACCTGTGCAACTTTGCCAATAGGCTAAAAATTATTGTTGAAACATCCTAATATTGATGAGCATTTTTTTTTCTATTTCAAATGTGGAGAGGTAACGATCTTCTGACTAGTGAATTTCTTTTTAATTTTTTTGACTTTTAGGTTTAGGGGTACATATGCAGGTTTGTTACGTAGGTAAACATGTGTCATCGTGTTTTGTACGTACTATTTCATCACCCAGATGTTAAACCCAGTATCCAATAGTTTTCTCTTGTTCTCCCTCCTCCTACCCTCCCCCCTCAAGTAGACCCCAGTGCCTGTTGTTTTCTTTGTGTTCGTAAGTTCTTACCATTTAGCTCCCACTTACAAGTGAGAACATGCAGTGTTTGGTTTTCTGTTCCTGCATTCGTTTGCTAAGGGTAATGGCCTCCAGCTCCACTCATGTTCTGGCAAAAGACATGTTCTTTTTTATGGCTGCATAGTATTCCATGGTGTATATGTACCACATTTTCTTTATCCACTCTGTCATTGGTGGGCATATAGGTTGACTCCATGTCTTTGCTATTGTGAATAGTGCTGCAGTGAACATTTGTTTGCATATGTCTTTATGGTAGAATGATTTATATTCCTTGGGTATATACCCTGATTGGTGAGTTTCAGATTTTATTTACTGATCATTGGTGTTAGTCTTTTGTCTAAATAAATTTCATAACTCCAATTTGATAAGTGCTTTATTCTAAACAAGAATTACATATATTGTTGGTAGTGAACATGGTGTTGGTAGTACTACGTGTTCTTTTTTAGGCTCACCATGAGGTCCTTTACCTTTGTTTTTTTTTTTTTTTTCTGTTTCCCTTTCATCTGAGAAAGATAGAAAGGGTGCCAGTTAGAAAGATATGATTCATTAAGTATTTCAATGGTTAATCAGCGAGTCGAATCAGTGACTTCTTTCCCGTGGCTCCTGTACCTTACACCGTGACCAATGTGCATAGTTCTGAGTGATCAACAGGCGGCACCACAGTGAATGTTCCTTCTGTAGTGAAGGTTGAAAGATTTTACCAGTAATGTGGATGTTATCCTGCTCATTCGTCCTTTGCCAAATACTTACTAATGTCACATATATGTTATCAGTGTATGGCGATAAATATCCTGAGCAATCTTTTTTTTTTTTTTTTTTTTTTTTTTGACACAGAGTCTTGCTCTGTCTCCCAGGCTGGAGTGCAGTGGCACGATCTCGGCTCACTGCGAGCTCCGCCTCCCAGGTTCACGCTATTCTCCTGCCTCAGCCTCCTGAGTAGCTGGGACTACAGGCACCCGCCACCACGCCTGGCTAATTTTTTGTGTTTTTTAGTAGAGACGGGGTTTCACTGTGTTAGCCAGGATGGTCTCGATCTCCTGACCTCGTGATCTGCCTGCCTCAGCCTCCCAAAGTGCTGGGATTACAGGCGTGAGCCACTGCGCCTGGCCATATCCTGAGCAATCTTAGGCAAGATCCCTGCTATCATTTGGATGTAAGCTCTATATCCAAAGCAAATACATAAATTTGAAAATACAAAAAGTAAATTTTCGTTAGTGGTTAAATGCTATAAAGAGAATCAGGGTAGTGTAATAGTGAAGCAGGAGGGGACAATATTAAATAACAGGCTCAGGGAAGAAAGCTTCTCTGAGGTCACATCATTTTGAACTGGGTAAGAAAGACCCTGGCAGGTGAAGGTCATTCTGGAATAAGGCAAAGCGTGTACTGCTCCTGAGATGGAAACTCGACCTACTGGAAGGGCAGCAATATAGCCCATGTGGCTACATCATAAGAGCAAGGGAGAAAGTGATTTGGAGATCCAAGAAGTGAATTTTTTCTGTTTTAAAAAATTTGGTTAGAACATGAAAGTTTTTTTAATGTTGTTTATTACTTGAAATGTTATTAAATGCTTTTTTGCTAATATGTTTTATCTAACATTTCAAAGTGAGTGGAATATCGATGACATCCTGAACTTTTGTGAACGAACTGTTATTTTCAGTTTGAGGGGATTTCAGGTTACTTCATTGAAATTCCAATGTGAGGTTTTATTTTCAGTGTGCTTTTGTGAGGGGCCAAAAGAGGGAAGATTTTAGTTGATTAAGTTTCTCTAGTTAATGGAAACCCAAGTGTAGTCATGGGGTATTCAGTGATTGCTGTTAGATTTTAACCCTTAAGAGGAGATCATGGATCAAATAGCAGAAAGGCAGGCTTCAATATTTATCATATATCCCGTTTAAAAAGTGAAAGTAGGCCAGGCACGATGGCTTACACCTGTAATCTCAGCACTTTGGGAGGCCAAGGTGGGCAAGATCACTTGAGGTCAGGAGTTCAAGACCAGCCTGGCCAACATGGTGAAACCCAGTCTCTACTAAAAATACCAAAATTAGCTAGGCGTGGTGGCGTGTGCCTATAATCCCAGCTACTCGGAAGGCTGAGGCAGGAGAATCGCTTGAACCTGGGAGGCAGAGGTTGCAGTGAGCCGAGATCATGCCACTGCACTCCAGCCTGGGTGACAGAGCGAGACTCCGTCTGGGGGAAAAAAAAAAAAAAAGTGTATTTAGCCGGGCGTGGTGGTGCACATCTGTGATCCTGGGTACTCAGGAGGCTGAGGTGGAAGGATCGCCTGCTTGAGCCCAAGAGGTTGAGGCTGCAGTGTGCCATGATCACGCCACTGAACTGTAGCCTGGGCAATAGAACAAGGCCCTGTCTCAAAAATAAGTAGTACAAAAATAAAAAGTAAAAGTATAAAGTTTATTTACTCCATCAGCTGAGATTTGTTTTCTTCTACAAGTACAATATTTAAAAATGGCAAATTTAAAAACAAACTGCTCCACTTGTCTAAAATAGTAAATATACAAAAAAACTTATTTGCAGATTTTTTAAATGTGAGACAATTTTCTGTTTTCTCTGAGAGAATCCTAATAAGATTTGTGACATTGGTCTCCCACTATAAAATCTACCAAATAAACTGCACAAAGTGCTATGTTAGTCATAAGTATTAGTCAAAGTACAGAATAATCATTATACCACCAATGAAGGTGTAACAACACAATTCTTTAAGTGAGACAAAAGTCCTCTTGGGCTTTCCTCAGTTGTTTCTTACTAAAAGTTGTCCATATCCATGAAAATTACTTTTGAACCACAGACCTGTTTTTCTTCTAATGCGGATGGACTAGATTAATAGATGAATGTTTAAGATGAGAAGCACTTGTACAGAAGAATAAGCTCCACAAACACATACATCTAAATTATTGCCTAAAAACAATATCACAGTGAAATAGACTCAGATTTTTTCAGAAGCATGCTCATGAACACATGTATGTTTTAGAAAGCAGATTACATGTAAAGGACAGATTTACATTGTGAGAAATTAGCTTACAAAATGACAAAGTGGAATTAAGGTAATTATTTTCCTGCCTTCTCAGCATACTTCCTGGGCAACTTTTTTACCTTTTGTTCCCAAGTACCAGCCCTGTATCTCTTGCTTTCTCATCCCCAGAATTCTTTGGGTACCAGTGCAGAGAGAGACCATTTTTTAATCGTTGTGAAGGGGGAACTTCAATGTGTATATATTTGTTTCCATATAAAATCAGAGGATTAGCAGTGATTGCAACATTCTAAGTATGAAACTGGAGTGTGCCTTCACTTTTCTGTCTTTTTGCAATAGAGCCTTCCAGGCTGAAATTTTCCTGTCAGTGGAAAAAACTTTGGAATACAGTTAACTTAAATTCTTAGCATATTTTTATTGTTAATTGTGGTTGAGATAATCCAATGCCTTTTAAAGGGATTAGTAGCTAGCTTTTGTTTTCAACCTAAACTGTGGTGTTCTTGCCTACCTTATGCAATTAATGAACTTGTGAAAAGTATGTATAAATCCGTTTTTGTAGTATAAGTCTTTAATTTGTAATGGGGAGTTGGCTTTATAAAAGGATATTCTACTAGAGTGAATGTTCAGCGCTTCATTTATTTCCTGTATTAAGGTTATTTTTAAAATAAGGCACATCAAGTTGATTGGAAAGGTGTTCATAGAGCTAGAAGTAAGAGGGAAAGGGCTATGAAATGGCGACCAGGCATATCTTATCAATCAGGAGACAGAAAGCACAGTTTCCATGAACAGAGAAAGTTGAATGTAAAGAAATTAAACATAACAGGAGTAATGAGGGATTGACTGGTAAGAACTAAAGAGAGCTCTGAAGATTAAGAACCACGGATAGGGCTGGGCGCAGTGGCTCACACCTGTAATCTCAGCACTTTGGGAGGCCGAGGCGAGCAGATTGCCTGAACTCAGGAGTTCAAGACCAGCCTGGGCAACACGGTGAAACCCTGTCTCTACTAAAATACAAAAAATTAGGCCGGGCGTGGTGGCTCACGCCTGTAATCCCAGCACTTTGGGAGGCTGAGGCGGGCTGATCACGAGGGCAGATCAAGACCATCCTGGCTAACACGGTGAAACCCTGTCTCTACTAAAAATACAAAAAATTAGCTGGGCGTGGTGGCACGTGCCTGTAGTCCAGCTGCTCGGGAGACTGAGGCAGGAGAATGGCGTGAACCCGGGAGGCGGAGCTTGCAGTGAGCCAGGATCGCACCACTGCACTTCCAGCCTGGGTGACAGACCGAGACTCAGTCTCAAAAAAAAAAAAAAATTAGCCGGACACAGTGGCATGCTCCTGTAATCCCAGCTACTCAGGAGGCTGAGACAGGAGAATAACTTGAACCCAGGAGGCGGAGGTTGCAGTGAGCCGAGATTGCGTCACTGCACTCCAGCCTGGGTGACAGAGCGTGACTCCGTCTCAAAAACAAAGCACAAAAGAACCACAGATAGAAGGAGCAGCTACTCTCCTTGGTGCTGAGATAGAGTGCCAAAGGAAGAGGCTCCCACTCACTCATCCTCAGGGCTGAGATCTGGCCTTCTTGGAAAGGGAACAACGGTGCTCACTGAGTGGCCGAGAATTTGCTGTGGTATGTCACCAGACGAACTTGCATGGTATTTGTACTCCCATGTGCTGGGGAGGTATCTCATGGGAGACTTCACACAACAGAACCGTTTGAGAGAGTCTCTGGAGCAGGCTGCTGGCCACCGAGTACTTTAGGATGCTGGGCACTGCAGGAGCATGCTGAGGGGATGCACCTTCTCTCCTACAGCGTCTCCCCAGGACCCTGTACTGACCATGCTGCATGCCCTCTGCCTCTACTAAATGGCTCCAAACAGCTGCAATTTCACAACCAAAGTTTTTTACTTGAAACAGCATGTTACTCCTTGCTAATCTAATTGAGTGTGTATTAATCGGCTACACTGGTCACACATTTGATTGGGTAAGACCTAAAGTAGGCTCTGCTTAACAGTGAGTCCGTTCATGTGACCTATAAAATCTCTCTCAGAGACTCCTTTCCAGTCCATCTTTGTCAGCTGTCTTGTCTAGAGCTTTCAACTAGCTCATAGCCTCCAGATAACAAGGTCATTACCTTTAGATTAATACGTGCAAGTTAATACAAAAAAAAAAAAACAACAGAAACTCGTCTTACCCTTCTGGGGAAAAGCAAAAGTGCCCATAAGAGGATCTTGAGGTACCTTAAAATGCCCAAAGTTTCCTTCTAGGCTACCAGGAGCTGGAATACGTAAACATGAACCTGACTCCGAACACATAATTTTTATAGAAAGCTTTCCTCATAATAGCAAACGCACACGCGCACACACACACTCACACACACACACACACACACATTTTTAAGCTTAAATATGGAGAGCCATTAGGATAGAATTATGTGAGGAAGGGCTGGGCATGGTGGCTTGCACCTGTAATCCAGCACTTTTGGAAGCCGAAGTAGGAGGATAACTTGAACCCAGAAGTTCGAGACTCGCCTGGGCAACATAGCGAAACCCCATCTCTACAACAAGTAGAAAAAGTTAGCAGGGTATGGTGGCACGCATCTGTAGTCCAGCTACTCTTGCAGGCTGAGGTGGGAGGATTGCTTGAGCCTGGGAGGTTGAGGCTGCAGTGAAGTATGATTGTGCCACTGCACTCCAGCCAGGGCAACATTGAGACCCTGACTCAAAAAAAAAAAAAAAAAAAAAAAAAGAATTAGGAAGGTTTGGGAAAAATGTGATTCATTATCACAACCTCACAATTTCTTTCAATAATTGCCACTGATTGTTGACTAATTTCATGTGTAAATTCAGATTTTATCTTGACTTCATAGTCACATTTGCTTGTGAAAGAACATTTTAATGTTTGGAAAAGTTGATTATTTTATTTTGTGCTGTAACTCTAGATCTGCATAGTCCAACACCATAGCCAGTAGCCACATGTCACTGTTCAACATTTGAAATGTGGCCAGTCCAAATCGAGGTGTATTGTTAGTGTGAAATGCACATTGGATTTTGAAAACACAGTATGCAAAAAATGTAAAATACCTCATTAATAACTTAGATGATGAAATACTACTTTAGATACATTGAGTAATAAAATTTATAAATTGATTTCGCCTTATTTTATTTAACATGGATTCTAGAAAATTTTTAATTACGTAAGCAGCTCATTTTATAATTCTCTTAAACAGTACTGTTCTAGATCTTTATGTATTATTGAAAAATGCCTCCATCTTTTGGTAGATAATGGAAATGCACTAACAAAAGCTAATATTTCAAATATTAATTGTATGAAAAATTGAATAGAATGGTGTGAGTCCCATTTATGTGAAATGTTGTTTTGGAAGGCTAATTGCATTTAATGTTATAATGATTGTATCACAGGACAAAAAGGTAATTAGCAATGGGGTATGCAAATTGGCCAAAGATAAAAATACTCCCAGAAGTTTTGTGTGATATATGGAGCAAGAGCCCTACATGTATAGCCAATGACGACCTATCGTTTATCATTGAGGAGAGCATTTGAGTTAAAATATTGTAAGTTAAAATACCAAGATGGTAATGTCTGTTAATCACATTTTAATTTTTAGAAGTTTTGATCAGTTACAAGAAAGAAGAAAATTAATTGGAATTCTTACCTTTTCTAAACAAATTCTGCTTTGTACAGAGCAATAGAAATCTGTAGAACTATTAAAATTTTGTGGGTAACTCATTCTCTTTAAAAATACTCATTTTAACTTATTTTTTCACTTTTCTCTTTTTAAAAATAATTTTGTATTTATAATATATTAATCATATTTTTTAATGCAAACAATGCAGGGATAATTTACTATTTTGCACTTCCCTTTTAATCTGAGGAGCACAGCACAATTTGGGGATAGAGCTTAATTTTGTTGATTTATACTTAGCTAATTGTGATATTTTATTACACAAGTAACGGCTAAAAATTTTGATCTTTTACAATTTATTGTATTTATTTATTTATTTATTGAGACAAAGTCTCGCTGTCTTGCCCAGGCTGGAGTGCAGTGGCGCAATATCGGCTCACTGCAACCTCTGCCTCCCAGGTTTAAGCGATTCTTGTGCCTCAACCTCCGAAGTATCTGGGATTACAGGTGCGTGCCACCACACCCAACTAATTTTTGTTTTTTTAGTAGAGAGGGGTTTTCACCATGTTGGTCAGGCTGATCTCGAACTCCTGACCTCAGGTGATCCACCGACCTCGGCCTCCCAAAGTGCTGGGATTACAGGAGTGATGTTTCATGTTAAACATCATTTGCATATTTAACCGGCCAATCTTTTCCAATTTAAAAGTAGCTCATCCTTGTTTGAGCTAGAAAATATCTTGGCTTTTTTTTTTTTCCTAAAAGATTGTTCTACTTCAGTGCAGCTCATTAAGAATATACCAACTTAAAAGTAGAATACACCTCCACAGAATGGTTAAAAGAATACAAAAATAGAAACTATGCAAAGTACTTATTTTTTATTCCTTCAGGAAGACAACATAGAAAGAAACCTTTTCCTGAAAAGAGACTACTAATAATATACGTTAATAAAACCAAATTTTATGTTTAAAGTTAGTCTTTAAAAATAATTTTAAATATATTTTTTCAATCTTTATTATAATAAGTAAATTTTTGTAAAAGTTGAAATAGTAGAGATAACTGTAAAATTCCTCTTGGCTACTATTTTGGCTATTTTTCCCTCCAAGGTGAACCACTGTTGCTTATTTGGTATCTGTTGCTTGTCTGTACATGGGCATGTGCAAACATGTCTGTTTATATTTTAGAGAAAAGTTTTTAAATAGCTATATGGTATCCTGCTATATGTATTCTGTAATCTGTGTGTCTTATTTGGCATTTTGTTTTGAAGTTATTTTCTTTCTTTTTTTTTTTTTGAGACGGAGTCTCACTCTGTCGTCCAGGCTGGAGTGCAGTGGCTCCATCTGGGCTCACTGCAAGCTCCGCCTCCCGGGTTCACGCCATTCTCCTGCCTCAGCCTCCAGAGTAGCTGGGACTGCAGGCTCCCGCCACCACGCCCAGCCAATTTTTTTTGTATTTTTAGTAGAGACAGGGTTTCACCCGTAGCCAGGATGGTCTCGATCTTCTGACCTTGTGATCCGCCCGCCTCAGCCTCCCAAAGTGCTGGGATTACAGGCGTGAGCCACTGCGCCCAGCCGTTTTAAAGTTTTCATGTCTGTACATATCATTCTATTTCATTACACCTAATTTTAATAGTCTTTTACAAACAATGCATGCTTATTAGAACAAGTGAAATAGATCAAATCCACCAACTCCACTTCACCCCCAGTTCACCCCCAGTTCTCACTCTTCTTGAATTAAGCCATTCTCCAGACTCGTACTGACATTTGGTATCATATATAGGGTTTGGGTTTTTCTTTTAATAATTAAGAGATCAGGATTTGAATTATTACTCAGCTAAATTATTTCAGTTGAACAATACAAGGTGAACATCCAGTTTATTCTTTTGATAAGAAACTTTCCGTATTATGGACATCTTGTTTCTAGGTATTTGCCTGCGAAAACATGGCAGTAAGCACCTTCGTACCTGATTTCATGTACTGTGCTGGTGCATTTTATTTCTAAAGTCCTTAAAGAGTGTGTTTGTGTTGTTCAAAATTTTTAATGGCTAGTACCAGATTACTGATATAGCTGTGTTTCAAATGTAAGTCTTTATAATATCTTTTCCTGTGCAAGTAAAAGTTTTTAATCTTGTCAGATATTTTTATCTTGCCTTTATGGCTTCCGAATTTCTATCCTACTTGCAAAGGCTTCCCCCAGTCTAAAGTTTTAGAATGTTTAATGTTCTTGTTACTGGTGTTATTTTTTCCCTTTCATTTCCATCTGATTGTTGACGATATTGACAAAAGATTTTTTTATGTAATTAAAATTATCTTAATTCAGGAAATTTTTCAGTAGTCTTTAATATTCATTAAGTTTTTTTTTTTTTTTTTTCAATATTTTGGGACCATTAGCTCGTGATTATACTACCTGGGTCTTCAAAATCAGAGTGAATAACAGTAGTGTTCACAGGTATCACTGTCCTGTTACTGAGTTTGGTGTAAATAGTGTAAATACATTCAGCATTTCACTATTTGATAGGATGTTTGCTCTTGGTTTTAGAAAATAGTTTCTTTCATAATTATATTGCTTATTTCAGTTTTTGTTTAGGAATGACTGCAAATTTTCTCATGCCAGTTTGATATTAACACTTTTTTCTGTAAATATTTGTGCATAATAATGAATTGTGTCAGTAAATTCCTAATGTCGAACTAATCTTGCACCCTTGAAATAACCCTGATGATAGTCTTCTAATACACTACTGTATTCTCCTAGCTAGTATTTTATTTATTTAGAATTTTTTCCTCCATTCATAATGAAAAATATATTATTTTCTCTCTTTGTACTCTTGTCATCAAGATTTGGATGTTAAAGGTTCTGGTAGCCTCAGATTGGAATGCTGATGACTAGAGTATTGATAATTGTCGACGATGAGTACATGGGGTTTTATGATACTGTTCTCTGTATGGCTGTATATGTTTGGAAATAAAGTTTTTTTTTAAGTGAATTAGAGAGCTTTTTATATTTTTCTGTGGTCCAGGATAATTAAACAAATTATTTTGTTTTTCCGAGGTTGGGAGAATGCAGCTGTAAAACCATATATACGTGATACTTTGTAAAATTATAGATCTTGATTTATCTTTTTATTCAAGATATATTTATTGGCTTCTTTTAAAATATATATTGTCTTGGTACACTTTATGATTTCTGTTTATCTGGGGAAATTATTAATGAACATTTAGTTTTATTTTGTTTCTTGCCACTAAAACTGATACTAGAATGAATGTTCTTATAAATGTTTTCTTGAGTACATTTGTATTTCTCTAGAATAAATATAGAAGTGGAATTATAGTGTATGACCTAGTTACATTTTTTGTTTTGATAATTTCCATTTTGCCTTCAAATAGTCATACACTTTTACCATCATTTTGTGAATATGTCTGTTTCTCCATATCTTTCCCTACCAGTGATGTTATCATGTGAAAGTTCTCATGGATGATAATATGATTTCTTTTTTTTGAGACAGAGTCTTGCTCTGTCACCAAGCTGGAGTGCAGTGGCACGATCTTGGCTCACTGCAACCTCTGCCTCCTGGGTTCAATTGATTCTCCTGCCTCAGCCTCACGAGTAGCTGGGACTATAGGCGCATGCCACCACGCCGGGCTAATTTTTGTATTTTTAGTAGAGACAGGGTTTCACCTTACTGGCCAGGATGGTCTTGATTTCTTGACCTCGTGATCCGCCTGCCTCTGCCTCCCAAAATGCTGGGAATACAGGCATGAGCTACTGTGCCCGGCCGATAATACAGTTTCTAATTAATTTGTATTTCCCTAGTTCCTAGTGAGGTTAAATGTGTTTGCATATTTATTACGTATTTGTACATCCTTTTTGCTGAAAAGCTTCTTTGTATTTTTGCATTTCTCTCTTGAGTTGTCTTGATTGATTTATAGTTCTTTTTTTCTTTTTCAAAGAGACGGAGTCTTGTTCTGTTGCCTAGGCTGGAGTGTAGTGGCTCTATCATAGCTCACTTCAGCCTCCAACTCCTCGGCTCAAGCAATTCTCCCACCTCAGCCACTTAAATAGCTAGGACTGTAGGAACAAGTGACAGTGCCTGGCTAAATTTTAAATTTTTTTTACAGAGTATGGAATTTGCTATGTTGCCCAGCTGGTCTCAAACTCCTGGGCTCAAGCAGTCCTCTTGCCTTGGCCTCCCAAAGTGCTGGAATTACAGACGTGAGCCATCATGCCTGTCTTTTCTTTTTTTAAGTACCAAATTCTTATATATGTTACTTAGGTCAGTACATAGTCAACATTTGTATTTAGTTAAACTGTATGAAATAGTTAACATCGAGCTGTTTGAACTAAAGAATTCCCATTTCATTTAGTTCAGCCCAGTATTATATATGTTTCCCAATTATTTGCACGTACTTTATTTTTATGTAATCACTTTTGTTGATATACTGTGGCTTCATTGAGTCTTACTTTAGAAGACTCCTGTTGATTATGTGAATGTTTAAACTCTTTTTTTAGGACTTGATTTCATCTGAAATCAGTTTATTTTTGTCATTGTTAAACATACGGATCTAATTTTTCTACATTTGTGGACAGTTGTCCCGACACCATTTATTAAATGTTATGTTCCTTCTCCAACAGTTTTGTTTGGAATGCTACTTTCATGATAAATTTTGCTATTATAGATATATTTCTTCATTTTCGATTTTATTACATGAATCTATTTGGTTTTTCTGTGGTAATGCTCTATTTTTAATTACTAGGTTTTTACAATATTTTGGTATCTGTTAGAGCAGGTTGTCATTGTTTTTGAAGTTGCATTGCCTCTTCTTATACTGTTCTCTTACAGATGCTTTCCAGAATCATTCTTATGCTCTTGATTTTTTATTTTAATGACACACAGTCTCCGGAGTAGAGATGAAGAGAGAATTTCTAAACCTGGGGCTGTCTCAACTCCTGTAAAGCATGCTGATGATCACACACCTAAAACAGTGGAAGAAGTTACAGTTGAAAGAAATGAGAAACAAACACCTTCTCTTCCAGGTAAGCATAACGAAACACTAAGTTCAAGAAACATTTGCAAGTAGAGTGAAGTAATTGTTAGGATTTACAGAAGATTTTAAAGATGCAATTATTATTCTTCTCATGTGTGAATTTGTCTGCATATGACTTCCAGCGTTTTCCTTATGGGTAGCAGGTTGGCACAAATCAGTTGCCTTTCATGAATGTTTTCCTTTACTTTCTAGATAGAAAATATTTATCATTAACAACTTCTTGCAATTAGTAAAGTTGTTTTCCAACACTGCTCCTTAAAGAGAAACATGAGATTGGCTTCAAAAATTTAAAAAGAAAAGTTATTTTGCTTTTTTGAAAGTGTTTTCATAAACATTTTATGGAGTATACCTTTATTTATTGTCTTTGGGTTTTTTTTTTTGAGACAGAGTCTCACTCTGTCACCCAGCTGGAGTGCAGTGGTGTGATTAGCTCGCTGTAACCTCAAAACTCCTGGGCTCCAGCTGTCTTTCCACCTGATCCTCCCTATTACAGGTGTGCACCACCGCACCTGGCTATTTTGGGTTTTCTGGGGTTTTTTTGTGGGTTTTCTTTGTTTTTTGTTGTTGTTTTGGAGAGATGGAATCTTGCTTTGTTGTCCAGGTTGGTCTCCAACTCCTGGCCTCAAACAGTCCTCCCACCTCAGCTTCCTAGTGTGTTGGGATTACAGGTGCAAGCCACTGTGTCTGACCCAAGCATCCTTTTAAAGCTGTCTGTGAAGACAAAACAGAATCAGCAAGGTGCTAAGATCGGTTGCCTGGGAGGCCTGGAGATTTTGTTTCTGATGTCTTTCACTTCCTTTTCTCAAATCATCTTTCTTGCTCTGCTTGCTGAGTGGCAGAAATATGGTTATTTAAAAACATTTTATCATAATGAGGAAAGGTAGCTACTTTGGCAGTCTTAACTGGGAAGTGTAGGAATTCTCTCTTCTCATATCTATTTTTTGTTATTCGTTCTTAAAGAATAGATTTTTCAAATTCTGATTGCTGGAACTATGGAAAACACAGGTGACTGTGTAACATACCTACTTGTTATAAAGACTTCAGAATTTATTACTATAAAATGTACTCTAATACATATGGTAGATATGTTCCTCATCAGGTTCTCTGAACTTATGAATCATATATTGCTTGGTTGCTTGCATTATTATTCCATGTTTTTCTAAAGTGAGTCCTACTCAATTTTTTTTTTCTTAGAACCAAAGCCTGTGTATGCCCAAGTTGGGCAACCAGATGTGGATTTACCTGTCAGTCCATCTGATGGTGTCCTACCTAATTCAACTCATGAAGATGGGATTCTTCGGTAATACAATTTTAAAGTTGTATTGTTTTCTTTGTTCATTATTAACATTATTCAGAGTAGGAATTTAATTGTAAACCATATTGCATATATTTTTT
Organism: Homo sapiens; assembly: GCF_000001405.40. Classification (NCBI taxonomy): domain Eukaryota; kingdom Metazoa; phylum Chordata; class Mammalia; order Primates; family Hominidae; genus Homo; species Homo sapiens. The sequence goes on along the minus strand of NW_011332701.1, from coordinate 1,912,886 downwards.
AAAATAGTACATACCACCTAATACTATGATTATTTTTATATTTAACATTCTGCTACTTATATATGATAGTGAGTTAGAAATTAGACAACAAAGGAACTTTTTGGATGCTTTCTTTCTCACCGCTGTCTCCTGCCTAGCTTTTAAATTAGGAATTAGAAAAAAAAAAAAATTCTATTCAGACATCAGAATTTCCACAGCTTTCCAATGGAGCATTAAAAAAAAAAAAAAATCAGTGTTTCTCAATCTCAGCACTAGTGGCATTTTGGGCCAGGTAAGCATTTGTTGTGAGGGGCTGTCCTGTGCATTGTGGCATGTTTAGCAGCAATCCTGGCCACTAGATGCCAGTAGCAGTCCCCTAGTTGTGACAATTAGAATTATCTCTAGACATTGCCAGATGTTTCCTTGGGGGCAAAATCATGGTTGAGATTGGTTGAGAACCTGTTCTAGGGTAGTTAGCAACCCAAAAGTAAGTTTTTACTATCTTAACACCTTTCATTACTTTACATTATATACTTGGTAGAATTGAGATGTAAATTTGTAAACAAATTTCAAACCATCATGATTATCAAATTAGTTTTTTGTTTGTTTGGTTAGTTTTTTTTTTTAAACAGGGTCTTGCTCTGTCGCCCAGGCTGGAGTGCCGTGGTGCAATCTCGGCTAACTGCAACCTCTGCCTCTTGGGCTCAAACAATCCTCCCACCTCAGCCTCCTGAGTAGCTGGGATGAAAGGACACACACCACCACACCTAGCTAATTTTTGTATTTTTAGTAGAGACGGGGTTTTGTTTCGCCGCATTGCCCAGGCTGGTCTAAAAGTCCTGGGCTCAAGCAGTCCACCAACCTCAGCCTCCCAAAGTGCTAGGATTACAGATGTGAGCCACTGTACCCAGCCCAAATTAGTTTTTTATTGGCACTGGTAAAGGGGACATGATGTGAATAATTGAAAATTGACAGAATTCCGGGCCGGGCGCAGTGGCTTATGCCTGTAAAGCTAGCACTTTGGGAGGCCGAGGCGGGCGAATCACGAGGTCAGGAGATCAAGACCATCCTGGCTAACATGGTGAAAACCCATCTCTACTAAAAATACAAAAAATTAGCTGGGCGCCTATAGTCCCAGCTACTCGGGAGGTTGAGGCAGGAGAATGGCGTGAACCCAGGAGGCGGAGCTTGCAGTGAGCCGAGGTCACACCACTGCACTCTAGCCTGGGTGACAGAGCGAGACTCCGTCTCAAAAAAAAAAAGAAAATTGGCAGATTTCCTCAAGTGGGTTAGATTTAGACCCAGCTAGGTAGATAGAAGTAGTTCCTGAAAGAGATGGGGTTTTTACAAGTTTAAAACTGTACAATTTTAATATTAGGTAATTGATAATTCAACCTTTTATAAATTGTGCAGGCATAGATAGTCCCCTTCTTTTCCTTTCTTGGGAATTGCTTGAAAACTTGTGTAAGTGTTTGAGGTTTAGGAAACTGTAATGATAAGATTCCAGAGACTGGCCGGGCGCAGTGGCTCATGCCTGTAATCCCAGCACTTTGGGAGTCCGAGGTGGGCAGATCACCAGGTCAGGAGATTGAGACCATCCTGGCTGAACACGGCGAAACCCCGTCTCTACTAAAAATACAAAAAAATTAGCCGGGCGTGGTGGCGGGCGCCTGTAGTCCCAGCTACTTGGGAGGCTGAGGCAGGAGAATGGCATGAACCCAGGAGGTGGAGCTTGCAGTGAGCCGAGATCGCGCCACTGCACTCCAGCCTGGGTGACAGAGCAAAACTCCATCTCAAAAAAGAAAAAAGAAAAATTCCAGAGACCTCCTTCCCTGGGAGAACAAATACCAAGGAAGATTTGAGGACGTGGACAGGATTAGTAGCTGTGCCAGGAAAGGTTTGGTTTTTCATTTAAAGCCAATGAATGGATTTGATGCAGAAGTTAGTGAGTCTGTTTTGCTACTGCAAGTAGTTAATATAATGCAGGCAGGACAAAGTATAAAATGTCAGTCATCTAAGGCACATGACACTGTTGGTGAGATATGGCCTAAAGCTGTCTTCTAACAGTGGTTTTCAGAAGCCATGTTTTACTAAAGGGTGGATACTGTGCTCAGTTGTTTTTGCTTTTTGAAGCACATTAGATGGGTCAGGGTTAGAAGAGGATTTCCAAAGTCCTATCTTTTGTTTTTGTTTTTGTTTTGCTTTGTTTTAAAGAGACAGGGCCTCACTCTGTCACCCAGGCTAGAGTATAATGGTGTGATCATTGCTCACCATAACCTCAAACTCCTAGGCTCGAGGAATCCTCCCACCTCAGCCTTCGGAGTAGCTAGGACTATAGGCAACGAGCCACGAAACCCAGCTAATTTTTTTTTTTTTTTTTTTTTTTTTTTTTTTAGTAGTGACAGGGTCTTGCTGTGTTGATCAGGGCTGGGAACAAACTCCTAGGCTCAAGCAGTCCTCCTGCCTCAGTCTCCCAAAGTGCTGGCATTATAGGCTTGAGCTGCCACACCCAACTGAGACCTGGAGTCTTAAGGACTTTGAGGAAATATTTAAAGAGGTTTCAGTACAATGGGTTTAGGAGAGGAATCTATGAGAATGCTTTTGACCTGGCTAGGATACCACTACAACCAAGGGGCTTGGACCATTTGTAGTAAAGCTGGTAAATAGTTTCATGGAGGGATCAAGGATGCCACCAGCCAGTGAGAGACCTCATCTGATTTCTCAGGCTCTTACTTTTATGACTAGCTGATGTTAGTTCCAGGTCAGGTAACCCAATCAGAAATGAATAAATAGTAAGTTCTGAAAGTTAAGGCGATCTCTTTAGTTGGCTTAAAGAGACTAGAAATCTCTCCTTCCTCAACACATTTCATTCATTTATTTGACTTTTTGTTGTTGTTGTTGTTATTGTTATCTATTAGTTTCTAATAATTTGGTTAGTATTACATAATAAAGAGTATAGGGATTTTTTTCTACACTTCTTGTCAGAATAGGTAAAATAGTGTATTTTCTTGCTAGGAATGTGAGAGTACTTATGAATCCCTAGAAGGGAAATATAGTGGGTAATTTTTAATTACAGTCTGTTTCTATCCAGTCAGTTCTTAGAAGGCATCCTTTAGTATTTGTTTTAAGGAGTGTCACAAGGTTTCAACACTACACTGATGCTAGAGGTGGGTGTGTATGCATTATTTTTTTTTTCCATTCAGAGAACTAGAAAGGGACAGAATGGATATGGGGCTAATGTAGAAAGGCTGAATGACTATATGATTTGTATTGTAAAACTCAGAGGGGCAGCAGAGTAAGTGAACTACTCTGTGAACTACTGAAAGACTCCACCAACTGCAAAGTTTTTTTAAAAATCACTCTCTGTTACATGTAGAAATCACAATGCTTGGAGCCTTATTTTGAGTCCATCGTGTTAGGAAAATTAGCCAATTTATACTTCAATTTCTACCTTTATTTTAAAAAATTTGACTTTTCAGTTATTAATAGAAATGATGTGTGAATTGGGGTGGAAAAAATGGAAGATGTTTTTAGCCATTTGGAATGTACCATAACTCTTTGAGAGTTGAGAAAACATTGTTTTACAAAGTAATTTTATAAATTAGTTATGTAAAATAGTACTTGCATATTAAATTTGAATATTCCAAAACTGTTAATCAGAAAATAGTGTTATTAAGTCTGATTTGAATTCTAACACTAAATTTTATTTAGTAAAATAGTGGTATGAGAGAAGTTTTAGAAATGATGGTTCTTTATTTAATTCTGAATATAGTTTTCACTGTAGTGATTGCTATAACGTTTTAAGCTCTTCTTAACTGTTTCAAATGAAATATCTGTTTTAACAGGCCCAGCATGAAATTGGTAAAATTCAGAAAAGGAGATAGTGTGGGTTTGCGGCTGGCTGGTGGAAATGATGTTGGAATATTTGTAGCTGGCGTTCTAGAAGATAGCCCTGCAGCCAAGGAAGGCTTAGAGGAAGGTGATCAAATTCTCAGGGTATGTCAGTATTGCAACTTATGTGGGTTAAAAAGTATTTGGATCACCAGAAAAAGGTATCAAACAACAAGCTTACTATTGTAATTAGATTGTAATCTGTAAGCAGTCTCCATTGAGCCAGTTAAACTTTGAAAGTCAAAATCCATCAGGTCTACCTTATGCTGGACTTCTCACTTCCCATTCTTGTATCTTGCTCTTGTTTACTGCTATATTTTGTGTTAGTAAAGAATGTAACATTTCATTTCTACCACTCGTGTTCATGGAAATAAAAGAAAATAAGTCTTATATCCCGATGATAATATCTACCAGGTAGTCTTTGGAAGTTCAACTAAACATTCAGACTGGCAGGACTCTGCCATGGGCCACAACTTGGCAGCAAGCAACATCAAGTGTTCCTCTCCCATATGAGTCATCTTGAAGCAATCCACACAACCTCTGGGACCTTTTTAACCCCAGATAATGGCTCAGACACAGGGAGATGGAATTCACATCAAAGGCAAATGTGTAAGCTGCCTGGCTTTGAAACTTCATACTCCACAAGAGACAGGATTAGTTACACAAATCAGGAAAGCCCAGGTTAGATGCAGAGTATCAGTAGAGTCTATAGAGTCCTCCCTTCCTTCCCCATAAACGGTTTCACCTAGTGACATAGTACCATCTTAATCTGTCTCCTGTTTCTTTTTAAAATATCCAAACCTCCATTTGATTTGCTAGATTAAACTATGTCCCATTTTAATCAGAAGGTATCTGTCCATTGTGAGCTCCTACATTTATTCTGCTTCTCTACCACAAAGTCTTTGCCGTGGCCTCTCTATTCTGGTCTCTTTCTGTACTCAGCCTGCCTCTTGCCAGTGTCCTGGATTCAGCCTCCTGTCTGCTCCAGAATCTTGTAGCTTTGTTCACTTTCTTGTCTTTCTCTCTCCACTGGTTCTTCATCTATCTTCCACTGTCTTATTTGTCCTTTTTTGCTGTTTAACTTGTTGAAGGATGTGGTTGAGGCCCTTGCCTGTTTTCTTTTCAATCATTGTGGTCATACAGTTTTGCAGCCTGGCTTCCACCTTCACCACACTGAAGCTCAGTTTTCAATAAGCCATTGCTGAGTTAATGTCATCCTCAAGCCTCATTTTCCTTTATTTTTTAGCAGCGTTTTGACTGTCTTAATCTTTTTTGAAGTACTTTTTTCCTTAGATTCCATAATACTGCCATTCTGGTACATTTTTTTATTCTTTTCCTGCCTCTTTACTGATACTTTTAAAACTTGGAGAATGTTGGTAACTCTCTGCTTCTCTTGCTACACTGCCTCTTTCTTGGGTTTGGTTGCTCAAGTGAGCAGCTCGTAATCAAAGTCTTTTCACTTAGCAATTTCCTGAGCTCTGTCATTTTCTCATTGAATCCTCCTCCTTTTCCCTTCAAACTTAGCATGTCAAAAAGTCAAGGCATCATGGTGACTTCAGACCTATTTCCATCTGATCTGATATGGTCATTCTTTCTGATGATGTTTACATTGTTGTCAATCAAGTTAGGTCAAAAACATTTAAATACAACATGTATAATAACGTTCACTATACCAAGGAAAGTAAAGAGACCTATTTTCTTACCCATCTCTTAACCCTGTTTTGAAGTAATCAGGGCATACATTTTTTTAAACGTTTCTTTCTTTTTTTTTTTTTTTTTTCCTTGAGACAGCGCCTCACTGTCACCCAGGCTGGAATGCAGTGGTGTGATCACGGCTCACTGCAGCCTTAAACACCTAGGCTCAAACATTCTTCCCCTCAGCCTCCTGAGTAGCTGGGACCACAGGCATTAGCCACCACACGTGGCAAATTTTTGTATTTTTTGTAGAGGCAGGGTTTCACCACGTGGCCCAGACTGGTCTCAAACTCCTGGGTTCAAGCAGTCCACCTACTTTGGCCTCCCAGAGTGCTGGGATTACAGACATGAGTCACTGCGCCTGGCTAAAAAATGTTTCTTAATAGTTCACTTTTGTTTTGTATCATAAAAGTAAGTGGTGCGTGTCAGGTTTTTTTGTTTCTAGGGTTTTTTTTTTTCTTTTTTAATCTGGAAAATTTCCAAAAGGTGGAAAGAAGAAAACCTGCCTGTAATCCTGCACACAGTCACTGGTGACATTTTAATAAGTTCATTTTGGCATTTAGAAGCTTCTAATAGAAGTAAATATTAACTTGGCAAACACTGAGCCTGCATTACACAGATGCTCTTACAGGGTTGCTACAGTGCAGATTGTCTTTTTAGTCCCATTTTCTTTTGATTTTTTTTCTCAGCAACTTGTAAAAAGTTACCTTTTTTCATCTAAACTGGTTAAATTTTACACAGATCTTTAATGTCAGGACACACTGAATACTATTTAAATAAATTTATACCTTTAACTCACTTTATTTGTTTCTGTTTTTTTAAAATTAGAGTGTATTCTTTTCTCCAAAGTAAAATAAAGTTTTTGGTCTTAAAAGATGTGATATTTTCGGCCGGGTGTGGTGACTCATGCCTGTAATCCCAGCACTTTAGGAGACCAAAGCGGGCGGATCACCTGAGGTCAGGAGTTTGAGACCAACCTGCCCAACATGGTGAAACCCCATCTCTACTAAAAATATAAAAAAATTAGCTGGGTGTGGTGGTGGGCACCTGCAATCCCAGCTACTCGGGAGGCTGAGGCAGGAGAATCACTTGAACCTGGGAGGTGGAGGTTGCAGTGAGCTGAGATCGTGCCATTGCACTCCAGCCTGGGCGACAGAGCGAGACTCTGTCTCAAAAAAAAAAAAAAGATGTGATATTTTCAAATTAGGTAGACTGAGAGTATCTGTGTCCTGCGTATGTTATTTTCATATTCTTAAACAGCCAAGAATGATTTATGAAATCTTATTTATTAGGTAAACAACGTAGATTTTACAAATATCATAAGAGAAGAAGCCGTCCTTTTCCTGCTTGACCTCCCTAAAGGAGAAGAAGTGACCATATTGGCTCAGAAGAAGAAGGATGGTGAGATGCTGTCAGAAAATGGAGGAGATAAACCTGTAGAGTTTGAGGACTTACAAAGGGATTTATTCCATTTTTAAAAAATAAGTCACTCATAGTTGAGTGATGAATGAATTTGTTAATCTCAAAGAAAGTTATGTAATTCTAAGTCATTTAGGAGCACAGAATTTCAGATGATTCTCATTAGCAGAGCATGCTAATAGGACTAACCTTTATAGTATTCTAATTTAAATAAAATGCCATCCAACCCTTTACAAGTGATAGAAAGTGTTGATTTATTAGCCATCAGAACCATACAAAAGTATATATGAGCAGCTTTCAGATTTTGTACTGATGTTTCTAAGCAATACACTCAGATGTTTATTAGCATTAATTCAAGAGAAAACTCCATTTTTTCTGTGATACAATTTTCACTTAGAGCCAGGTTTCTCAGCCTTGGCACTGTTGACATTTTGGACCAAATAATGTGGTTTTAGGGGCTGTCCTGTGTATTGTGGATGTTTAGGAGCATTCCTAGCCTCTGCTCACTAGATGAGATGCCACTAGCACACACCCCTTACCCTTTCAGTACACAGATGGGGCAGTCAAAACTGCATATTGGCAAATGTCCAATGTTGGATGGCGAGGGATAAAATTACCTTTATTTGAGAACTGCTGATTTAGATATGGAAATGTCTATAATGTTTGCAGATAAGTTAGATGATATAATAGAAAACAAGCATGTGGCTTTTGACAAGTTACTTGATGTATTTTCTGCATCAGTTTCCTCATCTGCAAAATGGAAGTACTAAGAGTTTCAATTCTTACAGTGATGAATACATGAAATAATACAGTACCTGGCACATAGTAAGAATTTGTTGGATATTATTATTGATATTATCATAGCATCTTTACATAATGTACTGTCTTTCAGATTGTTATCCCACTAAATATTGATAATGTGTTTGTTTTTATTCCTTTTAGTTTATCGTCGCATTGTAGAATCAGATGTAGGAGATTCTTTCTATATTAGAACCCATTTTGAATATGAAAAGGAATCTCCCTATGGACTTAGTTTTAACAAAGGAGAGGTGTTCCGTGTTGTGGATACCTTGTACAATGGAAAACTGGGCTCTTGGCTTGCTATTCGAATTGGTAAAAATCATAAGGAGGTAGAACGAGGCATCATCCCTAATAAGAACAGGTATGAATGCTTGGATACTTCTCATAGAGTGAATCAAGTAAATGATGATAGATCATTTCAATCCCACTGGGAAATTTTGGTAATGTAAAGAATTCTTTTTCATTGTATTCAACGTATCTATAACTGACTTAGGTTTACAAACTCCTCTTTATTATAACCATTAAGATTTAAACTGTATGTGAACTTCCATCCAGTATTGTATATTTCATTTCATTGTGGGTCTTTTTCCATTTTGCATTTTAAATGCCCTTATTTTAATTTTCTCCTTTCTTGTGTAGAGCTGAGCAGCTAGCCAGTGTACAGTATACACTTCCAAAAACAGCAGGCGGAGACCGTGCTGACTTCTGGAGATTCAGAGGTCTTCGCAGCTCCAAGAGAAATCTTCGAAAAAGCAGAGAGGATTTGTCCGCTCAGCCTGTTCAAACAAAGTTTCCAGCTTATGAAAGAGTGGTTCTTCGAGAAGGTAGTTTATTTTCTACAGACTAACCTAATACCCTTTAACGTCAATATGTTTAAGAAAGAAAAGGTATAAAATATGCTGTTTTTCATGTGAATTTCTCTCCAGCTGGATTTCTGAGGCCTGTAACCATTTTTGGACCAATAGCTGATGTTGCCAGAGAAAAGCTGGCAAGAGAAGAACCAGATATTTATCAAATTGCAAGTAAGTAGCCTCAAGGCTAACTTAAATGAGGTTGGGAGTTACACCTCTAAAGTGAGTGAGTTCTGATTCACTCATTCAATAAAAATAAGACTTTTTGTCAGTGAAAAATTAGCAGTTTATCCCATTCTTTTAATTTGGTGAGAAAACCCCAGTGACCATGTCCTTGTTCCACCAATTCTTTTAATGAGAAAAGTCACCGTTTAGGAAACTCTTGGCTTCATATGAAAATTGCATAACATACAATGTCATTGAATCCTCCCAGTCATGCTCTGAGGTAAGGAGTATAATATCCATGTTACAGTTGAGTAGCCTGAGACTTGGATGGTCATTGCGTGGATCCTTTCCAGTTTCTTCAGTCTAAACTTCCTGGTGGCCCTCAGTGAACAAGTGACAAGACTCGGCTTTGACCACAGCCCTTTCTTGCTCCATTCCAGCTCTTTTAGTCATTAAACTGACAAATACACAAATAGTTAAAAAGGGTAATAAAACATTGCTAATATTATCAGCTGTTGTTATTGCAGACATTTATAATAAGATAGTAAGTATAAGTATTGAGGCTGCAGTGCTTTGTATGCCAAATACGTTTTGCTTACAGATCCTTGTTTTATTTACTTTCTTTTTTTTTTTTCCAAGCCAAACTGTATCCAGCTTTATTAAAGATACTTTCCATAAACAATCATGGTATTTCAGGCAGGACATGGGCAGACAATCGTTAACAGTATACAACAACTTTCAAACTCCCTTCTTCAATGGACTACCAAAAATCAGAAAGCCACTATAAAACCCAATGAAGTCTTCATCTGATGCTCTGAACAGGGAAAGTTGAGAGTGAGGGTTGACATTTCACATTTAGCATGTTGTTTAACAACTTTTCACAAGCCAACCCTGACTTTCAGGAAGTGAAACGAAAATGGCAGAATTTATCTGAAGATCCACAATCTAGAAATGGAACCACTGCTCTTTTGACAGGTGCCATCTCAGTGGCATCACTGGAAAGTCCAGATTGCCTGACACACTGGTAACCAATGACTAGGGGTCAGGTCTCAACAGATGTCTGGGCTTAAGGGAGTTAAGTCTATGCTGAAACGTGGAAAGGGAGAAGAGGACATAAAAACAAATTTGTTTTTCCATAGCACAAGGCTTTTGTGCCAAGGTGGCCATGTGTGTCAAAGTCAAGGAATCCCTCCTCCTGGGAGCCAAGAGGAAGTCTCTCAAAACTGGAAGGGAAAGGTGTTTTCTCCACATCAATCCAGTTTTGGAGACATTCTATTAGTGACATATGCCCCTTCCCCCAAAAACAACAATGAAGTGTTCTGTGTGCGAACAACATAGCTTAAAAAAAAAAAAAAAAAGGTAAAACAAAATTCTGCATTTTTATAAAACTTGATAAAAGTATTTCAAACTGTACAGTCACCAGAAATACACAGTTATCAAAAATGCACACACTTCACTTGGCATCTCCAGCACCTTCAGCTTTCTGTGCCTGGTCTGTTTTGGCATCTCCATTTTCTGCAGGGTTATTCCCCTCCTTGCCAGCATCAGCTTTTCCCTTTTTCCCTTTGGGTACCTTCTCTCCCTTCTTTGCAGGGGCCTTTTTAGGCTTGGGCTCTGGCTTTGGAGGAGCAGGTTTAGCAGACAACCTCGCGGATCTTCTCTGTGGTTCGTCCTTCACCTTGGCTTTATCTCCCTTAGCATCCCCTTCAGCCTTTCTCTTGGGCATGGTGGCGGTGGCGACAGGACGTAGGTGCTGGACGTGGGATGCAGCGGCACGCGGGCTTTGGTCGGTCCGGGGGTCGTTCTCGCCTCTTCTTCACACTGCTCCTCTTTTTTTTTTTTCAGAGACAGAGTCTCACTCTTGCCCAGGCAGGAGTGCAGTGGTTAGATCATTGCTCACTGTAGTCCCAAACTCATGGGTTCAAGCAGTCCACACACCTCGGCCTTCCAAGCAGCTAGGACTACAGGCACATGCCAACACGCCTGGCTAGTTTATTATTATTATTATTATTATTATTTTTGTAGAAACAGGGTCTCACTAGGTTGTCCAGGCTGAACCTGAGCTCCTGGGCTCAAGTGATCTCTGGCCTTGGCCTCCCAAAGTGCTGGGATTACAGGTGTGAGCCACTGTACCCAGTTTTGTTTTATTTTTAAACTGTTTTTGTAATTATAAAAGTGCCATTCTGTGTTTGGAAAAGTTGGAAAGTTAATTTTTACACATATCACCACCCTAAATTTTATTCCATTGTATTTTCTTCCACTCTTTTAAGCATATTTTGGCAAAGTTTTATTTATACTGTTTAGAAAAGTTTATATCCAATTTTTCTTTTTCATAGGTAATGGCATATTTTCATTTTATCCTGCAATTTTTGGTTCAGTTAGGCTTTTTTTATATCGTTTGTTTCGAATTTATATTACTATTACAAAAGATACAGAAATCTGTCCATATTTTGTTTGCTTGTTTATGCCCTGCTTTGTTTCCCAAAGGATTTAAATCCTTAAGAATATAGCTGTTCCCATAATTATGATGAAGTTTCTGCTTTCCAGAGAGTTGTGCTGGGGATTTTGTTCCCACTGGCACTATATGACCCTCAGTAACCTTTTTTTTTTTTTTTTGAAACAGAGTCTCGCTCTGTCGCCCAGGCTGGAGTGCAGTGGCACGATCTCAGATCCAGGCTCCAAGTTTCACCTCCTGGGTTCATGCCATTCTCCTGCCTCAGCCTCCCGAGTAGCTGGGACTACAGGCACCCGCCACCACGCCCGGCTAATTTTTTTGTTTTTTTAGTAGAGACGGGGTTTCACCGTGTTAGCCAGGATGGTCTCGATCTCCTGACCTCGTGATCTGCCCACCTCGGCCTCCCAAAGTGCTGGGATTACAGGCGTGAGCCACTGCACCCAGCCGACCCTCAGTAACATCTTTAAACTGCATAGTGTTAATTTAAAGAATCAGAACATCATCTTTTTTTTTTAATATATTGCTTTTCATTTCATTGCCAATGAAGTTGAATAAGGATATTTATTTTCTGAACATCAGAAGATTTGCAGACAAATGATTTGAGTAAAATCTGAGCAAGTTAGAAAATGTTTATTTCTTAGTTTTTTCAGAAGAAGTTTTGTTTTGTTTTGTTTTCTTTTGTTTGAGACAAGGTCTTACTGTGTTGCCCAGGTTGGAGTGCACTGACGCAATCTCAGCTCACTGCAACCTCCGCCTCCTGGGTTCAAGCGATTCTCCTGTCTCAGCCTCCCCTAGTGGCTGGGATTACAGGCACCTGCCACCGCACCTGGCTAAGTTATCTGTAGATGACATTTCACCTGAAGGAAGTTGGTGGTAACCCTTACCCATAACCAAACTTAGGATTTTTAGATATGGGAAAAGCAAGTATGATGACTTACAAAGCTCTGCCTTAAAGGGTAATACATTGGTTTAATCAGGTTTACTCCACAACAGGGAATTCAGGTAGCTTAGTTTTATATCTTCTTTGAGTCTAATGACAGTCTTTTGAGTTGAGGAGTTAGTAGCATTTTTTTTCCAGCCAAAATTCCCAGTTGATCTTTCTTCTTAATTCTCCAGTGTTCACTAGATTTGAAATTCTGCCCTGCTTGCCCATGGTGCTTTGTCTTATGGTAGTCTCATTCTCCAAAATCATTTATCTTGAACCTCAGTGTGACTTGTCTTTCCAGATCTCTGCCTTTGTCTGATCTCTGAAACACCAAAGCTCTTCCTTTCCTTTCAAACTTTCCTTGTGACCAGAGTCACAAACGTTGCTGTGCTCTGAGATGGTTGGTTGGAAACCAGCCCAAGCTGCATTTGGCACAGTATACACCAGTGAAGACAGGTTGCCAGGATGAAGCCATAGGCTGTCTCACAGTTACAGATGAACAGCTTCCTGCCCCCAGGTTCCCCTTCTACTGATGTAACTAAGGTCTCTAACCCAGAACTCCCTAGGCAATCCACTATAGCACCATTACCGATGGTTGATGGACATGCCAAGGTATTGACCTCTTAAGCCAGTAGTGGCTGGTTAGAGCTTGGCAAAGGAGCAGCCCCCTCAGTTTATCTCAGTGTGCCATACAAATAATATTTTCTCTGGATGTTACAGTGTGAAAAAGGGTGGGAAGTAGTGCCCTGTTGAGCCATATTAGAGCCCCAGGCAAAAGAAAAAAATGTGCATTCCTGTATATTTTTTCTTCTTTAATGGCTAAGTTTTTTTCCAGAATATTAAAGTAGTTGAAAAAATAGTGAAAAAAAAAAAGGGAAGTATGCATATTAAAACTCACTTTAAGTACTGCATGCATAAGACAGTTTCCACAAACAAAGTACTATCCAGTCCGGCATATCAGTTGTGGCCAGTAGTTGAGAAACTCCTGTCTAACCAGTGAAAATTTGATGTCTTATTTTTGTCCTGACATAATGAATAGAGAGTGAACCACGAGACGCTGGAACTGACCAACGTAGCTCTGGCATTATTCGCCTGCATACAATAAAGCAAATCATAGATCAAGTAAGTTATTAAAACTTGACCCATTTCATTATGTTATTGTGGTTTTGAGTGGGATGGGATTTGGTTAATTTGAAAGTAGAAGGTAGTTTTTCTGAGACTATTACTGACATACTATAAGAAAATTAAGCCCTTACTGAAAAGCATTATAATGATTACTTTCAAGAGAATAGTTACTGTAGGCATCAGAAGATGATTTTTCATTACCACAAAACAAGTGTATGATTTTTAGATGTAATTAACAGACTGCTTATATATTATATCAGTACAATTCAAGTTGTAGTTTGTTATTTACATTCATAAGGAATGTCAGGAACATTAAATTCTTAAACATTTTTATTCTAACTGTACGTGGATAATACTGTCAGATTGCGGTGTTAGGGCTAAGTCTTAAAAGTGAGCTTCATAGAAAGGTTTTTAGAAATTTGGCTAGAAATGGAATTGAGTTAACTTACAATTAGTTTTTTAATATGTGCTCCTGAGACATTAGAATACAAAGAGATCTGTTACCACTGAAATATAGTACAGACTTTTGACTTTTTCTGAATGTGATGGGGTGTTTTGTTTTGTTTTGGTTTGTATTTGTTTTTGTTTTTGAGGTAGGGTCTTGCTGTGTTGCCCAGGTGGGACTGCAGTGGTGTGATCTCGGCTCACTGTAGCCTCTACCTCTCAGGTTCAAGTGATTCTTGTGCCTCAGCCACCCAAGTAGCTGGGATTACAGGCGTGCACCACCATGCCTGGCTAGTTTTTGTATTTTTAGTAGAGATAGAGTTTCTCCATACTGGCCAGGCTGGTCTGGAACTCCTGGCCTCAAGTGATTCACCCACCTCGACCTCCCAAAGTGCTAGGATTATAGGCGTAGCGTGAGCCACTGCACCCAGCTGAATTTGGTGATTCTTAATTAATGATGTCTTGTGTCTTTGTATATATTTTTCTTTCTGTTTCTAGGACAAACATGCTTTATTAGATGTAACACCAAATGCAGTTGATCGTCTTAACTATGCCCAGTGGTATCCAATTGTTGTATTTCTTAACCCTGATTCTAAGCAAGGAGTAAAAACAATGAGAATGAGGTTATGTCCAGAATCTCGGAAAAGTGCCAGGAAGTTATACGAGCGATCTCATAAACTTCGTAAAAATAATCACCATCTTTTTACAAGTGAGTATGTTAATAAAGGCCTTCTTTCAGCTTACAATGTCTGGGCAACATTAAGTAGGCCAAAATGTTACGGTGTTCAAATACTAAAACTTACATGATACTTTCTTGGAAAGCTTCCTGTTGTGTTAACACCTGCTGTTTGGTTAAAAGAAAATATACAGTAGCAAAATAGAAATTTCAAATGTTTGCATCCTCAGATACCATCTTTCAGTAATGACGATTTAGCTGTAAGCAGGGTTGAATTAATTCTGACTTTTGGCAGTGCTCTAACCATAAAACTACATCGTTAATTTATTTTCAGCTACAATTAACTTAAATTCAATGAATGATGGTTGGTATGGTGCGCTGAAAGAAGCAATTCAACAACAGCAAAACCAGCTGGTATGGGTTTCCGAGGGAAAGGTAAGACATTTCCTATTACTTTTTTGACTAGTTCAGTAAATTATGTAACTAATCAGAGATGCTTTTGAGATACCAGTGCTTTCTAATTAGATCAACATATTGGAGAAATTTGGGGAAAGTTAGCTTTTAGGTTTTTATAATTTGTGTGTAGGGGTTATGAAAGTTGTTTCTGATGGTAAGAGAATTCTTAAATTTTCTCACCTGTTGAATTACCACTGCAGTAGGATTGTCTCCTAAAGAATCTTAAATTATAATGAAGAGCAGGTTGAGTTCTGATGCTGCCCCTGTCTGGCTATGAATGATGACTTTGAGCCTGGCTTCAGTTTCCTCCTCTGAAAATGAGGGGATTTGGATGGCCTAGATGAGCATCTCCCAAAGTGCTGTCCTCAGCATGCTCAATTCAGGACTTGCTCTAAGAGAGAAGGCACTATGAAGGCAAGCAGCGGATGGGAAATAAACCCTAGACCCCTCACGAGTATCCTCGTACCCACTGGCATTTAAAGGCTCTGAGACATCTTAAAAGTTAAAAAGCCGACTTCATGCATTTCCTTGCATTTATTTTTCACTCAACACCTGTTAACATTCTCACAACATACTGGGAGATATTGAACAAAGCAATAGATCCTTCCTGGCTTTGAATTTTGGTTTTCTATACGTCCAAATGGCCAGCTTTAAAATAACTACTTTCTATTGTCAGTCTTTCTGGTTTTATAGCAATCTTTGATGGGAAGGTCTGTTTATTTTGTCTGGAGAGTTAATCATTTCCTCAGAATACACCATTGAGGGAAGCTTTTTTTTTTTAAATGTCTTTTACCTTTTTCAGATCAGTGCAGTAAGTTTTGGTTATTAGGGAAGATTGAGAGTATCTCTGGTTTTTATTTTGTTCTTTGTACTTCCTTGTTGGTTTGGTTTTTGTTGTGTTTTGCCCCCGCATGGTCCCTACCTTCCTCTGCCTGGCTGTGGCTACAGATGCTCTGACAGTGCATGCTGCATGCTTAGGACCCCCCATGTCCTCTACCCAGACATACACAGCCTCTGCAAGGAGAGCTGTTAACACTGAGAGGCAGTGTCTATTGTTCTCACCTATAGTAATGTGTCAGAACTATGGTTTTTCTCATTATGAACCAGTCTGGGGGATGGACCATGCATACGAGAGCCTAAGACCACTCTGAATAACATGTCAGCTGGAACTGGATAGGAAAATGAAGGTGGAAACAAACCACACCACTTTACATGAACACACTATTACTAATTTCTACTTTTGCAGCACTTGAAAGGATTGTAGTCTTCATACTAACCTTCTATAGCAACACAATTCTGTTAACATCCTTTGGCAGGTCCAATGTTAATAGCTTTCACTAGTGAATTCTTAAAATGAAAGTAGTCTATAAATGTTTTCCCAAAATGCACAAAGTATACATTTGTAGTATCTGAGAGGCTTTTTTAAAATCCACAAATCTTAATTTTCTATAAAGTATTTTAGTGATAGTCTTGTGTGCTTTCTTTGCTTGGTTTTAAAATAAAGGTCCAACTTTCTAGCTTTTTATGTGAGGAAAAATAGGTTATTTATTATCAGGCTAGACTGATGCATTTTGTAAGCCAGAAAAGGTTGTTACAACTTAAAGCTTATCTTCCTGTCCTCTTCTCTTCAAGTATATTTCATAGAATAGATTCTTAAACTAAAACTACTTCATTTCACATTGACTTTCCTGAACCAACTACTTTGACCTAATTGCTAGAAAGAGTTCCTTTTTACAAGATCTGACACAGTCTTACATATTCCCTGCTAAACCAGGAAAAGTCATCCTGAGGCTTTCTTAACATATTTCCTAGTTCAAAGCAACCCATCGTTCTTGCTTACATCTGCATTTCAAACCAGCTTTAAAAACTTAAGTGGATTGATTAGTTCTAAGTTATTCTTGCCCAGACTTTCAATATTTCCTTGACTGGCTACTGGATTATAGTATTCAGAACCCTGGCAAGCTAAAGATTAGAGTAGATAGCAAGAAGACTTTTCTTCTGCAACAGCTGTTACCGAGTTGAGAAGCCATTGAGACTTGTTCAGAGGGATTGTGCTCTAACAGGATAGATCCCTGGATTCCCACTCTCCCCAGCCCAGCCTGGCAGATGCTCTCTTGAAAACTGGAGCATGGGGAGACCTGACACACCCTAGTCTTTCTTATCAGGAAGGCAGTGCTCAAGGTCAGAGTCTTAACGAGCCAAGCATGGGGACTGCGTGGAAAGCTCCATTCAGGCAACTTGACTCCCAAGACCATGCTTCTGGCACAGCAGACCTGCAGAGCCACACCAAACCTGCTAGTTAATAGCAGTGCATCTTTCTGGAGGACAAGAGTTTCATGTTTGTCCTTCATTCCATACTGAAGTGGAAGAAATACTTTCTGATTCCTGGATTCCAGATCCTTCAGCTCTCATGAGTAACTGAGCACGGTGTCTAGGCAGGGTCTTCAGGGAGTGTTCTTTTTCATCCAGGTACTAGTGTCACGTTAGTGTCCAGTGATAACCTGTTGATTGCAACTCTGTAGCTTCCTTTCCCTCAAATACTTCTCACTTTCTTTCTGATCTACTCAGAAGATAATCAACATAAACTATTAGAAACTGAGTTCTTAATTACTTAACAAAAGAAAAGCATTACTGTATTTCTTCCTCTCCATCTGTTGGATACTGTTTCTATGAAAAATAATAAATAATTTCTTCTTAATGTAGCAACCACCATGTAGGTGATGATTTTCCATTGTGTTTCATAACAGCTTTAAGGGCCAAATGTTTAACAGGTTGTTTTAGTCTGCTCTTGAACTGCTGTAAAGAACTACCTGAGACCGGGTAACTTATAAAGAAAAGAGATTTAATTGGCTCACAGTTCTGTGGGCTGTACAGGCTCCTGCTTCTGGGGAGGCCTCAGGAAACTTAAGACAGTGAAGGGGAAAAAGCATGTCTTACATGGTTGGAGCAGGAGGAAGAGAGAGAAGGGGGGAGTACTACACACTTTTAAACAGACAGAGCTTGGGAGAACTCTTATCACAAAATAGTATTAGGGGGATGGTGCTAAACCATTAGAAACCGCCCTCGTGATCACCTCCTACCAGGCCCCACTCCAACACTGAGGATTATAATTCAACATGAGATGTGGGTGGGGACACAAATCCAAACCATATCATTCTGTTCCTGGTCCCTCCCAAATTTCATGTCCTTCTCACATTGCAAAATATGATGGTGCGTTCCCAACAGTGCCCCAAAGTCTTAACTCATTTCAGCATTAACTCAGAAGTTCAAAGTCTCATCTGAGACAAGGCTAGTCTCTTCTGTCTAGGAGCCTGTAAAATCAAAAACAAGTTAGTTACTTCCAAGATACAAAGGGGACATAAACATTGGGTAAATACTCCCTTTTCAAAATGGAGAAGTCTGCCAAAACAAAGGAGCTCCAATCCCCATGAAATTCCAAAAGTAAGTAGATTAGTCATTAAATCTTAAAGCTCCAAAATAATCTCCGTTGACTCCACTGCTCACACCCAGGCTACAATGATGCAAGGGGTGAGCTACCAAGGCCTTGGACAGCTCTGCCCCTGTAGCCACGCAGGGCACAGCCCCTGCAGCTCCTTTCATGGACTGGCATTGTGTGCCTGTGGCTTTTCCAGGTGCATGGTGCATGCTGTTGGTGGACCTACCTCTCTAAGGTCTGGAGGACAATGGGCCTCTTCTCACAGCTCCACTAGGCAGTGCCCCAGTGGGGACTGTCTGGTGGGGGGCTCCAACCCCACATTTCCCCTCCACACTGCCCTGGAGGTGCTCCATGAGGGCTCCGCTCCTGCAGCAGACTTCTGCCTGGACATCCAGGCATTTCCATACATCCTCTGAAATCTAGGCAGAGGCTCCCAAGCCTCAACTGTCTCCCTCTGTGCACCCGCAGACTTAGCATCATGTGGAAGCTGCCAAGGCTTAGGGCTTGCACCCTCTGAAGCAACAGCCTGAGCTGTAACTTGGCCCATTTTGGCCATGTCTGGAGCTAGAACAGCCATGATGCAGGGCACCATGTCCTGAGGCTGCACAGAGCAGCAGGGCCGGGCCTGGATCACCCACAAAACCATTTTTTCCCTCCTAGGCCTCCAGGCTTGTGATGGGAGGGGCTGCCGCATAGGCCTCCAAAATGCCCTGGAGACATTTTCCCCCATTGTTTTGTCTGTTAATATTCTGTCCCTCGTTACTTAACAAATTTCTGCAGCCAGCTTGAATTCCTCCCCAGAAAATGGGTTTTTATTTTTTACTGCATAGCCAGGCTGCAAATTTTCCAAACTTTTATGCTCTGCTTCACTTTTAAATATAAGTTCCAGTTTCAGATAATCTGTTTGTGCACACATATGAACACATGCTGTTAGAAGCAGCCAGGTCGCATCTTGAATGCTTTGCTATTCAGAAATTTCTTCCACCAGATACCCTAAATCATCTCTCTCAAGTTCAAAGTTCCACAGATCACTAGAGCAGGGGCACAGTGCCACCAGTGTCTTTGCTAAAGCATAGCAAGAATGAATGACCTTTACTCCAGTTCCCAGTAAGTTCTTCATCTCTGTCTGAGACCTCCACAGCCTGGACTTTATTGTCCATATCACTATTAGCATTTTGGTCAAAACCATTCAACAGGTCTCTAGGAAATTCCAAACTTTCCCTCATTTTTCTGTCTTCTCTTGAGCCCTCCAAACTGTTCCAACCTCTGCCCATTACCCAGTTCCAAAGCTGCTTCCACATTTTCAGGTATCTTTTTGGCAATGCCCTACTTCTCTGGTACCAATTTACTGTATTAGTCCATTCTCACACTGTGATAAAGAACCACCTGAGACTGGGTAATTTATAAAGAAAAGGTTTCATTGGCTCACAGTTCTGCAGGCTGTACAGGCTTCTGCTTCTGGGGAGGCCTCAGGCAACTTACAATCGTGGCGGAAGGGGAAGGAAGCATGTCTTATATGGCTGGAGCAGGAGGAAGAGAGTTGGGGAGGTGCTGCACACTTAAAAAAACAGATCTTGGGAGAATTCTATCACAAGACTGTGTGAGGGAGATGGTGCTAAACCATTAGAAACCACCCCCATGATCCAGTCACCTCCCACCAGGCCCCTCCCCCAACACTGGGGATTACAATTCAACATGAGATTTGGGTGGGAACACAAATCCAAACCATATCAGTTGTTTCCTAAACATAAATATATTAGCTCTTATTCAACTTTTGAACTGTTGGGTTTATTTCATAGGTATTCTTCCATGTGCTATTCTGTCAGTGTGTCCTTGTTTCTGTGAGCTTAGTTTGGTAACATTCTCCCTCTTCCCCTTGCTTAAAAGGGCTGAAGAGCTAGTGAGTAGGTTTTATAAATCTGAGCAGTGTCAGAGTTTCTTCGTTGTCTTCCAGGGCTGGGCCCTGGAGTCTAACTTTGTCCTGGCTTACCGGCCACTGTTTCCTTCATCCATGCCCTTCAGATCTCAAGGGGTGCTCCATGTGTCTGCGTGTGTGCTTGTACAATCTTCTTGACTTTTCCTTACCAGAAGTTTCAAGAAGTAGATGTGACTTCTCCAGAGAAAGATATCCTTTTCAATCTGCCTTGTACGATAAAGGCCATCTCTTAAAGAACTACTGAATAAAATTTGTAATTTACTTTTATTTGACCCAGGCGGATGGTGCTACAAGTGATGACCTTGATTTGCATGATGATCGTCTGTCCTACCTGTCAGCTCCAGGTAGTGAATACTCAATGTATAGCACGGACAGTAGACACACTTCTGACTATGAAGACACAGACACAGAAGGCGGGGCCTACACTGATCAAGAACTAGATGAAACTCTTAATGATGAGGTTGGGACTCCACCGGAGTCTGCCATTACACGGTCCTCTGAGCCTGTAAGAGAGGACTCCTCTGGAATGCATCATGAAAACCAAACATATCCTCCTTACTCACCACAAGCGCAGCCACAACCAATTCATAGAATAGACTCCCCTGGATTTAAGCCAGCCTCTCAACAGGTAAGCAGCAAGCATTCAACGTTTTGTAGATAGAGGTGCATTATTAAATTTTAGAATGTGGTGATTGAGTTAAAAATATATATGTTGTCCTTTCTCCAGATTAAGAATTAATCTTCAATTTCAATTTGAGAGTACCAAGGGCTTAATTCTAAATTTTGTGTGTTTGTCTTAACACAGCAATGTACTGGATTTTTTTTTTTTCCCAAAAAGTTTAGGACATGAGGTCATAATTTTGTTATTCAGCACACTTAAAATGTATGTCTACCAATCACTATAAATTGAAGTGGAAAGTTAGCAGTAAACAGAAACACTATATTTAAAATATTTTAAACACTTCACAGAAAGCAGAAGCTTCATCTCCAGTCCCTTACCTTTCGCCTGAAACAAACCCAGCATCATCAACCTCTGCTGTTAATCATAATGTAAATTTAACTAATGTCAGACTGGAGGAGCCCACCCCAGCTCCTTCCACCTCTTACTCACCACAAGCTGATTCTTTAAGAACACCAAGTACTGAGGCAGCTCACATAATGCTAAGAGATCAAGAACCATCATTGTCGTCGCATGTAGATCCAACAAAGGTACCTGTGCTGCGGTGTTGCACTAATTTGTTGCTGTCCATCAATCTGGCACATGATCATTTTTGCTTTGCCCTTTAAGTGTTCCTTTTGCTTTTTTACTGCAGGCTTATACACTGTAATGCTTTCAAATCAATACAAATCATTTCAGTTTCGTAGTTTGCATGGCTTCCATTGGTATACTGATTATTTGAAAACAGGCCTTTTAATTGAGATTTGTGCTTATTATTTTTATTTTTGGCTTTCAGTATCTTCCAGAATTCCTTAATATGTAATCGAAACCCATCATAAACATATTTATGTTAATACAAATTATGATGCCCATAAATCTTCTTTAGGATTTTTCAGTGTCAAAATGAAGTGTAATCAATAGTGCATTAATTTTCTACTAAATTTAATATTTATCTTTAACTCACTGTTTATTTAGTACATGCTGAAACATAAAAGCCCCTACCTGCATTATAAATTTTGAGCTTTCACTTAAACCAGCTTTTTCCACTAATCTTGTCTATCCTGATAATAAATGGTAAAACATACCATTTTCACATATTAAATCATAGTTTAATATTTAATCACAGTCTAATAAAATAGACTAGAATTAGAAACAAGACTTTGTCCTTAAATGTGAATTTTTTATACAGGTGTATAGAAAGGATCCATATCCCGAGGAAATGATGAGGCAGAACCATGTTTTGAAACAGCCAGCCGTTAGTCACCCAGGGCACAGGCCAGACAAAGAGCCTAATCTGACCTATGAACCCCAACTCCCATACGTAGAGAAACAAGCCAGCAGAGACCTCGAGCAGCCCACATACAGATACGAGTCCTCAAGCTATACGGACCAGTTTTCTCGAAACTATGAACATCGTCTGCGATACGAAGATCGCGTCCCCATGTATGAAGAACAGTGGTCATATTATGATGACAAACAGCCCTACCCATCTCGGCCACCTTTTGATAATCAGCACTCTCAAGACCTTGACTCCAGACAGCATCCCGAAGAGTCCTCAGAACGAGGGTACTTTCCACGTTTTGAAGAGCCAGCCCCTCTGTCTTACGACAGCAGACCACGTTACGAACAGGCACCTAGAGCATCCGCCCTGCGGCACGAAGAGCAGCCAGCTCCTGGGTATGACACACATGGTAGACTCAGACCGGAAGCCCAGCCCCACCCTTCAGCAGGGCCCAAGCCTGCAGAGTCCAAGCAGTATTTTGAGCAATATTCACGCAGTTACGAGCAAGTACCACCCCAAGGATTTACCTCTAGAGCAGGTCATTTTGAGCCTCTCCATGGTGCTGCAGCTGTCCCTCCGCTGATACCTTCATCTCAGCATAAGCCAGAAGCTCTGCCTTCAAACACCAAACCACTGCCTCCACCCCCAACTCAAACCGAAGAAGAGGAAGATCCAGCAATGAAGCCACAGTCTGTACTCACCAGAGTTAAGATGTTTGAAAACAAAAGATCTGCATCCTTAGAGACCAAGAAGGATGTAAATGACACTGGCAGTTTTAAGGTAAATATGTCTTTAGTGCCTTGGATGCATGGGCACACCGTTTAAAAGGCTTCTTGGCTCTCCCCTCCGCCATTACATGATATCTATTCTGTTAATTATCTGTTCCTTAGGCATATTTGTCTTTTTTTTTTTTTTTTTTTTAAACAGCCTCCAGAAGTAGCATCTAAACCTTCAGGTGCTCCCATCATTGGTCCCAAACCCACTTCTCAGAATCAATTCAGTGAACATGACAAAACTCTGTACAGGTGAGTACACTTTGTGCTCTTTGTGGCATAGAACTGACCAGGAATTTAACCCTCTTAGTCAATAAGAAAACCTTTTACTGTGTTAGTAGAGGAGAGGTGTGAATAGGAGGAGTTTGTCCTTAAATAAAAACTATCAGCTCTCCTAAACAGTGATTCTAGGGGGAAAAAAAGTAGAACTTTATTTCTGACAAATCTGACAAATCTTTATACCTTTAGCAGACTTTCGGAAAGATATTCTCCAAGCAGATGATTAAATAAACATTTTTAAGCTCTGACATTTGTATTATGTTTTTTAGTTTTAAAAGTGCTTTTCGACATGTGAACTCTTAGTTTCCAGTGGTGAGGAAACAGACTCAGATTGGTTAAGATAACTAAATCATTTAGTGAGCATGCATAAGGTGCTTGCCCTTGTGCTAAGCACATCAGCATAATGAGGTGACACTGTTGTTGTTCTGCATTGTAGAGAGAGACACTGAGGCTGAGAGGGGCTAAGTAGCTTACAAGACTTAGAGCTGGAAGAGAAACCTGGCCTGCTGCTCCTCAGCCTGAGCTTTTTCCCATGGCCTCATTGCACTGCCAATAAGTGACAGATTAGATTTGAATACAGCTCTTCTGATTTTGTTTTTTGACTGAATATATGTTTGCACTTAGGATAAAGAAGAGAACTGTCTAATATGAATTTACTTAATGACTTGCTTTCTTCCTCATCTGCTTTGTATGCCTTCTAGAACTTTAGACCATATAGAGTTATTTGTTCATATGAGAATCATTGAGATCC
Source organism: Homo sapiens (assembly GCF_000001405.40). Taxonomy (NCBI): domain Eukaryota; kingdom Metazoa; phylum Chordata; class Mammalia; order Primates; family Hominidae; genus Homo; species Homo sapiens. The sequence goes on along the minus strand of NW_011332701.1, from coordinate 1,888,889 downwards.
TGGACTGAGTTCTTAAAAATCCCTTTGAAAGTTCTTAAAGTCTATCATTTACTGTTCTTGACCTTGGTATATGTACTTCTCAAGATGTTCACTGTCTCGGTTACATTGCCCTTTGTCTTTCTGATTAACTACTTCTAACCTGCTGTTCCCTAATCATGTAATCGTTTAGCTTATTATATTGTGTTAAAGGACTCATGAGCCAGAAGGGGGCTGCCTTTTGAGTATACTCTGTGAGGACATGGGATTTGAAATATCCATTTTAACTGTTGGGACTGCTCAGATCCTCAGTAATCACAGCAGTTAGTAATTATTGACCTTTTAGTCAAGATAAGACTTACATATTCTACTTCCTTCATAACATTAATATTTAAAAAGGTGTTCCGTTTGTCATTCATTATCTGTTAGGATCCCAGAACCTCAAAAACCTCAACTGAAGCCACCTGAAGATATTGTTCGGTCCAATCATTATGACCCTGAAGAAGATGAAGAATATTATCGAAAACAGCTGTCATACTTTGACCGAAGAAGTTTTGAGAATAAGCCTCCTGCACACATTGCTGCCAGCCATCTCTCCGAGCCTGCAAAGCCAGCTCATTCTCAGAATCAATCAAATTTTTCTAGTTATTCTTCAAAGTAAGCTATTTCACCTGGCTTTTAAAAATAGGATGCAGCATATTAATCCCGTGCAGTTCAATATATTTTGAAGAAAAATAATTTAAGTGTAATATATGATTTCTGTAGGCTCTAGTGGTTCAGCATTGTACATACTTTTTAGTTCTGGGATGTGTGTTTTGTTTTTAAAGTCTGCTATTAGATGTACATAGTTTTTGCATTCACAAAGATGCTAACATCACAGGGTTTTGACGGAAGACAGTGTCAACCACAAGGACCCTCATCGATAGGTAATCATCAGTCTTCACTTCTGTACACACACCTAATGATGTCATGCTGGTTCTTTTTCTTTTCTGTTTTTATTTTTTAAATATAAATACAGATGTGAGGAGGATCCTGTTTGAGGGAAATACTGAAGAGGTTTTTTGTTTTTTGTTTTTGTAAGATTTCTGATCCAGTTTTACAGGTGAGGGAAAATGACAGGGCAGAGCTGGGACTGAACCCCAAGTTTCTTGACTCCCAGTCATCTTTTCCCTGTGCTTGCTGCTCCCCTCCGATTACTCATCCCTGGGTTTCGTGTTGGTTTGTTCTCCTTTCTTGTGCCTGCGTGGGTTTGTGTCTCCTACTGGTTCTGTGTCTCTGGTTGAACCCTGACTGATAAGAGAATTTGGTACTGATAGTTGTGTCTAAGCCCACACGGGCACACAGGTAGATTCATACCTCAATAGAACAAAACCCACAAGAACAAAAACAGATGTGGATTTGTCAAAAGAAATTCATTTACACAGTTACAGGGGCTGGCTAAGCAAGTCCTATTTCAGAGGGCAGTTGGTCAGGAAGGGAAGATTTTGAGCTACTGGGGAGTGTGAGATCAGGGAAGGCCTAAATTCTCATTCAGAGGGCTCTGCTGATTAGGCCAGGCCCTCCCAAGACCATCTCCCCTCAACTGACTTGGGGACATTACACCTGAAAAATCCCTTCATGGCAGTACCTAGCCAGATTGACATATTAGAATTCATCACACATAGTATTGTGTCTATATTAAAAGCACCTAGATTTTTCCTTACTTAGTTGCGTGGGCTTGGGATTATCTTGGGAAATGACCTATTTGTCATTTACTATTGAGTGTAAATTGTTTTAGAACATACTTTAAAACCACTAACATTAAAACCTAATTTTAATTACCACTGCTTTTTTCTAAGACATCCTTTGTAGTGAAGACTTTTTTCACTGTCCTATATTTAAGGCTTTATGTTTACAGAGGAAAGCAGTTTATGAGAATCCAAATGCAAACTGAGAGTGCTGCAGTGGGGGTTGTATTAAATGCAAAACGTGTCTTGTACTAGTGTTGTGAACCACCCCTTAGCACAACACTAGAAAGGGGTTGTGGCATCTAGATGGTGTCTGGACTGAAGTGAGCTAGCACAATATAAACCCACACAGGTGCACAGCTGGGTTCATACCTCAACAGAACAAAACCCACAAGAACAAAAACAGATGTGGATTTGTCATTAGGAATTCATTTACATTTACAGTGTTACAGGAATTCATTTACACAGTTATCACAGTAACATCTAAATGGTGACTAGCCTAAAGTGAGCTAGGCACTGAGCCATAGGAGCTCACCTTTGGTAAGGCAGAAGGGTGTACCCTTTAGTTATTATTTTTACTAAACACCGTTAAACACATTCATTCCTGTCAGAAGAAGGCTCAGGTGTTTAGTTTAAAGATATCTCTTATTTATCGTTTTACATATTTGGTAAATAGAATACAACCTTAAAAAGATTATATGGCCAGGCGCAGTGGCTCGTGCCTGTAATCCCAGCACTTTGGGAGACCAAGGCAGGCTGATCATGAGGTCAGGAGATCGAGACCATCCTGGCTAACACGATGAAACCCCATCTCTACTAAAAATACAAAAAAATCAGCGGGGCGTGGTGGCGGGCTCCTATAGTCCCAGCTACTCGGGAGACTGAGGCAGGAGAATGGCGTGAACCCGGGAGACAGAGCTTGCAGTGAGCCGAGATCGTGCCACTGGACTCCAGCTTGGGCAACAGAGTGAGACTCTGTCTCAAAAAAAAAAAAAAAAAAAAAGGCTGGGCGCAGTGGCTCACGCCTGTACTCCCAGCACTTTGGGAGGCCGAGGTGGGTGGATCATGAGGTCAGGAGATCGAGACCATCCTGGCTAATATGGTGAAACCCTGTCTCTACTAAAAATACAAAAAATTACCTGGGCATGGTGGCAGGTGCCTGTAGTCCCAGCTACTCTGGAGGCTGAGGCAGGAGAATGGCATGAACCCGGGAGGCGGAGCTTGCAATGAGCCGAGATCGCGCCACTGCACTCCAGTCTGGGCGACAGAGCCAGACTCATCTCAAAAAAAAAAAGGAGTATATTTAGGTCTAAAAAGTAAGTTGTTTTGCCAGGGAATCAATCAAAATGCATGTTTGCTTTCTGTGTTAATTTGTTTTTCTAGAAAGAAGACTTAGCTTATTTGTGATGTATAACTTTAGGGTGTAGAACATTGCCTTGCATGCAGTAGGGGCTCAGTAATTGTTGAGTGAATGAAGCTCAAAACAGGGCATGGTATACTAGGTGCATCCACCACCCTTCTTTTCATTAACACAGCTCTGGAAGGAACCTGTATTACCTGGTCATTGTTTTCACAGGGATATATTGTGAAACAGATGACATCTGTCTTTGTGAATTTACTCAGAACTCAGTTTGATTTTACTCCCTGCTGCTGTGAGAGAGAAAAGTATAGTTTGGGCTGGATACCAGTATACTTTTTTTTCCTTTGTAGTGTGAAATTGAAACTCTTTATAATTGTGCTGCATTTTCCCATATAGGTATTTAATGGTTAGAGAAATGGAAAGGAGAATAAGGGTCATGGAAGATAACTAAGAGGGTAGTTGTTTCTGTAAGTTTCCCTTGTAATGCTTTTTCATACTCTTGTCCAATGAGTACAACTTCATCAACTGGAAAATAGCTTAAAATATAGGACTCTGTCCTGCATTTCAAAACCATTTACTGTTTGTCACTAAATAAGACTGCCTTCAGGCATTTCTTTCTTTCAGTAAATACAGGAGTAGCAAAATTTTCTTCCTTCAGATGATGTGTGCTTATGCTTCACTTAAAAACACACCTCAGAAATGGTGAGAATTAGATATGGAAAATAATCTTTGTTAGCACAGGACAGATGCCCCAGGAAGCAAGCAGATATTACCCAGTCTAACAGTTCCATAGAGCTGGATTAGAACTGGAAAGGTTAGGAGACAGTAGCTTAGACATTCACCTCCAAAGTAAATCAGAAGTTTCCAGGATTCTAAAACAGTGCAAGAAGAGCAGTGTCCCTCCAGGGCTGTGCACATGTCTCAGTCCAGAGATTGAGTCAACTTCTTCAGGACAACCAGGGATTTTTTGTTATCAAATCTACCTTTCAGGACTCAACTCACTATGTGAGACTTCCAGGTCTCAATAAATGATGGTGGTTTGTAGCTTTTAAAGAACTAAATGTGAGAGACTGATGTTCAGTTGTTTTTGTGTTTGTGAGACATCATTAGATGAGAGAGAGCCTGAGCATCAAGCATGCAGCTTCACCAGTAAGACTCCACCACCACAGGGCCCAGCTTATGATTGGAGATGGAGGAGGTCTTGCTAGAAAGGAACATGTGAAGCCTGGCCAGGTTTCAAGCCAGGCATATTTCTATCTCTCCATTTACCATTCCCCTCCCAGGGGCTCAATGTAGCTCTTCTGTTGTGTTACTTTTTCCTGTGTCTTCACTTGCAGAATTTCTTTGCCCAGCCTTTTTTTTTTTTTTTTTAATGGGACATGTCACTCCCACTTATTCAGAACCTGCTAATTATCCTTGATCACCACTCTTTGATTTGATAAATTTCTTTGCTCACTATTAGCAGCTGCAACAGAGGTGGAGAAGGAGCAAAGTTCAAACACATTGCTTTTCACTGCAGTAACAGTTAAAGTACATGAAGGATGGGCCAGCAGACGGGACATAACTAAGTGATTGTGTTTTATTTATCTTCAATTTCCTTGGCCAAATGAGAGTTAGTGATATGTTCCTTTATAGACCAAATTATGGTGAAATGGTGGATGTTGGTTGATATTTTTAAATGACATTTGAGTTCCATTTGCTGCAAATTTACTTAGTTAGATTGACCATTTTCTTTCATTTTTCTATTGCGCTTGCTTTGCCATCACCTAGATTTCTTGGCTCTTACACTAGCTATGACTACTTGAAAAGGAACGTCAAGTGGTAAGACTGGCAATTAATGTGAGGCTGTTCCATAAGGTGTCCCTCACTGTGTCACTGGCATTATGTGCACTTTCAGATTTTAATGTCATCATCAAGGGCTTAGTCTAAATTCATGAAAGCAAGATAAAAAAGCCAATCATAAGACTTCTTCAATGAAAATTTATGAAAATGACCAGGAGTATTCCAAATGTATATGTTATTGTTGGTGCACATAAAGCTAGTGCAGCTTTGGCATTCAGCAGTAAGGTTTAGATGGCAATGTTGCAATTATGGGTCTTTTAAAAAGATTTGTGTGAATTTTGTGTTACATATTAACAATTGGCAATCTGAAAAAATAAACATACATGGCACAATTTGACTTAAATGAACCTTGTAAAATAAAGCAGGATCTGCTGCTCTAGCAGTCATTTAACCAAAAAATGGACCTGGTAACTCAAGGGGAAATTTTAAAGTAAAAGCTCCAGTTTTTTTAGTTTTACCGAAACGCAGATATGCCCATTGTCTGTGGCTGCTTCAAGGCTATAACCGCATAATTTGAATAGTTCTAACAAAGACTGTATGGGCCAAAAGACCACAAACATTTACTCTCTGGTGTTTCAGTGAAAAAGTTTGCCAACCCCTAGTCTGTGACATCTGTTTTTATGGTGCTCCGAGTATGCCAGATGCCAGATACAAAATCAGAAGTGGGTCTAGGGCCGGGTGCGGTGGCTCATGCCTGTAATCCCAGCACTTTTAAGAAGCAGAGGCAGGCGGCTCACTTGAGGTCAGGAGTTCAAGACCAGCCTGGACAACGTGGTGAAACGCCATCTCTACTAAAAGTACAAAAATTAGCCAGGCGTGGTGGCTGGCATCTGTAATCCCAGCTACTCGGGAGGCTGAGGCAGAAGAATCACTTGAGCCTGGGAGGCAGAGGTTGTGGTAAACTGAGATCGCGCCACTGCACTCCAGTCTGGGCGACAGAATGAGACCCTGTCTCAAAAACAAAAAAAGTGGGTCTCAGGAAAATTTGTGCCATGATATGTTTTCAGAATATTTGCAAGACTTTCTTAAATCTGTCAACGTTACTATCTTTTGTAAATAACAATTAAACTATACCCAAAATTTCACCTGCCTTTGGTTGCCATCTTCTGGATGTTTTACTAATATTCTTAAAGTTTTTGTGTGTCTGGACATTTCTTGTGCCGATGAATGGTCGAATCTGTTTTTATATTTTGGTAGAGTAGCTACCCATACTCATGAGAATAAATTGTGAAATTTCTAGTTTTTTTTTTTAACTTAGAGATACATGGAGAAATGAGAACTTGTTTTGTAAATGTGAGTCCATTTTCAGGTGTTGGCATTTTCTTCATTTGTTAACAGGGGAAAGCCTCCTGAAGCTGATGGTGTGGATAGATCATTTGGCGAGAAACGCTATGAACCCATCCAGGCCACTCCCCCTCCTCCTCCATTGCCCTCGCAGTATGCCCAGCCATCTCAGCCTGTCACCAGCGCGTCTCTCCACATACATTCTAAGGGAGCACATGGTGAAGGTAGGAAGTTCGGAAGTAGACATTTTAACACAGTAATGCTTATGAAGTAAAATTCTGGTGGTTTCTAGGCAAAATGGTTTTTACATTAAAAAATACATGCTTGAAACCTTTGGGCTGGGAACAGTAAAAACTAAGAATTTTGTTAAAAGTATGTCTCCTGTTTTTACAAGACCATTATTTTGGACAAGCCTTTTAGCTAAACAGATTTTAATCTATTTTATGCTAGTCTCTAAATCTTCTGGAAGTAGTGTTTGCCAGTATATGTAAAGATGGTTTGTAAAACCTACTATGTTTTATCTCACACACCCAAATAGAAAAGCCATAATGTTTCATATAAAATGTATCCCATACACCTTGACTTTTGCATTTACATACCAGGTAGATCACATATAGCTCCAGATTATTCATCTTAAGAGCTTTGTAACATTTTACCCTCAGCATATAACACAAAGTGGTTATCTCTTCTGCTGTGGACAGGCATTTTCCTAGCACAGACTTCTCTTATTATTCCCTTAGGAGGCACCTCCTTGGGCTTGTGAGTCTTCAAGCAGATGTGTTATAGTTCTGGATTGAGGCTATCTTTTATTAAGATTTTTTTTCACACATGCCCATGTTTACAGATAAAGACAGTTTTAATTCTTACTTTCCAGTCCTTATGCCTTTTCTCTTTTTTTTTTTCCTCTTTTTGAGACGAAGCCTTGCTCTCGCCCAGGCTACAGTGCAGTGGCGCAGTCTCAGCTCACTGCAACCTCTGCCTCTCGGGTTCAGGTGATTCTCCTGCCTCAGCCTCCTGAGTAGCTGGGACTATAGGCGCACACCACCACGCCCGGCTAATTTTTGTATTTTTTGTAGAGACAGGGTTTCATCATGTTAGCCAGGCTGGTCACGAACTCCTGACCTCAGGTGATCCGCCCACCTCGGCCTCTCAAGAGTGCTGGGATTACAGGCATGAGCCACCGCACCTAGCCTTCTTTCTTTTCTTGCTGATTGCACTGGCCAGGACCTCCAATAAACTCTGAAATGTAAGTGGTGAAATTGGACCTCTTTTGCTAGTTCCTGATTTTAAGGAGGAAGGACTTCATGTTTTATCCTTTAGAATGTTAGCTCTAGGATTTTCGTAGATGTCCTTTATCATGTTTAAGACATTCCCTATATTCAGAGTTTGCTGAAAGCAGTCAGATGTTTTTCCTGCATGTATTAAGATGACCATATGATTTTTCTTCTCGTACTGTGGAAAATTATATTACTATATTCATGAGGTATTTGGATTAATAATTCTCCTGTCTTGTAGTGTCCTTAATTATTTCACAGAGTTCAGTTGGTACTGTGTTACACTGCGGCTGGCAGTGCATAAAAAATCCTGTGGTTCCACTTTTTAACCAATGTTTGGCATCATCAGACTTTTCGGTTTTTCCATTCTAGTGGGTGTGAAATAGTATTTAATGCTTTTTGTTGGTTTTGTTTTACATTTTTCTAATTAATAGTGAGTATCCTTATTATATGATTATTGGGCATTCTAGTTTTCACAAAGACTAGTGCCAATCTTTGGAGGCCAGGAATCTTAGCAGCTGGACCCTGACTCCAGGGCAGCAGGGTATATATATTCATGGCACCACCTGTCCATGCTGCCCTCATCCCTCAGCATCACACCTAGCCTCCAGGGCTCAAGAGTCAGGCTCTGGCTGTGCGACCCACATTTGGGCCTCGACTCCAGCACCAGGACAAGTTAAGCTGGGACAGGGCTATTATAACTTTTTTCAGAAAGTTATTTAAATGCTTACGTTTGTTTTTCAGGTAATTCAGTGTCATTGGATTTTCAGAATTCCTTAGTGTCCAAACCAGACCCACCTCCATCTCAGAATAAGCCAGCAACTTTCAGACCACCAAACCGAGAAGATACTGCTCAGGCAGCTTTCTATCCCCAGAAAAGTTTTCCAGATAAAGCCCCAGTTAATGGAACTGAACAGACTCAGAAAACAGTCACTCCAGCATACAATCGATTCACACCAAAACCATATACAAGTTCTGCCCGACCATTTGAACGCAAGTTTGAAAGTCCTAAATTCAATCACAATCTTCTGCCAAGTGAAACTGCACATAAACCTGACTTGTCTTCAAAAACTCCCACTTCTCCAAAAACTCTTGTGAAATCGCACAGTTTGGCACAGCCTCCTGAGTTTGACAGTGGAGTTGAAACTTTCTCTATCCATGCAGAGAAGCCTAAATATCAAATAAATAATATCAGCACAGTGCCTAAAGCTATTCCTGTGAGGTAAGACTTATGCCTTTGCTCAAAGCATTGGCCCTGTGATTTTTCTCATGTGAGTTTGTTGTAGTTTATTTGACTTGGGACTTTAAAGTGATCTTTTTAACTCAACCTTTAAACTGAAGAGTGTTGTTGCAATGAATGCTGTTACATAGAAGGTCCTCCAGGAGGTACAAGATGTTGGTAAAATAATAAAGCTAACAGTCGTGTATGGTTGGTAGGTATTGTCATCATCCCTGTTTTACTAAGAACTGAGGTTGAGTGACAGTAAGCAGTTTGCCCAGGGTCACAGCTAGAGTGAGGTGAGCCTCAATTTAGCTGCTGGTCATCCGACCTCTGAGCCCATGCTTTTTTTTTTTTTTTTTTTTGAGACAAGAGTCTCCCTCTGTCGCCCAGGCTGGAGTGCAGTGGTGCGATCTTGGTTCACTGCAACCTCCACCCCCTGGGTTCAGGCAATTCTCCTGCCTCAGCCTCCTAAGTAGCTGGGACTACAGGTGTGTGCCACCACGCCTGGCTAAATTTTTTGTATTTTTAGTAGAGGTTTTCACCATGTTGGCCAGACTGGTTTTGAACTTCTGATCTCAAGTGATCCATCCGCCTCCACCTCCCAAAGTGTTAGGATTACAGGCGTGAGCCACTGCACCCAGCCAGGAGCCCATACTCTTAACCAGCCATGACCTTTTGTAACCTCCTGACCTACTGGTAAGGTGCATGTGGAGGACATCTAAAAACATTAAGTATCTATGTTCCTCATTCATTATTTGTTCCACAATGATGCTAAGAAGAAAAATAGAATAACCTCTGACTGTTTAAAGAGCAGCAGTTAGTGAGATGGCTGAGCAAATGAGACAAAGTGAGCCCACCTGGAGCCTCCCTGCAGCTCCTCTTTCCTGTCTTTCATTCCACGGCGATTGACCAGATGGATTCTGGCCATACATAAAAGCTCATCTCAGCCTCCTACAGCCAGTTCCATTTTCACGCCACCATAAAGCAGAAGCACTTGCAGGCAGGGAGAACCAAAGGTCAGGATGGCCACCTGAGTCTGCTTTCCAAGAGAAAGGATGGTTATGGCGGTCACTGCCTTCCTAGCTCTGCACATCCACAGATGGTCAGGGGCGGACAGAGCTGGCCTCTGCTCTGCAGCTCAGGCTGCGCTCTGCTCCCTTGATGTTGTGTCGTAGGATGTCGTCCCTGGCACTCCGGTCATGCTGGAGTGAAACGGCAGCTACCTTCATGTAATTCTGTTTCGTTGGTCTTTCTGCTCACCTTTGAGCCCTGGCTCAAAACTGTACTTTCAGGAAGTTGATAGCCTCTACTTTTGAAGCAGTCATTGATACCACATCCCCTTTGCCTTTGGCGTTCTGTGATTACTAAGTTAATCTACTGTCTCTCTTTCGTGGATGTTTGGGATATGCCCATACAAGGGTCTTCGCCTCATGGAACCTTGGAAGCCTTGCCTCCTACAGCCAGAGCGGGCGCTTGGTCCTCAGGGAATGCTGAGGCAGGACCATACTCAGGCACACTTAAAATCCTAGGGAGATTTTATCAAGTCTGAGATGCTGTCAGCCGTGAGATGCACCATTGTTTTGTGTCACTAAAAATGGAAGAACAGCCAGGCACGGTGGCTCATGCCTCTAATCCCAGCACTTTCGGAGGTTGAGGCGGGCGGATCACTGGAAGTCAGGAGTTCCATCCTGGCCAACACGGTGAAAACCCATGTCTACTAAAAATACAAAAATTAGCCGGGCATGGTGGCAGACGCCTGTAATCCTAGCTACTCAGAAGCTGAGGCAGGAAAATTGCTTGAACCTGGGAGGTGGAGGTTGCAGTGAGCCAAGATTGCACCGCTGTACTCTAGCCTGGGTGACAGCAAGACACTCCATTTCAAAAAACAACAGGAAGGGAAGAACAGGGCTACCAATTAAATTGTGACTTACCAGTTTTAAAGTTCCAATTTCATGGATTTTAAAATGTGCTTCATAAAACTCTGTACCTGTTTAGTATCCCTTGTCCAAACTTCTTGGGTTCTGAAGTGTCTCATATCTTGGGTTTTTTTGGATTTTGGAATATTGCCAAAATGCTCCAATGAGCATTTCCTTTGAGCTTCATTTTGACACTCAAAAAAAAGTTTCCGATTTTGGAGCATTTCAGATTTTCAGGTTAGGGATGCTTCACCTGTAGTTGGGTGTTCAAGGCATCAGATTTTACACTTTCAGGTTGCAATTCATTAATGAAGGTCGTTTGACTGATTGCCTTCAAAAATTGAATTTTTGACATTTCTCTAGAATTTTTGAAATTTTCTAGAATGGAATTTCTCTAGAAATAATATTCTCGCCAGGCGCGGTGGCTCACGCCTGTAACCTCAGCACTTTGGGAGACCAAGGCAGGTGGATCACGACGAGATCAGGAGTTTGAGACCAGCCCGGCCAATATGGTGAAACCCCATCTCTACTAAAAATACAAAAATTAGCCAGGCTTGGTGGCGTGCGCCTGTAGTCCCAGCTACATGGGAGGCTGAGGCAGAAAAATCACTTGAACCTGGGAGATGGAGGTTGCAGTGAACCAAGATCGTGCCACTGCACTCCAGCCTGGGCGACAGAGTGAGACTCTGTCTCAAAACCAAACAAACAAACAAAAAAGAAATAATATTCTCTGCGATAACCCTGTCAGTAAAATCTGTTGCCAGAAACTTATCTTGTTAAAGTAACTTCTTGATTATATGGAGAAATAAAAGTGAAAGCACGTAATACAGTAGTAGTAAAAGCAAAGCACCTGTGTATTATTAGGAATTCACTCACTAGCCATTTCTGAACTTTCAGTCCTTCAGCTGTGGAAGAGGATGAAGATGAAGATGGTCATACTGTGGTGGCCACAGCCCGAGGCATATTTAACAGCAATGGGGGCGTGCTGAGTTCCATAGAAACTGGTGTTAGTATAATTATCCCTCAAGGAGCCATTCCCGAAGGAGTTGAGCAGGAAATCTATTTCAAGGTCTGCCGGGACAACAGCATCCTTCCACCTTTAGATAAAGAGAAAGGTAAATGTGTTTATTTTTCTCCTTAGTTTTGATAACTTAAGAGTTGCCCTGTGTGCACTTCAGAGCTTATAGTGCTTGGCTAATAATGCAGCACCTCTCTATCTCCAGATGAGTGCTGTAGCGAGGGGTGCCCTGGGGACGGTGTTGCAAGCAAGCAGTGGGTGGCCTGAAGCAAGGCTGTGGTGACCACACTGCCTGCTTTTACTTTTGGTGTGAAATAAAAAATGATGGCATAGGACAGGCCACGGGATGTCTCACCTGCTGAGCAGCCTAGGCTGACCTAACCAAATTTGTCTTTGAATCAGTCAGCCTTTGCGTCTCTGGAGATGGGTTAGGTAACACCCACTCAGAAAGGCTTTGCTGTGCCTTCACCTGATTGGAGAACCTAAACCTCTTGACAGGTACTGTCTTATTCATCACCCCAGAACCTAGCACTAGTACATGCTCAGCAGAGTGCATGAAGGAGTCTCAGAGGAGATGACAGCATGTTTCTGAGCTTCTTAAGGAAACTTATTTTCATAATCCTCCTGGATCTACCAGGATATTATAACGAAGTGTGTTGTGATTTAGCATCTTTTAGCAGTGCTTTTACTTCCTAAACAAATTTAGTTCGCTTTTTTGTATTTTGCCGGAATACTGACATCTGATTCTGCACTCTGATTTTGGGGATATCCTGTTTTAAAAACCAGTAGGACTGACTGTGTTGGCCCTGCATGAATCTCTTTAACCACCTATGGAGCAAACAAAACATTTTGAAAATGGAAAATATATCACATTCGCAACAAGCACATTTGAATATGTTTTTTATTATAGACCCATATGATTGAATGCAGTAGCCACTGCCTGCACGTGGCTAGCTAGCACTTGAAGTGTGACAATTTGGGATTGAAAGATGCTGGAAATGTGAAATACACACCAAGTTCCAAAGATTTCATATATTGATTACATGTTGAAATAACAGTGTTTTCGTTATATTGAGTTAAAATATTAAAATATTGTAAGATTTGATATCACTTGTTTCTTTTTACTTTCTAACGTGGCTACTGGGAAATTTAAGATTCCATATGTGGCTGCTGTTACGTTTTTTTGTGGTCAGTGCGACTGTAGAGAACTAACTCCATTAGGCTTTCAAGCATATAATTAGAAGCAGGGTGAGGAAAACTGGGATTCTAGAAGAAAGACCACATCCATCCTCTCTGCCTATCCCCTTTTCCAACTCCAGGTGAAACACTGCTGAGTCCTTTGGTGATGTGTGGTCCCCATGGCCTCAAGTTCCTGAAGCCTGTGGAGCTGCGCTTACCACACTGTGCGTCCATGACTCCTGACGGTTGGTCTTTTGCTCTAAAATCATCCGACTCCTCGTCGGGTATGCTGTCTTCACTCTGTCCTTTGGGAGCTTTGGGGACTGTCGTTGATTAATACCTGGGCTGATGATGCTGCCCATGCTGTGTGTTAGCAAATCTCTATCTCTGTTCCTGTGGCCTTGTAGGCATCACCAGTGTTTTCACATTTATTTGTGGTGCATATATTGTAAATAAATATGGAAAGGTAGAAGACTTTCTGCCTTTTAAAAATTGATAATTTGGGCCGGGCGCCGTGGCTCATGCCTGTAATCGCAGCACTTTGGGAGGCTGAGGCAAGTGGATTACCTGAGGTCAGGAGTTCAAGACCAGCCTGACCAACATGGTGAAACCCCATCTCTACTAAAAATACAAAAATTAGCCAGGCGTGGTGGCACACACCTGTAATCCCAGCTACTCGGGAGGCTGAGGCAGGAGAATTGCTTGAGCCAGGGAGGCGGAGATTGCAGTGAGCCAAGATCGTGCCACTGCACTCCAGCCTGGGCAACAGAGCGAGACCGTCTCAAAAAAATTTTTTTTTGATAATTTGGCCAAATATTGACTATTTCTTGGTGTTCAGAAAAATGATTTATTCTGTCAAATTTTTCAGGATGCAGTGGGAGATATTGTCCTGCACAAATAGGCATTTTTACCTTATTAAAATGACTTTGTTCCTTTATATAACTATTTCTATTTTTGGTTACTATTGTTTAATTTATTTTTTGTTTGTTTGTTTTGATTTGGTTTTTTGAGGTGGAGTCTCGCTCTGTCGCCCAGGCTGGAATGCGGTGGCACGATCTCAGCTCACTGCAACCTTCGCCTCCCAGCTTCAAGCGATTCTCCTGCCTCAGCCTCGATTACAGGTGCCCACCACCATGCCTGGCTAATTTTTGTACTTTTAGTAGAGACGGGGTTTCACCATGTTGGCCAGGCTGGTTCGAACTCCTGACTTAAAGTGATCCACCCGCCTCGGCCTCCCAGAGTGCTGGGATTACAGGTGTGAGCCACCGTGCCTGGCCTGTTTAATTTCTTAATCTACAACGTATGTATACCAGAGAAACTTAACAAGATCTTCCATTGTGATCATACTTGGCCATGGTTTTTCAGTGTAATACTTTAAATTACTTCTTTTATACACTATTTGTAAATGACTTTTTCTCCTGAGATAATTTCAAAGCTTCCACTGCATTTTCACATTTCTCACTTCCTTGAGTGACTTAAGTCAGTTAATAATTAGAATTTTATTTTGGGTGTAGATCACTTTAAGCGAACCTGATTTAAAGTCTAGCTTCCAAATCTTTGATAAATCAGATGAGCATTATTTAGTTTTAGTTTGGTACAGTATGAAATAAAAGTTTGTGGTCTAAAGATTATAGCAAGAGCATATTTTAATGTTATCAGAGGAAAAAATTACATGTAAATACATATTTCCTCATATTTACAAGTACCCCATTTTCTGGAAAAATGAAATGCTTTTGGCTCCAGATATTGCTTAGGTAATGTCTAACGTACTGTAAGCAAAGTTCTCAGCTGGCACTGTTGACATTTTGGCCAAATGATTGTTGTAGGGCCCTCCTGTTCGTCGTGGAATATTTAGCAGCTTCCCTGGGCCTCTACCCCTAGATGCCAGTGGTAACAAGCAAAACTGTCTCCAGATGTCCCATCAGGGGCAGGGTCATTCCTGTTTGAGAGCTACTTCTGTAAGGGAAGCAAACGTCCACAGCTGTGACTCTCAGCTTGCTTGGACACCACAGAGACATATAGTCGTCCCTGCCTTCACATCTAATAGAAATCACCAAGAGCTTATTAAAAACTTAAATCCTGAGACCTAACTAACACCCAGTCAATGAGTTTTTGAAGCTGCATGATTAATTTTGTTGTCCAGCTGGAATCAGAGCTGAGCAGCTCTGGTGCAGTCTCGTTTTTTTGCTTGTTTTTTGTAAGGGGGAAGACAGTCTTCAAGAACTAGATTCTGCAGAACTGGGCTTCATTTGTTGGTTTATAGTTGAGTGTGAGAAATGTGTCCTCATTCTCAGCTCAAATAGGTGATCACATAATTATCCTCCAGACTTTCGAAACTGGAAAAAAAAAAAAAGTGCTACTGATAATTATGTGGGCTCTGGCAAACTGGGACTGTCCCAGGCATAAGATTGCCATCACTCACTTGTATTCATTTTTTGAAAAGGCCAATGCACTTGATAATGTAATAAAGGAGAAGTCTGAAAATTAAAAACAAAAAACAAAAAACTGTTCTTAATGGTGTGAGTTAGAAAGAACGTTTTAAAAAAAATTTTTTTAGAAGTGTGAAACACCTTTGGAATTGTTAGATGCCAGCAGATCTGCTTTGAAATACAGCAATGTGTTTTGATACAAATTCAATATGCTGAAGAAACAGAAGAAAATTATGTCTAAATATACGTATTTGCCCTATAATTGCAAAGCATTACGGATAGCAGTTTACTGAACTGTAAATGACATCAACTTCTTTTCTCTCATAGGTGATCCTAAAACCTGGCAAAACAAGTGTCTTCCCGGAGATCCAAATTATCTCGTTGGAGCAAACTGTGTTTCTGTCCTTATTGACCACTTTTAACTCTTGAAATATAGGAACTTAAATAATGTGAAACTGGATTAAACTTAATCTAAATGGAACCACTCTATCAAGTATTATACCTTTTTTAGAGTTGATACTACAGTTTGTTAGTATGAGGCATTTGTTTGAACTGATAAAGATGAGTGAGCATGCCCCTGAACCATGGTCGGAAAACATGCTACACACTGCATGTTTGTGATTGACGGGACTGTTGGTATTGGCTAGAGGTTCAAAGATATTTTGCTTTGTGATTTTTGTAATTTTTTTATCGTCACTGCTTAACTTCACATATTGATTTCCGTTAAAATACCAGCCAGTAAATGGGGGTGCATTTGAGGTCTGTTCTTTCCAAAGTACACTGTTTCAAACTTTACTATGGCCCTGGCCTAGCATACGTACACATTTTATTTTATTATGCATGAAGTAATATGCACACATTTTTTAAATGCACCTGGAATATATAACCAGTGTTGTGGATTTAACAGAAATGTACAGCAAGGAGATTTACAACTGGGGGAGGGTGAAGTGAAGACAATGACTTACTGTACATGAAAACACATTTTTCTTAGGGAAGGATACAAAAGCATGTGAGACTGGTTCCATGGCCTCTTCAGATCTCTAACTTCACCATATTACCACAGACATACTAACCAGCAGAAATGCCTTACCCTCATGTTCTTAATTCTTAGCTCATTCTCCTTGTGTTACTAAGTTTTTATGGCTTTTGTGCATTATCTAGATACTGTATCATGACAAAGACTGAGTACGTTGTGCATTTGGTGGTTTCAGAAATGTGTTATCACCCAGAAGAAAATAGTGGTGTGATTTGGGGATATTTTTTTCTTTTCTTTTCTTTTCTTTTTTTTTTTTTTTTGACAAGGGGCAGTGGTGGTTTTCTGTTCTTTCTGGCTATGCATTTGAAAATTTTGATGTTTTAAGGATGCTTGTACATAATGCGTGCATACCACTTTTGTTCTTGGTTTGTAAATTAACTTTTATAAACTTTACCTTTTTTATACATAAACAAGACCACGTTTCTAAAGGCTACCTTTGTATTCTCTCCTGTACCTCTTGAGCCTTGAACTTTGACCTCTGCAGCAATAAAGCAGCGTTTCTATGACACATGCAAGGTCATTTTTTTTAAGAAAAAGGATGCACAGAGTTGTTACATTTTTAAGTGCTGCATTTAAAAGATACAGTTACTCAGAATTCTCTAGTTTGATTAAATTCTTGCAAAGTATCCCTACTGTAATTTGTGATACAATGCTGTGCCCTAAAGTGTATTTTTTTACTAATAGACAATTTATTATGGCACATCAGCACGATTTCTGTTTAGATAATACACCACTACATTCTGTTAATCATTAGGTGTGACTGAATTTCTTTTGCCGTTATTAAAAATCTCAAATTTCTAAATCTCCAAAATAAAACTTTTTAAAATAAAGTGCTGGCTTGGTCTGTTTGCCCACTGTTTTCTAGTTTCATGCAGCTTTATAATCCTGTTTTAAAATCCTGCACACAAATCCCTATCACCCAGCGTCACCTACCACCTCGTCGTCTGGTGTTGCATGCAGAATTTCTCCCCTTGGCCAGCATGTACAGATGGGTGGGCAGTGCTCATCTGAAGGGCTCAGACTGAAGTGGGGCAGAAGGACCTGGAGACAGAGTGGGAGAAGGCAGCAGGCCGACTTCCCCCTGTGGGTAAACACACACCCCTGCGTGGAGAAACACCCCTGCATGGGGACACACGTGCGTTTGTGTGTGTGCGTGTAACCATTTGTATATGGTTTTATTCCCCAGATAAATAGCACGGGCATTGTTTAATGTCACCCACATTTGGGGGAAGAAAATGGGTTTAGTGAGCATAAATATTCCATTGTGGACATCCTACTTACTTAACTGCCACCCCTGTTGACATTTGGATTATTGCTATAGTGTTTCAGTAAACACCTTTGTGGACTGAATCCATCTATGTGGATTTTATTTTTTTCATCTTTGTTAAGGTATAATTTACATAGAGTAAGTTACTGTTTTTAAAATGTATAGTTCAAATTTTGACAAACACATACTGTTTATTTACCACGGTTAATACATACAACAGTTTCTTTATCTTCTCTAATCATTTGTACCCCTTTATACTCAACCCTTCTTCCAGCCCCTGGCAGGATGATCTCTTCTGTTTCTATAGTTGCCTTTTTGACAGTGTCATATAAATGGAATCATACAATATGTTGCCTTTGAGTCTGGCTTATTTCACTTAGCATGATGCATTTGAGATTCATGTATGATGTTGCAGGTTCTTTTTTATTGCCAGGTGGTATTCCATTGTGTGGCTGTACCAGAGCTTGTTTATCCATTCCCCAGTTAAGGAACTTCTGGGTTGTTTCCAGGTTTGGGAGATTATTAGTAAACTGCTATAAACATTTGCGTACAGGTTTTTGTGTAAACGTTACTTCATTTCGCTTGACTTCAGTTTGATGAAGTCTAGTTTAATCAGTTTGTTCTTTCATAGATTATGCTTTTGTCATATCTTCACTAAGATGTTCTATCCTAAGAGAAATCTTCACTTAGCCCAAAGTGTAAAGACTTCTCAAGTTTCAGAATTTTTTGTTTTATATTTATGTCTGTGATCCACTTTGAGTTAACTTTATGTGTAGTATGATATAGGTGTTGAGTTTTCTGTTTTAAATGTGTCCTTATTGTAAACACAGACACACATATATAAGGCCTAAATAAGACAGTTTTCATTTAGATAAATTAGGGAAACAATTTATTGTGAAAGGGACACAACTCAGTAAGTCTGTTTTTTGTCCCCCTACCTTTTAGTATGTGGCATGAACACCTGGTCAGGTGTAGATACCTAGAGCTCCTTCCTAAGGACATTTCTGTTGCCTAACCATCTTCCCACAGCACTGAGCATGGTGCAGTGAGTTCATTCAGATGGCCAAGCTTTAGGGTCAGAATTCTGCTTTTGCCCTTCCCCTATACTAACGTTACAATCAACAGAAGGCTTAGTGAACATCCACTAATGCTGCGTGAGTCAGTTCCTCCTCTTGACCTCTGAGCAAGTACTTAATGCAGTACACAAGGCACTGAGCAGATGGAGATGACTCAGGTGAGGAGACACAGACGTTGACACTGGGTGGCTTCCGTCTAGACAGGGAGCAGTTGGCTAGGAAGGGATGTGGCAGTAAATGCAGGAAGGCCACCTAGCAGGCAGATGGGGAGTAAGTTTTCGGTTTTCTTGACTCGCAGTTTGAAAACCATTTACTGGATGGGAAGCCAGGCTCTGTTTTCCGTCCAATTTGCAGAAAGCAAACCAGAGAGCTGTGTACACAGATGCATCCGGGCACACGTTACTGCGGCTGCCCAGCAGCCCTACATGTAGAGAGTGACCTGGCACTCTGTTTCCAGGCTGCTTAGCCGGGTTTCCCCAGATGGAGTGTGGGAAGACACATTGTTGATGTGCTGATTTTTACAGAACCACATTGTTGTCTCCTGATCAATTTGATCACAGCAAAAACTCAGTGGCATTTTTGACTCTTACCTACTCGTGCTTTCCTTTGGAACTACTTGACAGTGAAGGAGCTGTTGCCCAAGATGCAGGAATACCATTTGGTTTAGGGGAGGGGTTTTTTGTTTGTTTTTGGCAGGGGAATTCACTAGGAAGGTATATATTAAACTTGGAAGATTTCTAGTTCAAAACTAAAATGCATAAAACTTTAAATGTTTGTTTTCCATTTCCATTTTGTAGATAATTAGGGCTTTCTTTACCAGTGACCATGAAGGTGCCCCCTAGTGCTTGTTTCTCCCAGCTGATGGGTGTTCATTCAGGTTAGCCAGAAGTTGACACAAACAAGGTGCTCAGAAGAGAGGTCTGTAACCAACTACGACAAGCCTTCCACATTCTGACACTCTCCCTTCCCTCCCTTTGCACCATAGGCTGTTCTGAGGGAATTGTGTCCATAGTTGTCTAGGAAACCACGTGCCAATAAAGACAAAAATTGAGTTTTGTTGCACCAAGTTTTCTGCCTACTGGCGCAATGCCAGGCAGGGAAGATGTGTAAGGTTTTCACTTGGTGCATGAGAGAAGTGCACCTCGTGAGACGCACTAGAGCCCCCATGTGGAACGCCCTCCTCTGGCACTCACCCGCGGAAAAATAGGAAGAGGTGGGTGCACAGGTGGTGATTTTAGCGTGTTTGTACCTTGGCTTGATTGTCACCGTAAAGTTTTGAGGTAGTTTGATCTATTTGTCCACATAGCACCTCCTGGTCTTAAGTGGATTTGAAAACATGCAGGTATAAATCATTTCATACCCCCTTAAAAACAGAGAAGGAAAGAAAATGTGGAAACTGACATGTGGTCAGTATGCTGCTGCTGTTTAGTGTTGAGGGGCGTGCCAAGTATTCACCCTAGCAACTCTTCATTTCTTGTCAGTGGGGGTGTGGCAGAAACCGGCTGGAACGACGGCAGTGGGGTTCCTAGAGAGGACTTTGAGGACATGGGGTTTCCCAGAGCACTTCTGAGAATGAGTGTCTTCCATGTTGGATAAGGACAGCTTGAAGATGAGCAGGAACCAAGTGGAAAGCATGAAGGTTGAGACCCAGGGAGCAGCCCCAGTCTTGATACCTACCAAGCAGCGGTTGCCGTTGTAGTGGGAAGCTGAGGGCTTTCAGAAACATTTGAAACCGAGTGCTTTAAAGCAAAATTGAGTTTCTTTGCAGCCTGCTCTTCAGTAGAGGACACATGCACCAAACAGTCCCAGGGCTTCATTGGTTTTTTTTTCCTGGAGACGGAGTCTCGCTCTGTCACCCAGGCTGGAGGGCAGTGGGGCAATCTCGGCTCACTGCCCCACCACGCTCGGCTAATTTTTGTATTTTTAGTAGAGATGGTTTCACCATGTTGGCCAGGCTGGTCTCAAACTCCTGGCCTCAAGTGATCCGCCCACCTTGGCCTCCCAAAGTGCCTGGATTAATTACAGGCATGAGCCACTGTGTCCGGCCCATTGGTTTCTTCTTGATAGGCCCAGGGAGGAGGGTGGAAGCTTGGTCAGTAGGATCCAGTGCTGCTGCCCCTGGGGGACAGGATTTGGTTCTTATGTTTTTGAATATTTAAACTCAGTTGAAATGCTCCTACCAAGCCTTGAGGAGTTGCTCCCCAGTTTTAGCAACCATTAATGTGCCACATTTATGACAGCACAAACTGCAAATTTTCCAAGGAAGCATCTTGGACCTGAGTCCTCTTGAAACACTTTTGTGGCCTTTCCAAGGAGGACCACGGGAAACACAGGGCAGGCACCAGGAGGAAGCAGAAAGTGGATCTGCGTCCACCGTCTTGACGACTTAGTGGGATAGAGGCAAAAAGAACCCTGTGCAGGGAGGGCAGGACTAAACCGAAGGCCCTCACCTCAGTCAGGGAACCAGGAGAGCACAGCCTCCAGCCCATCACAGCCCAGCAACTTAAGTGTCCACCACCCAGGCAGGGGAAAGGTTAGTTTTTATTTTTTTTTTTAGCATATTTTCACGCTCAGTTGCAACAACACAGCATTTGCGAGAATAATACAGAGAACTTCCCTTCTGCCCTTGACCTAGACTCCCTGAGTGTTGCCAATTTTCCACCTGTGCAGTGCACTCTAGGTAGGTAGGTATGTAGTCAGCTGGGGCTACGGTAACAAAATACCACAGACTGAGTGGCTTAAACTGAGTGGCTTAGATCAGGTCCAAGATGCTTCCTTGGAAAATTTGCAGTTTGTGCTGTCATTTATTTATTTTCTCATCGTTTTGGAGGCTAGAAGGTGCCAGCATGGTCAGTTTCTATTAAGGGTTCTCTTCCTGACTTGTAAACAGCCACCATCTCTGTGTCCTCAGTGGGCTGTCCTTGATACATGCACATGGAGAGAGCAGACACGCCCTCTGGTGTCTCATGAGGATCCTAATCCTGTCAGATCAGTGCCCACCCTTAGGACCTCATTCAACCTCAGTTACTTCCTTAGAGACCCCATGTCCAAATGCATCCACAGTGGGGGTTACGAATTTTAAGGGATATAAACATTTCTGCCCATAACAATATTCTTCTGAATCATTCGAGCATAAGGTTGAAGACATGATGCATATTACCTAAGAACAAGAGTCTTCTCTTATATAACTACACTACACTTAACCTCAGAAAGCATTACAAGAATTGACTTTGGCTTCATCTATTTTCTTCTATTGGCTCTCTGTTTTTCATTGCGTGGAGTTTGCGCTAGTCTTTATTATTTCTTTCCTTCTACTTGCTCTTGCTTTGGGTTCAGTTCTTTTTCTAATTTTTGAAGGAGGAAGCTGGGTTTAGTGATTTCAGATATTTTTAAAATAGGCATTTTAAAGCTATAAATTCCCTCTAGATACTGTTTAGCTGTACTTCATAAATGTTGATATTTTTACATTTTCATTTAGTTCAAAATATTTTCTATTTTCCTTGTGATTTAACCCCTGAGTTATTTAGAAGTAATTTTTAAAATTTTCAAATATTTGGGGCTTTCCCAAATATCTTTCTGTTGTTTTTAATTAATTTTATTCTGATGTGAAAACATACTTTGTGTTATTTGAATCCTCTTCATTGAGGCCTTTTTTGTGGTCGAGTACAAGGTCTATCTGGAGAATGCTGCATGTGCTCTTGAAGAGAATGTGTATTCTGTTGTTGGGTGGGGTTTTTTATAGATAGAGGAGAAGTAAGTTGGTTGCTGCTGTTCTTCAGGTCTTCTGTATCCTTGCTTGTTTTCTGTCTAGTTATCTCAGTTACTGAGAGTGGGGTATTGAAGGCTCCAACTATTATTGCATTGCCTTTTTCTCCCTTCAATTCTGTCAGTTGGGTTTTACATATTTTGGAGCTCTGTTGTTAGAAACATGTATGTTTATATTTGCTATATCTTCCTTTTGACCATTATGAAATATCCCTCTTTGTTTCTAGCAATATTATCTGTCTTAAAGTCTATTTTAACTGATATTAGAATATCAGTTAAATTTTCTTATGGTCCCTGTTTGTATGGTATATCTTTTTTCATTCTTACTTAGTTTTAAGGTATTTGTGTCTTTTAATCTAAATGGTGTCTCTTTATACAAAACATGTAGTTGGATCTTGTTTTATTACTATCAATTTCTGCCTTTTGATTGGAGTGTTTAATCCCATTTACATTTAATCTAACTATTGTTATGGTTTAATTTCTTCCTGCCACTTCTCTATTTATTTAAAGATTATATGACTTAGGCTTTTTTGTTCTTCTTTCTCCTTTATTGCTCTCTTTATTCCTAGAGCAACCAATTCCAACAAAAAAGTAAGAATGAAGCAATAAAAAAGGAATTAAAAGCATACTAGAAAATATCTATATACAGCATATAAGAAATATAGGTATTTTCTACTATGCTGGGGTTAAATGCAGGTTATCTTCTGGTGTCATTTCTTTTCAGCCTGAAGGAATTCCTTTAGTATGTTTTATAAGACAGATCTGCTTGTATTGAATTTCTTCAATTTTTGTTTATTTTGTCTTCACTTTTGAAGGATAGTTTTGCTAGCTAAAGAATTCTTGGTTAATAAATATTTTTCCTACAGCACTTTGAATATGTCATTTTAATGTCTTCTTCACTTGAGACAGCTGTTAAACGTAGTTCTTCCCTTGTATGTGATAAGGTTGTGGGTTTTTTTTTTTTTTCTTTGCTGTTTTGAAATTTTATCTTTGTCCTTCAACTCTGTATGCATCTAGCTATAGATCTCTTTCTGTTAATCCTATTTGAAGTTTGTTGTGCTTCACTGGTGTATTTTTCATCAAATTTGGGACTTTCTTGCTATTATTTGTTCAAATATTTCTTCCCTTTTCTCTCTTTTCCTTCTGGGACTTCTATGACATGTATTTGGTATGCGTGATGAGTCCCAAATTTAGGTCTGTTTTTCAGTTTATTTTTCTTCATTTTCTTTTCTTTCTATTCTTCAATTTGGATGGGTTTTATTAATCTCCTTTCAAGTTCACTGATTCTTTCTCCTGCCAAATCAAATCTGCTATTAAACCCTAAATATTTCAGTTATTGTACTTTTCAACCCCAGAATTTCCATTTGATTTTTTTTTTTTTTACAATACCTATCTTTTTATTGATAGTCTGTATTTGATGAGTCATTGCTCTTAAAAATGGGCTGGGCGCAGTGGCTCATGCCTGTAATCCCAGGACTTTGGGAGGCTGAGGCGGGCGAATCACCTCTCACTTGTTCGAGATCAGCCTGACCAACATGGTGAA
Organism: Homo sapiens; assembly: GCF_000001405.40. Taxonomy (NCBI): domain Eukaryota; kingdom Metazoa; phylum Chordata; class Mammalia; order Primates; family Hominidae; genus Homo; species Homo sapiens. Next base: position 1,864,975 of record NW_011332701.1, on the reverse strand, counting down.
ACCCTGTATCTAGTACAAATACAAAAAAATAGCCTGATGTGGTGGCATGTGCCTGTAGTCCCATCTACTCCGGAGGCTGAGGCACGAGAATCGCTTGAATCCAGGAGGCAGAGGTTGCAGTGAGCCGAGATCGTGCCACTGCACTCTAGCCTGGGTGACAGAGTGAGACTGTGTCACTCCAAGAAAAAAAAAAAGTCACATCAAATTAAAAGAAACGGTTTCTTTTAGGTCTTTAAACATTTTATCATAGCTGCTTTGAAATCTTTGTCTACTAAATTCAAACATCTGGGCCCCATCAGACAGTGTCTATTGATAGCTTCCTCCCAGCTTCCTCCCGACTTACCACCCAAATAGGGATCACACTTTCCTGTTTCTTTGCATGTCTCATAATTTTTAAAACTGGACACTTTATGTAATATTGTAGCAACTCTGGATTCTGCTCCTTCCCCTTACCCCCAAGGGACTGTTGCTGTATTTTTGTTTTAGTGACTTCACTGAACAAATCCTGTAGAATCAGTCTCAACCTCAGTGTGCAGCCACTGATGTATCTGTTCAGTTTGGGGTTTTTATTGTTGTTGTTGTTGTTGTTATTTTCAACTCTAGCTTCCTCTAGTGGTTGCCTGTGGGTTAGCATATGTGGTCAGCCAATGATTGGTCAAATGTACTTAAACACCTTTAACCACTAAGGCTTCCACGCTTCACCAGTGGATTTGTGTGTGGTTTAGGGAATGCATTTGGAGTTGAGGCAGTGTTACAAATGTGCCCCAGCTTTCACAGTCTGTCAGGTTTCACATCTCCTCTGCACAGGCACAAGGCCTCATGTTCAGCCAGAGATATATAGTCAACCCCCAGCATCAACAGGGGATTTGTTCCAGGACCCAGAATTTGATCCCACAGATATTAAAACTCACAGATGCTCAATTTCCTTACATAAAATAGAATAGTATTTGTATATAACTTGTGCAGTCCTCTCACAGACTTTAAATCATCACTGTGTTACTTATCATACCTAATACAATGTAAATGCTATATAAATAGTTGTTACACTGTATTGTGTATTTGTATTTTCATTTTTATGGGTACTGAGGTGTATATATTTATGGAGTACATGAGATATTTTGATACAGGCATGCAATCTAATAATCACATCAGGGTAAATGGGATATCCATCACCTCAAGCATTCATTGTTTCCTCATGTTGTAAACATTCCAATTATGCTCCCTCAGTTATTCTAAAATGTACAACTAATTATTGCTGGCTATAGTCACCCTGTTGTGCTATCAAATACTAGATCTTATTCGTTGTATCTAACTATATTTTTGTACCCATTAATCTTTCCCATTTTCCATGCTCCCCCACTACCCCATGTATTATTATTTTTCATTGATTTTTGAGGCAGAGTCTCACTCTGTCACCCAGGCTGGAGTGCAGTGGCACCATCTCGGCTCACTGCAACCTCCCCATCCCAGGCTCAAGCGATTCTCCTGCCTCAGCCTCCCTAGCAGCTGGGACTACAGGCGCCTGCCATCACGCCCAGCTGATTTTTATATTTCATGTAGAAACAGGGTTTCACCATGTTGGCCAGCCTGGTTTTGAACTCCTGGGCTCAAGTGATCTGCTCATCTTGACCTCCCAAAGTGCAGAGACTACAGGTGTGAGCCACCTCCCCTGGCCATTTTTTAATATTTTCAATCCATGGTTGGTTGAATCTGCAAATGCAAGGCTGACTCAATGGATAGCGGGGACTGTGCAGTCTCTCCTGGGTATTGTGCACAGCCCTGCACATGCACCTGGTCTTCCAGACTGCCATGGACATGTGGGCACTTATCAAGGCCCACTATGGTTCTCATTCTCCAAATCTCCCAGATTTCTGGCTAGTCTACTGGTCCGATGTTTGCCCAGCTCAGATTACCACATCAGGCTAGCTACAATATTGACCTTTCCCAAGATTGCCACTATTCCTGCTTCAAATCCAGCCAGCCCCACAGGGCAGTAAAGCTGCTGGGCTCCATGGCATGCCCTGCCTAGCAGATTTACACAACTGAGGTGGGAAGTGGGGCTATGAGAAGCCCAGGCAAAAATGCCATTTCTCATGCAGGGGTTTTTTCCTTAAGTAAACATGTCTCAACATGCTGTCTGCTTTTGGCTGTTTTCCAGTCCTGGAATGATGGTTTTGACCATTTTATCCAGTTTTGCTGTTACCTTTTAGGGAGAGGATTTGCCAAACTCCTTACTCTGCCGTTCCAACTCCAGCCTTAGGAGATGTAACATGCATGCATGCATCTGGTCTCCTACCCATATTCCAGTTAGTCATTTGACCCACTGACACCCTGTAGAGCACTTCCCCTCAGTGAGACCCAGCGCAGGGCCCATGTTGCCTGCACATGCCACATGTCTTCAGTCTCCTTCACCTGAGCCAATTTCTCAGGCCAGGCGGGGTTTCAACAGTGGTGAATTCAATTACTCTAGGAGCAATAGGTTATTAAGACTCGTTTGATGTACATTTTGCATATGGTCCAATTCAGAAACACTTCAGGAGCACCTGCTATCCTCCAGACAACGTGGTGACAGGACCCTGACCTACCTAGGGAAGGACAAGTTCCAATGGTCTGCACAGTCAGCACACAGTACGACCCTCAGCAGGGAATGTGGGGTCTTTCCAGGCTGTGGGTGCCAGGGGCTGCAAACCACAGGAAGAGGTAGGGCCAAATGTCCTGGGGAAGCACCTTTCTCTAACTTCCTTCAGAAAGGCAGGTTCCTATGGGGTTCAGTTCTTGGGATACCAGCTTGAGATCTCAGTCCAGTGTCAGGGTCCATTTAAAAATGAGAAACTTCTGGGAGGCCAAGGCAGGAGGATTGCTTGAGCCCAGGGGTTCAAGACCAGCTTGCACAACATAGACCCTGTCTCAAAAAAAAAAAAAATTTTTTTTTAGATGAAGTTTCGATCTTGTTGCCCAGGCTGAAGTGCAATGGCACCATCTCGGTTCACTGCAACCTCTGCCTCCAAGGTTCAAGCGATTCTCCTGCCTCAGCCTCCCAAGTAGCTGGGATTACAGGCACCCACCACCACGCCCAGCTAATTTTTTAAATATTTTTAGTAGAGGCGAGGTTTCACCATGTTGGCCAGGCTGCTTTTGAACTCCTGACCTCAAGTGATCCAACTGCCTCAGCCTCCCAAAGCGCTAGGATTACAGGTGTGAGCCACCATGCCTGGCTCTCCCCCAAAAAATTTTTAATTAGCCAGGTGTGGTGGCACATACCCGTAGTCCCAGCTACTCAGGAGGCTGAGGCAGGATGATTGATTGAGCCCAGCAGGTCGAGGCTGTAGTGAGCCGTGATCGTGCCACTGCACTCCAGCCTGGGCAACAGAGTGAGACCCTGTCTCAAAAAATAAATAAATAAAGACGAGAAACTGAGACACAGAGAGTCCCATTGGCTGACACACACACAGAGGTGGGCAGAGCCAGGGCAGGCACCAGGATCCCCTGACTGCCAGTACTCTTCTCAAGATGCCAATCAGGGCAACAGCTCCAGAAGCACAAAAGGGACACCACACGTGTGCTTCATGTCATAACCAGGCAGGATTCCTTAGGGAACACTGAGGCAGGGCAAGACTTAAAACACAACTTCCCAGTCCCAGGGTAGGCCCCAGGTGGAGCTGGCAGGGGGACGCGGTCTCACAGTGGGAGCAGGACCCATCAGTGTCCACCCAAGTGAAAACTCTCTGTCTCTGTGGCCATGGGCTGGGGCCATGAGCCCTGAAGGGCCTGGTCTTCCCCTGGTCATGTACCCCTCTGGCCCTTGCTGTGGGTGATGTGTTCTACAGCCTTACCAGCCTCAGTTTCCCCAAGCATACACTGGGAGGCCATGAAGGAAAAATAGGTGGAAATACTCCAAGGCCTCCCGGGGTACTTGAGTACCCCAGTAGATGCAAGGACAGATCACCATGAGGGTGGCAGGGAGCCAGGGAACCTGGAGCCCAGGAGTGCCCTAGGCTCCTCCGTCCCCACTCCAGGGTGCACTTGAGGAGGGAACTCTGCAGCTGGGCAGGCAGCCTGTGCCCGCACTCCCACCTTCTAGAAAGACAGGCTCCTGGCAGCACAGGGCTGGGCTGGCATGGCGGATCCATTCCCTGACTCCTTACGGAGCGCCGGGCTCACTCAGGAGCAGGAGGTATCCACACACCACCTCTCACAGGACAGGGCCATGACCAACCCAGAGAGGGAGGGCTCCAGCGCGTGCACACCCAAGCCTCGGAGGAAAGTGGAGCAGGACAATACGGTGCTGGACCACCGGGCTCACGCCCTCCCTTCCCCCTCCCCTCATCCACGCATGCTCCAGCACAGTCACTCCTCTCTCCCCAGTGTCCCCATCGTAGACCTGCAGAGACCACGATGATGGCGTCTACTTCATGGAGCAGCCGCGTGGCATGGATGCTCTGTCACAGGTCAAGTGTTTAGAACAGACCTACTCTCGGGAGGTGCTGTTAACCATCTGTCATCCCTGTGTCAGTGGCTTTGTTATCTCAGGAACCAATTCCCAGCAGAGTCACTAAAAATGCTATCTGCAGAATCAGAGTCATGCCAGCCTGGCCTGTCCCCGAGCCGGTGCTGGGCCCTGGCGTGAGTGAGGCCCTTCGGAGTCACATGGCGTTGAAGCACAGCAAACCCAAGCCAGAGGCCCCGTCCCAACAAACAGGCAGCCAGGCCCGGAGAGTGTCTGTAGCTGCCTCTTGCAAGAAGTGAGGCCACAAGCTTCAGCGATTTTCTTCAAAAGGAAGTTTGAGGCCAGGAGCTGAGAGCAGCAGAGCCAGGCACATGTCAATGATCAAAGCCAGGAACGTGGCATGCAGGTTGATGCAGCCGAGTGGCCATTGCTTTGAAAAGTTAGACCAAGCCACCTCCTCTGCAGGAGCAGCCCCCGCGTGGCTTCAGCTCCTCTTTTCCACGTGTGCGCCTGCTTCAGGCCAACTTCTCGGTCCTCTTGGTTGGAATTTGGAGGAGCAATGCAACTCCATTTAGTGTGAGGCCAGGAGAGGTCAATGGGGTCCCGCGGCCAGGCTCAGCCTCACCAAAGGCAGGTGATTGCTATGGCAGGGTGGGGCTCTTTCACGTGCTTCAATAAATTCTCCAACAGTTGCCAGCCAGTAGCGACACCGCGTGGCAGGGCGTGCCTTCCTCCCAAGGCACACCTACCTGCCAGGCTGCGAGGGGACAGGACTCACCCATAGGTGCAGCGTGGCTCCCTCCCAACAGGGAAGCCCCAGCCCATGCTCGCAGATACCCAAGGGCCTCGGGCACTGCGTGGCAGCGCGCCCCTTCCTCCCAGGAAGTCCCAGCCGGACATCTCTCCTCGCCTCTGGCCCTTAGTGGGGCCAGGTGACCCATGCCACCCCCTCACTGTGCCCCATTCCCAGGGCTGGCCCTGAGAAAGCCTCCCACGCTGTCCTCCCTGCTTTTCTTTCCCCAACAACAGCCCCACCTGACAGCAGGAAAGGAAGAGACAGGAAGTGTTGGGTTTGGCTCTGGTGCGAGCACACTGACCCCACACTTGAGCTCCCGCCCCCAACACTGCTCTGGGGTACTGCTAAGCACACTGGCCTGGCCCATGCCTCCTTCCAAGGAGTGTTAGCCAACCAAGAAAAACGCCCCCGCCTGCAGACCACACCAGCAGGTTCTGCTCGGGCAACATGAACCCTGGGCTGGGGTTTGCTCAGGGCTGGCTGTCAGTTTCTGGTGACCTTTGGGCACATAGAAACTCTCACCTGGGGAAAGCAGCAGATCCGTGCCAGGGGCTCACCCTGCCATGAGCCACACCTGCCTGCCAGGCTGCCAGGAGACAAAACTCACCCACAGGTGCAGGGTGGCTCCCTCCCGACAAGGAAGCCCCAGCCCACACTGGCAGCTGCCCAAGGGCCTGGGGCGCTCGTGTGCACAGGCCACTAAAGTCACCCAATGCCAGCCAGCCTTGGTGAAAATTACCATTTGCTCAACTGAGATACTGGGTCCATGACTCCAAGGGGAGCTCGTTCTGGTTGCTCTGGGTATAGAGACTCTGAACTGTCCTGCCACGTAAAGAGAACAGTCTCGTTTCTCACACTCTGCGAAAAGACAGGTACGTGGCCCGCTCGCTGCCTTCTCCAGCCTTTGCACAAAGAACTTACAGCTTTTGAGTACAACCCACAGCTTACAGGGTCTTAGAAGCAAAATTCGTGTTTGGAGCAATTGTCAGACTGCAGCTTGGCAACACACTTCCTATGTGCCTTTGCTACTATTTGAACAACTGCTATCAGCTGGAAGGGTTATTCCCTCCTGCCGTTAGGGCATTGCTTTCCCTGGATCTAGAACAAGACTGACCAGATGTGTCTGGAGTTGGTTGCTGCCATTGGGTTCTTCGTTTCGCTGACCAAAAATGAAGCCGTGGACCTTCCCGGTGAGTATTACAGCTCTTAAAGGTGGCACAGACCCAAACAGGGACCAGTAGAAAGATTTATTGTGAAGAGCAAAAAAATAAGCTTCCAAAGTATAGAAAAGAACCCTACAGGTTGCTGCTGCTGGCTGGCTAAGTGCTGAAGACCGGGCCAGCTTTTATTCCCTTATTTGTCCCCTCCCATGTTCTGTTTCTGTCCTATCAGAGTGCCCTTTTTTCAATCCTCCCTGCGATTGGCTACTTTTGGGATCCTGCTGATTGGTGCATTTTACAGAGCACTGATTGCTGCATTTTACAGAGTGCTGATTGGTGCATTTTACAGAGCACTGATTGGTGCATTTTGTAATCCTCTTGCTAGCTACAGAGAGGTGATTGGTGTGTTTTACAATCCTAGCTACAGAGTGCTGATTGGTGAGTCTTACAATCCTCTTATAAGACAGAAAAGTTCTCCAAGTCCCCACTCGACCCAGGAAGTCCAGCTGGCTTCACGTCTCACAGGGGCGTCAGGCCCAGAGAGGTCATTTTGGAATGACCAAAGGGTATCATTGGTGGCCCCTTTAAGAAAATATTCTGTTTCCAGAAGGCCCTAGAAACTTCCCTTCCCATGCATAGTCAACTAAATTGGCAAGAATTCTGCCTACTTGGTTGATACTCTCTTGGATGATGACTCTTATTTGCAGGGGTGCTCTCTCCCCACCTTCCTGCTTTCTCTGTCTTATTTAATGTCCAGGAACAAAAAGGGTGGAAAAATTAAGAGGTGGCCTCAGTCCTGTCCACCCTGGGCGAGGTGGTCAGATCCTGCTGGCGACTGCAGCTGTTTCTCTCAGGTGACTGGGGGGGCTTCCCGCAGGACCACTTCAGCCTCCTAGATGAGACTTTCTGCAAACATTATAATTCTTGTCAAAGTACTGCAATTTGAATTTCATGGCAGTTCTACATTTTATGCTAAAATGACTCATTTCCCCGTTGCAGGAGGATGATGAATACCCTACAGATGGCAGCTGCTCCTGTTCTCAGGAGCCTGGTCATTAGGAAGAAAAGGATAAAAACCCCAAACCTGTTATCTACTGAGCAATTCTGAGCTGCTCTGGAAATTTGAAAGGCACTGGGAAGAAAAGTGTCACCAGTTCTGCTGGGACGGGGCCAGGGTGTGGGTGGGGGATTCGGGCAGGGCTGGCTGCTCGCTCGCCCCCTCCCTCCCTGGAGGGCCCACTCTGCACTCCTGCCCTTCTTCCAACTTTTCCTCCTTCTTATTATCTTCGGATCTTCCTTCTGTTCCTCTACAGCTGAGCCTTCCTGAGGAGGTAAAGGAGTGTCCCTGGTGCTTGGGCAAATGGAACCGGTTCAGCCCATGCTGTCACCACGTGCAGGGCCCTCTCTCAGTGTGACTGGTGTGACAGGAGGAAGAAGGGCAGTGAGCCGTGGCCCAGCTATTGCAGGTGAGAGGGAAGCCAGCCGTGTGCCTTGGTACACGGTCACCACCAACCCTAAGGCCGCAGCCTACCCCAGACCCACCACCTCGCCATAAGTCAGCTGCCCGCTCCCGCCGGCCCATTCACCGCCCTTGTCCACAGGGGCCAGCGGCTCCCACGGGTTTCTGCTCCACATCAATAGAAACAGTCATTCAAGCTGGAGCTGGAGGCCCCCAACAGCTCTTGTTGTCTTGTTGTTGTCCACACATCACAACTCTCTTCTCTACTCAGGGACAGCCAGAGCAGCTTCCTGCAGTGCAAGCCCTGCCTGACGCCCTTCTGCCTTTCTCATCGGGTCTCAGCTCGTCCTGGCCACACCCGTCCAGGCCTTTTCTGCAGGAAAGGAACTTTTGCTCAACCATCCATTTTGAAAGTGGAGACTCTATCTCCATTCTAACGCTCCTTTTCTTTTAGACTTTTAAACACATTTTTTTTTTTTAATAGAGACAGAGTCTCGCTCTGTTGCCCAGGCTGGAGTGCAACAGTGCGATCTTGGCTCACTGCCAACCCCCCGCCTCCCGGATTCAAGTGATTCTCTTGTCTCAGCCTCCCAAGTAGCTGGGACTACAGGCATGTGCCACCACATCCGGCTAATTTTTTTTTTTTTTTTTGTATTTTTAGTAGAGACGGAGTTTCACCATGTTGGCCAGGCTGTTGTCGAACTCCTGACCTCAGGTGATTCGGCCTCCCAGAGTGCTGGGATTACAGGCGTCAGCCACCGCGCCTGGCCTAAACACAATTTTACTGTGAAAACAAAACTGGAAACTGGATGGTGTAATGATCTTCTACATACAATCGTCCCGCAGTATTTGTAGGGGATTGGCTCCGGGACCCCCAAAGATAACAAAATCTGAAAAGACTCAAATCCTTGATAAAATGGTACAGTATTTGCATGTAACCTCCACGCACCATCCTATATACTTTAAATCATTTCTAGTTTTCTTGTAATATCTAATACCATGTAAATGCTATGAAATAGTTGTTATATTGGTTTTTATTTGCATTATTTTTTATTATTGTATTTAAAAATTTTTTTTCCAGAGTATTTTCAATCTGCAGTTGGTTGAATGGGCAGATAGATACAGAACCCGTGGGTAATGAAGGCCAAATGTACTATCTTGATTCAATAATTGCTATGCTAACATTTCTCCACATTTGATTTAATTTCAACACACACACACTCTAAATATGTTTGTTGCTCTACCATTTGAGATTAAGTTGCAGACATTGTAGTAAAGTTGGCATTGCAGATTGGCAGAGGAAAGATGGGCTCTTTAGTGAATTATATTGGGACAGCTGTCCCGCCTCTTCAGGGAAAAATAAATTGTAGCCCTATTGAACTCTTTGACCAAAATTAATTCTGGATGAAACAAAAATTTAAATCTGAAAAGTGAAATAATAAAAATGCTAGAGGAGAGTATAGGTGACTATTTTTATAATCCTGAAACAAGAAAAGCCTTTCTAAACATGCCACAAAATCACAAGTCATGAAAAAAAAAACAGATAAATATGACAATAAAAATAAATACACATAGGCCAGGTGCAGTGGCTCATGCCTGTAATCTCAGCACATTGGTAAGCTGAGGTGAGCAGATTGCTTGAGTCTAGAAGTTGGAGACCAGCCTGGGCAACATGGCAAGACCCTGTCTCTACAAAAAATTTTTTAAAAAGTAGGCACGGCAGTGCACGCCTGTGGTTCCATCCACTCAGGAGGCTGAGGTGGAAGGATCGCTTGAGCCAGGGAGGTGGATGCTGGAGTGACCCAAGATCATGCCACTGTACTCCAGCCTGGGTGACAGAGCAAGACCCTGTCGCAAAAAATACATACATATATACACCCATACATATATATGGGTAAGTAAAGTGTAAACTGTGCCTCTTTACTGACTTTAAACAAAAAGCAATAGTCATGTTTCACTTAACAACAGGGACACAGTCGAAGAAATGCGTTGTTAGATGATTTCATTGTTATGAGAACATCACAGAGGGCACTTACACAAGCCTAGATGGTCCAGCCTCCGACACACCTAGGCTATATGGTGTAGCCTGCAGCTCCTAGGCTACATACGTGTACAGCATGGCACTGTGCTGGATACAGTAGGCAGCTGTAACACAGCCATGAGTATTTGTGCATGTAAACATAGAAAAGGTACAGTAAAAATGTGATATTATAATTTTATGGGACCACTGTTATATACGATCTGTTGTTGACCAAAATGTGGTTATGTGGTTCATGACTATACTTATGGATAGCACATCAAGTCAATGGGGAGAATATTTTGTCACGCATTAATAGTAAAAGTAGTTCTCTTAAGATACAAAGAGCTCTTGCAGATCAGTTTTTAGAAGATGACAAATCTAAGGTCAGAGCTCAGTAACTGACAGTTCCTGGAAGAACAATGGCCAATAAGCATAAAGACATACTCAACTTCACCACCACCGAAGAAATGTCTGGAAGACAGCGAGTCATCAGTTCCCTTCATGGATTGTCTCAGATTGGCCAAGACTAAAATGAGGGATAATCCCTGGGGCTGGGCAGGTGTTAAGAAGCACATTCTCATCTGCCACTGGAAGAGAGTAAAGTGGTTCTGCCCTCTTACAGACAATTGAGAAAAAAAAAATTGAAAATAAAACTTTGAAAGCCTTTAGACCCAGCTCAGCAATCCTGCTGCTGAAGATTTATCTCACAGAAAAAAAAAAAATGCAAGCAAGCGTGTGAGTTGCGGCCTACAGGGATGTTTGCTGCAGCACTGGGGGGAAACCTGGAAATGGCGCCCTATTCACTGGATGCAGGTGGCAGGTGAGCTCTCACAGTGGGGCTTAGCCCCTGAGGGTTCTTGGCTTCACCCAGGAAAGAATGCAAGGGCCAGCTGGTGGCATTATGCAGCCACTTTTCCTGAACTGGGCCAGGGCTGACTCCTCAGCAGTGCACCCGGAGTCAGCAGCATATGGGCTGAGGCAGCTGCACTCACAGCCACTTATACTGACTTCTAATGACATGCACATTAGGGGCAGGTTATTTGGAAATCTCTAAGGAAAAGGCAGCAACTTCCACAGCATTTGTAAACTGTCATGGTGCTGATGGGAGTGTCTTGTGCTAATGGACAATGAGGGCAAGGAGAGGTTGCTTTTAGGGCCATGTGCTAGTTCCCACGGGTTTCCTCCTTCATCCCGTGGGGACCAGGAAATAAGTCCTGCAGGCCTCTGACCTCAAACTAAGATGGGAATAACGCACAAAGGGTGGAAAACCCCAGCCTGGCCATGACGTGTGGTCACAAAGCACAAAGCAGAGGCACACAGTGACTCCTGCAGCTCAGCATGGGACCTGGGGCTCAGAGACGGAACCTAGGGGCTGGGTCCCTGCTGTGCGTTCTGACTCCACGGCACCCTCTCTCACTGTGACCTCGTATGGGCCGCTTTGCCTCTGTGTGTTCACATTCTCATCTTGATGAAGGGAGCACAAGTATCCAGCTTGCCATGGGCTGAAGTGTACCCCCCAAATTCATATGTTGAAGCCCCAATCCCTAACAGGATGGTACTGAAACCTGCCCTAGGATTAGACAGGATTTGTTAACCAGCAAAATTTCTTGAGCTCATTTTGCAGGACAGTGGAGAAGACGACAATTTGCTACAATCCCCTCTATTTGCAACTAAGTGGGCTGCCAGGAGGGACCAGTTGGAGCCAACATGGCTGACTAGAGTCTGCAGAGTGCACTGACTCACCCACGAGCCACCTTTTGATGTCAGAGGGCCCAAAACCCCACTTCCAGGTCATGCTAATGCCAACATTGTTTTTAAACATGCAACCCATGAAGCAGCAGGTAGGGCGACAGTGAGTGACCGAGGGACTCAACAAAGCCCCTTCCTTCCAGCCAATCTTCGTCCCGCCCCGAAACCCCACCCTCAAAATCTCTCTCTTACATCTATGGTGGCAAGGCCAGTGGGAAGACAGATAGGAACATTTCCTCCGGTCTCCATGTCACTCAACTGGCAATAAAGCCTTCCTATTGCAAAAACTTGGTGCTTCGGTGTTTGGCTTCCGTTCCTTGAGGGCAAGTGGACCCAGTTTGGTTGGGTGACAGAAGGGGCCCCCAGTCCCTGGGCCACGGACCAGTACCTGTCCATGGACTGTTAGTAACTGGGCCGCACAGCAGGAGGGGAGCAGCAGGTGGGTGGGTGAGCATGACCGCCTGAGCTCTGCCTCCTGTCAGATCAGCAGTGGCATTAGTTCTCATAGCAGCGCACTCTATTGTGAACTGCGCATGTGAGGAATCTGGGTTGCACACTCCTTATGAGAATCTAACTAATGCCTGATGACCTGAAGTGGAGCTGAGGCGGCGATGCTAGCACTTGGGAGTGGCTGCAAATACAGATGAACATTAGCAGAGAGGTTTGACAGCACAGAGACCATCATAAATCAATTGCTTGCAGAGTCATATCAAAACCCTATCTGTGAGTGGCAAGTGACAAGCTGCATGCAGTGGCAGGCTTTATTGAGGCAAGTGAGCTGATGGACTTCAATTGTACAGCTGCATCTGGTGGCCTTCAAAGTATGTTTGCGACAACTTCAAATCTCCATACGTTCTGGATTACAGCCAAGGCAGAATCTCCTGTGATTGTTCCCAAAGCACTGAAAAGCCCACTTCCATTTCCAATATCCTGTGTTTGTGAAGCAGAGTTTTCTGCAATGACATCGACCAAAACGAGATTACAGAGCAGACTGGACATTAGCAACACACTTCGGGTGTCATCGTCTTCCATCACCACCAGATGGGACCGTCTAGTTGCAGGAAAACAAGTTCAGGGCTCCCACTGATTCTACATTATGGTGAGCTGTATAATTATTTCATTATACGTTAGAGTGTAATAATAATAAAGTGCACAATAAATGTAATGCGCTTGAATCATCCCGAAACCATCCCTGCAACCCAGTCCATGGAAAAATTGTCTTCCACAAAACCAGTTCCTGGTGCCAAAAAAGGTTGGGGACTGCTGAGTGATAGTACCAGGAGGCGGGGCCTTTGGGAAGTGATCAGGCTTCATAAGGCGATGAGGGTCTGGCCCATGATGGGATTGGCGCTCTTAGAGTGACAGCAGAGAGTTTGTTCTCTCCCTCTCCCTCCCTTTCCCCTCTCCGCTCCTCCTGGTCCCCACAGAGGGACTAACCATGTTCCCAACTACCCCATGAAGAGCTTTTTCTTCAACAAAACCTGCCACTTTGAAGTTGTCTCAAGAAATTCTCTCCAAAGCAAGCCTGTCATCCAGCTCTAGATTCCAGGCTTTGAGGAATCCAAAGATAGCAGAGGTTTCCCTTATTAAAAGAAAAGCCCCTGGTCCTGGTGCCTGATAGCCCAGCCTCTGATGGATGAGATTCATCTTCACTTATCTGTCTGTAGTTGCTTAAATGACATTGATCCATATAAAAGGACAATGTACAAACTCACCATTTTCAGGAGTAAGGAAAGTATTTTCCTTCTCTTTGGGTTAAAAAAACAAACAAAACAGTAAATCCTGTGCACCCACCCACCCACCCCCCGCCCCCCAAAAAAACTATGACTTCATTGTTGAGAGGAGAAAAATGTATTTCTTTATATTTAAAAATAATGTTTTGGATATTTAAAAACAATGTTTTGCTTTGTTTACCACATCGAGCCAGCACCCCAATGCACTGGCTAAAGCTGACTTTCTTTTAGTCTCAAAGGAGAAATTCTTATTCCTGATTTCCTTCTGAACGACAGAGTTTTAAAGTTTTTTTCTTACACCACGATTGGGCTTGTAGATTTCTTTATCTGTGAAACGATTTTCATCCCAACCATTTGGACTACACCCATAAGCGGAAGAAAAAAGCCTTGAGTTGAGAGGGAAACGTCACAGAGCTCACGACCGACTTCACAGTGGAACAGACACGATCACTGATGGCACCGCCAGTGGAAAAAAACTTCGTCCATTTCAGAAATCCTTTTTTTTTTTTGAGACGGAGTCTTGCTCTGTCGCCATGGCTGGAGTACAGTGGTATGATCTTGACTCACTGCAACCTCTGCCTCCTAGGTTCAAGCAATTCTCCTGCCTCAGCCTCCCAAGTAAGTTGGGATTACACGTGCCCGCCACCACTCCTGGATGATTTTTGTATTTTTAGTGGAGACACGGTTTCACCATGTTGGCCAGGCTGGTCTCCAACTCCTGACCTCAGGTGATCCGCCTGCCTTGGCCTCCCAAAGTGCTGGGATTACAGGCATGAGCCAGCGTGCCCGGCCTCACTTTTCTCTTTTTAAGTGACCATTTCTTAGTTGACAATTTGGAGCTTGAGAATGCAGGGACAGCACAGGTAATATCTGACAGCCTCAAGAGTGGCAGGAGGCCATGACAACCCCCTCACCTGGTGCCTGCACAGAAGCAGGGAAGTGTGAGCTACATGTAGAGGGAGGATCATAAAAACAGGCCCAAGAACAAAGGGCTCAGAGCTCTGCTGACCTTATAGGATTCCCGTTTCTGTGTTTCCTGTGCAGTGCCCTTCACATGGCCTGCTTGAGACCTTCCATCAGCCCAGTCTGAGGTCCCTTAGGGGACGGTGTAGACCCCAGGAGGGAAGGGCTGGCTCTTCTCTAGGATGTCAGGAGGACCAGAGCTGCTGGGGCCCCACCTCGTCTGAAAACAACACAGAGCAGGGAAGAGCCAAGCCAAGGTGACAAAGGAAAGTGGAGTCCTAATCACACTATTTGAGGATGCCTGGATCCAGCTGCACCTGAAGCATTCCCCGGGTGTGCTGGTTATGCAGGACAGTCCTTTCCTCTTCTGGGGCCTAGATTTCTATCACTGAGCTCCAAGCAAGCAGACATAAAACCCAAAGGCTGCCCAGCACTCTGGGCTTGGAAATCAACTCTGCCTCCAGTCTCTTGTCTTGGGGGTTCCAGTGTGGAGACACACATAAGCCCTGCTGCTGATGTGTTTACATGATAAGCTTTCGTTTTCCTGCTCCCTGAGGTTAGGTAAGAGCACAGATACTCAAACACCTGCACATGTATTTGCTCCCAAGCCACACTGGAGATTTCATTGTAAGCTTGACGTGTTTATGACATGACAGCAATTGCCACCTCCACCCCACAGGCCACAAAGGCTGGCCTGGCAGGGAGCCCTGAGCTCTGGGACTGCCGCCCCATGCTGACCCTCCCTTCCTGTCACTGCCAGCCACTGTCTTCCTCCCCCGGCAGGCCTCCTCAGCTCCCGTCACTGTGTGTTTGGCAGTCCCAGGTCTCACTCTGCAGCAGGCATCACCTTCCCTGCTGCCACCATCTCCTCCCTGCTCCTCACCCTGGGACCTCGCCCTTCGCCTTCTGCCTCCTGGTGGGTTTGACCTTGTGTGGCAGGGCAGGGAGTGAGGGGAGCTGCAGGAGGCCGAGAGCAGGAGAGCCAGGTGACTATCCCCATGCCACCCGCGGCTCCCTCTGCATGGGGTCCCTGCCATGAGGTCCTCAGCTCCGTGTTTTTGCTACAGGGACCCTGGCCAACACACCTGTTGGTCAGGCATCTCCCTGGCCTGCAGCCATGACTCCACCACCAGCCTGCCTCCCCACCAGAGCAGGCCTCCTGTCAATGGAACCTGTTATTTTCCCTGAGGTCTCTCTTCCTCCCACCTGAGCCACCACCATACCAGCCCCTGCGAGGTGATGCCTCTGGTCTTCCCAGAAGCAGTCTCCTCTCCCTGGATGCTCTTCCCTCTTACCTGGGGACCACTTTCTCACTCAATTCTCCCTTCCTCCACGAAGCCCTCCAGGACTGCTGCCAGGGGCCGACCCCCTGTGGACTTGACCCCACCCCTTCATGTACACCCAAGACACCTCCATCCTCTATGTTTCCCAGCCACCAGCATCCCCTGCCTGACCTGCACACAGACAGTGCCCAAGCAATGCTCAAGTCAACGGACTCATCTGTTTGCTAAGGCCAAAATTGTAAAGAAAAGCAGTTGGGTTGGTTTTAGAAATGATTATTCTAAGATTAAAGTGCCAAATCAACACATTACCTATGAAGGAGAAGAAATGTTCACATATCAAAACTCATTAGCTCTGATATGAAAAGAAGACATGGCCACCAGCAGTTTTAAAATAAGTATCTCTGAAATGCCACGCAGCTTCCTCCTTTCCCTCTGAATCACCATTCGTTCATTCTTCCTGGCTGCCTTGGGCTGAGTGCTGAGGAGGTCTAGCAACATCAGAGCGGCAGGAGCGGCTGTCCATTAGCAGCATTTGGCACGCTGGAGGGAGCTGCAATTAGATTGAGCTATCAGAGGGGGTTTCCATAAATCTCCCGGCATTCTGCTTCATGATTCTCAGCTATCCTTTCTTCCCTTTGCAGGCAAGAGCTGGGAGGCGTTTTGTGGACCAAAAGCACTTTGTTCTGCAGAGCACTTTCGGCCTGTGTGGGAGGATGCCCTGGCACATGGGGAGAGGCCATGGGTGTGTGTTCATTATGCACTTTCTCCTGCAGACCTCTTAAGAGTCCTGAGCCTCCCCCGCCAGTTTCCATTTGCAGAGACCCCATTCACACGTAGCTATTTTACACATGCTCCTTGATAATCAAACCAGAACTGCTTGGACATCTGCATGGCTATTTTGGGGCTTCTAGGAGACTGAGGAAGACAACCTTATTTTCAACAGTCCACAAAGATGTGACATCATTCTGAACAGTAAGGCTGGCTGGGCTCGGTGACTCATGTCTGTAATCCCAACATTTTGGGAGGCCAAGGCTGGAGGAACACTTGAGCCCAGGAGTTTGAGACTAGCCTGGCCTACATAGTGAGACCCCTGTCGCTAAAAAAAAATTTTTTCTTTTTTTTTTTTGAGACAAGAGTTTCGCTCTTGTTGCCCAGGCTGGAGTGCAATGGCGCAATCTTGGCTCACTTGCAACCTCCGCCTCCTGGGTTCAAGCAATTCTTCTGCCTCAGCCTCCTGAGTAGCTAGGATTACAGGCATGCACCACCACGCCCGGCTAATTTTGTATTTTTAGTAGAGATGGGGTTTCTCCACGTCGGTCAGGCTGGTCTCCGACTCCCGACCTCAGGTGATCCGCCGGCCTGGGCCTCCCAAAGTGCTGGGATTACAGGCATGAGCCACCGCACCCGGCCAAAAAAAATTGTTTTTAATTATAAAAAGAGAGTAAGGCTTTCCAGGAGGTCAAGCAAGTGTGGTGATTGCTCCGTGAACCGTGAGAGACCAATACCGCAGCATTTACAAAACCCCCGCTGGGACTCAGCACAGTGCCCTTCCTCCAAACCTCAACTCCGGCAGGGGCAGAAGCAAGGCACCTGTGAGGCGCATCACTTTGGACACACCACTTTGGTTTGTTTGCTTTGGTTTGACCCCAGGCGGGAAAATCCGGGCCTGGTTCTCCTCCTCTCCCTCCCTCCCCTCCTCTCAGCTCTTACCTGGAAACTGCTCGGGACAAAGCCGGGTCCCCGCTGCGCGTGCAGCCTCCCAGGCCCTCCCCGTCGGCCTCCCTGCCTCCCCCCGCAATTCTCTCGCCTCGCGGGCAGCCTCGGCGCTCACGCACCCTGCAAACCCCTATCCCTCCGGGCCGGAACACCCCAGCTCTACGGCTGAGGGTGCAGGGGCGCCGAGGGCTGGGCGCCCGGGAGTTCCACAGCTCCCTGCACTTGATGATCTTCTGCAGTTATTCCAGAAGTAAACCGCCGCCTCCTTCATTTTTGCTTTGTTACGGGGTCTGGGCTCTGTCGCCCAGGCTGGAGTGCAGTGGCGCGATCTCGGCTTACTGCAGCCTCGACCGTCCTGGGCGCAGGTGATCTTCCCACCTCAGCCTCCCCGAAGTGCTGGGACCACAGGCGCGCGCCACTATGCCAGGCTAATTCTTAAATTTATTGTAGAGATGGTGGGCGGGGGGTGGGGGGGCGTCTTACTATGTTGCCAAGGCAGGTCTCGAACTCCTGGGCTCCAGCGATCCTCCCGCCTCGGCCTCCCTGGGTGCCAGCCGCCTCCCTATTTGCTGTCTGGGGCTTTGCCTTCTGGCGGGCTCCGTAGCAGTGACCGGCCCCTCGCTGCGGGTGGACATGCTCGTGCGAGTCGCGCGGGCTCGCGGCGGCCAGGAGCCTGTGGGACGCTGCGTGGGAGTTCCCATCCCGCGGTCCCAGGACCCCCGGCAGCAGCTGCCACGCTCAGGGCGGAAAGTGCCTGGGTGGCCAAAGCGGGGGCCTGGGGAGAGAGCCAGCCCCGGGAGGACGGCACTGCAGAGGCGGCCAGGAGGCAGGGGAGGCTCGGCGACCCTGGCAGGCGCTGCGGGACGCCGAGGACTGGGGCGGCGTGCTGGAGATCCGCGGCCAACCGTGGGGTGAGCAAGGGAGGAGGGGAGGGAGCGGCCGAGGGGCCCAGAGCTGCAGCAGGAGGTCGGGGAGCGAAGGGCAGGCGCGCCCAGGCCCCGGCGGGGGAGGGGAGGTTCTGAGTCCGGGGTGGCGGAGAGGGGAAGCCAGCGGGGCTGGCGGAGGGGCGGATCCCACGGGAAGGGGCGGGGAGCGCCGGGGACTAGGGGCGAGGAGGCCGCGGGACTGGGCGGAGCAGGGGCGCCACAGGTGCGGGGCGCTAGTGCGAGAGGCGGAGGCAGCGGGGAAGGAAGGGAGGCCGGCAGGGGGAAGCCCGCCCCTTCCTCCGCGCCCCCTCCTCCCTCTCCTCCCTCCCCCTTTTCCCTCCTTCCCTCCTCCACACCCCCTCCTTCCCTCCGCCCCCCCGGCATGCCTCCTTTTCCCTAGGGAAAAGTGCCCGTTCTTTTACTCTCCCTTCCATCCCTCGATATTCTTAATCCCTCAGGCGGCTGGTCTCACAGGAATTTAAAGAAAGAAAAAATCTGATTAAAAGTCTGTGCTCAAGCCGGGCGCGGTGGCTCACGCCTGTAATCCCGGCACTTTGGGAGGCCGAGGCGGGCGGATCACGAGGTCAGGGGTTCGAGAACATCCTGGCCAACATGGTGAAACCCCGTCTCAACTAAAAATACAAAAATTAGCTGGGCATGGTGGCGGGCACCTGTAGTCCCAGCTACTCGGGAGGCTGAGGCAGGAGAATCGCTTGAGCCTGGAAGGCAGATGTTGCAGTGAGCTGAGATTGCGCCACTGCACTCCAGCCTGGGCGACAGAATGAGACTGTGTCTGAAAACAAAAACAAAAACAAAAAAAACAACTCTGCCCATCAGGCAGCAGGACAGGGTGGAGCGTTTGCTGCTTCTGGCTGGGGTAGCGAGGAGTTGATACAGGCTTCCTGGTCCCCTGGGGCACAGGACTTGACTGCTGGCAAAGCCCCCCCCCCCCCCCCCCATCCTCTGCAGGCTGGGGAAGGGCTGAGTCCCACACACCCTGGGAGGCAGGAAGTATCCCAGGACACATTTCCTCAGTCACCCTCCTACCTGATCCACTAGAGAAATGGGGAAGGGGGACCACACACTCTGGTTTCTCCAGATTTCCTGGATTGCCCTGAACACACACACAGCAACAGGACGGGTACTCAAAGGCTACCACATCCCAAACTCAACCTTCAGAGAAATGGTAGATCTGCCTTTGCAAAATTATAACAGACAACTATGACAGTGAAAGAGATCTCACCTAACTGACTCCATCTTGCTTCCAACCCCCAAGCTGTCCTTGTCATTCCTGGGCATGAACTAACTTTGGGAGGAACTTGGTTTATTGTTTTGCTTTGAAACAAAAACAATAACAGCCCTTTCCCAAAACAAACTCCCTTCTTGCCTGGGGACTACACTGCCTTTGCAGGACTAACAAATTAGCTGTAAGGTTAGAAATTAGGGTTTAGGAGTCATGCATCTGGAGACTCCAAGATTCTGAGCCATCCCAAATTGCTCCTGAGAATAAACTCACTATGGTAAGGCCTAAGATCAGTGCTTGAGATGATTTGTAGACCCTGCACATGATGATCGATGATCAGCTGGCACCACATGGGATCCTGTGGCCTCTACCCAGGAACTGATTCAGCAAAAGAGGACAGCTTCGACTTTCCGTGATTTTGTCAGAGGTGTTTGAACCACAGCGACTCCATCTTGAGTAGGGGCTGGGTGAAATAAGGCTGAGACCTGCTGGGCTGCATCCCCAGGAGGTTAGGCATTCTTAGTCACAGGATGAGGTAAGAGGTCAGTACAAGATACAGGTCATAAAGACCTTGCTGATAAAACAGGATGTGGTAAAGAAGCTGGCCAAAACCCACCAAAACCAAGATGGCGACGTCTTTTAATAATTAGAGTATAATGAGCTGTGGTCATCCTCACTGCTTATTATACTCTAATTATAATGTTTAGCATGCTAAAAGACACTCCTACCAGCACCATTACGGTTCACAAATGCCATGGCAACGTCCAGAAGTTACCCCCTATGGTCTAAAAGAGGGAGTAACCTTCAGTTCCTGGAATTGCCTTCCCCTTTCCTGGAAAACTCGTGTATAATCCACCGCTTGTTTAGCATATAATCAAGAAGTAACTAAGTATACTCCCTCGAGCAGCTCATGCCACTGCCCTGCCTATGGAGTCACCAACTTGATGGACTTGCCCTGAATTCTTTCTTGCGTGAGATCCAAGAACCCTTTCCTGGTGTCTGGATTGGGACCCCTTTCCAGCAACAATTTTATCTTCTACCCAACCAATCAGCATTCCCCATTTTCCAACCCCCCCAACCCACCAAATTATCCTTAAAAACCCAGATCCCCAAGTTTTCAGGGAGACTGGTTTGAGTAGTAATAAAACTCCAGTCTCCTGTGCAGCCGGCTCTGCGTGAATTAAACTCTCGACTGCAATTCCCCTGTCTTGATAAATCGGCTCTGTCTAGGCAGTGGGTATGGAGAGCCCATTGGGCAATTACACATGGACCGTGTGTGGTGACTCCATGTTCAAGCAGCCAGAAGCTCCCTGGTTGAGGCACCCTGGATAACTGGAATTTCCCATACTTGATTTGACTTTTAGAAAAAAAAAATAGAGAATGCAACAGTGTTTTTCTTTATTTTTCACCTGGAAATCATTTTTAACCTTTGAGGGTAGTCAAGGACCCATTTGAAAATTGGACAACTGATTTCCTCAGAAAAGAAGACCTTAAAAATAAAAATTGTACATGCCATTGTGGGATCCATAGGCCCTTGGATAAGAATCCCTGTAGTAAACCGGGCGCGGTGGCTCATGCCTGTAATCCTAGCACTTTGGGAGGCCAAGGCGGGTGAATCACTTGAGGCCAGTAGTTTGAGATCAGCCTGGCCAACATGGCAAAACCTCCTCTCTACTAAAAATAAAAAAAATTAGCCGGGTATGGTGGTGTGTGCCTGTAATCCCAGCTACTCGGGAGGCTGAGGCATGAAAATCATTTGAACCCAGGAGGCAGAGGTTGCAGTGAGCCAAGATGGCGCCACTGCACTCCAGCCTGGGCGACAGAGTGAGATGCTGTTTCAAACAAACAAACAAAAAAAGAATCCCTGCAGTAAACCGTCTCCTTCCAGCCCCTGGAAGCCATGGCAGCCAGCTGTGCCCACTGCCAATTCTGTGCCACTGTAGGTGGAATTCAAGGCAGACGGGGGCTCCTTGGGGGACACTGTGGCATGTGCTGCCTTTGATGGGGATCACAGCCTCTCAGCCTCTGAAGCTGGGAGAATCGCTGGGATCACCTGTCCAAACAGAAAGCCCACAAGGACCCCAGAGAGGTTCAGGGGAAATGAGTGGCTCAGATCTGGAGCCAATTTTTATGTTAAAAGGTTTCTTTTCTTAATAAAGGCCCATTGGGACCCAGATGAGTAATGAAATGTTGGAACAGCAAAGCAAACAAAAGCCACCCTGCTGAGAAATGAAGAATGGGCTTGAGCTGTTTTTACTCAAACACTTCTCACACCAAATGTGGGATTTTTTCCCGCACCAGCCAGTTCTCAGTACCAACTGAGTGTCCTATGATTCAATTCAATTCTGACACTAACTAATGTCAGATTGAACAGGTTCAAGGGCTCAGTCCCACAAGATCACCTACACCGCAGACGCCAGTCCCAAGTCTTAGGTACTCAGAGAACCTACACTTCTGTCCGACTTGGCTACAAAGTCAGGAGGTTCTTACAATCCCCACCTCCCTCAGGTCAATAATTGGCTAGAACAGCTCATAGAAACCAAGAAAACACTTATTTACTATTACCAGTTTATTACCATGGACACAGACGAACAGCCAGGGCTAGGTCTGGAAGGGTCCGGAGCCCAGGAGGTTCTGTCCGCATGGAGTCGGGGTGTGCCACCCTGTCAGCACATGGCTGTGTTTGCCAACCTGGAAGTTCTCCAGACTTCGTTGTTCAGGAATGTTTAGGGAGTTTTCATGACATGGGTATGATTCATTAATCATTGACCACTGGTGATTAACCCAATCTCCAGCCTGTCTCCTCTCCCCAGAGGAGGTTTGCGGGGAGTGGGGCTGAAAGTTCCAACCTCCTAATCCTGCCTTGGTCTTTCTGGGACCAGCCCTCATCCTGAAGCTGTTCAGGGGCTCCCAGCCACCAGTCATCTCATTAGTACACAAAAAACATTCATTATTCTCACTGCAGAGATTCCAAAGGTCTTAGGCCCTCTGTGCCAGGAACAGAGACAAGGACCAAATCTATGTTTCTTATTGTATCACCATGCTTCACATCTTAGCCTTCCCCAGGCATGAGGCCCTGGGCAGCTCATGGTCCTCTGTGCCTAGGGTACTGGGACCCCTCACTGCAGGCCCTTTGTGTAGGCTCCTTGGAGGGACCCGAGCAATTCTCTACCACAATTTTTGTTTTCATTTTCTTTAAAGAGAGTTCCCGGGTGGCATAAACCTCGGGCCCCACACATCTGCTTCAGCGTGTAATAATTTGGCTTTTCTCATCCCAGAAGGGACAACAGTGCCCTGAATGAGTAACCCCCAGCCCAACAACCTCTTAAGTGGTGGCATTGTAAGTCGAGAGCATATTCAATTTCCAAGGCTGGCCTGTGTTCACAAATACCTAGTCCTCGAAAGGCCTGAAACATCTTGTGACTCAAGCTTCCCCACCCTTCAGGGTTTCTATAGGTCCCTGGGAATCACCGCTGGAACCACTGTTCTGGGCGAGACCCTTCATGCGTCCTGCCCCAGAGCCATCTTACTTCTAGGCAGAGTGGACTTGCCTCTGGAACCCTGTTTGGGAACCCAGGCACCTTTCTCTGTTGCTTACCTTCCCTCTCCCCTGTCTGCCAACCGCACTGCTGTCACCTCCCTTCAGTCCCCAGCCCCCACCATGGATCCTGCCTTACAGGGGAATTTGACAGGCTGCATTTAGCCTAGATTAAAATGGCTTTAGAATATGATATTCAAAATCTGCATGTCACTCAAGTTTATCATAAATACAAGATGCGATAAACTTGCTTGACAGCTGAGCTGACATGGCTTCGGAATGAATAGCATCTTGAAGTTCTGACTCATGATGAAAACGCATGGGGATTGCAGGGACAGGCTGGAGTGTCATTTTTAAGCACAGCCAACATGATTTTGACAGGGCAGACACACCGTGGGATCGGCTCTTTGCTGCTCCAGACAGCCACTGCCACGTACAGCTAATGCTTCGTTATTTATGGTAATAGGGACCGGGATGACATGGATCATTGAAATGAGCATGTCATTAACAAATAAGATGCACTGAGGAAGTAATTCAATCACCTCTCTCCAGGTTCCTTTTAAGGGAGCCGCTGGAAAACCCTCCACAGGTCCTCCCTTCGGGCCCTGCATCCAATGAATGGGGTGGTGGACAGTGTCCATTCCTTTCCTCCAGGAGCCTCCTGGGGAACCAGACAAGGATCACCTCTGGATAAGCCTCGGATGTGATGGGGAATTCCTTAAGAACTCTCTCTGTCCATTTTCTGTTGCATATAATAGAATATTTGAAACTGAGTAATTGCTAAGAAATGAAATTTATTTCTTACACTTCTGGAGGCTGGGAAGTCCAAGGTTGAATGGCTGCATCTGGTGAGGGCTTCTTGCTGGTGGGGACTCTGTAGAGTCCCAAGGTGGTGCCGGGCATCACATGGCGAGGGGGCTGAACATGCTGGCCCATGTCTCTTTCTCTTCTTATAAAGCCACCAATTCCACTCTGTGATAACACATTAATCCATTAACCCACCAGTCCATCAGTTCATGAATGGGTTAATCTATTCACAAAGGCAGAGCCCCCATGACACAATCACCTGTTTTTTGTTTTTGTTTTGATTTGTTTTTTGAGATGGAGTCTCGCTCTGTTGCCCAGGCTGGAGTTCAGCGGCGCAATCTTGGCTTACTGCAACCTCTCCATCTCACGGGTTCAATCAAATCTCATGCCTCAGCCTCCCAAGTAGCTGAGATTACAGGCATGTGCCACCACGCTCAGCTAATTTTTGTATTTTTAGCCCTTTGAATCTTCCCTGGTCGTAGTTATGGGAGCGGGAGAAGAGGAATTCTGGGGAGGGGCAATAAATGATGACTAGGGAAGATTCAAAGGGCTTGAAGAACACACCACGGTCTGCGGTAAAGTCTGCTGGGCCTGCAGAGCAGACAATGGTTTGTGACAAAAGTCTGTCCAGGTGTGTTGACCGACTTTAGTTTTCCTTTCTGAGATATGGGTGCAGTTAATGAAAACTCAGGGAAGTGACTGGAGGTGATTGTTTTTCTTTCATAGACCCAGACTTTAGACAGATAAGGGAATGTCAGAGAAGCCTATGCTTTGGGGCAGGAGGGAGGAGAGAGACCTTGAAGCTCCTTTTTCAGTTCAGCATGTACAAAGCATCAAATTCGGGGCATCAGCTTCCGAGCCCCAGCAATGTTTTCAAAGTTAATCCATGTTGTAGTATCAATCAGTATTGCATCCCTATTTACCGCAAATAGTCTCTTGTATCGATATATACCACAACATGTTCACCAATTCATCAGTTGACGGGCGTTTGAGTGGTTTCCATCTTTTGGCTCTTAAGGAGTAATATTGCTAGGAACATTGATGTACAAGTGTCTATGTGGACATGTTTTCATTTGCCTTGGGTATACCTAGGAGTGGAATTGCCGGGTCACGGTAATTATATGTTTAATTTTTTGAGGACGCACCAAACTGTTTTCCGAAGTGGCGCCATCTGCTGGAAAGTATGGTTCTCCTTTTCTGCTTTGTGATTGGTGGTGGTTATTTCTGTTGCGTTTCCCCGGACTGGCAATAGCAGACAATGCAGTGGAGGCCTAGAGGCCCGAGCGGCCTGTTGGTTGTGCAGATCAACTGCTCCCTCTTCTGTTGCTAGAGTGAAGGGCAGTTTCTTTAATCAACGACACCCTTTTCTTCCACGATTGATTGGCTAGGGTGCTCTCTTGCTGGGTCCTTATTATTACTTTTTTAAGACACTTTTTCCTTTCTCTGCCTTCTAGATGTGGTGTAGACAGGAGCAATGGGTGTCTTCTCTCCTTGCTCACCTGTACAGTTTTAAGGAGAATGGGTAGGGAGATTCTAATTTAGACAGCTGCCACTATCCTCTGGGGCATAGTTTCAGATAGTGGAAAATGACATGGGGTGAAGAAAACAGGCCAAGATGTAGAGCAAATAGCGACTCTACATCTATAGGATATAGGATGTTTTCATGCATTGAAGTGTGTCTCCCAAAAACATATGTTGAAGACAGCCGGGCATAGTGGATCCCGCCTATAATCCCAGCACTTTGGGAGGCCGAGGTGGGTGGATCACCTGAGGTCAGGAGTTCGAGACCAGCCTGGCCAACATGGTGAAACCTTGTCTCTACTTAAAAAATACAAAAATTAGCTGGGCGTGGTGGCAGGCGCCTGTAATCCCAGCTACTTGGGAGGCTGAGGCAGGAGAATCGCTTGAACCTTGGAGGCAGAGGTTGCAGTGAGCTGAGACCACACGCCATTGCACTCTAGCCTAGGTGACAAGAACGAAACTCTATCTCAAAAAAAAAAAAAAAAAAAAAGGCCAGGCGCAGTGGCTCACGCCTGTAATCCCAGAACTTTGGGAGGCCAAGATGGGCAGATCATGAGGTCAGGAGATTGAGACCATCCTGGCTAACATGGTGAAACCCCGTCTCTATTAAAAATACAAAAAAATTAGCCGGGCATGGTGGTGGGCGCCTGTAGTCCCAGCTACTCGGGAGGCTGAGGCAGGAGAATGGCATGAACCCGGGAGGCAGAGCTTGCAGTGAGCCAAGATCCCGCCACTGCACTCCAGCCTGGGAGACGGAGTGAGACTCTGCCTCAAAAAAAAAAAAAGGAAAGAAAAGAAAAGAAAATATATGTTGAAGCCCTAACCTGGCACCTGTGAATGTGACTTTATTTGGAAATAGGGTCTTCACAGAAGTAATCAAGTTAACATGAGGTCATGGTGAATTAGAGTGGGCCCTAATCCAGTGTGACTGGTGTCTTTATAAGAAGGGAAGGTTCACAGGCATAGTGGGAGTGCTAGGTGACAATGGAGGCAGAGATTGGAATGACGCGTCTATAAACTAAGGAGCATCACAGGTTTATGGGAACCACCAGAAGCTGAGAAAGATAAGTAAGATAGATTCTTTCTCAGAGCTTTCAGAGCGAGAGAGCGTGGCCCTGCAGACACCTTGATTTTGGATTTCTGGCTCTGGAACTGTGAGAGACTACATTTCTATTGTTTATGCCCTCCAGTCTATGGTTACAGCAGCCCTGGGAAACTACAGTGTCAAGGAAGGCCACTCCAGGAACTGATAACTCAGGGAAGAGCTTTCTTGGCAGAGGACATAACAAGTGCAAAAGTCCTGAGGTGGGGACTGGCCTGGCAGGCCCAAGAAACAGGGATGCTGGAGGGCTGGTGCAGGCACGGTGAGGACTTCAGATTTGATTCCATAAGGGAGAGGAGGTTATTGTAAGCAGGGAGCAGCACAGTGAGATTTTCATGATCAAAATAGTCTAGCTTGTCTATGGAAAATAGAATTTGGGAGAGAAGACAATGGGGGAGACATGACCTTTAGAAGGCCACTGTAACTGTCCATGGTGGCAGTCTGGGCGAGGGTGGGGGTGAGTGGGGGGAGGTGTAATGAGGGTGGATTTGGAAAGCAGACCCAGTAATATTGCTGATGGGTTAGATGGGTGAGAGAGCATGAGCGGAGTCAAGTCTGACTGCTGGATCATTGGCCTGAGCTGCTGGTGACACCCCTGCTGGGATGAAGGTGGCTGGGGAGGAGGGATACTGAGAATTTAGTTTTGGGCATGTTACCTTTGAAACGCTGATTAGACATTCAAGTGTATAAATAATTTTTTTTTTCACAAAAGACGATGTAGGCCAGGTGCGGTGACTCACACCTGTAATCCCAGCACTTTGGGTTCAGAGGCTGGAGGATCACCTGAAGTCAGGAGTTCGAGACCAGCCTGGCCAACATGGTGAAACCCCATCTCTACTAAAAATACACAAAAAATTAGCTGGGTGTGGTGGTGTGTGCCTGCAATCCCAGCTACTCAGGAGGCTGAGGCACAAGAATTGTTTGAACCCGGGAGGCGAAGGTTGTAGTGAGCCAAGATCGCACCACTGCACTCCGGCCTGGGAGACAGAGCGAGACTCTGGCTCAAAAAAAAAAAAAAAAAAAGATGATGTAAACAAGTTCCTTGCATTCCTAACATACACGTGCCTATAATTTGCATAACGCAGACAGGAACATAGGAACCTTCAAAACAGGTCCTCTAAATGTGTTTAACCACAGAAGCAGGAAAAAAAATCATTACGTTAGAGTCCAAGATGTGGCCTCCCTGCTTTCCCCTGTGCTGCCTGCGTGAGGAATGGTTGCATGGCAGCTGGCATGCTGTTCAGGAAGAAAGAGATCTCAGCCAGCTCCTCAGAGTCAGCGCAGCTCTCCAAATATGACTTTAACGACATTTCAGAGCACAACCCAGTTTTCCTCCCACGAGGAGATTCAGAGGGGTGTAAGGGTTCCCTGGAGGGTCTCCATTACCACCAGCAAGAAAACAAGTGGTAGCGATTGATGTCTGCTACCCACCATGAATGATCTGTGTCACCCCTCTAGAGAGAGCCATTTTATCTAGGGGAGCGCAATGGCTAGTTAACAGACACCAGAAGAGTTGAGCAAGATCTGCATTTTGCCTATATTGCAAGTACCCAGCAGCTGCTCTGTAAGTGGTATTCAGGGCATGAAACCTATGGTGAATTTTTTTTTTAACTGTTGAACTAGGCTCTGCTGATAGAGAACTTCTCCTACACAGCCAGATACGCAGAAGAAGGGCACTAGCAGAGAGGAAGGTGCAGGAAAGAGAGGGCATGAGATGGGGCACTGCCCCTGCAGAGGTCTCTGGCTGGGAGCCAGTGCCCAAAGGGCAGGGCTAGCCATGAACTCCCCAGGTGTGGGAGAGGATGGGAGGGTGGGCACAGTTGCTCCTCACTTGGAGCAAGTTCCCAACCGATGACTGCAATGTTCTCTTTGAAGTGGAAAGAGAGACTTAAGGACTTCAGAAAACCGGAGACTTGAAATAGCCACTCCAGAAGGTGGCAGAGAAAGTTGGATTGGGGACACACCAGGATTGCTGGGCGCAGCTGCATCCCAGACAGTGTAACATCTGACTTTGAGATTTCTCTCTGGCAGTGCCCAACAGTGCCTGCCCAGAAACAGAAAAGGCAGAAGTTTGGTCCATTCAGGCCAAATTTGGCCAGATAAGTATCAAAAGACAAAGGGCCAAGAGAGTTCCAAATATTGCCAAAGACCCTGAGACTGGCCGAGGACCAGTCAATGCAGGCTGTTATAACTATCACAAAACCCACATTTTAGGGAGTCTGCCCAGGTCCCACAGTCCAATGCGGGTCCGAGTCAGTGGGCGCGTTTGTGTTGGGGATAATGACTCCCTCCACCCCATCACGCAAGCACCCAGGCCATACCCACACTGCCATCTTCCACACGCGGCTTCCGAGTCTCCCAGCGTCGGCATCCAGCCCAGGGAGGGAACATCAGGCAGTGCGCAGGAGCGCTAAAAAAAAAAAAAAAGAGAGAGAGAAAAATAAAGAGTCTCTTTCCACTACAGAAAATTATAGTTGGCTTGCAAACCAGCCTCAAATACTGCCCAGACCCATTGGGAAACAGCAGCTGTGGGTTCTCCAGTTTGGTGCAGTGAAGTTTAAAGAGATAGAGGAATTTAGCTGTTGACCACAGACCAGAGTGCACCTCTCACGTTTAAGGTGTGGAATGACCACATGCACATCAACACAGCCGTCCCTACTCACAATCACAGTCACAGAGCCATGCTGCAGAATTAAAAGCTCACAGCATTGAGAAAATGAGGCACTTAACGTTTATAGCACAAAGGAATTCACATTTAAGAATGCATCAGATTGTAATATATGCTGGGAGCAATTTATTATCAAAATATGAGGCTTCATACCCCCATGCTATTTTTTTTTTTTTTTTGAGATGGAGTTTCACTCTTGTTGCCCAGGCTGGAGTGCAATGGCGCGATCTCGGCTCACTGCAACCTCTGCCTCCTGGGTTCAAGTGATTCTCCTGCCTCAGCCTCTCAGGTAGCTGGGATTACAGTCGCACACCATCATGCGCAGCTAATTTTGTATTTTTTTTAATTATACTTTAAGTTTTAGGGTACATGTGCACAACGTGCAGGTTTGTTACATATGTATACATGTGCCATGTTGGTGTGCTGCACCCATTAACTTGGCATTTACATTGGGTATATCTCCTAATGCTATCTCTCCCCCCTCCCCCTCCCCCACAACAGGCCGCGGGGTGTGATGTTCCCCTTCCTGTGTCCAAGTGTTCTCATTGTTCAATTCCCACCTATGAGTGAGAACATGCGGTGTTTGGTTTTTTGTCCTTGCGATGGTTTGCTGAGAATGATGGTTTCCAGCTTCATCCATGTCCCTACAAAGGACATGAAATCATTCTTTTTTATGGCTGCACAGTATTTCATGGTGTATATGTGCCACATTTTCTTAATCCAGTCTATCATTGATGGGCATTTTGGTTGGTTCCAAGTCTTTGCTATTGTGAATAGTGCTGCAATAAACATACATGTGCATGTGTCTTTATAACAGCATGATTTATAATCCAGCTAGTTTTGTATTTTTAGTAGAGATGGGGTTTCTCCATGTTGGTCAGGCTGGTCTCGAACTCCTGACCTCAGGTGATCCGCCCGCCTTGGCCTCCCAAAGTGCTGGGATTACAGGCATGAGCCACTGCACCCGCCACCCCACCATGCTATTTATTACTAAAAATGATTCTTAGAAGACAAGTCTGCCTCTCCTAAAGCTCTCCCTATATCCTTGTGAAGCACACCAAGCATGTGTGTGTGTGCTGCATGGAGAGGCTGAGGCCCAGAGCAATTACAGCAGATCAAGTACCCTAGTGGGTACAGAGCTCAGCTGGGCTGGGCACGGGATTCCGGGCAACCGTTAGAATCAGGAGCCAGTCCTGGCCAGGCGCGGTGGCTCACACCTGCAATCCCAGCACTTTGGGAGGCCGAGGCGGGCGGATCACCTGAGGTTGGGAGTTTGAGACCAGCCTGACCAACATGTCTCTACTAAGAAAAATACAAAAATTAGCCAGGCGTGGTGGTGCATGCCTGTAATCCCAGCTACTCAGGAGGCGGAGGCAGGAGAATTGCTTGAATCCAGGAGGCAGAGGTTGCAGTGAGCAGAGATTGCGCCATTGCACTCCAGCCTGGGCAACACGAGAGAAACTCCATCTCAAAAAAAGAAAAAAAAGAAAAAGAATCGGGAGGCAGTCCTTATGGGCTCGTGTGCGTGGCATGGATGGAGAGGGGCAGCAGAGAGCCAGCAGACAGAGTTGTGAACACTGCTGGGCGAGGTGGCCCTGTGCAGCCCAGGCAGGCTTCTGAGAAGAAGAGGGAGTCTTCTGTCTGGAGCCAGGTTGCAGGGTGTAATGCACTAAAATGGTGGACCTGTCAAGGATGACACAAAGACCATACAAAGGAGGGGCGAGGATGGTCATGAATATCACTATGCTGGGATATAACTTTATCCTATTATAAAAAATATTTTTATTTGGGGAAAATCTTCACATCGGATTTTTTAAAAGCAGGCACAATAAGACTGCAGCAAAACCAAAACTTTTGGATGTATATACTATTTCTTCTCCCAGAATCTCCATTTTCCTGTAGTAACCCATGGCAGAGTAGCTTTGTGAGCCTCAGTTATGCAGCTGTATTTTATTTCATTTTCTTTTTTCTTTCTTTTTTTTTTTTTTTTTTTTTTGCGACAGGGTTTCACTCCCATCACCCAGGCTGGAATGCGGTTGCACGATATTGGCTCACCACAACCTCCACCTCCTGGGCTCAAGCAATCCTCTGGCTTCAGCCTCCCCAGTAGCAGGGATTTTAGGCACCCACCACCACTCCCAGTTAATTTTTGTATTTTTAGTAGAGATGGGGTTTCCCCATGTTGCCCAGGCTAGTCTCGAACTCCTGGCCTCAAGTGATCTGCCTGCCTCGGCCTCCCAAAGTGTTGGGATTACAGGCGTAATACACCATGCCTGGCGCATTTTCTTTAAGTAAATAGTTTTCTGATGTCTTAGGTAGACATGGACATGGAAAACATGGGTGTTTTAAAGGTTAATGTGTGTGTCACTGACTACGTTTGTATTGAAATGGAAAACAACAGTTATTCCATTGGGCAACAGTTTTCACACTACTTTAATAATGACCTTACAGTAAACAGTAATAATGAAGTGGAGACTGTCAGCCATTGGTTTTATGATTTCTGTGTATTATAGCCTTGGATGCTTGTAAATGTGTGTGTATGTGTGTAGCTCATTAAATATTCTACTGAATTGTAACAGTCAACCTAATGTTACATACCTCTTTTTTGTTTATACTCAGGTTTTAAAGTATAATCTCAGATAAATTAGCCAGCTGAATTAAAACACAGTGAGGGTATCTGAATTTTATGTGATAAAATTACATCTTCTCGGCCGGGTGTGGTGGCTCACACCTGTAATGCCAGCACTTTGGGAGGCCGAGGCGGGCAGATCACGAGGTCAGGAGTTCGTGACCAGCCTGGCCAACATGCTGAAACCCCATCTCTACTAAAAATACAAAAATTAGCCAGGCATGGTGGTGTGCACCTGTAATCCCAGCTACTTGGGAGGCTGAGGCAGGACAATCACTTGAACCCAGGAGGCAGAGGTTGCAGTGAGCAGAGATCTCGCCATTGCACTCCAACCTGGGCAACAGAGTGAGAGTCCGTCTCAAAAGAAAACAAAACAAACAAACAAAAAAATCTTCTCAGAGGATGCAATTGTCTGATTCTTTCAAATGAACCTTTAATTTCCTTTTTCAGTTAAAACATCTTTGGCCTTGTTTACTAATTTTCATTAAATGGAGAATTCTTTACAAATCAGCAAAAAAATGCTGTAATTACAACCACACTCTTAATTCATGTAAATATCATTAATGCTTTACAATAATTATAGAGTTGTCCCTTGGTATCTGAGGGGGATTGGTTCCAGGACTGCCAGAGGATACCCAAATCTGTGCATCTTTAAATCTTGCAGTTGGCCTTCTGGAACCCACCTATAAGAAAAGTTGGCCCTTTGTGTATGCAGGTTTCACATCCCATGAATACTGTATTTTCAATCCTCGTTGGGTTGAAAAAAGTCCTCATAGAAGTGGACCCACGCAGTTCAAACCTGTGTTGTTCAAGGGTCAACTGTAATTATTGGATTCTAATTGCCAATGATAACAATAAAGTGCTACTTTAAAACTACTTTTCACACAGAGTGTATTTGCACTACTACTTGTCAGAAAGAAATCCAAAGAAATGCTCACTGGATTTGTTCATTACTTTACAATTTTAATTTGATTCAATTTTGAAGAGGTAATATAGTCACATGGTTCGAAACCCAAAAGATACACATCTGAAAGGTACATGTCTTAGTCAATTTTGTGCTGCTGTGAGAGAATACCTGAGACTCAGTAATTTATAAAGAAAAAAAAATTATTCTCTCAGTTCTGGAGGCTGCGAAGTCAAAGATCAAGTCACTGGCATCTGCTGAGGGCATTTGTGTGTGTGTCCTCACAGGATGGACAGCAGAAGGGCAAGAGAGAGCAAAGCCCTCCATCAAGTCCCTCTAGAAGGGCACCTAATTTCAGTTAGAAAAAGGAGCCCTCATGGTTGAATCACATTTTAAAAGTCCCATCTCTTAATACTATCACATTGGCAATACTTGAATTTTGGAGGGGGCACATTTGAACCATAGTGTAATGGAAAGATCCTTGCATTTATTTATCCTTGCATATTATTTATAATAGCTCAAGCCAAAAACAATTTAAATGTTCACTGATAGCAGGTACATAAACATAGTGGTGGCTGGGTGTGGTGGCTCACGCCTGAAATCCTAGCACTTTGGGAAGCCAAGGCAGGCGGATTGCTTGAGCTCAGTAGTTCGAGACCAGCCTGGGCAACATGGTGAAACCTTGTCTCTACTAAAAATACAAAAAAAATTAGCCAGGTGTGGTGGTGCACACCTGTAATCCCAGCTACTCGGGAGGCCGAGGCACAAGAATTGCTTGAACCTGGGAGGCGGAGGTTGCAGTGAGCTGACATATAGCACCACTGCACTCCAGCCTGGGTGAAAGAGCAAGACTCTGTCTCAAAAAAAAAAAATATAGTGGCATATTCGTGCAATGGAATATCATACGGTAATAAAAATGAACAGCTACTTACACATGCTGTAATATGGACAACTCCCATAAGCATAAGGTTGAGGCATAAAATTATTTATACTATATGGTTCAATTTACACAATGCTACAAAATAGGCAAAACTAGTCTATGGTGTTAAAAGTATGATAGTAGTTACCTTTAGGGAGGCAGGAATGTAATATTTTGGGAAAATGCATTATTACTGTGGTTCCAGTCTGTTCTGTTTCATGACCTAGACAGTGGTGATAGTGGTTTTCTGGGTGTATTATTATTATTATTATTTTTTATTTTTTTGAGATGGAGTCTCGCACTGTCTCCTAGGCTGGAGGGCAATGGCGTGATCTCGGCTCACTGCAACCTCCGCTTCCCGGATTCAAGCAACTCTTCCGCCTCAGCCTCCTGAGTAGCTGGGATTACAGGTGCATGCCACCACACCTGGCTAATTTTTTTGTATTTTCAGTAGAGACGGGGTTTCACCGTGTTAGCCAGGATGGCCTCGATCTCCTGACCTCGTGATCTGCCAGCCTCAGCCTTCCAAAGTGCTGGGATTACAGGCATGAGCCACTGTGCCCAGCCTCTGGGTGTATTATTAAAGGAATGATAAGGACCACCTACTGACTGAAAATGTAAGCACTATATTTATTTCAATTGAGTGGATCCCCACAGGGAAAAAAAAATCAGGAATTTTATGTGCTAGAAAGGACAGGTTCATTGTGATTTTGCCAGTTAACAATTGCAGCGCACAGCCTGGACTGGGCAGAATGCATCCATCTGTATGTTGTGTGAAGTGAGTCTCATTGCTCTTTAGTTGGGAAAGAATTTTCGTTAGGTTGGGTGAGGATCACCTCTTGGTTGTTTATCACCTTTGCTAGTGTATTGCTCAAAGTTTATAGTCATTTAACAGCTTTGGCTGGTCAAAATAATATTCATGTTTGATCAAACCCCAGGCAAGTATTGCTATAATTATAAAGTTTTTTTTATAGTCCTTTATAATGTCCTTACCTCATTCAGAGATGAAAGGTTGACCTGAAAGGATGAGAGAATTATCAGGCTTTCAGATTCAGATCACATTCAGATCAGTCTTGGGTGTTGTATTGAGTAGATTGTTTTTTTTTATTGATTTGTTTTATATTTAATGAAGTGTGATTTATATACAGTAAAATTCTTGTTAGTATAGAATTCTATGAGATTTGAATCTTATACAGTTGTGTAACCACTACACCCACCACCCACACAATCAAGATACACGATGATTCTATCACCCCTAAAAATTCTACCTTCCCCCATTCCGCTTTTTGATAACCACCTCCTCCTAAATTCCCAGTTGTATTCGTCAATTATCCCTCTGCTATAAGGACATACTCGAGACTGGGTAATTTATAAAGGAAAGAGGTTTAATTGACTCACAGTTCTGCAAGGCTAGGGAGGCTAAGGCCTCAGGAAATTTACAATCATGGTGGAAGGAAAAGTAAACATGTCTTTCTTCACAAGGTGGCAGGAGAGAAAAAAATGAGTGCCCAGTGAAGGGGGAAACCCCTTATAAAACCATCAGATCTCATGAGAACTCACTCACTATCACAAGAACAGGATGGGGGAAACTGCTCCATGATTCAATTATCTCCACCTGGTCCCCCCCAAGACATGTGGGGATTATGGAAATTATAATTCAAGATAAGATTTGGGTGAGAACACAGCCAAACCATATCATCAGCATTGGCAACTCCTGATTTGTTTTAACGTTTTTCCCATTCTACCATATCATATGGCCTTTAGAATCTGACTTCTTTCACGTATTAATAGCACAATAGCACATTTGAGATTCATTGATGCTGTTATGTGTATCTGTAGTTCATTCCTTTTTTACTGCTGAGTAATATTTCATTATATATATGTATATATACATACACACACTATAGATAGTATTTCATACATATATGTCACAATTTGGTTATCTAATTGAGAGGTGAGGCCAGTTGGACTTCCTGGGTCTAGTGGAGACTTGGGGAACTTTTCTGTCTTACAAGAGGATTGTAAAATGCACCAATCAGGAACTTTTCTGTCTCACAAGAGGATTGTAAAATGCACCAATCGGCGCTCTGTAAAACGCACCAATCAGCACTCTGTAAAACTCACCAATCAGCGTTCTGTAAAATGCACCAATCAGCAGGATTCTAAAAGTAGCCAATCGTGGGGAGGATTGAAAAAAGGGCACTCTGATAGGACAGAAACAGAATATGGGTGGGGACAATAAGGGAATAAAAGCTGGCCACCCCCCCCCCCCGCCCCCCCAGCCGACAGCGGCAACTCGCAGGGGTCCACTTCTGTGTGGTGGAAGCTTTGTCCTTTGCTTCTTTATAGCTGCTACTGCTCACTTTTTGGGTCCGTGCCATTTGTAAGAACTGTAACACTGCCGTCTTTGAGAGCTGTAACACTGGTGGGCGCTTTGGGAGGCTGAGGTAGGTGGATCAGGAGGTCAAGAGATTTGCGACCATCCTGGCTAATACGGTGAAACCCTGTAGCCACTAAAAATGCAAAAAGAAAAAAAAAAAGCTGGCGCGGCGTGGTGGTGGGCGCGTGTAGTCCCAGCTGCTCAGGAGGAGGAGGCAGGAGAATGGCCGGAACGGGGGAGGCGGAGCTTGCAGTGAGCCAAGACCGCGCCACTGCCCTCTGGCGTGAGGAACAGCGGGAGACTCGGTCTCAAAAAGAAAAGAGCTGTAACACTCACCACGAAGGCCCGGCTTCGTTCTTGAAGGCAGCGAGACCACGAACACCCTGGCCGGCAGCAACTGCAGACACATAATCACAAGGTGAGGGAAATTTGGGCTATTTATGGAGTTTTGTGGTCATAAAAAGCTGCTTTAAACGTTTGTGTACAGGTTTTTGTGTGAAGATGAGTTTTCAGTTCACTTGGGTAATACCTAGCAGTGAGATTAGAGGGTCATAGGGTAAGTACATGCTTAACTTTAGAAGAAACGAACTGTTTTTCAGAGTGGCTTTACCATTTTGCTTTCTTTCAAGCAAGATAAGATATGAGAGAGTCTGTTGCACCACGTCCTTGCGAGCATTTGGTGGTGTCAGGTTTTTAGCCATTTTAATACGTGTGTACTGGACTCTCACTGTGGTTTTAATTTGCACTTCCCTGGCAAATAATGGTAAATTATGTTGAGCATCTTTCCATTTGCTGTGTTGGCCCAAGTTTCTGTCTGCTATCAGAATTCTTCTACTTTAAAAATTTACTGGCCAGGCACAGTGGCCCACGCCTGTAATTGTAGCACTTTGGGAGGCTGAGGCAGGCAGATTGCCTGCACTCAGGAGTTCAAGACCAGCTTGGGCAACCTAGTGAAACTTCGTGTCTATTAAAAATACGAAAAACTACCCGGCTGTGGTGATGGATGTCTGTAGTCCCAGCTACTCGGGAGGCTGACACATGAGAATTGCTTAAAGCTGCGAGGTGGAGGTTGCAGTGAGCTGAAATCGTGCTACTGCACTCCAGCTTGGGTGACAGAGTGAGACTCTGTCTCAAAAAAAAAAAAAATTCCGTTAACATTTCTTATATTGATAGCACAGATTTTCTGGTAATGCATTCTCTCAATTTTTGTTTATATGAAAAATTCTTTATTCTTTATTTTTGTAAGATATTTTCACTGGGTATAGAATTCAAAGGTGGGAGCTTTGTTCTTTCTGCTCTTTAAAAGTGTTATGCCTGTGGCCTACATAGTTGTTTTTTTTTTTTTTTTTTTTTAAACGGAGTGTTGCTTTGTCACCCGGGCTGGAGTGCGGTGGCGTGATCTCGCTCACTGCAACCTCCGCTTCCCAGATTCAAGTGATTCTCATGCCTCAGCATCCTGAGTAGCTGGGATTACAGGCATGCACCGCTGCACCCAGCTAATTTTTGCACTTTTACTAGAGACAGAGTTTTGCCATGTTGGCCAGGTGGTGTCAAACTCCTGGCCTCAAGTGATCCACCCCCCTTGGCCTCCTCAAGTGCTGGGATTACAGGTGTGGGCCACTGTGCCCGGTTTGTTTTTTGTTTTTTTGTTTTTTAATTCTAGCATTTCCATTTGATTCTTTCTCATAGTTTTTATTTTTTAGTTGAAATTCATGATTGGCTCATGTATGTTGTGAATTTTTCCACAAGCCTTTCACATATTAATAATAGTTATCTTAAATTTCCTGTCTGACAGTTCCAACATCCAGTGATATCTAAGTCTGGCTCTCTTGATTGCTCTCTTTGACTGGGGATTGCTTTTTGTTGCTTTCTTGTGTGTCTTGTAATTTTTAGTTGAAAGCAAAACATGTTGTGTTACACAGTAAAGGCTAAAATGAACGGCGTTTTACATAGAGATGGGAGCACATCCTCTTCTGCTAGTGTGGGGAGCTGAGTCAATATAGGTGATATTTGAGTTGGGCTTGGGTTCTGTTGTTGCTATGGTGACTCTAAGTGAACCACAAGATTCAAAATTCTCTAGTTTTACCTTGTGCATAGATTAGGGTTGTGCTACCAGAGAGTTTTTCTTGTTACACTCTCAGCTGTAGTCCTGTGGTCCTGTGTCTCAAAGAGAAAGGGCACATGGAAAAAGCTGAGGCTACTGGAGGGATGAAGAATTGGGGCCATCATCACGCTCTACCAAAGGTGCTAATTTTTCAGTTGTGTTTTTTCAGATCACTTTAGAATCCTTTCAATTCAGGATCATTTGATGTTTGTTGAGATGGTGCAGCAGCATTTCAGAAGCTGTTTACAAATCATTTGACAACAGCAGTGAATAGAAACAGAGATAGAAACAGCATAACTAATAGATACAAAGTACCCCTCCTTTTGTCAAACTCAAGCCATGAGACTAGATTTCAACTGTATGCATTATCCCACTTGGACAACCTGTTGGCTTGTCCTTGAATTTTATGTAAGGAACTCTCATTGATCCAGCTGCAACAGGAGGTATTAGTCAGGACACAAATATCACCTTGCTCTGCTAGTGTATAATCAAAGGCAATTCTGTTGTCTAGTAACACTTTATCAAGAAAGTTCAGGCTAATTTTTTTTAGCCTAGAGTGCAAATATAGTTTTATTTGAAATGATTACCATGGCAATAGGAATTTTGTATACTGCAAGATAAGGAAAGATACCTTACATAGAGATATGGATCTCACCATCTCTAATTCCTCCAAGTAGATTTGCATTCCATTGAGAGCGTAGGATGGGTGTAAAACATGCTTGATAGAAATGGGGAATTTAAAAATTCATGTAAGTTCTTATTAATGCATGTCTTTCTGCAAGTTAAAAACTGACCAGATTCAGTACAGCTTTTATATGAAATCTTTCTGTCAAAGCGTATGTTCTACTTTCAGTATACAATGAATGTTAATTGTTTAATATATATGAATTCTCCAACCGCACAAACATGTTTGCCTTCCTCAATGTAGTATTGGCACAAAATTTGGTAATTGGTCCAAATTTTAGTTTCCAGTTTTGATTTGGGTCTGATGAAATTTTCCATGATATGAATGCGAAAGTTTGAGAAAACAATTTTACCGTTAGTCACAGAATTTAGTGTACAATTACAAAAATTTAAGTAGAAACATCAAAAACAATTAGAGAAAACCTGATCAGTTTCTCAGTTCAAACTTTGGACAAGATTTTAGGCCTTGGATGGGTCTAATATTTAAGATAAGTATAATTATAGCAATATTATAAATTATTTAAGATAAGTATAGCTATACTGATCTGTATAAATGAAATATGTTCAATCCACATGATTGAACAGAACATGTTAGCATCATAAGCTTGGAAATCTTGAGCAGAAATGTGGAATGCTTGATATCCAGTAATAAGGGACACATTAGAAGTCAGAGATGCATTTAAAAATCCAGATTCTTTCCGATTTCTGGAGCTTTACACTCTTAGATGGAAAATGCCCTGGTAAGCGTAAGCTCTCTCTGGACCACGTGTATTAAGGACAAGAATAAAAAACATGAATAAGGCATTGTTGGTGTGTGTATTAGTCCATTTTCACACTGCTGTAAAGAACTGCCCAAGGCTGGGTAACTTATAAAGGAAAGAGGTTTAATTGACTCACAGTTCAGCATGGCTGGGGAGGCCTCAGGAAACTTACAGTCATGGCGGAAGGCAAAGGGGAAGCAAGGCACCTTCTTCACAAAGTGGCAGGAAGGAGAAGGAATGCAGGAGGAACTACCAAACACTTATCAAACCATCGGATCTCATGACATCTCACTCACTATGATGAGAACAGCATTGGGGAAACTGCCCCATGATTCAGTTACCTCCACCTGGTCTCTCCCTTGATGTGTGGGGATTATGGGGATTACAACTCAAAATGAAATTTTGGGTGGGACACAGCCAAACTGTATCAGTGTACTGTCAGCCAGTTTAAATCAACAAAAAGGAATCCAAATCGATATAAGGGTTAGAGACAGAAGCAAGAAACAAGAAGAAAAAAGAAAGAAAAGAAAATTTGTGGTTTTGGTCATTGGGTCTTACTCTGATGATCTTGAGTGGAAGCTGCTTCAAGTATTAATCAGTGTGGTGCAAAGTACTTGGGTAGCTGCTGTCAACCTTCAGACAGTTTTCTTCATCTGGAGTTTTTTGTTTTGTTTTGTTTTGTGTTAAGGTGCAGTTTGAGATTCCCAGTGATATGGACTCCCAGTTGGCCCTTGCAACCAAATCAATTTCTTTGTCCATCTTTTTGCACAGGGGATACATGGATCCAAGGATACACTTCTTGCAGTTTTACTGATGTCTGTTATTAAGAACCTTTCTTATGGGATCTTTTGGGTGTTATTTTTCTGGCCAGAAACCTCTGTGGTTGGTGGTGCCTTTGTCTGACTTTTGATCCAGTCTATTCAGCTTATTCCTCCCACTCAGCCTGGCAGGCTGTACTTGGCTCATGCTACCGGCCTGGATCCACGGCTGCCAAGGTTGAGCCAGGCGTGGAGTGGCAAGGTGCATGAGCAAGTGAGTGTGGAGTCCGGCCGCTGCACACAGTCAAGTGGGCCGGCTCCTGAAGTAGCAGGAGCAGTTTCCAGGTACCAGCACAGGCAGCAGCTCTCTGCAAGGCTGCAGCTGGAGGAGGCACACCACAAGCAGCTTTGGCTGGCCCTGGGGGGAATGCAGTAGTGCCTGGAAGCTCAGAGACTCCAAGAACCGCAGGGCCTCAAAGAGGGAGTCACAGCCCTGGCTTGGGGAGCCCCCAGGTCTGGGCTCCCTAAAGGGCCTCAGCTCTTCTTTCCCACTCTTCACCTGCAATGTGGAGAGCAAGCGGCGTGTTTCAGCCCTGTTTGTGTTACAGCACTTCTAGACTTGCCATTTGGCACCTTGAGTTCTTACCCTGCAACCAGGAAGACTGAGGCATGCAGACAAGTGGAGGGTGAGCAAGATGAAGAGGAGCTTTACTGAGCAGTAGAACAGCTCAGGGACCCACTGTGGGTAGCTCCTTTTTGCAACCAGGGTGTCCTGACGAGTGTTCAGCCCTCAGCAGAGAGGAGAAGGCCCTGGGGTGGGTGGCCCCTCTCTGCTGGCAGGTTGTCCTGTCATTTCCACAGCTCTTTGCAGAAAGGAGGACCTGGAGTGTGTTTCTCCTCTCTGCAGGTAGTTCATTGCTGGAGTGGGAAGGCTCTCTCTGCAGCTGGTTGTCCCATTGTCTCTCCTGCTCTGGCTGAGCCTGGGGCTTTTATGGGCCTCAGGGTGGGGAAGTGCATGCTGATTGTTCCATGGACAGCCATGGGCGGGCCCAGGAAAAAGCACCATGAGTTCCCCCTCCAATCCACAGGACTGGCGGCCTGGCCCCCAGGCTTCAGATCTTCTCCAGCCAGAAGGTGGGGCTTCACTGGGGACCCACCCCCTGCCACCCAGGAACCCGTCTGCGTCCTGCTGCTGTCCATGGTGCCCAGGCTGCTTGAACTAAGGGGCACCTGCAGGCCAGCACCAAGCTGCCCTCAGCCCCTCCTTGGCTTCCCCTCCCATGCTCGTGGGTGCCCAAAGCCTGTAGGGGGCTGAGGCGGTAGGGAGCTGGTGTGTCGGTGCTGCCCCGAGTGTGTATACACCCAGCTGGGCTGTGACAGTGCCTGGGCTTGGCCCCAACCATGCTTCAAGATCAGAGAGGGTGCTGAGCTGGGAAGAGGCCAGGCAGCAGAGCAGAGACTCCTGAGCCTGTGGAGATGGGGGGCCTTCCCAGGCCCCCAAGGGTGCAGACTGCAGAGATGCCCGGGTCTTGCGCCTGGGAGGGCAGCTGCAGAGGTACCCAGGGAGGGCGGGGCTTCAGCCCACTCTGAGAATGGGAGGCCCAGGCCTGCCTGTCTGCTGCAGCTGGCATCTTGGCAGCTGCCATTCTAGATGGGCCGCTTCTGCTATCACCTTCCTAGGATCCTTTCCAGAATGTCTCTAGAGAATATTTCCAATTGGTGTCTTTTCCAGAATACCTAATATCTAGGTTGAAGGAGTGTAGAGGTTTTGAAGGTGAAGTTTTTGAAAATCTAGTTTGCAATCATGGAAGATAAGAATGATTATTGAATTTCTCTTTGACAGTATTTAGCTAGGTCTGCCTGAAGCAAGCTCCAATCAATTACGAGTGGTAAAACTTACCGGTGCATGGGTCTTCTAGTTGTTAATTCATAAGGTTACAATCTGTAAGTTCCAGAACAGGCTGACCTGATGGCCACTAGAGGTAAAATTCTCAGCCATGGATGTTTAAGAGCTTCAGATAACTTAACCAGTTTTATTATTTTTATGTTTTAGAGACAGAGGTCTCTATCTGTTGCCCAGGCTGGCATGCAGTAGTGCAATCATAGCTGACTGCAGTCTCAAACTCCTGGGCTCAAGCAATCCTCCCACCTGAGCCTCCCAAGTAGTTAGGACTACAGGTGCATATCATCCCTGGCTAATGTATTGTACTTCATTTTATTTTTTTGGAAACAGGGTCTTGCTATGTTGCTCAGGCTGCTCTTGAACTCCTGGTCTCAAGCAATCCTCCTGCCTCAGAAGCAGTACAGAAAGCAAGAAGCAATAAGAAAGAAAAATGAAAAGCTCCCGAGTAGCTGGGATCATAGGCGCACATCACCACCAATTTAAGTTGTGTACCTACATTTGTACCTCTACCTTTTCTGGAAACTGAAGAGTAAGGGTAACAAGAATTTTTTTTTTTTGTTTTTTGTTTTTTTTGAGATGGAGTCTCACTCTGTTACCCAGGCTGGACTGCAATGGCGTGATCTTGGCTCACTGCAGCCTCCGCCTCCCAGGTTCAAGTGATTCTCCTGTCTCAGCCTCCTGAGTAGCTGGGACTATAGGTGTGTACCACCACGCCTGGCTAATTTTTGTATTTTTAGTAGACATGGGGTTTCACCATATTGTCCAGGCTGGTCTTGAACTCCTGATCTCAGGTGATCCACCCACCTCAGCCTCCCAAAGTGTTGGGATCACAGGTGTGAGCCACCGCGTGTGGCCTAGATTTTTGACGAAGTAGTAACACCTCACCAAGTCCCTTTATGACTGCTCCAGTAAATGAGTACCTTTAATATTAGTGAGTATGATTGGCTTCCCAGGTGGGAAAAACCATTGTCTAACT
Source organism: Homo sapiens (assembly GCF_000001405.40). Classification (NCBI taxonomy): domain Eukaryota; kingdom Metazoa; phylum Chordata; class Mammalia; order Primates; family Hominidae; genus Homo; species Homo sapiens. Next base: position 1,821,826 of record NW_011332701.1, on the reverse strand, counting down.
TTTTTTTTTTTTAAGTTTAGTTATTGCAGTGGCTTTTCTACTTGAGAAGAGCTCACCTCCAGAGAATTTACAGGCAACCTTTAGCGCATATGCATAATCTCGTGACTTGGGAAAGTGGATAAAGCCCATTTTCAAGTGTTTAAAAGTCCTCTGGGATATAGCTCAGACCTGTGTCCCACCATCACAATTTTTTTGTGGGGGTGGTTATGATAGTACAGATGAGGCATATACCTTTCACATCTCTAGTTACCAAGGGGAAATGTCCCCACCAACTCTTATCCGTGGTAGAAGCTCTGTTGTGCATTTTGGTCAATTTCTACCTCAGATTTTTGGTGTAAGCAAGAGGCCATCCTTGCTCCATTAGAGACCACTGAAATTGACAGAACAACCTGATTTTAGCCAGCATTTCTATTTTCTTTTCTTTCTTTTTTCTTTCTTTCTTTCTTTTTTTTTTTTTTTTTTGTTGTTGTTGAGATGGAGTCTTGCTCTGTCACTCAGGCTGGAGAGCAGTGGCTCGATCTTGCTCACTGCAACTTCCATCTCCCAGGTTCAGTCGATTCTCCTGCCTCAGCCTCCAAGTAGCTGGGATTACAGGCACACATCACCACGCCTGGCTAGTTTTTGTATTTTTAGTAGAGACAGGGTTTCACCATGTTGGCCAGGCTGGTCTCAAACTCCTGACCTCAGGTGATCTACCCACCTCAGCCTCTCAAGGTGCTGAGATTATGGGTGTGAGCCATCGCGCCTGGCCCAGTGTTTCTGTTTCTTGAATCTAGGGCTAAATACTCTGTCTGAAATAAATTGTATGTAAAAAAATCTATTCATGTTTTTACATTTCCTTCATCATAAATAACTCCTAAGAACAAGGAGAAAAGTGCACTTCCTTTGTTTAATATCTGCCAATGCACTCCCATCACCTTCTTTATTATGGCTTGTACTATGTGCCTTAACTTTTAATTGTATGCCTCTTTTGAGAGCATCAGTGCTTCTAACAAATCTACTTTTTTCTCCCTTTTTTTAGGCCTCTCTGATGAGGTCAGCTATTCCTTCAGTCCCATAGCATCACCAAATTATATACAACACCAAGGCATAATAGCTGTGTGTGTGTGTGTGTGTGTGTGTGTGTGTGTGTACATGTGTCCCTTTTGGCATCAGCTCTGGTAAGGGCTACTAGTTCTACTATTTGAGATGGCTCAACTTTGGGTGAAAGGTTATCATCTAGTACAGTTTTTTTTGTTGTTGTTTTTTTTTTTTAGAGTTTTCGCTCTTGTTGCCCAGGCTGGAGTACAATGGCACAGTCTTGGCTCACTGCAACTTCCGCCTCCCTAGTTCAAGCAATTCTCCTGCCTCAGCCTCCCAAGTAGCTGGGATGACAGGCACATGCCACCACGCCCAGATAATTTTTTGTATTTTTAGTAGAGATGGGGTTTCGCCATGTTGGCCAGGCTGGTCTTGAACTCCTGACCTCAGGTGATCTGCCTGCCTCAGCCTCCCAAAGTACTGGGATTACAGGCATGAGCCACTGTGCCCGGCCCTAATACAGTTTTATGTAATCATTGCGTAACTTCAATGGTATTGACCTTGATCATTTAAAAGCAACACTTGCTGCAGATTCTCTAGGAGAACATCAACTAGATCTTCCTTGGAAATACTCGACTTCATGTTTGCTGTACTATAGTCCTGGGGCTCTTCTTCAGGTGGTGGAAGCAATACTGCAAGACTGAGATGATAACACTGACACATGGTGGGTAACATGAGAGACCAACAACAGCAGCCAGCCTGAGCTAATGGGCTTGCAGAGCAGTGCTGGCTGTTGCTTGTCAGTAGTATGGACTGAACAGCCTGGGCAACCCATGGAGTTAATGGTGCGACAAGGATAATATCTACAGAAGCACTGACCGTTTTGCAACCACTGTTAAGGCACATAACAAGGAAGAAAACCCTAGCCACTGAGTCTAGAGAAGTGCCTAAATCAGGAGCGGTTTCTGGTACTTCCCATGTTGTTGAGCTAAAGCCTCTTTTTGGTACCCCATGGCACCTCCTTTTTGCTTCAGCTAAAGGAAATGTGCCAAATGGGCGTAAGGTAAATGATGATGATGTTCAGGTGGAGCCGGTATTGGGGCCTGTTGTGATTTAGATTTCAAAGTGACAAGGTCAGTTTCATCAAGGAAGTTTTCTGGTTGCGTGTTTTTGTTAAGTTCATGGAGGAGTCAAGTTACGCTGGAAAAACTGGGAATCCATTGCTTTTCATACCTCTTAAGTTTCCCAAATCCTATGAGTGTCCAATTTTTGGGTAGAGTGTGCCTGTTGGTGGAGAGGTCACCTCCTAAATCATGTCCCACCTCTTGGCAAAATGGTCATTTTTCCTTTGAGGCTTTATCATATGTAGCCACTTGCTCCTTTAAAAGGTGGATTGAGTCCTCTGGAGGGTTTTCCGGGAGAGGTATATATGAGGCAAAGTCTTCTATATTGAATGAAATTGTACCCTTTTGGGAGTATGTCCTTTAAATCATGATTTAAAGACTGGAAGGAATATAAGGTGTCTCTGAGGTATTACTGCCCAAATACCTGTATACTGTTAGTCATTCTAAATAAAGAAAATACCTATCGACTATATTTACAGATATGCCAAAGAAGGCTGAGAAAGGTCTCTCACAGTACATTTGCCTGTACTGTACATTACAGTACATTTGCCTGTAAGTGAAACTGGAGATAGAATAGCATTAGAGTGGGGCACTGCGGGAAACCTAGGGATAACTTTAGGAATGTTTCTTAAGTCTTGAACAAATGAACATCCCATCCCTTTCCATTAGGTTTGTAAAAAGGCGATACATAGACTTCTGTGAGACACTTTTGATTTGAGAATGTATAATTGGTTTTATTCCTTGAATAACTTCTGCTTTCAGAGGACATTAGAGTGGCTTAGGCAAGGACTTGAGAGGATCTACCTGTGTGTTTTTAGGCTCTGTTCCTATTGTATGTCCTCCATTAACAGAGCTTTTGCTCATAAATTGCAATGTACCAGCCAGAGTAAGTTATCTACAGTTTCAAGAGTCATGGTCTAGGCAAGTTTAGGAAAGTCAAGTGTAGAAATAGCATGCTGTGAAATTGGGTGGTTCTTGCAGGTGGGCACTTAATATGACAGCTGCATTTATATAAAGGGCCTGTTCCAGGTGGGTGGAGAGGCATGAAACCACGGAGGAGAAATCAATGTTGTCTTCTGTTGGTCCTCATATGGTGGTCAAGGCAATGGATAGAGAAGTGGGTTTGAAATACCCACTGTAGTAACCCATTGATTTCTCTGAGTGAGTGATTGTTTTATTGCAGTAGGGTTCAGGATAGACAGAGTGGCCCTTGTGTCAACTAGAAATAGGCCTTTGTGTCTCTTTATGTCTATAGATATGGTAGGCCATGTCCTAAAAGTGCCTCCATGCCCCAAGATTTCCATCCCTGGTTATTCCATCAAATGTTCATCTAGGTACTGCCAACAAGGGATTTTGCAGTTATAATTAAGTTCCCAAGTCAGCTGAACTTAAGATTCAGAGATTAACCTGTGAGATTATCTGTGTGAGCCTAATCTAATTACACGAGTCCTTAAATGTAGAGGACTTTCCCCAGCTGATGGGAGAAGAGGCAGGTAGAAGAGAAGGCAGAAGGAGAAAGAGCCCAACCACAAGAAGGAACTGAAGTGCCATCACTGGTTTGAAGACACAGAGGGCCTCACGTAGAGAAGGACAGTGGCTCTTCACCCCTAGCTGACAACCAGAAAGGAAACAAGCTCCCCAGTCCTACAACTGTATGGAACGGAACTGTGCCGGCATCCCGAGTAAGCACGAAATGGGTTATTCCTCGAGCCTTCAGATAAAAACCCAGCCTGGCCCACACCTCAATATCAGCTTTGTGAGACCTTGAGCAGAGAAGCCAGTCAAGCCACCTGGACTTCTGACCTCCAGAATGGTGAGGTGATCAACGGGTGCTGTTTTAAGCTGCTAATTTTGAGGTAATTTGTTAGGCATCAATAGAAAGCTAACACAATCAATGATTTCTTTTCTTCTGAATCAGAGAACAGAAGACATAGCCAAGCACTCTTATGGCCTTTGGAATTATGCCAGCAAGAGCTCTGTTGACTACAACTGGCCTTTTACTTTCAAGACAAGACCAAAAACATAAATCTGACATTTGCCCTGCTTCCAGTGTGACCTGCCACAGTCAGGAAAAACCTCACATATTTCACTCTGAAATAAATCATGTCTTATTCTAGTACCCAGAATCAATAAAATACTGAGCATTTCCCACAAAAGTATTATGTCTTTCAGAAATATGGTAATCACGGCCAGGCGCAGTGGCTCACGCCTGTAATCCCAGCACTTTGGGAGGCTGAGTGGGCGGATCATGAGGTCAGGAGATTGAGACCATTCTGGCTAACATGGTGAAACCCTGTCTCTACTAAAAAAATACAAAAAAGTAGCTGGGTATGGTGGCGGGCACCTGTAGTCCCAGCTACTTGGGAAGCTGAGGCAGGAGAATGGCGTGAACCCTGGGAGGCAGAGCTTGTAGTGAGCCGAGACCACACCACTGCACTGCAGCCTGGGTGACAGAGCGAGACTCTGTCTCAAAATAAATAAATAAATAAATAAATAAGGTAATCACATGAGAAAAACGACTGGTTCCCCACCATGAACAAGCTACTGTAATGTGGCAACTTTGGTGAGGTTGCAGGGAGGCATCATTGCTGCGGTTTTCAACATTCGTGCTTTCTGATTTGGTGGGTAAATGCTCCTGATGTCTGACTGCCTTGCATGCTTTGCCTTTTCTTTTCAAAATGCTTTTGCCTTTGAGTCCTCCTTTGATGCTGGACACATTTTTCCAAAGTCCCTGCTGTTGGCAGGATCTACATCTATTTTTTTTCACCATTTAGACTTAATTCTAGGTTAACTGAGAAACAGAATTCTCACGTCTCATCATCCCTGGCTTTAAGGTTTGGAGTGAGCTCTGCAGATTGGAGGGCCATGGATTTCTTTTCTTTTCCATATGCTCCATTTCTAAGAATTCTCTGATAATGTCCTGCTATAGTGTGTATTTGGTGTTCCTCTTAAGTTTGTGGTCTCCCAATGAACTCAATTTATTTCTCTTTTTTCAGAGATGGCACCTTGCCGTGTTTCCCAGTCTGGTCTTTAATTCCTGGGCTCAAGCAATCTTCTTGCCTTGGCCTCCCAAAGAGCTGGAATTATGGGATTACAAGCATGAGCTACCATGCCTGGCTGATCCCAATTTCTTCTGACTGGGTTAGTAACTTTGGGACCCACTTCTTTTTTTTATTTTTCTTCTTTACTTTTCTTTTTCTTTTCTTTCTTTTTTTTTCTTTTTTTTTTTTTTATGGAGATGGAGTCTTGGAGTCTCGCTCTGTTGCCCAGGCTGGAGGGCAGTGGCATGATCTCAGCTCACTGCAACCTCCACCTCCCCGGTTCAAGCAATTCTCCTACCTCAGCTTCCCGAGTAGCTGGGACTACAGGTGCATGCTGCCATGCCTGGCTAATTTTTTGTATGTTAGTAGAGACGGGGTTTCACCATGTTGCCCAGGCTGGTCTTAAACTCCTGAGCTCAGGCAATCCACCCGCCTCGGCCTCCCAAAGTGCTAGGATTACAGGCGTGGGCCACCGCGCCCGGCCAGGACTCACTTCTGTGATGATGAATTCAGGCAGAACCCTTTGAGCGTTTACTTCCCTGTCTCTATATGACTCCTTTCGATAACCGGCTTTATTGAGATATCATTTATATACTGGCAATCTGCCCATGTAAAGTGCACAATTAAATGGCCTTTAGTATATATTCATAGGGTTATCACATAATCCATTTTAGAACGTTTTTATTTTCCCAAGAGGAACTCTGCACCCCTTTGTCATTGTCCCATCAGCCCTTGGCAACCGGTAATCTACTTTCTATCTGTAAAGACCTGCCGGTTCTGGACACATCACAAAAGTAAAATCATAGAACATATGGTCTTTTGGAACGAGTTTCCTTCACTTAGCATGCTGTTTCCAGGGTTCATTCCTGCTGAAGCATGTATCAGTTCATTTATTCTTCTTGACAAATGATATCCAGTAAAATGTATACCACATTTTATTTTATTCATACATCAGTTGGTGGACATTTGGGTTGTTTCCACTTTTTGGATATTATGAATAATGCTGCTTTGAACATTCACGTACAAGCTTTTATGCAGGCATATGTTTTTATTTATATTCAGTATACGCCTACAAATGGAATTACTGGGGTATATGGTAACCATTTGAGGAATGGCCAGTCTGTTCTCCAAAGTGACTGTACCAATTTACATTCTCATCAGTAGTGTATGAGAGTTACAATTCCTTCAAGTCTTTTTCTTTCTTTCTTTTTTTTTTTTTTTTTTGAGACAGAGTCTCGCTCCGTCACCCAGGCTGGAGTGCAGTGGCCCCATCTTGGCTCACTGCAAGCTCCGCCTCCCAGGTTCCCATCATTCTCCTGCCTCAGCCTCCAGAGTAGCTGGGACTCAGGTGCTCACCACCATGCCCGGCTAATTTTTTGTATTTTCAGTAGAGATGGGGTTTCACCGTGTTAGCCAGGATGGTCTCAATCTCCTGACCTCATGATCCACCTGCTTCCGCCTCCCAAAGTGCTGGGATTACAGGCGTGAGCCACTGTGCCCAGCCTCTTCATGTCTTTTTTGATGCTTGTTATCACTTGTATTTTCGAGTCTAGATTTTCTGTTGGATGTGAAGTGCCGTCTCATGTGGTTTAGATTTGCATTTCCCTGGTGGCTAATGATGTTGAACATCTTTTTGTGTGCTTATTGGTCCATTTGTATAGTGGGAGAAATGTCTATCTATTCTAATCCTTTGTCCACTTTTCAGTCGTGTTATTTGTGTTTTTATTGTTGAGTTGATAGGATAATTTGCAAATATTTTCTCCCATTCTGTGCTTGTATTTTAACTACCTTAATGTTGTCCTTTGAAATACAGAAATTTTAGTTTTAGTGAAGTCCAATTTATCTACTTTTGGTTTTGCTTCTTGTGCTTTTGGTGTCATCTCTAAGAAAATGTTGCTTAATCCAAGGTTGTGAAGATTTAAGTCTATGTGTTCTTCTAAGAATTCCGTAGTTTTAGCTCTTACGTTTAGGTCTTTAATTCGTTTTTACTTGCCTTTCAGTTTTGCATGTGGAATGAGGTAGGGGTTCAATTTAATTCTTTTGCATGTAGACATCCAGTTGTCCCAGCACCATTTGTTGAAAAGAATATTATTGGCCAGGCGCGATGGCTCATGCCTGTAATCCCTGCACTTTGGGAGGCCAAGGCGGGTGGATCACAAGGTCAAGAGATCGAGATCATCCTGGCCAGCATGGTGAAATCCCATCTCTACTAAAAATACAAAAAATTAGCCGTGTGTCGTGGCGTGTGCCTACAGTCCCAGCTACTTGGCAGTCTGAGGCAGAAGAATCGCTTGAACCTGGGAGGCAGAGGTTGCAGTGAGCCGAGATCGTGCCACTGCACTTCAGCCTGGGGACAGAGCAAAACACCGTCTCAAAAAAATATATAGTATGTATGTATGTATACATATACACTATATATATAGTATATATATAGTATATAGTATATATATGTGTATATATGTACATATGATATATATGTGTATATATGTATATATGATATATATGTGTATATATGTATATATGTGTATATACAGTATATATATGTGTGTGTGTATATATATATGTATATATATAATTGTTATTCCCCACACCCAGTTGAAAAGATTATTCTCTCCCCCCTATTGAATGGTTTTGGCACCATTAATGAAAATCAGTTGAATATAGAGATGCACAGGTTCATTTCTAGATTCTTAATTCTATTCCACTGATCTATATATCTATCCTTATGCCAATACCACGCTGTCTTGATTATTGTTAACTTTGCATTAAGTTATGAAATTGGGAATTTTAAGTGCTACAGATTTGTTCTTCTTTTCCAAAATGTTTTCTTTTTTACTATTTTGGGTCCATGAGTTCCTATATGAATTTTAGAATCAGCTTGTCAATTTTTGCAAATAAGTCAGCTGGGATTTTGATAGGAATTGCTTTAATTTTGTAGATCAATTTGGGTAATATTGCCATGTTAACATTATTAAGTCTTTGAATACATGAACATGGGATATGTTTTTGCATATATTTAGAGTTTCTTTAATCTCTTTCAACAACATTTTGTGGTATTCAGAGCATAAGTTATGCACTTCTTTTGTCAAATTTACTCCTAGGTATTTTATTCCTTTTAATGATCTCGTAAATGAATTTGTTTTTCTAATTTCTTTCTTTTTTTTTTTTTTTTTGAGACAGAGTCTTACTCTGTTGCCCAGGGTGGAGTGCAGTGGCGCAATCTTGGCTCACTCCAACCTCTGCCTCCCGTGTTCAAGAGATTCTTGTGCCTCAGCCTTCTGAGTAGCTGGGACTACAGGTGCGCACCACCATGCCCGGCTAATTTTTGTGCTTTTTTTAGAGACAGGGTTTCACCATGTTGGCCAGGCTGATGTGGAACTCCTGACCTCAAGTGATCTGCCCACCTTAGCCTTGCAAAGTGCTGGGATTACAGGCGTGAGCCACCGTGCCCAGCCTGTTTTTCTACTTTCATTTTTTGATTGTGCATGCTAATGTATAGAAATACAACTGATTTTTTGATATTGATCTTGTATCCTGAAACTTGGCTGAACTCATTTATTAGTTCTAATATTAATTTTTTTCTTAGACCCCTTAGGATTTTGTAAAGACAGGATTAGATAATCTACAAATAGTGATGGTTTTATTTTTTCCTTTCCAATTTTGATGACTTTTGTTTCATTTTCTTGCCTAATTTCGCTGGCTAGAACTTCCGGTATAATATTGAGTAGAGGTGGCAAGAACAGACATCTTGATCTTAGGGGAAAAGTAGGCAGTCTCTCTACTAAGTATGATATTAGCTGTAAGTTTTTCATAGATGCTTTTTATCAGGCTTAGGAACTTCTATTGCTAGTTTTTAAAAGTGACTTTTTTAAATTATGAAAGAGTATTAAATTTTACCAAGTGCTTTTTTGCATCTATTAAGATTGTTGTGTGTTTTTTCCTTTATTGTAAAGGCATGGTGTATTAAAATAATCTATTGTTAGATATTAAGCCAACTTTCCATTCCTGGGATAAATCCCACTTGATTATGGTGTAAATCCTTTTTACACATTGCTGGATTCAATTTGGTAGTAATTTGTTCAGAATTTTTGCATCTGTACTCATAAGAGATACTGGTCTGTAGTTTTCTCTTCTTGTGATATCTTTGTTTTTGGTATTGGGCTATTATCAGGCTCATAGGAAGAGTTGGAAAGTGTTGGCTTCTGTTGTATTTTTTGGAAGATTTTGTGAAAGATCAGTATAATTCTTTAGTAAATGTTTGGTAGAATTCCTCAGTGCTGTGCTTTTCTTTGTGGGAATCTTTTTTCTTTTCTTTTCTTTTTGGTTTTTTTGTTTTGTTTTGTTTTGTTTTGTTTGAGACAGGCCCTCACTCTGTTGCCCAGACTGGAGTGCAGTCTCACTGCAGCCTTGACCTCCTGGGCTCAAGCAATCTTTCCACCTCCATCTCCCAGAGTAGCTGGGTCTACAGGCACACACCACTGAACCTGGCTAATTTTTATTTTTTGTATTTGTAGAGATGGGGTTTCACCATGTTGCCCAGGCTAGTCTCAAACTTCTGAGCTCAGACCATCCACCCACCTCAGCCTTCCAAAGTGCTGGGATTACAAGCTTATACCACTGTACCTGGCCTAGATTTTTTCTTTTATTACTAATTCAATCTCTTTTCTATGACTATTTATATCTTCTATGTTTCCCTAGAATCAGTTTTGGAGTTTGTGTCTTTCTAGGAATTTGTCCATTTCACCTAAGTCATCTAATTTGTTGGCATACAGATGTCCATAGTATTTCCTCACAATTCTTTTTTATTTCTGTAAGTTGGTGGCAATGGCTTCTCATTCATTTCTGATTTTAGTAATTTGATTTCTCTCTCTTTTCTGTCAGTCAGCCTAGGTAAAGGTTGGCCAACTTTGTTGATCTTTTACAAGAACCAACTTCTGGCTGGGCGTGGTGGCTCACACCTGTAATCACAGCACTTTGGGAGGCCAAGGCGGGCAGACTGCCTGACGTCAGGAGTTCATGACCAGCCTGGCCAACGTGGTGAAACCCCATCTCTACTAAAAATACAAAAATTAGCTGGGCGTGGTGGTGCGCACCTGTAATCCCAGCTACTCAGGAGGCTGAGGCAGGAGAATCGCTTGAACCTGGGAGGTAGAGGTTGCAGTGAGCCGAGATTATGCCATTGCACTCCAGCCTGGGTGACAAGAGTGAGACTTCGTCTCAAAAAAAAAAAAAAAAAGCAAACAAAAACCAACTTTTGATTTTGTTGATTTTCTCTATTGTTTTTCTAATTGTTATTTCATTAAATTCCTCTCTAATTCTTCTTATTTCCTTTCTTATGCTTGCTTTGGGTTTAGCTTGCTGTTCTTTCACAGTGTCTTACTGTGGAAGGTTAAGTTGTTGATTTGAGATCTTTTTTCTTTGTTATTATAAGTATTTACAATTATAAATTTATCTGTAAGAACTGCTCTAGCTGCCTCCCGTAAGTCTATGTCTCACTCTTTACTTTTAGTTTGTACAGCCAGCATTTGACTTATTTTTTATTGTGATAAAATATATGTAACATAAAATTTACCATTTTAATTGTTACGTCTGACTTTTGCATAAATGCTTCAATCACAAACTTTCGGCAGAACTTTTAGGACAAGAAACAGAGAGACAAACCGACAGATAATTATGATAAGTATGGCAAATGACAATTTTGTGTAACAGAGAGACTTTCAGATTGAGTCAAGACTCGGCCAGTTTTTTTCTGGACAGCATTGGTCTCCACGACCCAACATGCATTTGAACAAGAAGTGCAGACTATAAATGGAATAGGCAGAAATTTAGAGAGCCGTGGGACTCTGCAGATGCTCAGTAGCTTATTTACTCCTCCACGACAAAGATTTCTTTCAAAAGAGAGTTAATAGATAAGTTACAAATCAAGGTTGAAAACTCAACAAATCACTTTAGCATCCCAACAAAGTCTCACACTGAGTCATGCATTGGAAACTGCTGACCAGGATTCAGGTTATAACTCCACAAACAAGAAAGGCATTATTGCTGTTGAGTGACTCACCACAAAAAGCAGCAGAGCCCCTGACCGTGGGCTCAGCCCTTTGAGCTGAGGGCTCACACTCCTCAGATTGGGCTGTCCACTGCTCCAGACAAGGAGAATCGACAAGGCAATCTTAGTGGAATCTCCAGAATTGTTAAAGGAAAGGCAATGAATGCCACAGTGATAGAAAAATAGAACACTGGATTTATTTACTTGCTAGGCAACAGCCACGCCCGGCTAATTTTTAAACTTTTGTAGAGATGGGGTCTTGCTATGTTACCTAGGCTAGTCTCAAACTCCTGGCCTGAAGGGATCCTCCTGCTTCAGCCTCCTAAACTGCTGGGATTACAGGTGTGAACCACCACACCCAGCCCTTTGTTTTTTATTAATTGCACAGAAATCCTTTCTATTCTCACTAAAACTTTTTAAAACAATGTTTTTAGTGAGCACAATGTGACTGAATAAGCTTCATTATGTTCTTAAACCTTGATTCAGCACTCTGAGATGCAGAAGGTAAAACAGTGGTTCTCAGCTGGCAGGGTTTTGTCTGCCACCACTCTGGGGACATTTGGCAATGTCTGGAGATGGTTTTGGTTATGACTTGCAGGGACTATGCCCTTGGAATCCTGTGGATAGAGACCAGTGGTGTTCAGGATAAACCCCCACCACCAAGGATCACTGGGCTGGAAACATCAGCAGTGCCGAGGTGGAGAAGCCCTTAGCTGGAAGAGCTGGCCCTGCAGCAGGCACTCTGGGCTGCCTGGCCCATAGCCACTGTTTTTTGCTGGCAGAGCCTCGCCATAGAAACTGACAAGGCCAGATTCCTTTTGATTTCCCTTTCCCCTTCCTTCCTTGCAGAAAGGACTGAGCCAATTCTGATCAGCAGGCAGCAGCCATTACCCTCTGAAGGTCAACGCAGTTAGGTGCAGTGACAGACACACTTGGAGGTGCCACAGCCTCCTGCGTGTCCTTGTACTCCATGTCCATTTGGTCTTCTTCACTGTGGGGCATCCTCCTGGCCAACAATAACTCCGACCATCTTCAGGTGCTTGGCTGAAGAAATAGCTTGCTGTAGATGTCTCCTCTGCTTTCATGGACCAGCGTTGGCAGTGCGACGAGCTTGATTTCTCAGACCAGCTAGTTGGTGACTCCTCCGCTCTGCACACTTCCCTCTCATACCTTCTCTTCTCTAGCTCCTCCTGCAACTGGCAAGGTCTCGTTCCCGTAATAGATCTCTCATCCCATGACCCATTCTGGTTCTGCCCACCTGAGGAACCCTGGAGGATGCCCCTGAATATTACCATCTGCAGTGGGCAGTGTTCTCTCTGTCCCTTGAGGTTATGAAATTTCCATCTTGTTCAACTTCAGAGAAGTAGAGTATGTTCTAGCCCAGGAAGGACACTCACTCTCTCACTCACTCTGATTTTGGCAGGTTCTAAATCTGTCATAACCTCACACATCCAGTTATTCATGGACAAGGGAACATGAGCTCAATCTGACTTCTGCTTTTGGAGAGAAAGTGGGTGACCTGATGTGTTTCTGAGAAATGAGTCTAGGGAGGTGTGTGCCCCACTCTCTGCTCACTGCATATGTCCCCATTGCAAGCACATTTGTACCCCAGTGCTCATCTTTACCTTTATGATGTCCTCCCAGGTGAGAAATCACCCAAGTGGTCATTGCCACCCCCTACTATTTCAGTGTTTGGGGTTTTGGAAATGATTTACTGACATTGTATCAGAGCATAGTAACATTTAATCAGGGGCTGGCTTTCTCAAGGACAAATATTTTCTGACATCAGTTCCTAAGCAGAAGAGGCCAACAGCATCTGAGGATCCCTTTGTTTGGGTTTCTGGCAGTTACCTCCCTTCCCAGGGTGAACAGTGACTCTGCTGTATGAGGATTTACTTATCTTCCTGTCCTGTGTTTTTGACATTCTGAACAAAGTTTCTGGGGAGTAAACTTTATGTTTAAACCATGTTTATGTTAAGCTTTATCTGTTCAAAAATCAAGTATATATAGTTGATCATAAAATAATGACATTATAGAAAATGTGAACAAATATAGAAATGTTTTTGGTGGAACATAAGTCACTCTAAATCTCTCAACCCAGAAATACTGCTGTCACCATCTTGAGCATTTCAGTCTCATCTCTGGAATATATTTAGCTATATTCATGTCTTACAAAATTAGGGTCAAATTACATATACTGAGGAGGCAGCAAACTTTAAAAATAAAATAACCCCTGACTCACAGACTGAGGGAATAATATAATTTGAATTTGTGAGAGAGAAAAAATTATGTTGGTGTCAGGGTTGTTTTTCAGATAATTCTGAGATGGTGGCAGGAGCGTCGTATCAGGGTCTTGCTTCTCTAAAGTCCTGGATGTGGTGATGGACTACTGGCATAATATTGCTGTGTAGCAGACAACTTCACAATTTCAGTGGCTTGTAGCAACCAATGTTCATTCTTCATGCACAGCTGTGCAGGCCACTGGGCTCAGCTGCACTGGGCTCTAAGCTGCAGGGCGGCCTCTGATGTGCCCCACGGGTTCCTCCTCCTTTGATCAGCAGCACCTGGACGTGTTCTCATGGTGAAGGGCCAGAGCCCAGGAGCTGAGCCAACTGTACGCACAAGCACATTCCAGGACTTTGCCCACACCTCAACTGCTAACGTTCCATTGGCCAAAGCAACAGTTGCGACGTGAGGAAACGCCCCTCGTCCACAGCAGGCATGAGGGGAGGAGAAAATCATCCCAATGGCCACACGCGACGAGATTGCTTTTCCATCCCCGTGAAGAGCTACAGCTTTGGTGAGAGTTGCAGGAGCTGGTTTAGGCTTGGAATGAGCTGCAAAGAGGGCCTGCTTTAGCACCAGGCAGAGTTTCTCTTTCTTTCTGTCCTTGAAGACTGAACCAGCTCCTCTTTTTCTGTGTCTGTATCTCTGGCTCCTGCACAGGGGGATTTGGCTCGCCATGAGAAGGAGACATTTGTTGTCAAATAGATTTATGTTCTGGAGGGCTTTTTCTTCCAGAGCAGCCTTACCTCATCAGAATGTGGAAGGGACCTGGCTCAAGAGGTCCCAGTATCGACGACAGCAGCCAATATTTTAGACAAATCTTTTCCTTGCCTCAGCAGTGGAGGCTCCATCCTGATTTTATAAGACAGGAGCAGGTCTGCAATTAAAGCCCATAAATCACAGGTGGCTGGAGCAGACACCTCTGTTTTGATTCCTGGATAAGCTGTGGTCTCACATCATCAACAGCGCATGGCTGGGGCTTGAATGATCAGTCTCAGATGACCTGAACTCACAGGGAGAGGCCTACACGGGGTCTGTTTCCGTGGACCCCCTAGGTGTGCTGTGGCTGCACCCTGGGGAGCCTTCTCTCGCTATTCCTTGGCAGGAGAATGGGTCATCGTGGCCTAGTCCTGCCACACTTCCGAGCTCCTCTGTGTCCTCTGTGTCCCCTGTCCCATGCACGGGGTGCACATCCCGCCCTACAGTGCAGGACTCCTGAGCACACTATGGACGAGGCTGGGTGTCTCAGGCTCATGGGAGACCCAGCATGGCCCCTGTGATATTGTGAACCCCGTTTCCTGGCACATGACTCTTGAAATCCTTAGCAACTACACAGTGATGTCTTTTTGCACATGAATGAACTGACTGCTGGCTGGCAGCACCTAGGAAGGTTGGGGCTGGTTACGAGCAACACCTAGGCAGGATTAGAGGGTTAGGACTTTCAGCCCAACCCCCCAACGTGGAGGTTGAGTTGATCACCAATGGCCAGTGGTTTAATCAGTCATGAAGCTTCCATAAAAACCCTAAGGAGGCCGGGTGCGGTGGCTCATGCCTGTAATACCAGCACTTTGGGAGGCCGAGGCGGGCAGATCATGAGGTCAGGAGATTGAGACCATCCTGGCTAACACGGTGAAACCCCGTCTCTACTAAAAATACAAAGAATAGCCGGGTGTGGTGGCAGGCGCCTGTAGTCCCAGCTACTCGGGAGGCTGGATGGCAGGAGCTTTTGGATGGCTGAACACGGGGAGCTTCTTGGAGGGTGGTCCCTGGGGAGGGCGTAGAAGCTTCGTGCTCCCTCTTCCATGCCTCACCCTGTGCATCTCTTCATTTGTGTCCTTTGTGATCAGCCACTAAAGGTAAGTTAAGTGTTCCCCTGAGTTATGTGAGCTGCTCCAGCAAATTAATCAAACCAAAAGAGGAGCCATGGGGACCCCAACTTGAAGCCAGTCAGGCAGGAGTTCTGGAGGCCCCGGACTTGTTGCTGGTATCTAGCGGGGCTGGGAAGGGGGGTAGTCTTGGGCACAGAGCCCTCACCCTCTGGGATCTGATACTCTCTCCAGGTAGACAGTATTGGAACTGAATTGGGGGATACCCAGCTGGTGTCCACTGCAGAACCGATTGCTTGTTTATTTTTGGGGAGAAATCCCTGCACATTTGGCCATAGAAGTCTTCTGTGTTGATTTTTGTGGGGTGAGAGTAGAAAAAGCATTTTGGGTTTTATGGGAGTTTTTTTCTACTTTTACAGCCCCAAACAGGAGTGGGGGTTGTAGGGAAGAGGTGGGCGGAGCCTACTGCAAGTTGCAGGGCTATATCCAAGCTCTGCTGGGAGGGGATCGTGTGCACTTGTCCTGGGAGGGGGTCCTGGCACAGGAGCCAGCACCAAAGGGTGACAGTTCTTACCCTTACCCCACAGGGCAAGTGGGGTAAAGACATGCTCTAAGCTTGTCTGGCAAACCGGCTAATCCTCCTGCACACCGAACCTTAGGGTCTCCGCCACCCTCCCCTACAGCAGGCACTTGGCATCTGGTGCACATGAAGGGGCATCTGAAGACCTCGTCTCCAGGGCATCCCCAGCCACCACACCAGAGGTGCCAGGTGTGGCCAGCTTGGTGTGGCTGCCAGTGGAAAGTAACAGCCCCACCACTGGCAGAACCCAGGTAAGACCCCGAGCAGTGAGCCCCTCATGAAACCCCCACCCCGTTTTTTCTTTTTCTTTTTTTTGAGATGAAGTCTCCACCCAGGCTGGAGTGCAGAGGCACGATCTCGACTCACTGCAACCTTCGCCTCCCGGGTTCAAGCGATTCTCTCGCCTCAGCCTCCCGAGTAGCTGGGATTACAGGCACCCGTCACCACGCCCAGTGAATTCTTGTATTTTTAGTAGAGACAGTTTCACCATTTTGGCCAGGCTGGTGTTGAACTCCCGAGCTCAGGTGATCCTCCCACATCGGCCTCCCAAAGTGCTGGGATTACAGGCGTGAGCCACCGTGCCCGGCCCCCTCACCCCATTTCACAAAACTTAAGTGTGTGGACACTAAAATAGTTTCCTTCTGACATTTCTGATTGCAAAATTGTGCATGAACTGATTGAAGCTGATCTTTTCCCTCCCCACCCTTCTATTTTTGTCCCTCCTTTCCTGGTTCAGCTGGGCCCTTTTAAAAACACTGAAGGCTCCACTCCATGTCATACCAAATACATTTCAATGCCCGCCCCCCCCAACATCAAATGCAATTTTATATTCCTACATGTAAATTGAATTACAATGGATTATTTGACATAAAATACATCTTATAGATCTATGGATGTTAATGTTGATTTTCTTTTCTTTCAAAAGTTGGAATCAATATTTCCTCCAACCCCTCCCTCTCCCTGAAGCCTCGGGGACCTTGGAAAGCTGGTACATGTGCTTATTCAGCCTTTTGGGCAATTCAGTGGGACCTGACACATGTTGTCATCCTGCCCTGGAGAAGGCTGACAGTTGGTGGTGCCAGTCTCTGCACTTTCACAGAATCCTGGGGCACACTGAAGGCAGTTTCTGAAGAACTTACTCCCACGGGAGTTTGGAGTGGAAATGTTCCTCCAACTAAAAGTTTACTCATTCAGCAATCACAATTCATTCATGCTGGATGCAATCCTAATGCCAACGTTTGTTTCCTTCCTGACATCGCACCTGAATCAAGGTCAGGCCAGACCTCTGAAGCCTCATCCTCATGCAACTTGTCTCACAGTGGAGAGTGGCTGGTCTCTCTGCATTACCGTCCAAAATCACCTGTACCCCCTGCAAGACTGGGCTTCCAGGAAGAAACCAGGT
This sequence comes from Homo sapiens, assembly GCF_000001405.40. Classification (NCBI taxonomy): domain Eukaryota; kingdom Metazoa; phylum Chordata; class Mammalia; order Primates; family Hominidae; genus Homo; species Homo sapiens. The sequence continues at coordinate 1,804,501 of NW_011332701.1, read as the reverse complement.
GGGAAACCTGATGTAAAACCAACAGGTAGAGGCAGCAGAGGGAGGATCCAGCCACGGGCTGAGACTTGCCAGGGACCTTTGCGGCTTGCTCTTGGGACCTGCCCAGGCTGGAGTGCAGTGGTGGGATCTCGGCTCACTGCAACCTCTGCCTCCTGGGTTGAAGCAATTCTCCCTGCTTCAGCCTTGTGAGTAGCTGGGATTACAGGTGCCTACCACCATGCCTAGCTAATTTTTGCATTTTTTTTAGTAGAAACAGAGTTTTGCCATGTTGACCAGGCTGGTCTTGAACTCCTGATGTGAGGTGATCCACCTGCCTCAGCTTCCCAAAGTGTTGGGATTACAGGCATGAGCCACCGTGCCTGGCCTCTGTTAACCTGATTCTTTATCATTTTAGTAAACAGGTTATAAGACATTTCTGTATTTGAAAATAAAAGAAACATTGACTCCAACATTCTGAGGAAAAAAATCCAGGAGTTTCTAGCTACAAAATAAAAGACAGCATAAAAAAGCAGCTGGCTTTCTGGTCCTAGACAAGTAGATTCACTTCCCTCTGCTCCTTTTTGTTAAGTAAAACTAAAAACCCTGGAAATAATTTAATGGATAATCATAAGGACCCTTGGAAAAGTAAAAAGAGGCAGGCAGCCTGGTTCGAGAACTCAAGACTTGAGGACTGAGGTGGTGGCGACACTCTGGGTTTTCTTTTTATCTTTGCTATATTCTGGACTGGGTGCTAGAGAAGCCTGCAATCCAGAACCACCATAAGGCACAGATGGAAAATAAAGCTTGAAGAAAAACCTTATTTATCTAGCAGAGACAGGGAAATGGGCAGCCCACAGGACGGAAGTCCTTTTTGATAATATCCACTTTACCTCCAGCTAAGTGCACACCTTAGCAACTCCAGCACTGCAGTGAAGTCTCAAAGGAGAGTCTAGACTCCTATGCCCCGCCCAGCAGCAGCAGGCAGCCTGGGCTGGTGCCATCAGCAGAGGCCAGGGAGGGGGTGTGGACTCCCACTCCCATCCACCAGGGCCAGGTGGCAGCTGTTGGCAGCAAGTTGTTGGCAGCTGTTGGCAGCAAGTTCCTTCCCTACTGGCATGGTGTCCACAGAGATGGAGTGGGGAGTCTGGACTTCTGTCCCCACCCCCAGCTAGACATGGGGAAGAGGATCTCAGATAGGAAAAAGCTGGAGAAAATGATTCTTTAAGCCCTGCCTAGAAGGTCTGGCGCAGACAGCTGATCAACCCAAAGGTAAAAACTGACCAGTTCAACACATCAAAAGATTAGAACTGGACCAGTGTGAAAGTTTCACACATGCAGATGTACATACGCATTGCAGAGTGCCCCGCAGGTGGCACACTAACAAACTTGACTACAGTAGCACTACAGGGGCTCTGAAAACTCAGTCGTCATTGGACCCGCAGCCTAAGGGACTTGCATCCTAAGTCTAAACGGGGAAACTGCCTGCTAAAATGGAAACTTTAAAGAAGACAGACCCTGAGTCTTCTAACATAGTACCCAAAGTCTCCAAGATACAATCAAAGACCGCTTGTCATGCCAGGAACCCAGAAAATAACTTGAATGGCCACAGACCACAAACAAAAGCACACATGAAGATGATTCAGCAGTTGAAATTTGCTGATGAAGATTTCAAAGCCGCCATCACAAAAAGTTTCAACAAGCAATTACAAATACTCCTGAAACAAGTAAACATAGAAAGTCTCAGCAAAGAAATAGAAGATGTAAAAAAGGAACTAAATGAAAATCATAGAACTAAAAATACAGGAACTGAAAGAAACAGTTTGCTGAATGAGCTCCGTACTAGCTTAGAGATGACGGAGAATAAAATTAGTGAATGTGAGAATAGAGAAATAAAATTTACTCAATCTAAATAATACAGGCTTATGCCTGTAATGCCACCATTTTGAGAGGCCGAGGCGGGGGATCACCTGAAGTGAGGAGTTCGAGATCAGCCTGGCCAACATGGTGAAATCCCGTCTGTACTAAAAATACAAAAATTAGCGTGGTGGTGAGCACCTGTAATCCCAACTACTCGGGAGGCTGAGGCAGGAGAATCACTTGAACCCGGGAGGTGGAGGTAGCAGTGAGCTGAGATCATGCCACTGCACTCCAGCCTGGGTGACAGAGCAAGACTGTGTCTCAAAAACTAAGTAAATAAATAAATAGAGAAAATAGCCTGGGGGAAAAAAATGAACAAAGTCTCATAACCTGCAGGACAATGACAAAAGAACTAGCGTTTATGTCATCAGAGTTCCAGGATAGGAGAAAATTTGTGAAGCTGAAAAGGCGCCAGAAGAAATAATGGCTGAAAATTCCCCAACTTTGGTGCAAGGCATAAACTTAGATTCAAAAAGCTAAGTGAATCTCAAACAGAATAAAACCAAAAGAATCCACATCAAGATACATTATAATAAAACTTCTGAAAACTGAAGACAAAAATCCCCAAAAAACACAATTGAAAGCAGCTAGAAAGAAACGATGAATTAGTTACAGGGGAACAATGATTTGAATGACAGAATGTTCATCATCTGAAACCATGGAGACCAGGAGGAAGTAGCCCAGCATTTTTCAAGGGCTGAAAAATAAAGAATTATAAACCCTATGTCCTAAAACTAGTGAAAGTACCATTTATTTCTGAAGGATAAAGACATTCGCAGACAAAGGAATAGAATTTGTTGCCATCAGATTTACTCTTTTTAAAAATTTTATTTATTTATTTATTTTAATTTTTGAGACAGGGTCTCATTGTGTCACCCGGGCCGGAGTGCGGTGGCATGCTCTCGGCTCACTGCACCCTCCGCCTCCTGGGTTCAAGCGTTCTGCTGCCTCAGCCTCCCGAGTAGCTGGGATTACAGGTGTGCACTACCATGCCCCGCCAATTTTTGTATTTTTAGTAGAGATGGGGTTTCACCATGTTGGCCAGGCTGGTCTCGAATTCCTGGCCCCAAGTGATCCACCTGCTTTGGCCTCCTGAAGTGCTGGGATTACAGGCATGAGCCACCATGCCCAGCCAAATCTACTTTTAAAGAACAGCTAAAGAAACAAAATGCAAGTGATAGCAGATGGAGATGACAGAAAGAGGAAAGGAAATACAGAATGAAAGAAAAAAACAATAGAATAAGTAAAAAGGGCAAACGTAATAGACTATCCTTCTCCTTATGCAATTATATTTGATGGTTAAAACAAACATTATAATGCCATCTGGTATGGTACTCAGTGTATATAGAAGTACTTAAAACGATATTTAAAAATTGGAGAGGGCAAAGGGAAATAAAGGGAAGTAAAGTTTCTACACTTGACTATGGTAAATGTCAATACTAGTAGACTGCGATATGCTTCATATATTTTGGTATACCTAGAGCAAACACTAAGAAAATTATTCAAATGAATAAAAAACATTATGAACAAATCAAAATGAAATTCTAAATAACATTCAGGTAATCCACAAGAAATCAAGAAGAGGTACACAAAGGAACAAGAACTGGAGACAACACACAGGAGATCAATAATAAAATGGTAGACTTGAGCCCTAATCGATTAATAATTATTTTTAATATAAATGATCTCTGTAAAATATAATTAGTGACGAACTGAAAAACAGAGATTGGAAGAATGGATTAAAAAATGACCCATCTATGTGATGCACCTAAGAAACTCACTATAATGACATAAGTAGATTGAATATAAAAGGATGGAAAAGATATGCCATGCCAACTGGAGTGGCTTCATAACAGATATAGTAGACTTCCAAGAGAAAATTACCAGGGACATTACATAATGATAAAAAGATGCAACCTGGCCGGGCATAGTGGATTACACATCTAATCCCAGCACTCTGGGAGGCCGAGGCGGGTAGAGCACTTGAGGTCAGGAGTTCAAGACCAGCCTGGCCAACACGGTGAAATGCTGTCTCTACTAAAATTACAAAAATTAGCCGGGTGTGTTGGCGCCCACTTGTAATCCCAGCTACTTGGGAGGCTGAGGCAGGAGAATCACTCAAACCCAGGAGGTAGAGGTTGCAGTGAGTCAAGATGGTGCCACTGCACTCCAGCCTGGATGACAGAGTGAGGATCTGTCTTAAATAAATAAATAAAGATGCAACCATCCAAAAACACACAGTGATCTTAAATGTGCATGTACCAAACACCAAAGGACAGAACATCAAAATGCATGAAGTAAAAACAGAACTGAAAAAAGAACTAGACGATTCCCCAATTATGGTTGGGTACTTGAATTCCCCTCTGTCAGCAATTGATAGAAATATTAGATAGAAAATCAGCAAAGATACAGATGAACTGAACATCACCATCAATCAACATGATCTAATGGACATCGATAGAATATTCTAAGTGACAACAGCATAGTATACATTCTTTTCAAGCACCGTGGAACATTTAAGATAGATGAAAACCTGGATCATAAAAAACAAACCTTCACAAATGTAAAGAGAGTAAGATCACATAGAATAATTTCCTGAATATATAAAGAACTCCTACAACTCAACAACAATAGTAACAAACCACAAGCAACTCAATTTAAAAATGGGCAAAGGACATGAATAGACATTTCTCCAAAGGAGCTGTACAAATGGCCAATAAACACATCAAAGATGTTAAACATTATTACTAGAGAAATGCAGATCAAAATGTAATATTACTTCATACCCATTAGGATGACTTATTATCCTCCCAAATTGAAAATGACAAGTGTTGGTGAGGATGTGAAGAAATTTAACCCTTGTGCACTGCTGGTAGGAATGTAAAATGATGCAGTCACTGTGGAAAACAGTTTGAGTTGTGCAAAAAGTTAAACATAGAATTACCTTACAATCCAGTCATCTAACTTCTGGGTATATACTTACACGGAATGGAAAGCAGAAATATAGGTAGTTGTTCATTGCTGTTCACAGCAGCATTATTCACAATAGGTGAAAAGAACCCAAGAGCCCACCAATGGATGGATGAATAAATGAAATATGGCACATACATACGATGAACTGAATTATTATCCAGTCTTAAAAAAGAAGGAAATTTTGACATATGCTACCACATGTGATGAACCTTGAAAACATGTGCAAAGTGAAATAAGCCAGACTCAAAAAGGCAAAGTGTATGATTTCACTTGTATGAAGCACCTAGGACTGGCAAATGTATAGACAGACAGTAGAATAGAGGTTACCAGGAACTAGCAAAACGGGGAATAAGGACTTACCATTTAATGGATAGAGTTTCAGTTTGAGATAATGAAAAAAATTCTGGAGATGGATACTGGTAATGGTAACATGACTTTTTTTTTTTTTTTTTTTTAGATGGAGTCTTGCTCTGTCACCAGGCTGGAGTGCAGTGGTGAGATCTTGGCTCACTGCAACCTCCGCCTCTCAGGTTCAAGCAATTCTCCTGCCTCAGCCTCCCGAGTAGCTGGGACTACAGGCATGCACCACCATGGCTGGCTAATTTTTGTATTTTTAGTAGAGACGAAGTTTCACCATGTTGCCCAGGATGGTCTTGATGTCTTGACCTCGTGATCCACCCACCTCGGCCTCCCAAAGTGCTGGGATTACAGGCGTGAGCCACCACGCCTGGCCTAACATGACATTTTGAATGCACTAATACCACTGAATTGTATACTTTAAAATGGCTTAAAAAGTCAGTTAGAAAAATAAAAGTGCCCATAGCTGCATGAAACGAAAACACATCACATCGAAATTTGTGACATGCAGCTAAAGCACTGCACAGAGGGAAATTTACAGCACCAAATGCTTATATTAGGAAAGAAGAAAGATCCTAAGGTCAAAAATTAAGCACCCACCCCAGGAAACCAGGAAAAGAAGGAAAAAATAACAAAGAGAAGAGCAGAAATCAAAGAAAAAGCTGGCTCTTTGAAAATATCAGTAAAAATGACAAAATTATCTCAAGACTGGCAACAATAAAGACAGTTTATTTTTATTTGTTTTTTTATTGTATTTGTTTTATTTGTCTTTATCATTTTATGATAAAAACCCTCAGCAAACTAGGTATGAAGGGGAACCTCCTAAACTTGAGTAAGATCATCTACAGAAAATCCTACAGTTGACATCATCTCAATGGTGAAAGCTCACGTTTTTCTTGTAAGATATGGAACAAGATAAGGATGTGTCCTGTCAAGTTTTCAGTCAGTAAAATAAGGCAAGAAAAGAAAATAAAAAGCATACAGCTCAAAAAGGAAGAAATAAAACTGTCCATATTTTCAGATGACCTGATTAGGTAAAAAATGCTAAGTAAGATACTGTATTAGTCTGTTCTCCTGCTGCTAATAAAGACATACTCAAGATTGGGTAATTTATAATGGAAAGAGGTTTAATGAACTCACAGTTCCACATGGCTGGGAGGCCTCGCAATTGTGGCAGAAGGCAAATGAGCAAAGTCACATCCTACATGGAGGCAGGCAAGAGAGCTTGTGCAGGGGAGCTCCCATTTATAAAACCGTCAAATCTCATGAGACTTATTCACTACCACAAGAACAGTATGGGGGAAACCGCCCCCATGATTCAATTGTCTCCACTTGGCCCTGCCTTTGACATGTCGGGATTATTACAATTCAAGGTGAGATTTGGGTGGGGACACAGCCAAACCCTATCAGAAATCTAGGAAAACTCCTAGAGCTAAGTGAGTATAGCAAAGTTTGAAGATACAAGATCAACACAGAAAAATCAATTGTATTTTTATGTACTAGCAACAACATGAAGAAACCATTCTAAGTTTGGGAGGCCGAGGTGGGTTGATCATATAGGTCACGAGTTCAAGACCAGCCTGGCCAACATGGCGAAACCCTGTCTCTACTAAAATACAAAAAAATTAGCCAAGTGTGGTGGCACATGCCTGTAATTCCAGCTACTTAGGAGGCTGAGGCAGGAGAATCACTTGAACGAGGGAGGCGGAGGTTGCAGTGAGTGGAGATCATGCCACTGCACTCCAGCCTGGGCACAGAGCAAAAAATAAAATAAAAAAGAAAAGAAAAAAATTGTTTTTTAAATAGCTAAAATATAAAAATAGGCATAACATGAAATCTTGGCAAGGATGTTGAGAAACTGGAATTCTCACACATAGCTAGTGGAAGTGTGAAAATGGTATAACCACTCTGGAAAATAAGTTTCTTTAAAAACTAGGCATGTACAACCAGGTGTGGAGGCTCATGCCTGTAATCCCAGCACTTTGGGAGGCTGAGGTGGGTGGATCACTTGAGGTCAGAGTTCAAGACCAGCCTGGCCGACATGGTGAAACCCTGTCTCCACTAAAAATACAAAAATTAGCCAGGTGTGGTGGCAAGTACATGTAGTCTTAGCTACTCGGGAGGCTGAGGCAGGAGAACTACTTGAGCCTGGGAGGCGGAGGTTGCAGTGAGCCGAGATGGTGCCACTGCACTCCAGCCTGAGCGACAGAGCCAGACTTCATCTCAAAAAGAGAACAACAAACTAGGCATGTACTAACAATACAACCCAGTAGTGAAATGGAAAGTTATATTCACACACAAACTTGTACACTCACAGCGATTTTATTCATAATAACCAAACAGTGGAAACAACCCAAATGTCCTTCAAAGGGTGAAGAGTTGAACAAACTGGTTCATCCATAAAAGAAAATATTACTCAGCAATGAAAACTATTGATGCATGCAGTAGCTTGGATGGATATTAAGGGCATTCATTTTACTTAGTAAAAACAGCCAATTTGAAATGGTTTTTTTAAAAAATATTGTACAAGTTCATTTCAAAACATCCTCAAAATGACAAAACTATAGAGATAGAGAACAGGTTAGTGGTTGCTGTTAGGGACGGGTGGGTGGATGGGTGAGCCTGGATAGGATGGGTATGAGATAGTTCCCCAGAGATGATAGAATGGTTCCGTATCCTGATCCTGACATTACATAAATCTACACATAGGGTAAAATTGCATAAAACTATACACACACACACACACACACACACACACACACACACAAATTAATGCAGGGTAAAAATAAGTGAAAACTGAGTAAGGTTGCAGTGTAATGTAGCAGTGTTAATTTCTTGGTCCTTGGCTCTCATGTTGCAATAGAGTTATAAAAGATGTCACCACTGGAGGAAGTAAGGTGAGGGAGGGCTCAACAAACTCTATTTCTTATTTTTACAAGTCCCTGTGGGTCTCCAATTATTTTGAAATAAATAGTTTTGTAAAAGCCAGCACTGATGCTGGTTCTTCTCCTTTAATATAGAATTTCTTAAATTCTGTAGTTAGAGCTCATGCAGTTCTCCAAAATAACATCACTGAACGACAGCTAAATCATGTGCTGTACTGGTTGGAGACAGAGTGGCATTTACATAAATCCAGCATTTGTAGAGAGACATAACCCTGATCAGATGGAGACATATTGCTTTAAACATAGCACAGGATCAAGAAAATGCATCCTTACACTACTCACACATTCGGTTAAGGGCCAGAAAACCGAGCTAGATGAACATTTTCTAGAAACTATATTGTACGTGTGTGTGTGTGTGTGCGCACGTGCATGTGTGCGCGTTATTGGGAGACAGAAGGAAAGAGATAAATCATTTTGATTTTCTGGTATCACAAAGTTAGAAAAGGTTGAAGTTAAATTTGGTCGTAAGAAATGAGAGAATGGATATTGTGTGAATCGTAGAATAACTATCATAGGATATAGACTAAGAAGACACAGAGTGCACGAAAACGTGGATAAACCAAGTCGAAAGTACCAGTGGGCAAAGGGAACTTATATCCTGGATATTTCATGGTTACAATTACCTTTATAACTAGAGGCCAAAAGAAGGGACTGGAAGCCTGGTGCGGTGGCTCACGCCTATAATCCCAGCACTTTGGGAGGCCGAGGCAGGTGGATCACCTGAGGTCAGGAGTTCAAGACCAGCCTGACCAACCAACATGATGAAACCGTCTCTACTAAAAATACAAAACTTAGCTGGGCGTAGTGGTGGGCGCCTGTAATCCCAGCTACTTGGGAGGCTGAGGCAGGAGAATCACTTGAACCCAGGAGGAGGGAGAGGGTGAGTTGAGGGTCTGGTGGAGATACCTTACCCTCCCTCCTTCCTGTCCCTGCAGGCTCATGCATGTGCCCCAACCCAGTAGTGACTTTTTTTCTCCTATTATCTGATTGCCTCCTTTTAGCACCTTCTTGATTTAAAAACAAAACCAGTGTGACACCTTCTGACATTGTGGTGTCCTCAACATCCTATCTGGAACTGGAGCTTTCATGAGTTCTGTATTGTTCTGATGGCGTTGACATCTCTGCCACCAGAGCCCAAGCTGCATGTAGTAAAGTCTTCAGCCTCTAAACCCAGATTGCCTGGGTTCAAACCTCATTTTTCACGTTTACTTGCTGCATGACCTTGAGCAAAACCTAACTCTGTGTCTAAACCCCAGTTCCCCTGCTGGAAAATGGTGCTAACTACAGTGTTAATGTCCTCAGCTTTGTGAGGATGAAGCTGAGTAAATTACAATTAGCTATGGTAACATCTGAAACTTTGGCTGCCTGTAGCTTGGGCACCATGGCCTTGGAAACCTGAACTTGAGCCCACTCAGGACATGGGGGTGCCAAGCTTTTCCTCGCTCAGAGGCTGGCTCTGCAAGACCATGTGTGTGTTTCAGCGTTGAGAAACATTGTCAGGGGAAGACGGCCCCAGGAGCTACCGAAAAACATTGATCCACTCTTTTTATTGTGTTTCAGAAAGGAATTCTTCATTCTTCACCTTCTCCCATAACTCTTTGTCCAAAGATAATTTAACAAAGTATAAAGGAGCATTATAGCTTTTGCTGTAAAATTTAACTGCTACACTAGGAACTCAAACATCATCGTAAAACCACTGATGATGATGTTTGGGGTGGAAGTGTTCGCAGATGGTCACCCAGCTTCCCAAAGGAAGTTCTCAGCTTCAGAGTTCAGGGGCATTGCATATCACTATGACAAGCCTCAGCCTCACACCGCTCTCTGCCATCTGGAAGGACTCGTTCATCTCCACGGCCACCTCGCCAGCCTCTGGTGCTGACTTGGCAGAACTAATGAGAACAGTGAATGCCTGGCTACACAATTAGGACAAAATAAAACACATGCCGGGGTTTAAGTAAACTTCCATTTTCCTTTTCACAGAAGCAAACCTTGAAACAATTGGAGAGGAGAGGCTTGAGGTCAGGGCATCCCCTCTCACCTGCTCCAGTTGACCAAAGAGGACCAACAGGTCTCGGCTGTTGGAGTTTATTCTCAATAACACCTTCTCCTTGGTAGTTTCAACATTTCTCCTTAGGTTTTTTATAAAAGTTATGGTGAAAAACACATATAATAAAATTTACCATTTTGGCTGGGCGTGGTGGCTCACGCCTGTAATCTTAGCACTTTGGGAGGCCGAGGCCAGCAGGTCACTTGAGGTCAGGAGTTCAAAACCAGCCTGGTCAACATGGTGAAACCCTGTCTCTACTAAAAATACAAAAAAATTAGCCGGGCGTGGTCATGGGCACCTGTAATCCCAGCTACTTGGGAGGCTGAAGCAGGAGAATTGCTTGAACCTGGGAGGCAGAGGTTGCAGTAAGCCGAGATCATGCCATTGCCCCCAGCCTGGGCAACAGAGCTAGACTCCATCTCAAAATAAAATAAAATAAAATAAAATAAACTATTTTAACCATTTTAAGTGTACAGTTAGTAGTGTTAAATACATTCACAGTGTTGTGCAGCCATCCCCATCATCTATCTCCAGGACTCTTTTCATCTTGCAAAACTGAAACTGTGTCCCCATCCCCTCCCCACTGCATGGCCCCTGGCAACCACCATGTTACTTTCTGTCTTTGTGAATTTGATGAGTCTAGGCACCTCATATAAGTGGAATAACGCGGTATTTGTTCTTTTGTGATTAGCTCATTTCACTTAGTAGAAATGTTGTCCTCAATACTATTCCATTGTATGAATCCACCACATTTTGTTTATGTACTTGTCTGTGGATGGATGCTTGGCTTGCTTCCACTTTTTGGTTAATGTGAATGATAGTGCTTCGAACGCAGTGTACAAATATCACTTCAAGACCCTGCTTTCTTTGGCATGTATACTCAACAGTGGAATTTTTGGATCATATGGTAATTCTATTTTTAAGTTTTTGAGGAACTGCCATCCTGTTTTACATAGTGCCTGCACTATTTTACATTCCTACCAACAGTGCACAAGGGTTCCGATTTTTCCACATCCTCACCAATACTTATTTTCTGGGTTTTTTTTTTTTTTTTTTTTGATAGTGGCCATCCTAATGGTGCGAGCTGCCCCCTTACTTTTTTTTTTTTTTTTTTTTTTTTTTTTGAGACAGAGTCTCACTCTGTCACCCAGGCTGGAGTGCAGTGGCACGATCTCGGCTCACTGCAAGCTCCGCCTCCTGGGTTCACGCCATTCTCCTGCCTCAGCCTCCCGAGTAGCTGGGACTACAGGCGCCCGCCACCACGCCTGGCTAATATTTTTGTATTTTTAGTAGAGACAGGTTTCACCATGTTAGCCAGGATGGTCTCGATCTCCTGACCTCGTGATCCACCTGTCTCGGCCTCCCATAGTGCTGGGATTACAGGCGTGAGCCACTGTGCCCCGCCTATTTTTTTTATTTTTAGTAGAGACGGGGTTTCACCGTGTTAGCCAGGATGGTCTTGATCTCCTGACCTTGTGATCCGCCTGCCTCGGCCTCCCAAAGTGCTGGGATTACAGGCATGAGCCACTGCGCCTGGCCGCCCCCTTACATTTTAAGCAGGAGCAACTACTGCCAGCGCCATTTCTCAAATGCAGTAATGGTGGTGCCTAAGGCAAGACCTGGGAGAGCAGCACGATGAGACCCTGAGAGTCCACCCGGCTCCTCCCACATGCCTGGGATAATCGATACTGTCTGCTTCCAGAGGTCAGGCTGCATCTTTTGCATGTCTTTATTCTCAGCTTCTAACAAGAAACATCCAATAAATGAACTGATCAAATGAGAGGGATTTGTTCTTCCTTTCTCTCCATTTCCTGCCCTTTTCCCCACCTCTCAGTAAGATGAACCCTCTGTCTGCCCAAGCAAAGCCTCTGGGACAGGGGACAGTGGCTCAGAAACAGCCAGGCAGTTTCCATGAACTCCTTCTTCCCACTTATTTCTTTGGCCTCATCAGTCAGTGTGGAAAAGAGCCTAGCAAAACCATTATTTTTCCTTTTCATTTATTTATTTTAGAGACATGGTCTCACTCTGTCGCCCAGGCTGGAGTGCAGTGGTGTGATCATATTTCATCGGAGCCTGGAACTCCTGAGCTCAAATGATCCTCCTGCCTCAGCCTCCCAAGTAGCTGGGACTATAGGTGTGAGCCACTGCACCTGGCCCAGACCCATTCTTGAGATTTGCAAGGTGGAGGGGAAAACAGCAGCCACCTTGCTCAGAATGTCAGTGCAGGCACCACAAGCTTCACAGCCCAGGTGCACTGTCCCTGACCTGCCGGCCCACCTCCTGGGCATGGGAGAGCAACCCGGCCTGCAGCAACCACTTCCCCCCGGTTTCTCCCAATTCCCTGTCTGCTGGGCCAGGTAGTTCATGCTCAGCTCCATGGCAAAGGCACCAGCTTCTCCTGCAATTCACCTGACAGGTGCTTCCCAGAGGTAGGGAGAAGCCCAGGAGGGCTCCAAACTCATTCTCCAGGGTGAGCTTGTCCTTTTCCTCACTTTGTGTCATCTGTCCTTCCTCACAGCTGACCAGGCACAGAAGCAAAAAACGTACATAAACTCTAACCAGTTCCCACATTTGCATGAGATCAAATTCCTATAATAAACCCCCACATTCTATATCATCCCATTGGTTCTGCTTCTGAGGCTTCACAGACACAGAACCACTCACTGGGACTGAGATGCGGGAAAGCTGGAATGGATCCTCCAGTTAGAGTCTGAGGGTGAGATTCAGGGAGCAAACTGTGAGTCATGGGAGGACAGGGCTCACAGAGGCCATGAGAGATGGCCCAGAAACCAGAAAAGCCACCTGAGGCAGAGACAGGAGAACCTCCAGGCACGTGGCCAGGAGTGGGAGGATGAGCCTGGTGATGAGATCAGGGGATGGCCAGGAGGGTGGGTGTCAGGAAATCCGTAGCCTCTACCCTGCACCTGCATGGGACAAGAGAGTGAAGCTCCAAGAGCACCGACCTCTTCTTTCCTGAGCAGTCAGAGTTCCATTTGTCCACTACTGCAATGAGACAGGTGACACTTTGTCTTTCACAGGCACTTTTCAGTACTGTGTCTGTCCCTCTAGAGGCACTGGATAAGCGTGTAGGCACTGGAGTTGATAGGCCTGGGTTTGTGTGTGTCCCAGCTACACCATGACCAGCCATGGGATATTTAGCGAGTTATTTAACCCTCAGTGTTTCAGTTTCCCCATCTGTAAGTAAGGATGTCTATCTCATGAGGTTGTTGTGACTTATTTATTTATTTATTTTTGAGATGGAGTCTCGCTCTGTCACCCAGGCTGGGAGTGCAGTGACACAACCTAGGCTCACTGCAACCTCCGCCTCCTGGGTTCAAGCAATTTTCCTGCCTCAGCCTCCCAAGTAGCTGGGATTACAGGCGCCAGCGACCACACCTGGCCAATTTTTTGTATTTTTAGTAGAGATGGGGTTTCACCGTGTTAGCCAGGATGGTCTTGATCTCCTGACCTTGTGATCCACCTGTCTTGGCCTTCCAAAGTGCTGGGATTACAGGCGTGAGCCACCGCGCCCAGCCATGCATGCAAAACAGCTAGCACATGCCTGACACACAAAGAGTACTCAGAAAGGGTGATTTCGCTTCAAAACTCAAATGGGCCCCTGCCGGGTGGCTCTGCACTGGGAGTGTGGTCCTCCTCCACTCCAGCCGCAGCCAGGGGAATCTTCCAGCTCTTGTCTGCTTAGGCTCTGTCTCCTGCATGTAACTTTCTTCCTTTGGTTTCTCCAGGGGTTGTCTTAGCGTCTTCTGTGCTTTCTCACCAAGGGTGTTTTGGCCCTTTCTTGAGAGCCAGGCTGAGTCACCCTCCTGTGTGTCTCTCCTAAGTCTGTGGGTGCTGCCACCCTGGGGTGGGAGGGCCATGTGACCAGATCAGTCTCCTTCAGGGCACACTGCTGGCAGCCACCACCCATCAGGGCAGCCTCTGGGGACCTGTTTTCTAGATTGCATTTCAGAGAAGAATGATATTGATCATCATTATCAGAGAACATATGCTTATCTTACCTAGGACATGTCTGTAATTTTTGTAAGAAGAACATAGCAACAAAGGTTTTCGCATTGATTTCTGTGTTTCTCTGTTCTATTAGTGGCTGGCAACCTGCTGAGAACTTCAGATTCACAAGAGGCTCACGGGAGGGAAAGCAGATTTAGGACCCTTCAAAGTGCGTTTCCTGGATCATCTGTGAAAACATTTTTTTTTTTTTTTTTTGAGACAGAGTCTCACACTGTCGCCTGAACTGGAGTGCAATGGCGTGATCTCAGCTCACTGCAACCTCCGCCTCCCGGGTTCAATCGATTCTCCTGTTTTAGCCTCCCAAATAGCTGGGATTACAGGGGTCTGCCACCACGCCCAGCTAATTTTTTGTATTTTTAGTAGAGACGGGGTTTCACTATGTTGGTCAGGCTGGTCTCGAACTCCTGACCTTGTGATCTGCCCGACTCGGCCTCCCAAAGTGCTGGAATTACAGGCGTGAGCTACCACGCCCGGCCTCTGTGAAAACATTTTTAAGCCTATGGACACTATAGACATGGCTACAGACAGATGAACTAGCCATTATTTCTAAGACTCTAAGAAAGAGATAGGCAGCCCACGAAAATTAGGAAACAGAAACAGAGGTGGGAGTGGAGGAAGCCCAACCTTGGTCAGGAACTAACCAGCTAGTTAGAGAGTCCAGAGCAGGACATGAGACCAAGAGGATGAGGAAAAGGGCTGTGGAAATCAAGATGCCAGGCTGCCTGGTCCTAACCTTCTGCCCGAGAGGGCTGAGACACAGGCCCTCTGTCAGGCTGCCCTGGGCCTCAGGCTCAGCGGGCATCCCCGTCACCCACCACCTTGTGCAGCCATCGGGATGAGACCCTGCAGAGCTCTCTGAGAGATGCCACATAAGAGCGCCTCCTGCCCAATGTCCACCCACTGATCTGAAATTCTGCTTTTGGTGACAAGTAGGGCTTGGTGCTTTGAATATCTTCCCCCAAAGCCTCATCTTTTAACCTAAGTTGCACCTGTGTTGATGAATGCTGATGGCGTAGGTTGATGGATTCCATCATGTTTCTTAATATCGCAGCTGAAGACATGAAATAATGAGTTGCAGCAGCTAATGTCACAGGTCAACTTGACTGGATTAAGGGATGCCCAGATGGCCTGTAGAGCAGTCTTTCTGGGTGTGTGTGAGGGTGTTTCTGAAAGGGATTGGCATTTGAATCCATTGACTAAGTAAAGATCACCCTCACCAATGTGGGTGGGCATATCCCATCCACTGAGAAGCCAGACAAAACAAAAAAGGAGGAGGCAAAGGGAATTCTCTCTCTCTCTTTTCTGGATCTGGGACCTGCATTTTCTCCAGCCCTTGGACGTGTGCATTCCTGGTGCTCAGGCCTTTGGACTCCAGGACTTACACCATAAGCTCCCCAGGTTCTCTGGCCTTTGGGCTCAGGCTGCAGTACACCCCTGGCTTTCCCGGGCCTCCAGCCTGCAGACAGCCTGCCGTGGGACTTCCCAGCCTCCATAATCACATGAGCCAGTTCCTATAATAAATCTTATCTTATTTATTTATTTATTTTTATTATAATTTGAGAGGGCGTCTCACTCAGTTGCCCAGACTGGAGTGCAGTGGCATGATCTCGGCTCACTGCAACCTCCGCCTCCCAGGTTCAAGTGATTCTCTTGCCTCAGCCTCCGGAGTAGCTGAGATTACAGGCATGTGCCACCACACCTGGCTAATTTTTGTATTTTTAGTAGAGATGGGCCAGGCTGGTCTGAAACTCCTGACCTCAAGTGATCTGCCTGCCTCAGCCTCCCAAAGTGCTGGGTTTACAGGTGTGAGGCACCATGCCCAGCCCCTAAATTTCCTCTTATTTATCTCTGTATAGCCTATTGAGTGTGTTTCTCTGGAGAATCCTGACTAATATAAAAGTTGAGTCATAGGAAGCAAAATACTTGTCTGTAAAGGGGAAATGAGATCCAATGTATTTTAAAAGTTTCCTTTCCCTTTTTGTTATACTTAAAGCAGTATGAAAAAAGGAAAAGGTAAACAATCAAAAATTCAACCAATCAGATCATCAAGTCATACACCTTAAATATATGCAATGCAGAAAACACAGCCAGGTTAACATTTTGTGAAGCAAATTTAAAAGCTTCCATAAAAGCTTCTAAAGAGACACTCTGTGAGTGTGACTGTCTCACAGAGCAGGGGAATTGGAAAAAAATCCACCTCTGAGTGTGGAGTGGTGAGCCCTCTGACAGCCATCAGCCCTGACCGGGTCTGTCTCAGCCCCTTCAAGTGGTGTCAGAGGACTTGTCTTCTCACACTGCAGGCTAACTCTGCCACATCCTGGTAAAAAGAAGTCTGACCAAGGGGTCATCGTCCCCTTGGTTTGTCCAAAGGTCTGCCTTAAAAGGAGCTTTTTATAAAGGGTAAGGGAAATGCTCTGTTGCACAAAGGATTTATTCCAAATTGAGGGTAATACATCAAGAATGACTTTTGTCTGCTCTGATGTTTGCAAAACTGCTGTATATTTGCATTGTTCAGGGTACATTGTCTAGCAACAACATATGTGTGATCCTCCAACAGACACTGTTACCTGCATGCTCCAGGTTAGCCTGGGCGATGGCAGCTGCTCTGTGAACCGGGGTGGGGGCTGCTGTCCCACCAGGTCCTCTGGTGCCATGGCATGTGCATGAGGGCCCTCTCTCAGGAGTGCCCACACTTTGAGCTTCTAGGCTCTTAACAAAGGTGGTATTGGACGCTGCTTCCCTGTATCATCCCTGCCGGGTAGGGAAGAAAGACAATCTGCACAGTGGATTTTTTTCCAATTCCCATTTAATTTTGGCTCTTGGGACAATGTCATCTTTTCATTATGAGGAAAAAGCAGCAAGTTCAACCCAAAATAGAAATCTGAAGTGTAGGGTAGGACAAAACCAAGAGCAGGGGAAAAAAGGGAATAGCAAAAGGAAGAGATGAGATGTTGCCCCATCCCCTCTCATCTTGGGAATGACTCAAACATTTAGGTGGGGGAACACACCTTCCCACATATGTCAGGGATGTTACACCTTTTAAGGGGTAAGACAAATTGGGAATGGAGAGGGCATTTCTAGAGGCTAAGGGACCCAGGCAGATCTCTCCCTCTTAATCTCCTTTTCTGATTAGGGAAAAGGAAGGGATCCAAAATGTAAGAGGGGGCCAGGCGTTGTGGCTCACGTCTAATCCCAGCACTTTGGGAGGCAGAGGTGGGCGGATCACCTGAGGTCAGGAGTTCGAGACCAGACTGGCCAACATGGTGAAAACCCAGCTCCATTAAAAATACAAGAATTAGCCCAGCATGGTGGTGTGTGCCTGTGATCCCAGCTACTCAGGAAGCTGAGGCAGCAGAATCGCTTGAACCCGGAAGGCAGAGGTTGCAGTGAGCTGAGATCGCACCATTACACTCCAGCCTGGGCAATGGAGGGAGACTCCGTCTCAAAAAAAAAAAAAAGAAAAAAAAATTTGTGAGAGAAGAGGAGTGGTGGGAGAAGGAAAGACCTCTCTTGGTGAAGCGGGGCGACTCCTCCAAAGGAAACTGAAAATGGGATAATGCTGTTACCACCTCCCCTGAACCTGAGAATTGGAGCACAGAAATACCTGGGAATTATGGCTTTATGAGCCTGGATTTCCCTCTCCAAAACCGTTCTAGAATGGAAAATCCCATCCTCTTCCTTGCAGTAACTTCTTTCTTTTTTTTTATTGTTACTTAAAAAAAAAATAGAGACGTGGTCTTGCTATGTTGCCCAGGCTGGTTTCAAACATCTAAGCTCAAGCAATCTTCCAGCCTCAGCCTCTCAAAGTGCTGGGATGACTGGCGTGAGCCACCATGCCCAGCCCCTTGCAGTAACTTCTTCCTGCCACCTTCTACCTTCCCAGTGCTGGCTACTACGTGGACATAGGATGGTGCACATTATCTGGGTTTTCAGCACCCGGTTGGTTCTAAATGGGATCTGAATGGGACCCAGCTTCCTGGAGAATTATTTTGAAAACAGAGGGACATATTAATTGGGCAGATGGGAGGAGGGTACCAGAAGGAAATACACGGTTACCCAGATCGGCAGAAATCTAGGTTTCCTGGAGTGGAAAGAGAGAGGAGACATTCAGCAGACAAATATTTATTGAGCACTTACTATGTACCAGGCACTGCTCTAGACCCTCCCTCTCCCCAGATAAACAAGGTAAAGGCAGCAAACACGACTACTGAGGGAGAAGAAAGGGGCAGCCAAGGAAGAAGGCTGAAGGAATTGAGATGCCTGAGGTGATGGGAGCTCTGCCTTAGGCCTCCCACTGGGCTTCCTCACTGAGTCCTCTCCCTCTTCTGCGGCGGCGTCCTAGACTGTCGATGTTCAGAGATGAAGTCATTCATGTTGTTCTCGGCCTCAGCGAACTCCATCTCGTTCATGCCCTCCCCTGCATACCAGTGGAGGACAGCCTTCCCGCACAATACAGCAGGGAACTGCCCTGAGAGGCCATGGAGAGCTTCTGGGTGGCCGCGCTGTTGCCGACGAACGTGACCGCCATCTTGTGGCCATGAGGAAGGATGTCCCACATGGCTGTCTTGACCGTTGTTAGCATCCATTCCATGAAATAGCTGCTGGCGACTCTTGTTCTGCACACTGAGCATCTGCTCATTGACTTCCTTCATGAATGGATGGATATTCATGGAAGAAGGCAGTCCTGGTGGGGCAGCCATCATGTTCTTGGCATCAAAGACCTGCTGGGTGAGTTTGGGCATGGTGAGAGCCCTATACAGCTGGCTTCCACAACTGGTGAGAGGGGCAAAGGTAGCCATGAAGAACTGGAGGCGTGGGAAGGACACTGTATTGACTGCTAGCTTGCAGAGGTCCGAATTGAGCTGGTGAGGGAAGCAGAGGAAGGTGGTGACCCCACGCATGTTAGCTGAGACAGGTGGGTCAGGTCCTCATAGTTTTGTGTGGTCAGCTCGAGGGTGCGGAAGCGAATATTATAAGGAGCCTCAATGTCTGTGCCGCAGGTCTCATCAGTGTTCTCTACCAGTGGATGGATGGGGAGGGGGCACTGCAGGGCTCAGCCACAGTGCCAAACACTTTGAGTGAGGGCATTACACTGGAGGTGTTCATGATGTGGTCAGGATCCTCTTCTCGGATCTTGCTGTGGAGGAGGGTGCCCATTCCAGAGCCTGTGCCCTCACCCAGTGAGTGGGTCAGCTGGAAGCCCTGAAGGCAGTCACAGCTCTCAGCTTCCTTCTGCACATATCCAGGAATGAATCAACCAGCTCAGCTCCACTGTGTACTGCTGCCTGCCCCAAACTGACCGAAAACAAAGTGGTCTGGTCTGCAGATCTAAGCAAAAGTGCTCACTACCCGATGCGCTAGAAGCCAACGCTATGACACTGGGTTTTTCAGAAAAGAAACGCTTTTTATTGCAGGTCTATCAACAAGGAGATAGCATTCTAGCTCAAATCGGTCTCCCTGTGCTGGGCATAAGGCTGTACTTTTGTTAGAAAAGGTTCAGGGAGTGAAAAGGGTGGTCTGCAAAGTCCTTGGGCATGGACAATTATCTCTTCCTGCCTTTTTATGGGGCCCACGTGCAAATTCTGGGGGAGTTAGGATGAAACATGCAGAGGAAATTCAGGTCGTAGCATCACCAGTCTCGTTCTGCGTATACTCCAGTGGGCCGTATTGGTTTCAACTGATTTCAGCCTGTTTTGTTACCTTATAGTTGGAGGGAATTTCAGCAAGCTGTTTCTTTTCTTATCTGCCATCCTGCAGGCTTAAGAATTTCTGTGAGTCACTGGTTTCTTTAACTCTTTGGGGCATGGTTTCAAAAGGATCTGAGCAGAGTCCATGATCCCAGGTTCTGGATCCACCAGGATAGTGGGAGGAACATATTTGTCCCCAGTGCCTTCACTGTGGCACACCAAGATGTGGTCCAGCTACAGATCGTGGTCCCTGGGCAGGTACTGGTAGGTCCATGCTATGACCATCACTGATAACTTCCCAGAATTTGGCACTGATCTGACTGCCACAGTGTCCTGTCTGGATGTGCACAATTTCCTCCATGGTTAACATTTAATTTTTTTGCCCACCTCAAGGATATATGGAGCAAGAACATATGTCTTTTTTTTTTTTTTCTCTGCTGGTAGCAGGCTGAAGGTGTGCCAGAGGCTGGAGGAATAAGATTTGAATGTGGTGGTGGGAAGGTTCTAAGAGGGGCCACGCTGGGATGTTGCAACAAGAAATTCCAGCCCAGAACCAAACTCACGCCGTCATCTCCTCTCTAGCTGAGCGTCACAGACCAGTGAGAGTAGCTTCTCCCTGGGGGCCAGCTTCAAGGAAATGCCTGGAATTTCATTAGAGCTGAGGAACCCACAAAACATCCTTATAGCAGAGCTTCTTGTAATGAAAGAGGGAAGGACAAAGCCCAGTATTCTGACTGTGGAATGCACGTGAGGAAGACAGCAAAAAATGTCAGAAGGCAAGGACAATGGTCAACAATGCAAAGCAAAAGGCCCTATCTACTGACTCCGAAGGAGGAAAAACATCACAGAGATGCAGAAAAGCTGGTATCTGATTAAAAATTCCACAGAGTTGCCACGTTTGTAAAATAGGAATGCAATCTTCTCTTTTACACATATTTTGGGAATTTGATTGCCCAGATAAAATTAGAGAACAGAAGTCATCAATCCAAGCTTGAAGGAGTGGAGGTGCAGCGAAGGCAGACAGAACGCACAGGCAGAAATGGCAGCCTTGGTTTAAAGGCAACGAAATAAGCTAAGAAAATGCCTGTTAGTTGCTCAAAGAAGCTTCCTGAATGATGCGATTCCTGTACCAGAGAAGGGCATGAAGTGAGGGCTTCATTCATTCACCGAACAAACTCTTATGAAGAGTCAGAAGGCTTGGGAGGTTTGGGAGGAGCAGAAAACATCAAACCCCGAGATAAAGCCACTTGAGATGACACTGGAAGGAAAATCGGGAATTGGATGGGGAAGAAGAGAGGAGCCAGCATGCTGGGATATTGGTGGTGTGGTCAGGGACAGCAGATAAAGTGGCTGGGAAGGGCAGAGGGGTAAGGCTGGGAAGCAGTAGAGAAGCTTGAGACATAAGTTAAGGGTGCACGTGGAGGGTCTTGACTCCCAGGCCAGGAGCGTGGACTCTATCCATTAGACGCTAGGGGATGATGGGAAAATCTGTGTCAAGGAGCAGAAAAAATTACATTTACAAAGTGTTTTTCTTTTTTAAGAGTTTTTTTTTTAATGAGTTTTAATATGCCTCTGTCTGTCCGACTAAAAGAGTTTCCCCACCAGGTTTCTTTCCCCAAGCTCTCTAAGAAAGGCTGGGTCATTTCCCTGCTGACTCTTTGGGCTTTTGTGATGCAAAGACCAGGGAAGGGGGAAGGGTGGAGTGAGAAGTGTCTCAGAGTCCGGGGCTAGGGACTGGGGGAGTTTAGACAAGAAAGCACAGAAGAAGCCCCAGGAAGTGATGGGAGTAGGAGACAGACAAAGAGGGTGTTTGAGAAATGTTTCTATAGGCAAAGTATCTCCTGCATGGGACTAAAGAGACATAAAGGACGGGAGCAATTTTTGAAAATACAAGTGGATGCTAGACTGCGTTTCTTTGAACATCACATCAGCCTGAGACCAGCCCACATGAATCATGGCTTCAAAGGGGTGACAGGTTAATCTGGCAGCAGAACTTATGGAGGATGATCAGAAAGAGTAGAAGAAATATAGAGGTGAAGGGATCATTGGAATAGACTTGGACTTGGGGACTGAATCACTGCAGAGGGATAAAGAAGGAGGAAGAGTCCCAGGTTTCAGTGCAGAATAGTCACATAGGGGATGGGAGATGAGACTCAGCTTGGATGCCTTCACCTCTTTGTAGAGGTTGTCCAGAGCACCGTGTTGAAAAACATTACGAGGTCAATCTGGGAAAATGTTATGGCCAAATGGAGATCTTTGCCATGAGCTGCGGAGCTAGCTCTGCCTTTATTGACCCTGAACTTAGGGAATAACAGCATTGTTGACGGCATTGATGGCTTAAGGACATCAGCATGGAAGCTGGGTTTCTGGAAGAGAGAATGAACTTGGCTGAAACTGAAGCAATGCACACCGCTTTTGCTATTTGTTTTTGTTTTGTTTTTTTCTTTTTTTCCACCATCGATGCATTTTAAAGTTCCCAGATTTGTACTCCAGTACCAACAGGAATGAAGCATCGCAGTGTACCCCTGAAGCAGCCTCATCTGTTTACAGAAAACCTTGGGTGCCTTCTGAAGAGGAGGTTGTAGACTGACTCTCAGAAATGGCATATGACCAAATGGACAGCTGACATCTAAGTATTTATCCTGGACAGCTGTTCTCCCTGTGCTCTGCACTGAAATTTACCCTGAAGTTTTTCTAGGTGTAGACAAAGATTGGATGGTACGTTTTACGAAGTGTTACTCAATTGTGAGTATGAAGAGCAATCATTTAATTCTCAAAGTTGCTCAAACAACAAAGGCATCTCCACTCTGAACTGTGAGCTCCAACAGGGCTAGGACCTCTGCTATATCCCCAGGCCCCAGTAGAGTCTGTAGTACACTAGGCAACACCTGATTGCTAACTGCAGGAATGAATCAGTGTCTTTTTTTGTTTCCTCTTTCTTCTGCTCAAGGAGCCCCAAAGTTGTGCTTAACAGTATTTAAGTACATTGTTCTCAATAGAAGTCTACCTGGGCTGTGGGCCAGAACAAATTTTATTACTATTGTGGCAAATACATTTTCTAACTCAAATTAGCAAATATTTTTGAGCACCTACTGTGTTCATATCCTTATTGAACTATTCCACCTCTAGAAATGTATCCTACAGATGTACCTGCTCATATGCACTTGTGTAAAGGGTATGACTTGGTCCATTTTGTGCTGCAATGACTGAATATCACAGATTGGGTAATATATAATAAACAGATTATTATTATTATAGATTGAGTATTAATTAGTAATAATTGGGTAACAATAATAATTAATATTATAGATTGGGCAATCTATAATAAACAGATGACTGGTGCACAGTTCTGGGAACTGTGTATGGGGTGAGGGCCTTCTTGATCAGTCATAACATGGCAGAAGGGCAAAGAGAGGTGAGAGAGAGATGAACGGGGGTGAATCCACTCCCACAATAACAGTATTAATCCATTCATGAGGGCAGAGCCCTCATGGCCTAATCACCTCTTAGAGGTCCCACCTCTTAATACTGTTACAATGGTAATTAAATTTCAACATGAGTTTGGGAGGGGGCAAACATTCAAACAATAATAGGGCACATTGATTGTGATAGCAAAATTCAGAAACAACCCACATATCCATCAATAGGGGACTGGTTAGATAAATACAGTGCCCCTGTTATAAAGAATAAACCAGATTCTAGGCAAAGGGGTCCAAGTTTTCAGTTTTTCCAAGTCCCCATGCAGACACACAGAAACTAGGCAGCAAAACCCACAACCCAAGGAAAATATTTATGACAAAACTAGGTGACAAATTATTCCCACTAACCTAGCATATATAAATGGCCAACAGCCTCAAGAGTTGCATGGTATCTGGGTTTGAGGGGCTGAAAGAAGTTAGAAAGCAAGGGGGTGAGGCATGATAGACCTGAGAACAGAAGAACCCCAGATATACCAGTATTCACTAGAAAGTATTGTGGGCCAATTCGAGACGAGCAGGTGGAGCTGAAGAGTTGCCTCTCTAGTGCGAGGTAGTTCAGGTGCCCACAGTAAGAAGGCAGGAGGAGGCCAGGCACGGTGGCTCAAGCCTGTAATCCCAGCACTTTAGGAGGCCGAGGCGGGCGCATCACGAGGTCAGGAGATCGAGACCATCCTGGCTAACAGGGTGAAACCCTGTCTCTACTAAAAATACAAAAAAATTAGCCAGGTGTGGTGGCAGGTGCCTGTAGTCCCAGCTACTCGGGAGGCTGAGTCAGGAGAATGGGCGAACCTGGGAGGCGAACCTGGGAGGCGGAGCTTGCAGTGAGCCGAGATGGCGCCACTGCACTCCAGCCTGGGTAACAGAGCGAGACTCTGTCTCAAAAAATAATAATAATAAATAAATAATAATAATAATAATAATAATAATAATAATAAAGAAGGCAGGAGGAGGCAGGAGGAGGCAGGAGCAGTCGAGCCCCTAGGAATTCCCAAGACTGATCAGGAAGGGCTCCACACTCAGGAGAAAGCGCTGGGAGAGGAATCAAAATTGAGCAAGACAAGGATGAAAGAAAGGAAGGAGCAGTTTCCATCTGCATTGGGGGAAAGAAACAGCCAGCAAATCCCTGAAAGCAGGTGGCTCTATTTTTGAACACAGAAGTAGGAGCCCTGTGAAGTTTGAAAAGCATTCCTTAACATGGCCTTTGTGATGATTAGTACTGAGTGTCAACTTGATTGGATTGAAGGATGCAAAGTATTGATCCTGGGTGTGTCTGTGAGGTGTTGCCAAAGGAGATTAACATTTGAGTCAGTGGGCTTGGAGAGGTAGACCCACCCTTAATCTGGTGGGCACAATCTAATCAGCTGCCAGCAAATATAAAGCAGGCAGAAAAACGTGAAAAGGCAAGACTGGCCTAGTCTCCCAGCCTACATCTTTCTTCCATGCTGGATGCTTCCTGCCCTCAAACATCAGACTCCAAGTTCTTCAGTTTTGGGACTCGGACCGGCTCTCCTTGTTCCTCAGGCTTGCAGACGGCCTATTGTGGGACCTTGTGACCATATAATTTAATACTTAATAAACTCCCCTTTCTCTGTCTATCTATCTATATCTATCTATCTATCTGTCTGTCTGTCTGTCTATCTATCTATCTATCTATCTATCCCTCTATTCTATTAGTTCTGTCCCCCTAGGGAACCCTGACTTGTTCTAAAAGTTTAGGAAAACTTGATTTCACATGAAAAAACGAGCACTAGAAGAGTATCAAGTTCAATCCTATGCAAAGTAATTTTAAAAACTAGAGAGAATAAAGAATAGGGTAACACTGTAACTGACAAGTCATGGCAGAGAGACATAGTCATAAAACAGCAAGCTTCTGTTTGATCTATTTCAGAAAAAGACATTAAGTACATGATAGACATGGCAGAACAGCATCAATCAGAATTAGAGAAACTTGGAAATGAAGTGACAACTCAGGAAAAAAGTAGAACTAAAAATAATTATTCTGTAAGGTAGACTAATTATTATGAATCCATGGATTTAAATACATTTGATGGATGTCAATACCTGTGTTCCTGGAAGGAACACAAAAGTAAACAAATACAAGGGTAATGCCTCGAGAGACATAAAAGGTGAAATAAGACAAAAAAAAAAAAAAAGAAATGAAGAGAGAAGGATTTAAGAGAAAGTAGTGAACATTGAAGGCTATTGTACATATGAATAATAGGTTTTCCTCATGAAGAAAACCAAAGCAAGAGAACAGAGGAAGTACTAAGAGCTATAATCCAAGAAAACTTCCTTGAAATAAAAGATTTGATAATGTATATTGAAATGTGAATGCGGTGGCTCATGCCTGTAATCTCAGCACTTTGGGAGGCTGAGGTGAGCAGATCACTTGAGGCCAGGAATTCGAGAACAGCCTGGCCAACATGGTGAAATCTCATTTCTATAATAATACAAAAATTAGCTGGGTGTGGTGGCTTGCACCTGTAATCCCAGCTACTCAGGAAGCTGGGGCACTAGAATTGCTTGAACCCGGGAGGCAGAGGTTGCAGTTAGCTGAGGTTGTACCACTGTACTCACTCCAGCCTGGGTGACAGAGCAAGAACCTGTCTCAAAAAAGAAAGAAAGAAAGAAAGAAAAGGTTCAATGCACACTTGAGAATATCGGCCCAGGATGACTGCTGTCAAGATATATCCTACTGAAATTATTAGTACTTAAGAAAAAAAAAATCATTTGAACCTCTAGAGAAATTCTTTGGACATCTTGAAAAAGTCTTATGTGACTTATAAGGAAAAGAAAAATAGACTATTACCAGGATTTTTTGAGAAAAATGCTTTATACCAAAGGAGAATGGATTAGCATATTTAACATACTCAAGGAAAGACAGTATAAGCCAAAAATGTTATACCCAGAAAAACTGACCCTTAAGTGTAAAGGGCATAGCAAATTGCTACCAACATGCAATTTGGGAGGCTGAGGCGGGTGGATCACAAGGTCAGGAGATCAAGACCATCCTGGCTAACATGGTGAAACCCCGTCTCTACTAAAAATACAGAAAATTAGCCAGGTGTGGTGGCGCGCGCTTGTAGTCCCACCTACTCTGGAGGCTGAGGCAGGATAATCACTTGAACCCAGGAGGTGGAGGTTGCAGTGAGCCGAGATTGAGCCACTGCACTCCAGTCTGGGTGACAGAGTGAGACCCCATCTAAAAAAAAAAAAAAAGAAGGAAAAGAAAAGAAAAAGACAGACATGGGAAATTCGACTAGCCCAGATTTGTCAACGATAAGTTGTAAAGAAATGAAATGGATGGAGGAGGAACCATATAGATTAAAAGAGACTTAAAAGACCTAGCACACATTTTTTAGAATAGGTAGGACTAAAGTATAAGGTCTAGGGGAGCAAATTTGGGTGATAAAGCTATAAAAATAAAAATGAAAACAAGTCAGATTAATGTCACTTATGGTGGGAGGGAGAAGACAGGGATTAGGTAGGGAATATGGAGGTGCTTCTGGGGTGGCTGGCAAAGTTCTATTTCTTATCCTAGGTAGTATTTACCTTCAAATAATTCATTAAGCCATATATTTTATTTTGCAGTTTTCTGAATCCATATTTTATTTTTTTCTTTTGATATGGTGTCTCACTCTGTCACCCAAGCTGGAGTGCAATGGTGCTCTCGGCTCACTGCAACCTCTGCCTCCCAGGTTCAAGCAATTCTCCTACCTCAGCCTCCCGAGTAGCTGGGATTATAGGCACCCCCCCATCATGCCCAGCTAGTTTTTGTATTTTTGTAGAGACAGGGTTTCACCATGTTGGCCAGGCTGGTCTTGAACTCCTGACCTCAGGTGATCTGCCTGCCTTGGTCTCCCAAAGTGCTGGGATTACAGGCATGTGCTACCATGCCCTGCCCTGAATCCACATTTTATTTAAAATAAAATGACTTTTAAAAAATGAGTCAGATTTAGAGATACAGATGTGGATCAATTTCCAAAGTATATGGTTAAGTGAAATAAGACAAACTCAGAAGAGTGTGAATAGCATGCCACTGACATTTACACATAGAGGAGGTATTTGTGTATGCATAGACTGTCCTGGGAGGACACACAAGGAATTCAAAGCAAGTTCAGAGGGTGGGAGGCCAATTGACTTTCGATATATACCTTTGAACTTCCACTGGGCCTATGATTATCTCTCAAAAGAATAATCAATCAACTATATTTTAGAAAAAGTAATATTCTCAAAGAGCCTGACAATCTCTTTGCTCCAGTTTTACATTTGCCATTTGCCATACCACATTTTGGTCCATCATTTGTTCATTGGGGAGGATACACAGGCTGGTGGATGGGTGGGCCAGGAAACAGAGCAGCTTCAGCAGCATTTGAGCTTCACATAAACTGCAAAGCTTTGTCTCAGTTTAAACGTTATCTATCTGTACATTTCTAAGCTGAGAGTGTTTGAGGTTAGCCTGCCTTTGAATACTCCTATAAATACCACGGTTTGTGTCACCTGTGCATGTCACTGTGTGTAGACCCCAGAGCACCACCTGCAGGTGCCCACCTTTCTCACCTGCCCTTACTCGTGATGCCGGTAAGGGCTCTTCCACCCTTTGGGGTCCAAGTCACATCATCTTCACGGGACAGCACTACTGAGCTTGAGGCACTCAGTTCTCCTTCCTAATCAGCTTCCTTAGAGTGGACTTGATTTCATAGGGAATAAAAGATTTTCTTTTTTTCCTAGGGAAATAGCTCTCTGTTGAGATACTTTGCCAAGAGAAATAAAACAATATTTTGGTTAAGTTCCACGTTGAATTTCAAAATAAAATATTCAAAATCTGCTGAGCAGGTTACTCCTTTTCAATGTATTTTTGTTATTGCTAGATATTATAATTCCTTGGGTGAGATGTATAATGACTTCAGGGATTTATAATTACCTTGAAAGTAAATTGAGAATTACTTGGTATAATATGTTATGAATAAGATGGTATCTACGTAGAAATTAAACTGTCTTAACAGTTTATTTTATCACTTTCAAAAATTATTGTCATACAAATTCTTTTTTTCTGCTCATTTTCAGAGAATGAGCATTTTTAAGTTTTAAAAGACTCCATCAAATTACCATCACCGAAGATTGTACCAATTTCTATTCTCGACCACAAT
Organism: Homo sapiens; assembly: GCF_000001405.40. NCBI lineage: Eukaryota > Metazoa > Chordata > Mammalia > Primates > Hominidae > Homo > Homo sapiens. The sequence goes on along the minus strand of NW_011332701.1, from coordinate 1,775,938 downwards.
GTGGAATATGATCCACTGGATGTTATTTGGTCTAAAAAATTCTTGTGGCCATCTGATAGGCAGAAATGTCATTGCCACTTTAATTTGCATTGCCTTGGTTACTAAGTAGACTGATGATCTTTTTATTCATTATCGGTATTTCTTCGTTTTGTGAAATTCCCACTCACTTTCTTTATCCAGTTTTCTATCGAGTTTCCTCATGGACTCCTTTGCATATTAGGGATAGTGACCGTTTCCCTCGTCATAAATGTTGCAACTGTCTCCTTTCCCTCTTTTTTTCATCTAAATTCTTGGTGAGAAATCTACCATATAGATATATTTAATTCATATGTTGTCAAATGTGTCCTTCAAATTAAAATTGGAGTTTCAGGCCAGGCATGTTGGCTCATGCCTATAATCGGAGTACTTTGGGAGGCCAAGGCAGGCGGATCACCTGAGGTCACGAGTTCAAGACCAGCCTGGCCAACATAGTGAAACCCCATCTCTCCTAAAAATACGAAAGTTAGCCAGGCGTGGTGGTGCTTGCCTATAATCCCAGCTACTCGGGAGGCTGAGGCAGGAGAATCGCTTGAACCCGGGCGGCGGAGGTTGCAGTGAGCCAAGATCATGCCATTGCACTCTGGCCTGGATGACAGAGCGAGGCTCTGTCTCAAATAAATAAATAAATTAATTAATTAAATAAAATGAAATTGGAGTTTCACACCATTTTTTGGAGGGGCTTTGCTGTCTGCTTCTCAGTGCTTCCCAGGGTTCTCTCTTGCCCCCGAAGAGCACTCACTGACACCCAGGCCCTGTGGGAGAGCCCCCTTGCTCAGGAGTCATCTTTGCAGGTTCTTTTCTGTTTCTATCACCTCGTCTGGTGGACCTCACACTTGAGCAAGAGGCAGACTCCTCCAGAGGGCTTGAGAAAACCCCAACTGTTCAGAAATCTCAGAGCTTCTGATTCAGGAAGTCTACAGTGGGCCTGAGAATTCGTGTTCTAACAAGTTCCCTGCAGATGCTGCTGATGCTGCTGTTCTGGGACCACACATGGACCACCTGCCTCAAACACTGGTTTGACATCTTGACCTCTCTGGAAGCTATGCCTTTGTTCCCATCTCCCTTGCTTCCACCCAGGGCCAGGTCACATCACATCTCTTCTGGCATCCTTTCACAGCTTCTTCCCCCACATCCTTTGTGACTCTTCTGCCATCCACTCACCACACTGCAGCCAGAGGGATTTCAACAGGGGCTCATGGCACTCCCTTCCAGCTCTTCCCCTTTCGTCATTGGGCCATCTCGTGATTCTCTTCACATCTTTCTGCCCTCTGTGCTCTCCTGCATATGGGCTTTTGGTAGCTACGAAATGCCAGGTTCTTTCTTGCCCCAGGGTCTTTGCACATGCACGTTCTCTTGGCCTGGAAAACCTTCCTTTGCAGTGATATTGGTCATTTTAGTGAGATCACTTTGGCTGTTAGGCTGGTGTGTGGATCAGATCACTTAGCTCTGAATGAATGCAGCTGACAGCCAGCATTCTCTGTCAGAATGGCTTTGTGTTTTGGCTCATTAAGGAGCTCCCAGGAACACTGAAAGAGGGAATATATCTCTAATAAAAATACAAAAATTAGCCGGGCATGTTGGTGCATGCCTGTAATCCCAGCTACTCAGGAGGCTGAGGCATGAGAATTGCATGAATCCAGGAGGTGGAGGTTGCAATGAGCTGAGATCGCGCCACTGCACTCCAGACTGGGCAACAAAGCAAGACTCCATCTCAAAAAATAATAAAATAATATAAATAATAAAATAATAAACTAAAACAGTTTTTTCATCTTGAATATGACTAAGACACAATAGTTGTTAGAATTCTGATTATATCCTTACCATAGGTAGAGATTTTGCTTAAAATACATTTTTTTAAAAGAGAGAGTGTCTGAAAAATCATACTCAATTAGTTCCAGACCCAGACCAAGAATTGAAGTCTCTTGACTTTCAATACTGTGTTACATCTACACAGTTCTTTCTCTGGTGAAGAAAATAAAATTCAGTAAATATTTATCGAGTATTTTTTCATACACAAGGTACTGTAGTAGGTGCTTGGGGTGAGCATGGGGAATATGTGCAGATGACTTCTTGAGTCATGGGTCCTGCCCTCATGGGGCTTACACTGGACTTGTGAAGACAGAATACAAATACAGGCAGGCTTTGCTTCTCGTGGTTCTGATTAAGCATGAAACGAACTCATTTACCATGGTTTCATTAAATAACTCAGTCTTCCAACAACACGGTTCAAATTACAGTTACCATGGCATATTAACTGTGAGTCATTGCATGGAGCACAAATGGGGCTGCTAGCTCTTCAGTCCACAAATCACTATGTAAGTAACAGATGCGCACCACAGTCAGTTACCAATCATGACCTTTATTCCAACACCTGCAGTGCTTGGTGACCAATCGCAGCAAGTTCTTTCAAAATCTGCAGTGATTGGTCATTGTGCATATGTCATTCAATTGCACTGCCAGCAAAGTGTGTAGTTGTGCTGCCTCGGTGATTCTCAGTGATAAACCCAGGTGGCATTTTATAAAAACAGATAATTAGAAGGTCAAATTGGCCAACAAAGATGAAAGTACACAAAAGAAACAAAAAGTGTTAAAGATGGAAGTGAAATTTGAATGGGATGTAAATGGAGTTATAGAAGAAATAGCTGACCATGTGGAGTTATGGAAGACATAGCTGATCATGTGAATGTTGACCCTGCCACCTTCGGAGAAACTCTAGATATACAGCCAGAAGGACTTATTGACAATAAACTTACAGACATAAATGAGGGAAAAGGTCATGACAAAAAGAATGAAGAAGATACCCCAGAGGAAGTAACTCTAGAAAAAAAAAAAAAAGGTGGTGGTGGGGAAACACTTTAAGTTAATGGAACTCTCAGATATATTTTATGACATTGAAAGCACAAAGGGGAAAATGTTGGAAGTGATGCAAACTTAGAAAGGAGTATGCCAATTCACCAAGGCATAATCAAATATCAGTTTTACTGTTCCTTTTCATTTTCCTATTGTTTATAACTGCCAGTAAGAGAGATTTTAATGTTTTTACAAGCATTAGAACGTATCATTGAAAAATCAGGCCGGGCGCGGTGGCTCACGCCTGTAATCCCAGCACTTTGGGAGGCCGAGGCAGGCGGATCACGAGGTCAGGAGATCGAGACCATCCTGGCTAACACGGTGAAACCCCGTCTCTACTGAAAATACAAAAAATTAGCCGGGCGTGGTGGCGGGCACCTGTAATCCCAGCTACTTGGGAGGCTGAGGCAGGAGAATGGCGTGAACCCGGGAGGCGGAGCTTGCAGTGAGCAGAGATCGCGCCACTGCACTCCAGCCTGGGCAAAAGAGCGAGACTCTGTCTCAAAAAAAAAAAAAGAAAGAAAAATCATATTTTCCCCATTGATTATTAATATTTCTTTGCGTGGTTTCAGATTGCATGGTGATTTTTACAGTTCCACAGTACCATGCAAAGTGAATACTACCTGTATATGAATAATTAAGTCATAAGCTGGGTGTGGTGGCTCATGCCTGTAGTCTCAGCTACTTGAAAGGCTGAGGTGGGAGGATCACTTGAGGCCAGGAGTTTGAGACTGGCCCCGGCAATATAGCAAGACCCTGTCCCTACAAAAGAATCAAATAAATTATAGGTCATACAATAAGACATCATGATATGATAGAACAGGTTTCAAAGCAACATGTGACTCATTGCCAGTTAATTTTTATAGATAGTAATTTCCCTAAGAGGTCAAGGGAGAGAGAGATCATCATCATCACATCTATGATGATGAGATGACGATGATGATGATTGATGATGATGATGATGATGATGATGATGATGGTGGGAGAGAACTGGGATGGGCTTTGGAGTTTCCAATTTGGATAGACCCAGTGAAAGAAAAGTGGCATTCTAGGAAAGTGGGCAGATGCCCCTAGCAGCCCATATAATATTGAGCAGATGCTCATAGCAGCCCATATAATATTATTGCCATGAATGATGTCAGTAAGGCAGACTACTTGACTCTGGAATTTCCAGCATCTTCTTTTTTTGACAAATTGTTTTATATCAAAGTGTGTGCCTAAAAAGTGTTTCTCAAGCCATGCATGCTCAGATTACAAAGACTGTGGAATGAAGCACAGAAAATTTGGCTCAACAAACTGAATTGTGCCATGGGCACCTTCTGTCACCAGCCGTATAGAGGCCACCCTCACCTTTACTCTGAGTGAAACATCGCCTCTCAGGTGTTAAGAAGCCTTCCATAAGTTATCTCCAGCAATAATATTAATCACTTATTTTATGGCTTTACAGTTTATTTGTGGTTTTAATAAAAAAACATAGAGACAGCTAGGAAGGTAGGGAGCTGAGGCACCTGGAGAGCTGGTGCTTTGCCTAAAGGGCAGGGCTGCTGCTCGGCTCTTGGAAATGTAGGGACTGTATTGTGAGATCCATTAAAGTTTTTAAAGGAAGCCATAAATCTTGGCTTAATATGAAGTTTTTGAACTTGAAAAAGTTGACTCAAACTTTTAAAACATACATCATCTTGCAGGGTAAATGGCCTGCCCCTGTGCCTGATCTGGCTGCCAGTTTGTAACTGCTTTGTAAGACAATGGTGCTGTCTTACACACAGTGTTCATCTAATTTGGACAAAGTAGGGATTATAATGCGATTGTTATGACCAGTTTCCACATGAGGAAATAGGCTTATGGAGCTTAAGTAACTTGTCCAAGGAAGCACTGGTGTTAGGTAGTGGACCCAGGAACCTGATGCCTAACTTGATCCTTTTTCTCCTCTATATCAGCTTCTTAAAGTTTGCTCTATCAACTGTGAGAATCAAATGAAAACCTCAACCACCAGCCCTCAGAAGGTCCTGGACCAAGGGAGTTCTAGGGAACTGGGAAGCAGAACCTCATGGTCTGTCTCTTTAGAGCATCACCATTGTGATCAATTTGAATCCATCTCCATCCTTATTAGTCTAAATGAATAGATGGTCAATACAGCCTTCAAGTAATCCTGCATCATTATTATTTCTCTTACTTAAGCTTTCTGTGCATGCTCAGCAGCAATACATTTGAACCTATCTTCCCTGACATGTCCTGTGATGCACGTTGCCTATTAAGTTCATAGTCACATGATTTAACATCCAGTAGAGCTGAGAATATGGTTTAAAAATCCTCTTAAAAATGATGGACTTGCTATCAACATGTTCTAAAAGGATGAACATTCCCTGCATGGAGATGGGATGAGGAAGTACCCTTGGACTGGGTCAAGATTTTAGGTCACTTTGGCCGGGCGCCGTGGCTCATGCCTGTAATCCCAGCACTTTGGGAGGCCGAGGCGGGCGGATCACGAGGTCAGGAGACCGAGACCATCCTGGCTAACACGGTGAAACCCCGTCTCTACTAAAAATACAAAAAATTAGCCGGGCGCGGTGGCGGGCGCCTGTAGTCCCAGCTACTCCGGAGGCTGAGGCAGGAGAACAGCGTGAACCCGAGAGGTGAAGCTTGCAGTGAGCCAAGATCACGCCACTGCACTCCAGCCTGGGCGACAAAGCGAGACTCTGTCTCAAAAAAAGAAAGAAAGAAAAAAAAGATTTTAGGTCACTTCAACAATGGATGAATGGAAGCCTCAAAATTTGTTACCATACATTTAGTAGTTTTAGTTTGAAAATTTTAAAACAGATATAATCTTAGTGATAAAATATCTCATCAGTGCAATGATAAAATATCTCATCAGTGCAATGATGAAATAGCTTTAAACCATGTCATGACCTGATGAACACCTCAAGCAAAACTAGCTGCAAAATGTTCTCTTAAATAACTGACTAAATAAAATTTCTGAATCAATATTATTATTACTGTTAAGCCAGTTAAATAATGGGCATTGGCCCAAAATGATGATTTTAGAATACTTAATCTGTAGTTAAACATAATTTGTTACTAGAGAATTGCAAATCACCACAATAATGACATACCCCCACACATCTACTAGAATGGCGGACATCCAAAAACCAACAATACCAACTGCTGGAGGGGATGTGGAGCAACAGGAATGTTCATTTATTGGTGGGAATGCAAAAATGGTACAGCCACTTTGGAAGAGAATTTGCGCTTTCTTACAAAACTAAACCTAGTCTTTTTCTTTTTTTTTGAGACAGGGGTCTCACTCTGTTGCCCCGGCTAGAGTGCGTGGTGTGATCTTACCTCACTGCAACCTCTGCCTCCCAGGCTCAAGAGATCCTCCATCCTCAGCCTCCTTAGTATCTGGGACTACACGGTGCATGCCATGAGGCCTGGCTAATCTTTGTATATTTTGGAAACACAGGGTTTCATCATGTTGCCCAGGCTGGTCTTGAACTCCTGGGCTCAAGCAATCCACACTCCTCGGCCTCCCAAAATGCTGGGATTACAGACATGAGCCACTGTGCCCAGCCTAAACATAGTCTTACTACCAGAGTCAACAATCACACTCAGGTGATTTGAAACTGAACTGATTTGGAAGCGTATGTCCCTACATAAACCAGCATGCCAATGTTTATAGCAGCTCTATTCATAATGGTCCAAAATTAGAAGCAACCAATATATCCTTCAATAGGTGAATGGATGAACAAACTATGGTACATTCACACAATAGAATATTATTCAGCAACTAGAACTGAGCTATCAAGCCCGACAAAGTTATGGATGAATCTTTTTTTTTTTTTTTGAGACAGAGTTTCGCTCTTGTTGCCCAGGCTAGAGTGCAATGGCGCAATCTCGGCTCACTGCAACCTCCGCCTCCCGGGTTCAAGCGATTCTCCTGCCTCAGCCTCCTGAGTAGCTGGGATTACAGGCATTCACTACCAGGCCTGGCTAATTTTGTATTTTTAGTAGAGATGGGGTTTCTCCATGTTGGCCAGGCTGGTCTCGAACTCCTGACCTCAGCTGATCCACCTGCCTCAGCCTCCCAAAGTGCTGGGATTACAGGCATGAGCCACCGCGCCTGACTCTAGTTATGGATGAATCTTAAATGCATATTGCTAAATGAAATAAACTAGTCTGAAAAAGCAATATACTGTATGAGTCCAACTATATGACATTCTGGAAAAAGCAAGCGACAGAGACAATAAACAGATCAGTGTTTGCCAAGAGGTTAGAAGTTGGGGGGATGATTGAATAGGTGAAGCACAGGGATTTTTTTTTTTGTATGAGTGATACTATAATGGCATATACAAGGATTTGGCAAAACCCTATGGGGGATTTCTATCAACTTTACAGTGCAGAGAGCAAACCCTAATCAGGTAAATTTAAAAAAAATTAGGAGCCGAGTGCGGTGGCTCACATCTGTAATCCCAGCACTTTGGGAGGCTGAGATGAGAGGATCATTTGAGTTCAGGAGTTCAAGACCAGCCTAGTTAGCATGGCGAAAGCCTGTCTCTACTAAAAAATACAAAAATTAGCTGGGCATGGCGGCGGGCGCCTGTAATCCCAGCTACTCGGGAAGCTGAGGCAGGGAGAATGGCTTGAACCCAGGAAACAGAGGTTGCAGTGAGCCGAGATCATACCACTGCACTCCAGCCTGAATAACAGAGCAAGAATCTGTCTAAAAAAAAATAAAAAAATAAAAATAATTAGGATGTTGGGGAACCCAGAATGAGAGGCAGAATGCGACAAAAGGATCTAAATGTACCACAAATGTATGGAACAATGTTGTTGAAGGAGATGAGGAATAAAGTGCTGGCTTAGGTATCTTTGGAAATGAATGACTAAAGGCACAGGAACTCTACATACACACTCTATTCTAGCTGATAAAGTTGCGCCCCCTAGGGATATGAGCTAACAATTCTGAAACCACCGTACACGTATAACTGGGATTAAAGAATTAACTAAAGTAAGCAAATAATGGAAGCTAGGCTCCTCACTGCAGGCGTGGGAGATTCCAGATAAAGAGAGGAGTCTGGAAGGATCTATGTGGTAATGGATTAGAGGTGAAGCATTCAGTAGGAACTCATGCTTCTCAATATAGATGCAGATGGTTACACACAGCATTATATATATGCAGAGGTATATCTATAAATGGTTACATATAGAATTATAGATGCAGACAGTTACATTAAAAGTAACAGCAAAACCGCAATTACTTTTGCACAAACCTAATATATTTTGCTCTTCTGCCAACTGAGCAGGCCTACAAGCAATGAAGCAATGACTCCCCAGTAGCAACGAGCATACCTACTGCTCAGAGCTTGGTTTCTAATACCATTTTCAGTGGAAGGAACCAGGGCTTTTTTGAGAAAGGCTGAACCTAGGACTCAGGTTGGAAATATACAGGATAAGCCGGGAGCATCTTTTAGTGCCAGAAAATAACGAAGTGCTCACAAAATAAATTCCCATAAAGATAGGGTTATGTTAAAGGGACACATAGGCCAACTGAAAGAGCCCCCAAAGTCCAAAGCTAGAACAATTTGAACACCAAAAAAAGGAGGCTATAACCCAAAACATAAATATCCATGAGACCATATTTATATAAATAAATATATGTCCAAAATGTCCTTCAGTAGGTGAATGAAGGATAGATTAATTTATATAAATAAACAGTCCAGTAAATAAGTAAAGACACAGTGAAGAAGAGACAAACCCGAGCAGAAGAACTTCAATCTGTGTAGCTGCTCTTAAGAAGGTGAAGCATAGATAAGACTTTAGATAAGGAATGCCTGAGAAGCTGACACACCACGAGGAGCTGTAGGAGACGCGACAACTAATTATACTGTGGACGTGTGTTCTGGATGGGATCCCAAAAAGAACATTAGGGAGAAAAACAGGAATTCTGGACAAAGTATGGACTCCAGTGAATAATAATGTGTCAGTATTGTTTCATTGATTGTGACAAATCTACCAGATTAAGGTAAGATGTTAATAATAATAGGGGAAAATGGGTATGGAACATTTGGGAGCTCTATGCTACTTCAGTAATTATTCTGTAATTCTATAGCTACCCTAAAACACAAAAGCTTATTTTATTTTATTTTATTTTATTTTTGAGACGGAGTTTCACTCTGCCGCCCAGGCTGGAGCGCAGTGGCGCGAACTCAGCTCACTGCAACCTCCGCCTCCCAGGTTCAAGAGATTCTCCTGCCTCAGTTCCCTCCCCGCTGGGTTTACAGGTGTGTGCCATCACACCTGGCTAATTTTAAATTTTTTTTTTTTTTTTTTTTGAGACAGAGTCTGACTCTGTCGCCCAGTCTGGAGTGCAGTGGCGTGATCTCGGCTCACTCCAAGCTCCGCCTCCTGGGTTCACGCCATTCTCCTGCCTCAGCCTCCCCAGTAGCTGGGGCTACACGTGCCTGCCACCACGCCCGGCTAATGATTTTTGTATTTTTAGTAGAGACGGGGTTTAACCGTGTTAGCCAGGATGATCTCGATCTCCTGACCTCGTGATCCGCCCGCCTCGGCCTCCCAAAGTGACTAATTTTTAAATTTTTAGTAGAGAGGGGGCTTCACCTCATTGGTCATGCTTGTCTCGAATTCCTGACCTCAAGTGATTTGCCCACCTTGGCCTCCCAAAGTGCTGGGATTACAGGCGTGAGCTACTGTGCCCAGCCCCCACAAAAGTTTATTTTTTAAAAAGCAAATCAGATTGCATTATCCTCTGCTTAAAGCCCTTTCAGTCATTCACTCATTCAAAAAATTCATGAGTGACTCCTATGTTCTGGCCACCGTGTACATTGCTGAGGATTTAATCATGAGCAACGAAAACATCGATTCTTATAGTTTAATAGGGGAGATTAGATCTATTGCACCTCTGGAGAAGAGGTTCAAGGAGCTGGCAGAGCCTGTACAGGGACCTGACCAGGTTAGGAGCACAGGGGAGGCTGCTCCCAGGTGAGAGTTGGGAGGCATGTCGGGGAGGAAGCTCCTACACGCTAGGAAACTTGTAAAAGCCAAGGTGGTTACTGAAGAACAGTGGGAGGTGAGGCTGCCAGGATTGGCAGGGCCCATTAGGGGAACTAATAGACCTTATTCAGGATCCTGGCTTGTCCCAAGAGTGATGAGAACCACAACTTATCCTCCCTATCTGTTTCAGTCATATGAGTCTAGAGATACAGCCTGTTGCGCTCATAGCTGCATCCTCACCACCTAGCAGAAGGTCAGGAAGAAATTTTTATTTCCTTTTTTTTTAAACCTTTTTGGAAAACGATTATAGATTCACTAGAAGTTGCAAAAAAAATGTGCAGGAAGGTCCTCTGTACCCTTCATCCAGTTTCCCCCACCATAACATCTTGTATAACTATAGTACAATATCAAAACTGAGACATTAACATTGATACAATCCATAGAGCTTATTGAGATTTCAGCAGTTTCATAGTACTTACTTGTGTGTATATAGTTCTATGCAATTCTGCCACATTTGCAGATTTATGTAACCACCACAATCAAGATACTGTTACATCACTGCAAGCCACACTCACCACACCCTTCCATAACAGCCATTATTATGATTCCCTGGCAACCATCAGTCTGTGCCCCTTCTATATACATTATATTGATAATTGACATGCACAGAGTGACCTGACGCAATGTGAAAAGCATTCTCTGTTTTTGATGCATAAAGTAGATTGGAGGAGGCAAGGACAAATATAAGAATATCAGCTAAGGGAAGAAATGATAGTCAAAGGGTGAACATTGCTGAGTGAGCAAGCTGGAAGCCATGGACAGGGCATGGGCTGTTTGTGGATTTGCTATTTTGGAGGAGAACAGCTTCTGGTGAAGACAAAATCCTAGGTATGCCTATGGGAGGGGGCAGCTGAGATGGAGTGGACTGGGACATACAGAGGAGGAGTCAAGAGGCTGTCACTGGTGGGGGAGTTGTCACGGGGATGTTGAAGTTACTCAGGGTGATGCAGGCTTGAGTGGAGAAGCTATCAGGAATGAATGAGGGCATACCAGCCACAAAGAGCAGAGAATAGAAGAGTGGATTTTGCCCTGACATTAGCTTGTTAACTGGCACAGGAGGTGAGCCAAGTGACACAGTGGGAGAGTACGTTATAGCTAAATGGCAGGCTGTAACTATACATATAGTTATATGACATAGTTGTAGAAACATAGACACAAGGAACAAACGGAAGGAAAGTTCTAGAGCAGTGCTAGTAAGTAACAGATCTGGACTGCAGAGAGATTTGCTATGGTTCGAATGTGTCCCTCTGTCTTAGTCTATTTGTGTTGCTGTAATGAATATCTGAGGCTGGGGAATTTCTAAAGAAAAGAGGTTTATTATTCGGCTCATGGTTCTGCAGGCTGTTACAAGAAGCATGGTGCCAGCATCTGCTTCTGGTAAGGGCCTCAGGGAGCTTCCACTCATGGTGTAAGGTGAAGGGGAGCTGCTGTGTGCAGAGATTGCAGAGATCACATAACAAGAGAGGAAGCAAGAGAGAAGGGAGATGCCCATTCTTTTGAACATCCAGCTTTTGCAGCAACAAAGTAGAGTGAGAATTCACTCACTTCTTCCCCACCCCCACCAGGGACAGCATTAATCTATTCATGAGGGATCCATCCTCACAACCCAAACACCTCCCGTGAGACCCCAGCTTCAACACTGAGGATCAAATTTCAATGTGAGGTTTGAAGAGGTGAAACATCCAAACTATAGCACCCCCAAGAAGCATGTGTTGTAAACGGAATCCCCAGTGCAACAGTGTTAACAGGTGGGAACTTTAAGAGGGAATTAGGCCCTGAGGGCTCCGCCCCCCGCAAATGGATTAACTTTATCATGGGAGTGAGCTTGAATTTGGCCTTCTTGCTTTCTCTCACTCTCTCATCATCCACCA